>NC_000016.10:88304513-88945790 GCF_000001405.40 Homo sapiens
CAGTCGCCCGGTGAGCAAGGGGGCCAGCATGTTCCCATATCCACCCGACTCAGCTCAGGAATGTGCCTGTCCAGGGCTTCACCCAGCTGCTTCTGCTCTCTGTGGCATGCTTCAACCTCAAGTGTTTGGAAGCCAAGAGCATAAAAAGGCAAACACTAACCCAATGCATTCCTTCCCCCATCATCTCAGTGTTTTATTCCTCCCAAAGAGCATCTGCTCCTGGATGTTGCAAAATCAGATTATAGCTTTTGACTGCTGCTTTGAGGAATTTGTATTGTCTCATCTGGCTAAGGAGGCAGTGTAATAACACATTGTTCACCAAAGCAAGGGACCCAGGTGCTGCCTGCACCCTGGAGGCCAGTGGACTTGCTTCCCCTGCAAGAATTTGGACATTGGCTTGGGATCCCTTTTCTGAAGCTCTGAATCCTGGGCTCTTAAAGCCACACCCAAGTTCCATCTGGAATCCCCCTCCCCAAGCCACTGGATGATTTAGGAGCCTACTGGAAGCTAGAGCAGTAGAGGCCAAGCTGGAGACAGGGCAGCATCTGACACCCACACAGAGCAAATGCAGTGATGGGCATCAGCAGGAGTGATGCCCTGGTGCAGAAACTCCCAGTCCTTCTGAGTCCTAATGTCCATGCCCGGCATGGGGCAGGCCACACTGAGGGGATGTCTGCATGTGCAGGAAATGTCAGTGCACACCCTCACACACATGCACACACACGCTCACAGGCACACACGCATGCACACCCTCACACACATGCTCTCAGGCACACACACACGCACACCCTCACATGCACACACACACAGGCACACACGCACACCCTCACACACATGCACACACATGCTCACAGGCACACGCATGCACACCCTCACATGTGCACACACACGCTCACAGGCACACATGCACGCCCTCACACACGTGCACACATGCTCATAGACACACACGCACACCCTCACACGTGCACACATGGTCACAGGCACACACGCACACCCTCACACACATGCACACACACGCTCACAGGCACACATGTGTGCACACCCTCACACGTGCACACACGCTCACAGGCACACACGCACACCCTCACACATGCACACACACCCTCACGTGCACACACATTCTCACAGGCACACACGCATGCACACCTTCACATACACACACATGCTCACATGCACACGCATGACCATACATGCATACTCTCATACCTGCACACTCATGCCTGCATGCTCATACACACGGAAACACACATATGCACACTCATAAATGCACATTCACATGCACACATATACACATGTATGCACACTCACCACTCATGCACATGCCCAGACACAGATGCACACTCACGCATCCATGTTCACATACACACATACATCCCCAGCACACTCTCATGCACACCGATATTCTCATGCACTCACACACTGTCACGTAAACCCACACACTCACATACATGTCCTTACACACATGCACACATGTACACATCCCCACACCCCATGCAGCCATACACATGTGGGTGTGAATGTAGACACCTGGTCTGACTGCACTGCAAAAAGGCCTGGAGACGCCAAGGCTGGTAGTTCCCAACAGGTGTGTTGTGGGCCTAAGGAAGTCACAAGGCAGGGGCTTCCAATGACAAGAGGTTCAGAAGCAGCCTCCTGTCCATGGTTTACTAATGATGTCAGGAGCCTACAGTGTGCCAGGCACCGGACTGTGCTGCCAGCACCCTCCAGGCACCTCTTGCTCTTGTGTCCACACACCCCTGCATGGCAGGTGCTGTCCGCATCTCCTTGTCAGTAAGGGAACTTGAGGAGCTGAGGGACGTGCCCTGCCTCTGCCTCCTGTGTGAGGGCTGGAGCTCTCGCACTAGCCTGTCACAGTTGTTCTCTGTAGGTGTGTGGATACCAGGTGGGTTTAACACACAGCAGCCTGCTTAGCCTGTGTGACACCCTGGGAGGCTCGGGGAGGCTGAGCTGCAGAGCACCTGTTGAGTGGGAAGCCCTCAGGAAGATGCGGGATGTCACCTGCACCCAGAGGGTGGTGGGGTGTGGTCCACACAACACTGGGGCCACCAGCACCAACAGCCTGAAGCCCCATGACTAGCCTGAAGCCCCATGACTGCCCGGCATTGCTTGATGCTGTTGGAACGTAGCTCAGACGCCTCCAGGCCAGGCGTGGACAGGGCAACCCAGGACCCTGACCAGCACCAGGGTCCTTGCTCCAGAAATGAGCTTTGATGGACAGGCTCTGGCTTTATTCCGTCTCCTTCCCTGTCCCCGCTTCTACCAGATGGTAAGGAGTGGGGGAAAACAGTGAATTTTTTTAGTGACATCTGTATTTAGATATAAGTCATATACCATAAAAGTCATTCTTTTAATTCAGTGTTTTTTTGTGAATTCACAGAATTGTGCAACCGTCACCACTATCTAATTCCAGAACACTTTTATCACTCCAGAAAGAAACTCCAGGCCCTTTATCATCAGCTCCTTGTTCCTCCCCCTACTTCTACCCCGGTCCCTGGCAACCGCCAATCCACTTCCTGCCTCCAAGGTTTCCCTGTTCTGGGCATTTCATAGAAATGGGATCATACCACACATGGCCCTTTGAAGCTGGTGTCTTTTACTCAGCATGATGTTTTCAAGGTCCCCCACACTGGGGTGTGTGTCAGCACTTCATTCCTTCTGTGGCTAAAGAACATTCTGCTGAGTAGATAGACCACATTTTGTTTATCTGTTCTTCCACTGATGGAAGTGTGGGCTGTTTCCACTTTTTGGCTATTGTGAATAATGAACATTTGTGTACCCGTTTTTATGTGAACAAAGGTTTCCATTTCTCTAGAGTCCCCAGCTACAAGCAGCATTGCTGGTCGTACAGTCACTGTACAGTTAACATTCCAAGAGGACTGGCCAAACTGTTTTTCCAAAGAGGTTGCCACATCTTACATTCCCACGGGCAGTGTGGGAGGGTTTCAAATTCTCCCTACTCTCATCAACACCTGTTATTGTCTGTCTTTTTGGTGACAGCCAAGCTCCTGGGTGTGAAGTGGCATCTCATTGTGGTTTTGATTTGCCTTTCCCTGACGGCTAATGATATCAGTGTCTTTTCATGTGCTTGCTGACCATTTGTGTATCTTCTTCAGAGAAATATCTACTCAGACCCTTCACCCCATTTTTAGTTGGATTCTTGTCTTTTTATTATTGTTGCAAGAGTTCTTTATGTGTTCTACAGCCAGGTTCCCTATTGGATATATGGTTTGCAAAAGTTTTCTCTCATTCTCTGGGTTACCTTTTCACTTTCTTAATGGTATTATTTGCAGCACAAAAGTTTTAATTTTGAGAAAGTCCAGTTTATCTACTTTTTGTCATTTGTGCTTTTGGTGTCATATGTGAGAAATCATAGCCTAACTCAAAGCCACAAAGATGTATTCCTATGTTGTCTTCTAAGAGTGTTATGGTTTCGGCTCTCACATTTAGGTTGCTACTACTTTTGGAGTTCACATTGTGTATGGTGTGAGGTAGGGGTCTAACCTCATTCTTTTGCACATGGATATCCACTAGGCCCAATACCATCTGTTGCAAAAATTATTCTTTCCCTGTTAAACTGCCTTGGTGCCCTTGTTGGAAATCAGTGGACTGTAACTCTGAGGGTTTATTTCCAGCCCTCATTCTCAGTCCATTCCATCAATCTGCGTATCTGTGTTTATGCCAGCTCTTGACTTCTGTGCTTTTGCCATCAGCTTTGAAAGTGGGATGCGTGAGTCCTCCAGCTTTGCTCTTTTTCAAGATTGTTTTGGCTATTCTGAGTCCCTTACATTTCCATATGAATCTCAGGATCTGCTTGTCAGTTTTGGCAAGAAAGCCAGAAGAGATTGTGATCGGGATTGCACTGACTCAGGGATAAGATTTTAAAATCATCTGATTCTTTGGGAGATGTTTTTAAGGACCTAGGGAATCTTTCACCAATAATGAGTTAAAATGAAAGGGCCAGTTCTTCCCATCTCCCCCAGCCTGCCCCTCCACACTCTGTTCTCTGCAGAGCACCCAGCATTGCAATCTAGTCCTCTCCCACTAGAGCCCATGTCTTAGAGCAGGATTCCTTCTCTTCTTCACTGCTGCATTCCTGGTGCCTGGAGCAGAAGGACACCCACAGACTGGGCATGGTGAGGGCTGGAAGACTGAGCAGACCCCACCTCCATGAGGTCCATGGGATGCAAAGCACAGAAGATTCTCAGGAGACCCCCAGAAAGAAACTGGGAGGTTTTTCCTCATCTATTTGGACAGACACCCTTCTAAGTGCTGTCTGCAGAGCCATGAGAACATGCCTCTCAGGCCTTCCATTGTGGGGAGCAGGACTGACCAGTGGCCCAGCCTCTGCATCCTGAGCTCACCTCCACATTTGCATCAAGGCTAGCCTGACACCCAGGCAATCTGTTCCTGGGTGGTGGTGACTTTGGCTTGAGGTCCCCCCAGTGGCCCTGCTGAGCCACCGTGCAAAGGGCTCCCAACCTTCCTTCCTTTCCTCTCCCCTGCCCAGGGCCCAGACCCACGTCCCGACTGGACCTTCTCCCAACCTCCCAGGCTCCTGCCCCGGTTTTCTCACAGATTTTCCCCTAGTGAGTCTCTCATACCTGATCCTGCCCTGTGCGTGTTGCCCAGAGGCCTAAGGCTGATGCTCACCTCTCAGGGGAAGGAGGAAGGCCTCATAAGTGTCACAGCCTGGAGGAGTGGGCTCCGTGGTGGTGTGCTGGCAATTTGAGGAGGGTGGGACAGCGGTGACCTGTGGTGGCCAGCCCTACAGGGACACCTCCGAGCTGGGCCAGGAGGAGCACAGTGTTCAGGACACCTGACGGGGGGAGTGCCCTCTGAGGTCCCCTGTCAGTGTTCAGGACACCTGGTGGGGGGAGTGCCCTCTGAGGTCCCCTCTCGGTGTTCAGGACACCTGACGCGGGGAGTACCCTCTGAGGTCCCCTCTCGGTGTTCAGGACACCTGACGGGGGGAGTGCCCTCTGAGGTCCCGTCTCGGTGTTCAGGACACCTGATGGGGGGAGTACCCTCTGAGGTCCCCTCTCGGTGTTCAGGACAACTGGCGGGGGTAGTGCCCTCTGAGGTCCCCTGTCAGTGTTCAGGACACCTGATGGGGGGAGTGCCCTTTGAGGTGCCCTGTCAGTGTTCAGGACATCTGACGGGGGGAGTGCCCTCTGAGGTGCCCTCTCAGTGTTCAGGACACCTGGCGGGGGGGTGCCCTCTGAGGTGCCCTCTCGGTGCCAGGGAGTGTGGTTCACTCTCCTCAAATGCTGGCCTCCAAGCCCCTCTGTCCTGTCCCTGGGATCAAAATAACAAAGCATCAGGGCCACTCTGTTAAGGCAGAAACAACCCACGTGGCAGGAGTCAGCTGTAACCTGAGGGCCTGCCCCTGCCAGAGGCCAGATCCCTCCACTGCCCAGGGTAGCCTGGCTTTGAAGAGTCAGGTCCATGACCCACCCGTGTTGTAAAACCCTTCCTAGAATCAGAAGAGCAATAACAGGTGTGCAATTCCTGTGCACTGAGTGGCCTGAGAGGGAGGGCGCTATGGGGAGCAGGGGTGCCCTCCAGTGGTGCAGTGGGGGCAGGGAGAAGCCAATGGGGAGGGAAGGGGTCATCAGGTGGGACAGCCTGGCATGAGAGCAAATCTCTGCAGAACCCTCAGATTACACGGAGGACATCAGCTTCAGGCACCTGCTGACTTCCTCACCACCCCCAAACTCTGAGGCAGGAGAGGTTGGGGGAGGGAAGCAGAATTTCTTTGGGGAGCTGGGGGGTGGGAGCTGTTGGCTAAGACACAAGGCAGTGCCTCCCACTGCTTAAATTTTAGGGTGGCCATGAAAGGCAGAAATAAGGGTGTGCCTGGGGCTCTGGTCACATCTCACAAGTCACACATCTAACACAGCCCTGCGTGCTGCCCCTTCTTCCCGGTGGAACCATTTGCACACAAAAGTGATAGCTGCACTTCCCCCTTTGTTTTTCTGTAGCCTGTGTCTTGGATCTTGTTCCTTGACAGTACCTTGTCCTTCATTTTATTTTTTTTTTTTTATTAATTTTATTTATTTACTTTCTGAGACAGAGTCTCGCTCTGTTGCCCAGGCTGGAGTGCAGCAGCGCGATCTCGGCTCACTGCAACCTCCACCTCCTGGGTTCAAGCGATTCTCCTGCCTCAACCTCCTGAGTAGGGATTACAGGTGTGCGCCACCATGCCCAACTAATCTTAGTATTTTTAGTAGAGACCGGGTTTCACCATTTTGGCCAGGCTGCTGCTTTTTATTTTTAATAGGCTTTTTAAAAGAGCAGTTTTAGATTTACAGAAAAATCGAGAAGATGGCATAGAGTTTCTACTTGCCCTGCGCCCAACTGTCCACATCTCACCCTCTCACGGTGCCTTTGTTGTCACTGATGAACCCAACACTGATCCATCCTCATTCACCGTGCACCCTCACAGCCTCCTCCTGCACCAGGACCACATCCGGATCCCACCCAGGATTTGCTCGTCACGCCTCCCTCGGCTCCTCTCCAACTCCTTGTTTTTGAGGATCTTGACAGTTTTGAGGACCGCCTGGGCATTTTGTGGATCATCCCTCAATTGGGATTGTCTAGTGTTTTTCTCATGGTTAGACTACAGCGATGAATCACTGGGAGGAAGACCCTGGGGGCGAAGTGCCCATCTCACCACATCCCCTCAGGGGTCTACATCATCAACAGGATGCATCGCAGGGGACATTGACCTTGGCCACCTGGCTGAGGCCTCACTCTTTTTAAAGCTGAAACTGCAGGTCCCCAGGCTTTTATCCAAACCCTGGAGCTCGACAGGCTTTTTATTTCAGAGCTCAGGATTTTAGAAATGTAATGTACATTTACACAGCACTCCCATGGGATCCAGGGAAATAACCCATAAGAAAGCCCATGACTGTTTCTGCACTGAAACATGAATATTTACCCTGATTGGAGAAGCAGAGAAAATAAACAGTCTCACTGCAAATTTCCAAGCAAGTTCCAGAAGAACTTTTGTGGGGACTTCAGAACAGCTAGTAAGGGATGGTGGCCTGCCCTCCGTCAGTGGTTCATTCTATAACTTACTGTGCTGGGCTCCAACTGAGGGGTGTCTGGTGGTTTCAGGGCTGTCCCTGCAGCGTTGCAGAGACAGTCCTAGTGTGGAAGTCTCTGTGAGTACCTGCCAGGTAGATTTCTGGGAGGCCACACTTGGCCCCAGGTTTTTGTGTCTTAAACTTGGATTGAGTTGGCCAAGTCGTTCGCCAACAAGGACATATTGATTTGCATTTTCGCAATGATATAGCCTGGGGCTTGTTCCTGAAGCTGCGTGCTTTCAAATGATTGATTGTGGAACACCTGATGGTGAAATCTCATTGGCTGCTTGTATTAGTCCATTCTCACACTGCTGATGAAGACATACCCAAGACTGGGTAATTTATAAAGGAAAGAAGTTTAATGAACTCACAGTTCCACATGGCTGTGGAGGCCTCACATTCATGGCAGAAGACAAAGGAAGAGCAAAGGCACATCTTACATGGCAGCTGGCAAAGAGAGAATGAAAACCAAGTGAAAGGGGTTTCCCAGTATAAACCCATCAGATCTCATGAGACTTCTTCAGTACCATGAGAACAGTATGGGGGAAACCACCCCCATGATTCAATTATCTCCCACCTGGTCCCTCCCACAACACAAGGGAATTATGGGAACTACAGTTCAAGATGAGATTTGGGTGGGGACACAGCCAAAGCCTATCAGTACGGTAGTTCTAATTCCCAGGAGGCTCAGCCTGTTCTCATGTGGTTATAGGTTGCTGGGATTTACCTTCTTGCACCAGCTTCTCAGGCCATTTGCCCATTTGTCTCTTGACGGGTTGGTCTGTAACTTACTCTTTTTGTTGTTTCTTTAATCCCCTGTTTCTGATATATAAGTTGCCAAATTTCTCCCCAATTCTTCACTTGCTCGTGTGCCTGTGTTTTGTTCATTTGTGTTGGCTTTAAGACCCTTATTTTATGTGGTCACATATACCCACCTCCTTTTAAGCTTCCTGTGTTTTGTTTCATTCTTCAAAAGGCCTTGCGCATGCTGAAATTATTTTGTTAGAAACATCTTTCATGATTTCTTCTAGTGCTTTTGTTTTTTTGCCCTTAAGTCTTTGATTTGAGGGAGAGACGCCATTTTTCCTTTGTCTAGGGGGTGAGCCAGCTGTGCCAAGACCATTTGAAATGCTGCCTTTACAACGCAGTCAATGCGTCTGCCTTGTTCCACTGATGGGTCCACCCATCTTCATACCAGCCCCAAACCGCATTTTACTACAGTAGCTTTGCAAGCCATGCTGGTGCGCCATGGACTCCACGCCTCCATGCCCTCACGAATTATTCTAGGATGGCCTGGATGTTTATTTTTCCATATGAACTTTAGACTCAACTTACTTAGTTCCAGAAATAATTGTTGGTATAGGAAAAAGGAGCTGATTGACTCTGCAGCCTGATCTAGGGATAACTGACATATTTGTTATTATCGTGGCTCCTGGTCAGGGTCACGGTCAGGGTCAGTGTTAGGGTCTTCCCTTGATTCGGGCATTTTGAGCATCCCTCCGCTGTGCCTCCAAGTTCCCTTCATGTGGCTGAGGCACATTTCCTAAGTTTTTTCTGAGATATCTTTTTGTTGCTGTTATAAATTTGATCTCTCATTATATTTTCTATCTAATTATATATGAGAAAGCTGTTGATATTTGAATATCTTACTCTAACCAGTCATCTTCATGAACTCTGTTCATTTTCCAGATATGTAATCATATCAACTAAAATGGTGATCATTTTCTCTGCTCTTTTTCAATTTTTATACCTTGTAATTCTTTCTCTAGTCCAATTGCATCCGCCCATCCCTCCAAAAAATGTTCAATCCTAGTGAATATCTCTGTCTTATTTCACTATCTGTAATTAAGACGATGCTGGTGTGGACTGTCTCTGTAATTAAGACGATGCTGGTGTGGGCTGTCTCTGTAATTAAGACAATGCTGGTGTGGACTATCTATCTCTGTAATTAAGACAATGATGGTGTGGACTCTATCTCTGTAATTAAGATGATGCTGGTGTGGACTGTCTGTGTGATTATGATAATGCTGGTGTGGACTCTCTCTGTAATTAAGACAATGCTGGTGTAGACTGTCATCTCTGTAATTCAGGCAGTGCTGGTGTGGACTGTCATCTCTGTAATTCAGGCAGTGCTGCTGTGGACTGTCATCTCTGTAATTCAGGCAGTGCTGCTGTGGACTGTCATCTCTGTAATTCAGGCAGTGCTGGTGTGGGCTGTCTCTGTAATTAAGATGATGCTGGTGTAGAATATCTCTGTGATTATGATGATGCTTGTGTGGACTGTCATCTCTGTAATTCAGGCAGTGCTGATGTGGGCTGTCTCTGTAATTAAGATGATGCTGGTGTGGAATATCTCTGTGATTATGATGATGCTGGTGTGGACTGTCATCTCTGTAATTCAGGCAGTGCTGGTGTGGGCTGTCTCTGTAATTAAGATGATGCTGGTGTAGAATATCTCTGTGATTATGATGATGCTGCTGTGGACTGTCATCTCTGTAATTCAGGCAGTGCTGGTGTGGACTGTCATCTCTGTAATTCAGGCAGTGCTGGTGTGGACTGTCATCTCTGTAATTCAGGCAGTGCTGGTGTGGGCTGTCTCTGTAATTAAGATGATGCTGGTGTAGAATATCTCTGTGATTATGATGATGCTGGTGTGGACTATCATCTCTGTAATTCAGGCAGTGCTGCTGTGGACTGTCATCTCTGTAATTCAGGCAGCGCTGGTGTGGGCTGTCTCTGTAATTAAGATGATGCTGGTGTAGAATATCTCTGTGATTATGATGATGCTGGTGTGGACTGTCATCTCTGTAATTCAGGCAGTGCTGGTGTGGACTGTCATCTCTGTAATTCAGGCAGTGCTGGTGTGGGCTGTCTCTGTAATTAAGATGATGCTGGTGTAGAATATCTCTGTGATTATGATGATGCTGGTGTGGACTGTCATCTCTGTAATTCAGGCAGTGCTGCTGTGGACTGTCATCTCTGTGATTCAGTCAGTGCTGGTGTGGACTGTCATCTCTGTAATTCAGGCAGTGCTGGTGTGGGCTGTCTCTGTAATTACGATGATGCTGGTGTGGAATATCTCTGTGATTATGATGATGCTGGTGTGGACTGTCATCTCTGTAATTCAGGCAGTGCTGGTGTGGGCTATCTCTGTAATTAAGATGATGCTGGTGTGGAATATCTCTGTGATTATGATGATGCTGGTGTGGACTGTCATCTCTGTAATTCAGGCAGTGCTGGTGTGGGCTGTCTCTGTAATTAAGATGATGCTGGTGTGGAATATCTCTGTGATTATGATGATGCTGGTGTGGACTGTCATCTCTGTAATTCAGGCAGTGCTGGTGTGGGCTGTCTCTGTAATTAAGATGATGCTGGTGTAGAATATCTCTGTGATTATGATGATGCTGGTGTGGACTATCATCTCTGTAATTATGCTGAGGAAGTGTCCTCCTCGATCTGACCTGGAGTTTTGAATGAGATATGATTTTCCTCTCTGACCCTAGATTATATTTTGGTGAGAGCCAGGGGCAGGAAGGTCTCCCCCGAGGGCCAGGGCTCCAGGGCAAGTCACCTAAGGTTGTGCGGCTTGGTTTTCCTCACTGTGAAACGGGCGCACGAGATCTGTGTGGTCGGAGTGTTGGTGCCCTCTGAGGTCCCTGGGGCAGGGGCTGGCACGGCACTGGCCCCAGACCTAGAAAGCAGGGCCACCATCCTGTGTGTCACTGTTGGGCCACACATGCACACAGACCCAGGAAGTGGGGGCCGTCATCTTCTCCATCGCTGCCAGGCCACGCACGCACACAACGCCTGGATGGACTCTGGCCTGACGCTCACCCTGGCACAGGGGGAGATGAAGCTTCTGTTTGTTCTTTGCAGAGCCCGCTGCCTCTGTTGGACCATTTTATCGCCATGGTGACCAAGGGCGTGGCCAGGTGACTTTGCAGAGGAGGGAGCAGGGCCCAGGAGCTCTCAGGCCTCCCTGTGACCCCAGAAGGAGGGTGGCCATCCTAGTCCAGGGCTGGGGAAGTGCACATCCGTGCGTCTGCCTGTGCAGAAGGTGGGGGAGGGAGGACCCTCACTCAGCCGATCAGCTTCTAAAGCCCCCAGGGTTCAAAGGACAGCCCTCGACCTCCTGGCCTGGGTTGGTTTCCAAGACAAGAGCAGGCCTGGGCTGGGGTCCTTGGAGGCCAAGGGGGTGGGAGACACGGAGCAGCGGCAGGAAGAGCAGCTGGTCCTCCAGGCCCTCCCCCTCCTGCTGAGTCACACACAGGGCCTCGCCCGCCCAGGCTGCCTGCTCCGGACGTTCCAGAGGAAACCTGGAAGTGCACAAGGCCCTGACCCCACCCCCGGCGCCTGCACCACTGAGGAAAGGCTGTGATCACGGCCATGCACCTGCAGCTCTGTAGGGCGGCACCTGGACCACGCGTCACCAGGGCACATGCTGCCACCACAGCCCCGGGTGGGCAGAGAGCAGGGCCGGCCGCCCCTCACTACTCGCCAGTCTGAAAGGCAGGAGCAGCTTCCCCCAGGTCCGTCCTCCTCACCGGAATCTCCGGGGCAGTTTTCATACGTTTTGAACAGTCCTAAGTCAGAACCCGCAGGGCTGGGTCCAGGAATCTGGACGTACCTTTTATACCTTGGGCGAGTGTGATCGCAGCTGCCAGCCCTGGTCTGCCCGCCAGCATCTGCCACCTTTAGGATGGGATGGTGCACCACGCTCGTGGGGCCAGACGCCAGCCTTGCATCCAGCTCACCTTGGCACGGCTCTTCCCACTTCTCTGCCCTGGGAGTAACACTCCTTCCGGGGTTTTCATGAGGGTGATGTGATCTGACATGCAGACACCCCGACGGTGGGCCTGGGCTCCCTGCTGCTCAGCCAGTGTGCGTCAGCTTGGCTGGTGAGCACTGAGTATAGGTGCTGTCTTTTTTTTTTTTTTTTTTTGAGACAGAGTCTCGTTCTGTCGCTCAGGCTGGAGTGCAGTGACACGATCTTGGCTCACTGCAACCTCCACCTCTGGGGTTCAAGCGATTCTCCTGCCTCAGCCTCCCGAGTGGCTGGGATTACAGGCGCCCGCCACCACGCCCAGCTAATTTTTGTGTTTTTAGTACAGACAGGGTTTCACCACGTTGGCCAGGCTGGTTTCAAACTCCTGACCTCAAGTGATCCACCCGCCTCAGCCTCCCAAAGTGCTGGGATTACAGGCGTGAGCCACTGCACCCAGCCTGGGTGCTGTCTCAGTGCCGCATTGCCCAGCATGCTGGGAACCTATCGAAGCTGGGGTCCTCCTTGAGAAGGATGCACCCCCACAGAAAACTCCAGATCCCACGCGCTCTCCAGCTCTAAACCCAGAACACCTGACCTCGGCATTCTCCCTCCCAACCCAGCTGGAAGGGGCAATGCTCCACCCAGATAATAAACTGTAGATGGTGGGGCTCTGGCAGAGAGAGGGGCCGGCCGGCCAGAGGCTTGAGGAGAGCGCCACATGGGCAGCCCCCACCCCAGTTTGATGGAATCCAACTGATCTCAGGGCTGAAGCCCTTTCCCCACATGCTGGCCTGGCCCTCAGCTGTCAGGCAGGGTGGGGAGCCGAAGCAGTTCCCAACTGCCTCTCCAGCGTGATGAACACCGACTCACATGCCAAAGCCTACTTCAGACACCCTCTTCTCCGTGGAGCCTCCTTCTGCCTTCTCCCCAGGGCAGATGCTCACAGCACCTCACCTGTTCCATTCTTCTGCGGGTGAAACGTGGTCCTAGGGGGACCCTGTGCATTTTCACCTTTGCACGCTGGCCAGGGGCAGGGTGGAGCCTCGGAACCTGGCTGGTGAAGGTTGGAAGAGTTTCGCATCCTCTGAAAACAGAGGTAGGGCCACGGGCCTGTGGTCCAGGAGACCCTTCCCTGGGAGGGGTCTCTCCTGGCATTCTCCCGACCTGGTGCAGATGTAGTCTCCATCGTGCTGAGGCTTGGGTGTTGGGGTTGAGGGGCAGTGCCCGCCGGCAGCCGCCCTGCACAGCTCTCTGGCCGGTGCAGAGGCCTTCTCTTTCCTCACTCTGGCTTCCAGCCACAACTGTCCTCTCAACCACAGGAAGTCCATGTGCAGCTTCCCAGACGCCTTTCCCTTGACCGTGACTTGAGTCCCCAGGAACTTACAGGAACCTTCCAGAAATTCCCTCTTTATCTCCCAAATCCCATCTGGTTCTGTTTAAGGATTCACCATACTTCCTCCTGCTCTCTGCGCCGCTGAACCGGGCCTGTCTCAGAGCTCGGTGTCATCTTTCTCCCTGGGACAGGGGTGAACCTAGGTCTTGAGGGTGATGGTGGGGTGAGGTCCCCGTGCCTTGGCACTCAGAGCATGGCCTTTCCTCCTGCTTCCTCCTCCTGGCCCCAGCCCTGTCCTCTGCTGTCCTTTAATGACAAGTTACTTTTATTGCCACAGAATCTGCCACTGTCCCCATGAGGAGAGGGACCTGCGATCCCTGCCCGTGGCTTGGGCCTCTCAGGTTTGGACAGCCGGTGGCAGCTCCACCCTCTCAGCCCTTCTCTCCCAGATCTTCGGGCCCAGCCTGGGCTGGAGGGAGGCCGCTGGTTCTCCAGGGCGCGTTCCATGGAGCTGCGGCTGTGGCTGTGGGTATACCAACTGCAAAGCCCCCAGTGGGCCCGGGTCTGTTACATTCGGCAGGGGCTGCCCTTTTTAGCCTGGCCCCCTCCAGCCCAGCCTCCTCCTGGAGACGCTGCCCCCCCTTCCTCCTCTCCATGCTCTGTGCCCATTCGGTAAGCGGGGAAGAGCCAGCGGTGTCCTCTGCCCCAGCTGCATCTCAGGATCAGGGGAGGAGCTGGCGGTGTCCTCTGCCCCAGCTGCATCTCAGGATCAGGCAATTCTCCCCCCAGCCCTTTAGCAAGTCAGGGAGACGCGGTGGCCCCTGCCTGCCAAGGGCAGGAGTGGGGTGGGGGATCAAGAAGGGGACCATTTTCTGGGTTCTGTTGCTCATGAAGTAAGAACTCCTGGCGTGTCCCACACCTGGGCTGCCTCCCTCCCTGGCCTGTGCCGTGGGGAGAGGACAGAGCTCAGCCACGGCTGGCTGCTCTGCCAAGGGAGGAGTCTGAGATCTTGGAGCTCGGAGGAGGGGATGCTCCCTTGGAAAGCATGCGAGGGAGGGAGTCTGTGCAGAAGGACCACTGCCAAATCCCGAACAGCGCGTGCAAGGGGGAGAAGCCCCAGCGTCCAGACGGCCATCATGCAAACAGCTTGGCCCTCACGTGGTGACCGTCCTCACCAGGGCAGCAGCATCTTCAGATGTCAGCTGTATGACACCCAGAGATAAACTTGCTTTTGTTTGGGAGCCCAAAAGTCTCATTACCTGGGGGTCAGGACCAGACGGGGCACCCCAGGGCTTTCCTAGCAGGTCATTTTGTATTGCCAGCTGGGGTCAAGAGGGCCTTGGCCACCAGGCTGGGGCAGGATGGGACTCTGCCTCAGGCTTCCGATGCATGCCTTCCCATGACCGGCCACTGTCCTGCGGATTCTGGATTTGGGGTTCGGGCTCCTCACAGACAGATGGAAGAGGGTCTGGGTGTCTGGCTGCCCACACTGTCCCCCTTGGCCTCACCTCCGAGGGGGCCTTGCAGGTGGCCGAGACCTGGACACCTGCCTTTCTGAGGTTCTTCCTCACCAGTGTCGCCTAAACAAATGCACTCAGGCCCCTGACTGAGCCGAAGGGGGCTCCTCGTCTGCAGGGCCAGGAGACTTTCTTGGGCGGAGCCACACAGGAGGTGCAAGGATTGGGCCCCGGGAGGAGGGGGCTGCTCCCCCAGGGAGGAGGAGGCAGTCCGAGGCCTCGGAAGGTGGGGGCCCTCCTGAACAGAGTGAGCACAGGCCCTGCTGATGCGCCCGGGTCCTGCCAATGATCCCTTTTCCATGTGCAGCGCCTCTCAGAGGGGAAGCAGCGGGGCCACTCCCCAGGCTGCCCTCCTAGGGCCTCAGGTAGCCCCCTTGGCTCCCTGCCACCCTTCTCCTCCCCATCCACCATTTCCAGCCCTCCCTAGGAAGCCCCGTCTGTGGGTCGTGCAAACTCGACGCCTTGGGTTTGTGGATGCTGCAGGGAGAATAACAGGACACGCTGAGTGGTCAGGAGCCGGCCCCCAGGCCTCCCTGCAGCCCAGCTTCGCAGCTAGAGGACTCCCCTGCCCTACAGGTGGGACCCTGACTCTGGTGGAGACCAAGCTGCTGGGTGAGGAGCTGGGCCTCAGGCCCCTATCTTCCAAGGAAAGGTTTTCTCCAGTCTCCAAAGCCAGAATGGTGGGCTCCTGACCCTCATGTGGGGTCAGTGAGGGTTTCCTCCCATCTGGCATCTCCCCGGCCTGAAGCCTGACTCCTCGCCACACAGGCCATGATAACAGGCACCCCCCAAATGTCCAACAGCGGGGGATAATTCAAAGCATGGCCAGGCCTCCACTCATGGAGCATTATGCAGCCATTCAAAAGCAGGTGGGACATTTACAGAGCACGGGGGAAGCTGCTTGCCGTGGCAGAAGTTAAACAGGCTGAGTGCCTTGCACGTGTTTACTAAGTGATAATTCCACCCAATTTATATAATCCTAGGGAGACTCGGGGTTTTAAATGTCATCTTCAGAATGTTCCTGCTGATTACACTGCCCTCATGATGGGAAGCCTGCGTTTACTCTAATGGTAATAATTATTGTTAACAGTGAGGCCTTGCGTCTTCATCAGCATTTCTTAAAGGCTGACCACGAGATTCTTTATTCTTTTTTCTTTTTTCTCGGAGACAGAATCTTGCTCTGTCGCCCAGGCTGGAGTGCAATGGCATGATGTGAGCTCACTGCAACCTCTGCCTCACAGGTTCAAGCAATTCTTCTGCCTCAGCCTCCAGAGTAGCCCGGATTACAGGCGCCCACCACCATATCTGGCTAGTTTTTGTATTTTTAGTAGAGACTGGGTTTTACTACGTTGGCCAGGCTGGACTTGAACTCCTGACCTCAAGTGATCTGCCCACCTTTGCCTCACAAAGTGCTGGGATTACAGGTGTGAGCCACCATGCCCAGCCTGACCATGAGATTATTGACAGGTATGTTGGTCTTGAACTTGAACACGTCAGCTGGAGACCCGCAACAGCCTCCTGCACTTATGTCCATGTAGTCTCATTGCTGGTCTTTAGAAAAACAACAAAACAACCCCCAGTGGTTAACCAGCCAGTCAATGCCGAACCCACCCAGCACACGCCCAACACGAGTCCACAGAGGGTGTGAGCTGCCCCCTCAGACTCTGCAAGTGGGAGGAGTTCAGGACGCAGATGCAGTGTCCAGTGCTCGGGAATGAATGAATGAGTGAATGGATAGATGAACAGGCGAATGAGACACCGTGGCTGCCATCCGAGGCTGCCTTTCAGTATGAAATGTTGGGGTCAGGGTGGGGACGTGAGGGCCTTCCTCAGCCAGTCGGTCCCAGGTTGACCAGGCTGCAGAGCGGCCCAGCCTGGCCCGGGGATGCCGCAGGGACCAAGCTCCTCCTGTCCAGGCTGTCCTGGGCGAGGCGCCAAGGGGAAGGTCCTGGGGTGCCCCCCACCTTGGGTTTCCCCCTCGGGATCTTGCTGGGGCAAGTCTGAAATCCGTAGGGCAGGCTGGAAACCCAGGCAGGAGCTGATGCTGCAGCCTTCAGGCAGAATCCACCATCCCAGGGAAACCTTGGTTTTTGCCCGTAAGGCCTTGCCTGATTGGATGCAGTCTTCAAATTCTGCATGTAAGGCCTCACCTGACTGGATGCAGCCCTTGGCATCTGCTCATAAGGCCTCACCTGATTGGATGTGGCCCTTGGCTGCTGTGTTAGGCCTCACCTGATTGGATATGGCTCTCAGAGTCTGCATGTCAGGCCTCACCTGATTGGATGCAGCCCTCGAATTCTGCATGTAAGGCCTCACCTTATTTGATGTGGCCCTCGGATTCTGCTCATAAGGCCTTACCTGATTGGTGTGGCCTCAGATTCTGCATGTAAGACCTCATCTGATTGGATGTGACCCTCGGATTCTGCTCATAAGGCCTCACCTGATTGGTGTGGCCTCAGATTCTGCATGTAAGACCTCATCTGATTGGACATGACCCTTGGCTTCTGCACATGAGGCCTCACCTGTTTGGATGCAGCCCTCGGATTCTGTTGGTAAGGCCTCACCTGATTAGATGCAGCCACCGCCATCCGGAGCATGATCTGCTTCACTTAAGGTCAGCTGATGGCCAAGGCCAGTGCCTCCCCCAAATGCCTTCTTGGCAACACCCAGACAGGTGGGATGGAACCCAGGGCTCAGTGGCCACAGGATGCTGCACCGCTTCTGACATCACTCAACAGCAAAGACCCTAGGACAGGCCCTGGCGAGATCTCTGTGGGATGAGAGGGCCCTGGGCATGAGAGAGAGGCCTCACTATTGGAAATGGTCCCTGTGGGCCTGGACGAGCTGGGCGGGCTGCAGGCTACAGCATCATGGAGCCACGGCAGGAGGTGCCGCCTGGGCTGCTCCGACCCTCCCCGCGGCCTCGGCATCTTCTCCCAGCCTCCGATGGACTCAGAGCCCAGCGTGTCAGAGCCGGGGGCGCTTTTCACCCAAACCTGTGCCCCACACAGTCCCCAGGAAATCGGAGGCCAGGTGAATCGGAACTCACCTGAGGCCCCACGGCCGCTCTGGGAGGAGCCAGCTCTGCCAGTACCTGGACCCATCACATGGGAGGCGGCTGCGAGGCTGGGAGGCAATGGCTCCTGCACCTGCTCTCGCGGTCTCGGGAGCCCCGCCCTGCCTGTCACGTCAGTGTCCCGGCCGTGTTCATCCTGAAGCTCCACAGCCGCAGCCACCCATGGCAGTGGGGAGCCAACTGCAGTATGCTCTGATCAAACCGTATCTCATGGCTCCAGCACAGATGGCGGGAGCTACGGCAAGTCCGGTGATGCTGGAGGGGGTGTGACTGACGAGGAGGGTTTGTGCCAGAGCAGGCGGCACCACCACTCCTCGGAGACTGTGTGGGACCCGAGCGACCCCTCCATCCCACGGACTCCAGGACTCAGTCAGGGGTCGCCCTTGCCTTGAGCTCTAGGCTGCATCAGGAAATGCATGAAGGTTGCCGAATAACCACTCCAGGCCCTCCCCGTGCCCACCCACCTTCAGGAGAATCCGTGGGATGGGGGAACCATCGAATGGACTTGGCCCAGGACTTGGGGGCCAGGTTCAAATGTGAGCCCAGCCCAGGAGACTTTGGGCAGGCCTGTGACTGTCGGAGGCAAGGAGACGAGCTCAGGAAAGCGGAGAGGATGACAGCTCTCGGCTCCTCCTGTCTCTCCCAAGATTGGAGAACGGCATGCTTACAACGCTGTCAGTACTCATGCCACCCAGCCACGGCCATCTGGAAGTTGTTAGCTGTTATTACCTGTGGACAGTGTGGATGGCACATGAGCCTCAGTTCCCCTCGTCTGTAAAGTGGGGGCAGTGATCCCACATCATGGATTAGAGCTGCCGTTCCCTGGGTGCCCATGTTGTGCAGTCAGGAGCCAGGCTCGGTGGCCACCCTGCCTTCTGCCACGCAGTCTGCCCCAGGCTCTGCAGAGCTCCGAGGAGGGGCCCCGGAGGCCTTGGTGGTGCAGTGCCATGCCCCTGGGAGGCTGGGGACACGTGTCCCAGGCCCTGACACCCTCGCAGGCCGCTCAGTGGATTACAGGGCCACAGACCTGTCCTGACAGGGCCACATACAGCTGCCAAGATGATGGCTGCTTACCTAGCAAACTCTAATGCCAGAAACCACCTTCTTCCTTCCCACTTCTCTGTAGCATTTGTGTTTTGATCACTTCTGACATCACTCAGCAGCAAAGGCCCCAGGACAGGCCCTGGCGAAATCTCTGTGGGGTGAGAGGGCCCTGGGCATGGGAGGGAGGCCTCACTATTGGAAATGGTCCCAAGAGCCTCAGGACCCTGTGGGAAGGCCTGGGCAGCCAGGCTTCCTCTTGGCAAAGCCAGGATCTCCCTGACCCCCACTTTCTGGTGGACAGTGTAGAGGTATTGGGGGGGCTGCCACTGAGTGGCAGAAGTGGGCAGGGGGACTCCCACACCCAGTGTTGCCCATGACCGGTAATGGCCGTGGTCCCACAGACCAGGGGCCCACTCTGCCCCTGGCACATGCCAGACCGCAGCTGTGCAGTCTCCCACTCCGTGCCCCCATCCCCCTGCAAAAGGGTGTTGTGTGTCCATCCTACAGATGGTGACAGGGAGACTCGGAGGAGGCACGTGGGGGTGCCCACCATTTCACCCCTCCCAGTTCCCTACCATGGTAGAACAATCACCCCAGAACTTAGTGGCTAAAACCAAGCAGAGTTACTTATTTTGCTCACAAATCAATGGTTGTCAGGGCCTGCGGGCAGCAGCTCACCTCAGTGACACAGGCTTCAGCTGGAGCAGCTGGGCTGGGGTGAGATCCGCCGCAAAAATGGCACACCACATGGCTGGCCAGGGGCCTGTGGTCAGCGCCTCCCCACGGGGCCTGTTCGGGGCTACTTGGGCTTCCTCACAGCATGAGGGCTGGGTCCCAAGAGGCAGGAAGTAGAGGCTGTCAGTTTCGGACCGCCAGCCCTGAAATTTTCTGAGCAATACTTCTGCAGCATTCTGTTTTGGCCAAGAAGTAAAAAGGTCCAGATTCAAAGGCAGAGACGCAGACCCCCACACACACCCCTTATGGGAGGTGGGTGGAAGGATGTGGGGGGCTGTTGTGTCACAGCTGTGCCGTCTGGGATGTTGACCTCCCCAGAGCTCTCAGGTGTGAACACACGTGTGGCCAGGCCTCAGTGCTGTCCTCTCCTATGGCTGTGATGCAGAGAGTCCCAGAACCAGGGCTCAGCCCGGGAGGGTTCTTGGCTTCACTCAGGAAAGAATTTGAAAGCCAGCTGGTGGTGGAAGGCAGGTTTACTTAAGCGGCCGTGTACAGAGAGTTGCTGCTCCTTGCAGAGCAGGGCTAACCCACAGGGAGTGCGCCAGGGTGAGTGCATAAGGGACTGTAGCTGTTTTTATACCCACTTTTAAGTATGTGCGAATTAAGGGGAAGGTTATTCAGAAATCTCTAGAAAGGGGGCGGCACCTTCCAGATGTTGCCATTGCGTTTGTAAACTGTCATGGTGCCGGTGGGTGTGTCTTATGCTGATGGGCAGAGGGGGCAGCTGGAGGAAGCTGTGTTAGTCTGTTCTTGCACTGCTATAGAGAAATACTTGATACTGGGCAATTTATAAAGAAAAGAGGGTTGGCTCACAGTTCTGTAGGCCGTACAGGAAGCATGGTAGCTTCTGCTTCTGGGGAGGCCTCAGGAAACTTACAGTCATGGTGGAAGGTGAAGGGGGATCCAGCACTTCAGCCAGTGGGAGCAGGAGGAAAAGAGAGAGGGAGGAGGTGCCCTTGGGAAATATCCTTCCAGCAGCTTCTGGTTGAGATCACATCCAGCTGCGGCATACTCAGGGTCTCAAGTCCTCACCTGCACACTCCAGGTGGTCCCGACAGCAGCTGCGACATACACAGGGCCTCAAGTCCTCACCTGCACACTCCAGGTGGTCGCGACAGCAGCTGTGACATACACAGGGCCTCAAGTCCTCACCGGCACACTCCAGGTGGTCCCTACAGGCTCCGTAAGCTGCCCGAGGTGCACCCCGGGGGGCCGCAGGGGCTCAGACCCAGGACACCCACCAGACTGCACAATTGGTGGCCAGCTTCTGGGGCAACCATCAGGGTCACAGTGGGAGAGGCACAATTTCCACCCAGAGCATCACTCTTCCCAATTCATGCCTGAAGGCGGGGCAGCCGCTGAGTACCCTGCCCAGGGGACCCGGAGGACACAGGTCAGTGATAGGCGTGGCCCCACCACTGCAGCCAGGGGCACTATGTGTGGTGGCGCCAAGCCCAGCATGGCCAGAAATGACACTGATACCCACACCAGGACACAGTGTCCCAGGGTGGTAGAGCTGGAAGGGCCTCTGCCACTTAGGGCTCCTGGTCCCATCCCTCATGCAATTTGTGGCCTGTGAGACCCCCTAAGGGAAAGTGACTTGTTCAATGTCACCCCAAAAGTCTGCAGTGGGGCCAGGACAGACAGGGCCTTGCCACTCAAATGCTCCGTGTGACGGCTACCCTGGTCCTTCCTTCCCCTCTTTCTCCTTCCTTCCTCCCTTTCCTCCTTCCTTTCTTCCACGCATCCCAGATGGGGCTGCAGGGCAGAAGGATCGGTGCTCTGCCCCCTTAGACCTGAAGGACGCCACTTCCTCTCTAGCCTCAGCTTCCTCAGCTGTACACTGTGAGCAATAGAGCTAACAACACCTGTCAGTCAGTCCAGGGGTGGCCACTGTGCCTGTGATTGCGCCCCCTCCCCACTCCCAGCCAGTGTGATCCTGTAGGCAGAGAGGAGGGGCTGCCAACCCAGAGGCCCCAGCAATGGGCCACAGACATGTCCTGGTCTCAGAGCCTTTGTGATATGGTTTGGCTGTGTCCCCACCCAAATCTCATCTTGAATTCCCACATGTTGTGGGAGGGGACCCAGTGGGAGGTAATTGAATTACGGGGGTGGCTCTTTCCATGCTGTTCTCGTGATAGTGAATAAGCCTCATGAGATCTGATGGTTTTAAAAATGAGAGTTTCTCTGCACAAACTCATTCTTTTTGCCTGCTGCCATCCATTTAAGAAGTGACCTGCTCCTCCTTACCTTCTGCCATGATTGTGAGGTCTCCCCAGCCACGTGGAACTGTAAGTCCATTAAACCTCTTTCTTTTGTAAGTTGCCCAATCTCAGGTATGTCTTTATCAGCAGCATGAAAATGGTCTAATACACTTCGAGACACTCTCCAGGGACTGCAGCTTCTGCTGCTCCTGGGCCTCGGGGACATCCAGAACCACTTTATTAAAGCACCCAAGGCCCAGGGCAGTGACACTGCTGGGCAGGACACCGCATGTTTCCCAGGGACCACCCTCCAGCCACCTCACATGGAGGTCAGGACCAGAGTGCCTGACGCAGGCACTCACATGGAGGCCTCGGGTTTGGGGTGTTTGCTTTAACGTCACTGACTCATGGGACCCCCGCTGTGAAAGCACCTTAGAGACCTTCCAGAACAATCCCAGATCAGAGGGTGACACCCAGGCCTTCCCTGGCCAGGGCAGCACTCGGGCCGGTCCTGACCCCCCCGCTCTTTCCTGACTCAGCCATGGCTGCCTTGTCTGCACTTCATTTTCTTGAAAACTGGGCAGAGTACCCAATGCCCACCTGGCAGCGGGGCCCAGGAGCAGCACCCCCACCTCTCTCGGCCTGTGTCCCTGTCTCCCTCCCCGTCGCTCTCCCTCCTGTCTGTCTGTCTTTGGTTTGAGCTGTCTCCTGGGTCAGGGCGGCCCCGCCTCTCTGATGGGCGGAGGGTCCTGATGTCCTTGGTCTGTCCTCAGCATCTGCTGTGGGACCTCAGGAGAAGCGCCACTCTGGACCCCAGGAGTGGGGCCATCCCCCATCCCAAATAGTGTCCCTCGTACTGGCACAAGGTCCAGGCCCCGGGTGGCCGCCTCTCCAGAGCCTGTGGGACCCTGTGGCCTGCACCACTGGGGCTTCTCACACCAGCCCCTGCCTCCCCGGCACTGGTTCTCTGGGTCTGCCTCTCCATCCACTCAGCCTCACGCCAGCCCCCGCCTCGCCACGCTGGTCCTCCCGGCCTCGCCTCTCCTTTGTGCAGCACCCCTGCCACCTGGCTTTGGTAGATGCACCTTCACCTGCTTCCCTGGACGAGGTGGGCTGCAGGCCACATCCTGTGAAGCGGGTAGGCAGCCCCATCCCAGGGCGTAAGCATGGTGTGGGTGCTGAAATGTTCTCATCTGCGGTTCCCAGGGCCAGCTAGGGGCCAGGCCTGTGCCATCCTCAACATATCACGTTGGGGTTGGGGGGGGGTCTGTGCTCACGGTGGGCTGCGTCACCGGCAGCAGGACAGGGCACGTGCTCCGTACCTCAGGGCTGAGTGCTTCCAGGGCCACCTCCTTGTTCCTCCCTCCTCTCCGCTCCTCCACCGCCCTCTCCCCTCCCACCTTCCGTGCACACTCACTGAGCACTGACAGGGCAGCCTGGGCTCCATGCTTAGACCCCGCACCACAGGTGTCATCCGGAAGGAGCTGGAGAGGCCGCAGTGTGGTCGGAGCTGACTAGGCCCGGCTGCTTGAGAAAACCGGCCGGATCCCGAGTTCAGCTGGGGCCCACACACCCACCGGAAACACACCCAGCAGAGCAGAAACCAGAAACGTGAGATTGTCTACCAGAAACACTTTCACGGCCGGGCTCCATCACGGCTGCACACCCACCTGCTGTCCCAGCCAATGGGGAATGCACGACCCATGCTGCTGCCCAGGCAGGAGAGCAGCAGCTCCCGGCACACACGGCGACTCCCACAGACACAGAAGGGCACACGCCATGGGAGCCACGGTCCTAAAGCTGGGATGAGGTCGAGGAATCCGCAGGTCCCAGGGAAGGAGGAGCTGCCGAGTCTGTGCTTCTCGCCCGGGGCTGCTGTGCAGGCAGACGCACGCTATGTCATGGGCCAGGCCGGACACTTCAGTCTTGGTGCTTTCTGCACGTGTACTGTATTCTGCCTTAAAGGTGTATTTAAAATGCCTGTAGAGGAACAAAATTCTCACTCTGCTGCTGACTGTGTGACCTTGGCTGAACCATATGACGGCTCCCAGCCTGCACTTCCTTACCTGTGTGATGGGAATGATAGCAGTGCCTTCTTCACAACCTCCAGGGAGGTTCCCCAGGAAAACGCCATGGCAGTTCTCAGCCGGGGCCTGGCCGCATGGCTACCGTCGAAGCTCTGCTGCTGGACCTGAAACGCCACGGCCCCAGTGCAAGACACCATCAGTGTGTGCTCTGTGGGGAAGCTGATCCGATGCACCTGGCCTGACATGGATCTTTGTGGGGTCCAGGGCCCGGGTTCTTCTCCAACGCACTGATCTCCTCCATCCCTGGCTCCCAAAATGCACCAGACAAGGAAAACCAGAAGAAATCAGATACAACCCTCAAGCGTTCCAGCCGGGGGGCTGGGATGTGCACACACAGCTGAGTGCAATGGGAGAGGGTGCGGTGTGAGCAACAGAGGCGCCCAGTCTAGGGAGGGCTGCTTCCCACACAGTGAGCACCACACAGGAACCAGAGAGGATTCCAGGTGTCCAGAGAAAACAGCTGGGGCAGGCGGGTGGGGGAGACGCAGTTTGGCCACAGCAGAGGAGGCCGAGGAGGAAGCGGAGGAGGCCGAGGAGGGAGCAGAGTCAAACCGAATCAGCAAGAAGGGTCAGGGCCCTAAATGTTCTCCACGGGGTCCCGACGTTCACCCGCAGCCGGAGTCCTTCAAAGAAAACCCAGAGACCACCTGCCTCCATATTTCCTGCAGTTTTTATAAAAGTGCAAGTTCCTGTATCCGACCCATGATGTGCTGACCGGGAGCTCTGGCAGTGGTATCCGGGGTCTGTGTGTCGACCCTCACTGTCAACAACAGGGAGCCACAGAAGGTTCATGAGCTGGGGAGTAACACGGCCGCTGCTGTCCGTGACTGGGCAGGTGGTGAAGGGGCTCCAGGGAGGGAGCCCAGCCAGTGTGTTTGCTGCTTCTTCATCTTCTGAGAACACGGAGAAGCCCCGTTGGAAGGAAAGGCCTGGGTTAGTATTGATCCAGATGTGGACACAGCTAGCCGATAAGGGAGGGTGTGTGAGACGTGATTTAATTCCTCCCACCAACCGCACATCGCTGCCTAGCGGAAGCCCCCTCCAGGGGTCTCACCTCATACCACAGCCAAGCAGGGGCTGGGGGCTGCCTCCCGCTGGCCCTCTGAGGGCCTGAGTCAGAAGGGTGAGGATGAAACACAGGTGGGAGCTCCCCAGATTCCCCAGAGGGGCTCCCTTCTCAGAGGCGAGGGCTAGCACCTCTGCCAGCCACTTCTGCCCCTGAAGGCCCCAAATCCTGGGAGCGCTTCGGTCCCCAAGAGACTGGGAAGTTGGTCACACTGACAGGGAATTGGTCCTCATTGAAAACATTAGTCTTTCAGCTGTTCCAGGGGAAAGGGGACGGGGGTCAAGGGAAAAGTTCTTAACAACATTTGTGCTGAAAACATGGGGTTGGGGGCAGCAACCCCAAGGTGAGAACAAGCTGAAACCTTTCCTGGGATGCAGACGCCTTCACAAGGCCTCACCCACCAGAGCAGAGATGGCCTCAGCCCTCAGGCCATCCGGTGAGGGACGGACAAGCACCACGGGCGCCCACAGGCGTGGCATCATCCAGGCACCCAAAGGAACGTAGTCTGATGCACTCTGGGCACAGGGTGCCTGGGTACAGGCAGAGTGGAAGCAGCCAGTCACAAAAGGCCACATCCAGCCTGATGCCATCCACATGAAATGCCAGGCATAGGCAAAGCCTCAGAGGCAGAGGGAGGTCAGCGTTGGACTTGGCCTTCTGACTTTCGGTTAGAGCGTTTCTCATTTAGGGACATGCAATGATGCTGTCATCACCCCTAGGCAATGGGCACTTATGCTGTGGCTGTTTCCTGTGAATGCACTTGCACACGGGACCTGTGGCATCCTGTGGGCGTCCTGTGAGTGTTGTGTGGGTGTCCTGCATGTGTGTGCACATGCGAAGGCCCTTCCTAGCATTTCTGCTGTGTGTACTGTCGGATACGGTCCTGGAAGTGGACTCCACGTTGCCGTGATGATGTGTGGGGCATTGGTGCCATAGCCACGCCTTCTGAAAAGTCATGCCCATTCAGGCTCCTACCCTGAGAGCGGAGTGGGTTTGCTTCTCCACACCGTCCTTAGCACGCATATTCCCAGTGGTTCTCATGCGTGAGCAACAGTCACAAAACAATGACGTGTTGTGGTTTTCCTGGCATGTCTTTGGTTCTCACTGGCCCAGACTGTGGCCTCCGCTTCATGGACAGAGGGACTAAGAAAGAAGCTTGTGTCTGGCTTGCCACGTGTAGAGGCAGAGGCATGGCCCACACCCCTGCCTCAGTCAGCACAGGAGGTGAGAGACTTCTGCCCCCAGGGAAAGGAGAAGTTTTCTCTCCTGGCCCTCCCATGATCTCTCCTGCTGAGGCTGCACACTGAGTGACAGGCCAGCCACTGCCGCATGCTACCTGTTTGCCACTCTGTGACCTTGGGCTTGCCCCTTCAGTCCTATGAGCCTCATCCACAAAAATGGAGACACATTCCCTGTGCAGCAAATGGTTTGTGCAGACTGAGAACATGTCTGCAAAAGCACCTGGCATGCAGCAAGTGCTCACTAAACACTGAGCAGCTGCATCATCATTGTCATAGTCATCACCATCGCCACCACCATCACCATCACCACCATCGTCACCATCACCATCGCCATCACTATTACCACCATCATCACCATCATCACCATCACAACCATCACGACCACCACCACCATCACCACTATCACCATTGTCACCATCGCCACCACCATCACCATCGTCACCATCACCATCACCATCACTATTACCATCATCACCATCATTACCATCACCACCGTCGTCACCATCACCACCACCATCACAACCGTCACCACCACCACCATCACCACCATCACCATCGTCACCATCACCATCACCTTCATAGTCATCATCATCACCATCACCACCATCACCATCATTATCATCATTGTTACCATGACCATCACCACCATCATCCTCCTCACCACCATCATCACCATCATCATCATCATATCACCATCACCATCACTACCATCGTCATCACCATCACCACCACCAACACCACCATCATAACCATCATAATCACCACCATCATCACTACCACCATCATCACCATCATCATCACTATTGTTATCACCACCACCATCATCCTCATCACTACCATCACTATCATCACCATCACCACCATCGTCATCACCATCACCACCACCACCACCACCACCATCACCACTATCATCACCACCATCATCATCATCACTATTGTTACCACCGCCATCATCATCACCACCATCATCATCTTCATCACCACCATCACTATTATCACCATCATCACCACCATCATCATCACCATCGTCACCATCACCATCACCACTATCATCACCACCATCATCATCATCACTATTGTTACCACCGCCATCATCATCACCACCATCATCATTCTCATCACCACCATCACTATCATCACCATCATCACCACCATCACCATTGTTGTCATCATTATTCATTTTTCCTTTTCTGGAGACACCCATGAGTCCTGGAAGCTCAGGATGCAGGCTTTAGGAGTAGCCCCCTCCTCATTCACAGGAATATGAAGGCCTGGCATGGCAGTGACTTGCCCAAGGCCACTGTGCCAAGAGCAGAGCTGGGTTTGACCCTCTGTCTCCGCATGGCCCTTGGCAGCCCCCGAGTCCCCTTTGGCAGATAGCTTTCCTCACAGCCCTGAGGACAGGCATGATGGGACAGGGAGTCTCTCTCCACCCCCTCCTTGGTGTTTAGTTGACATCAGTAAAGCCACCGAAGGAATCTTTCAGAAATAAACAAAGTTGCATTTTTTGACAGAGGATGGAAAATGACTCATAGGAAATCAGCATTCCAAGTGCACTACCCCATTAGGTATTAAGCGGGTCGGGTTTCGGCACAGCGTCCAAGAATGCTGTGGCTTATTGCAGGAGGATGACACCGTCTGTGTGGGGAGCTGGCGCGGGTGCCTGAGGCCTGGAAGCACCCGTGGGAACCCATGATGTGCCGTCACCGCGTGCCCTGCCCCCTCTGTGCCGGCTCTCCTGGCAGTGCTGAGCACCGCCACGCTTGGGCACAGCCTTGCCGCTGGCCCTGGCCTTGAGCAAGGTCCTTGCAGCATCACTGGATGCTGGGTTCTAATTTGGCTCTGAATCTGACTTGCAGGTTTGGGCCATTCCAGAAGAATAAACCTTTCTGTGTGCACCTCTGGCAGGCAGCCACCTGGCATAGGCCATGTGAGGCAGGGAGAGGGAAGGCACCATGAAAATCAACAAAGCAAGTCCTCCCCTAAGGGACTCCAGAACCCGTGGGTTGAGATGGGCAGGATGGGGGAGGGGGGGCTGCTGGGAACAGGGTGAGGGCCC
The DNA here is from genome assembly GCF_000001405.40 of Homo sapiens. Lineage (NCBI taxonomy): Eukaryota > Metazoa > Chordata > Mammalia > Primates > Hominidae > Homo > Homo sapiens. The sequence goes on from NC_000016.10 coordinate 88,332,750, forward strand.
CCAGCACCACTGCTCAGGCCGGCTCTCACAGCCTGCAAACCCTTCCCACAAGACTCCACACAAGCAGCCTCTGCAGCCAGCCTCCTCACCGTTTCACAGACGAGAAGACCAAGGCCCCGGGTTGCCCCTTGAGTCTGGGCACTGGAGACCCAGTCATGCTGCTTTCCAGCCCATGACCTTCCCACCCCCCTGTCAGAGCCACCGAGCTGTGTCCCCAGGAGCCACGTCCCTGCCCAGCCTCTGTGGCACCCAGAGGTGCACTCTGGCACCAGGACACACCCCGTGGGTCCTTGTGCTGCTGCTCATTGGTGATTTGGCGGTAAACCTTAGAGGGAGGAGGCCTGCTGGGATCATGTGCCCACTGCCCATGCTGTGGCCTCTGTGGGCAAAGCGAGTGTCCCCACATCCACCGTCCATCCGTGAGTCCCCTGCTTGATGCTTCCTGAGAGCCTCCACCCACCCAGAGGGAAACCAGGTGTGGTCTCCAAGCCGGTGGGTACGGCCAGGGGAGAGAAGGCTCCGGACTTGCTGAGTCACGGAAGAGGGGCCCATGGGTGGAGAAGGCTCGGACTTGCTGAGTCACGGAAGAGGGGCCCATGGGTGGAGAAGGCTCGGACTTGCTGAGTCACGGAAGAGGGGCCCATGGGTGGAGAAGGCTCGGACTTGCTGAGTCACGGAAGAGGGGCCCATGGGTGGAGAAGGCTCGGACTTGCTGAGTCACGGAAGAGGGGCCCATGGGTGGAGAAGGCTCGGACTTGCTGAGTCACGGAAGAGGGGCCCATGGGTGGAGAAGGCTCGGACTTGCTGAGTCATGGAAGAGGGGCCCACGGGTGACTGAGCGACAGTTACAACTTGGAGACATTTCCTTCCAGCAAAGATGCAAAGGTGGGGCATGAAGGCAGGAGCACGGAAGTCTTTGCATGTGTGGCCGGGGCTGCCTGCCCAGGGAAGGCATTTTCATTCTTCCCACGGATGCGGGCCCGCGAGGTGGGGCTGGTAGTAAAGATCCCGAGGAGAATAAAAACACACCAAGAACCGGAGCACTTCACACACTTGAGCAAGGGAGAGTGACGGCTGCGTGGCAGGGGGTGGGGGGGACGTGGGGGCAGTTGCAGTGTGTGTGTGTGTGTTTGTGTGTCTGTGTGTGTGTTTTTGTGCATCTGTGTGTGTCTGTGTGTGTCTACATGTGTATGTGTTTGTGTGTCTGCATGTGTGTCTGTGTGCATCTGTGTGTATCTGTGTGTGTCTGTGTCTATGTGTTTGTGTGTGTGTGTCTGTGTGTGCATGTGTGTCTCTGTGTGTCTGTGTCTGTGTGTGTCTGTGTGTGTGTGTCTATGTGCATGTGTATGTCTGTGTCTGTGTGTCTGTGTCTGTGTGTGTGCCCAAGGGAGGCAGGCGTGAAGCTAAGGAAGTCTTGCTCTGTGTTACAAATGTCACTCCCTTTCCTAAGAGACCAAAGAGTTAAGAAATTTTTCAGGTTTGTTGAGATGCTGGACTAAGCTGGACTAAGCCTCCTGTGAATGCCCCCTTTGAAAAAAATTCTGGGGATGGATGGTAAAAAACAACAACAACAATCTTACCTGAAACGCTCGGGACCAGAAGTGTTTTGGTTTTGATTTTTGTCACATTTGGGAATGTTTGCCTTACGCTGACCAGTTGAGCATCCCTGACCCAGCATCTGAAATCAGACATGCTCCAGGGAGCATTTCCCAAGAGCATCATGTCAGAGCTCAAACAATTTTGGGTTCTGGGGCATTTTGGGTTAGGGATACTCAACCTGTATGACCCAGGGTGTGCACACATCACAGAGCCGGGAGTGATTCATCTGTCCCAGAAGGTTCAAAAGGTCAAACTGTGACCAATTCATGTCCACCTGGAGCCGATGACTGTGGCCTTATTTCATATAAGGGTGTCGGCAGATATGATTGCACTAAAGATCTCAAGATGAGGTTGTCCTGGACCAGGGTGGGGCCTAAATCCTATGAAAGCGTCATAAGGAAAAGGGAGCCTGAGATGGGAAGATGCCGACGGGAGGACACACATGTGATGGATACAGATGAGGGAGCCGTGTGGGAAGATGCCGACGGGAGGACACATGTGACAGAGACGGACGTGGGAGCCGTGAAGGAAGATGCCGACGGAACGACACATGTGTGACAGAGATGGATGTGGGAGCCGTGAAGGAAGATGCCAACGGAAGGACACATGTGTGATGGAGATGGAGGGGGAGCCGTGTGGGAAGATGCCAACGGGAGGACACATGTGTGATGGAGACGGACAGGGGAGCCATGCAGCCACTGGGCACAGGAAGAGGCAGGGAGGACCCACCAGAGCCTTTGGAGGGAGCACAGCCCTGCGCATGCCTTGATCTGGGACTCGCAGTCTCCGGGGCTGTGAGAGGATGAACGTCTGTTGCCCTAAGCTGCTAGGTTTGCCAGGAAACCAGGCCAGGCTCTCCACCACCCCAAAACTCAGAGCTTAACTGTAGGGTCAGATGCAGGCCAGGCTCTCCACCACCCCAAAACTCAGAGCTTAACTCCCTGGTTAGTACATATCTGGATGCACGTCAGGAATGCAGGCAGGGCTGGATGCACTTCCGCTCCACATGGTGTGGATGAGGGCCACTCCGGGGTGCTCTGTGGGCAGCTGGGCTGGTCAAAAACTTCCAGGGCGGCCTTACTTCTGCAGCTGGTGCCATGGCGAGACAGCTGGAACGTCCCCACAGGGCCACTCTGGCACGGGGTCTCAGGGTGGCCAGGCCCCCTCCTCGGCCCCTCAGGGCTCCCAAAGTGAGTGTCTGGAGGGGCCTCTGATGACCCAGCCACAGGGCCTCACTTTGGCCACACTCCACTGTTCAGGCATTGCCAAGTCCAGGCAGATGCCTGGGAGGGGAATTAGCTCTGCCTCCTGATGGGAGGAGAAATGAGAGCCTCGATAAGCATCGAATCAATGAAAGAAAGAAACTCACATGGAGGCATTGACGCAGCAACACCATGCATGTTCATCCTTCACGTGAGACACTAACATGCCAATACCACGCACATTCGTCCTTCACGTGAGACACTGATGCGCCAATACCACACATGTTCATCCTTCATGTGAGACACTGATGTGCCAATACCACACACATTCATCCTTCACGTGAGGCACTAACATGCCAATACCATGCACGTTCATCCTTCTCGTGAGACACTAACATGCCAATGCCACGCATGTTCATCCTTCATGTGAGACACTGATGCACCAATACCACACATGTTCATCCTTCATGTGAGACAGTGATGCGCCAATACCACACACGTTCATCCTTCACATGAGACACTAACATGCCAACACCACACATGTTCATCCTTCACGTGAGACACTAACATGCCAACACCACGCATGTTCATCCTTCACGTGAGACACTAACATGCCAACACCACACACATTCATCCTTCACTTGAGACACTAACACGCCAATACCACGCACGTTCATCCTTCACGTGAGACACTGATGCGCCAATACCACACATGTTCATCCTTCATGTGAGACAGTGATGCGCCAATACCACACACATTCATCCTTCACGTGAGACACTAACATGCCAACACCACACATGTTCATCCTTCACGTGAGACACTAACATGCCAACATCACACATGTTCATCCTTCACGTGAGACACTAACATGCCAACATCACACACGTTCATCCTTCACGTGAGACACTAACATGCCAATACCACGCACGTTCATCCTTCACATGAGACACATGCCAATACCGCGCATGTTCATCCTTCACGTGAGACACTGATGTGCCAATACCACACATGTTCATCCTTCATGTGAGACACTGACATGCCAACACCACACATGTTCATCCTTCACGTGAGACACTAACGTGCCAACAGCACATATGTCCATCCTTCACGTGAGACACCGACATGCCAATACCACACACATGCATCCTTCACATGAGACACTGACACGCCAATACCACGCAGACTCATCCTTCACATGTGCGATTCGGTGGCTTTTCATGCATTCACAAAGTTATGCGACCATCACCACTATCTCATTCCAGAACAGGTCATCATCCCCAAAACAAACCCCATACCCATGGAAGTTCACCACCTGCCGTTCCCCCAGCCCCTGGCCACCCCGAGTCTACCATCTCTGCTCTTCTGGGCATTTCCTGTGAGCAGAATCATGCTGTGTTTGCCCCTTTGTGTCTGGCTTCTTCCACTCGGCCCCGTGTTTTCAAGGTTCCTCCACGTTGCTTCATGTGCTAGTGTTTCACTCCTCTTCGTGGCTGAAAAGTATATTCTGTCATGGTTTAACCGTTCACCAAATGATCAGCATCTGGGCCATTTCCACGCTGGGGCTATGGTGAGTAGTGCCGCTATGAACGTTCACACCTGGTATGGTTTGGCTGTGTCCCCAACCAAATCTCATCTTAAATGGTGGCTCCCACCATTCCCGCATGTGGCAGGAAGGACCCAGCAGGAGGTAACTGAATCATGGGGGCGGGCCTTTCCCATGCTGTTCTCATGACAGTGAATAAGTCTCATGAGATCTGATGGTTTTATAGGGGAGCTCCCCTGCACAAGCTCTCTCTTGCCTCCTGCCATGTAAGATGTCCCTTGCTCTTCCGCCATGATAGTGAGGCCTCCTCAGCCCTGTGGAACTGAATGCATTAAACCTCTTTCCTTTATAAATTACCCAGTCTCGGGTATGTCTTTATCAGCAGTGTGAGAACGGACTAATACAACACCCAAGTGTTTGCACGGACGTGTTTTCAATTCTGCTGAGTTTATACCTAGTGGTACAGGGTCCCAGCGTCACTCTCTGATTGTCTTTTTGAGGAAGTGCCAGGCTGCTCCTCATTTTGCATCCCCATTTGCAAGGCACGAGGACTCTGGTCCTCTGCATCCTCAGCAGCAAGCATCACTGCACATCTTTAGTTCTGGCCACCCCACGGGCGTCAGGGGCAGCTCGCCGCAGCTGTGACGCACGTTTCCCTGGTGGCTGATGGTGTCAGGCATCTCTCCATGTGCGTTGGAGAAGCCCACTCAGATACACGGCCTCTGCTTTAATGGGGTTGTCTGGCTTTTTGTTGTTGAGTTGTGCGTGCTCTGTGTATATGCTGGACGCTAAACCCTTCTCAGATGGACGGTTTGCCAAAATTTTCTCCTGCTTTGTGACCTGCCTTTCACTTTCTCAATGGTGTCCTTTGAAACACAAATGTTTTTAGCTTATGAGGATCCACTTTCTCTATTTTTCCTCTGGTTGCTGTGCTTTCGGTGACACATCTACGAAAAGTGCTGTCACTTGGCCAGCGGTTCCTAACTTTGCTTTCTCACAGTGCCCCAAGACATCCCATGGCCCATGGGCAAACTTCCTCTTAATGCGCAATGCAACCCTCCAGCGCTGCCAATCGCCTGGGGAGAGACCCTCCGGCGCCTCCAATCGCCTGGGGAGAGACCCTCTGGCTCCCGGAAGGCAGGGGTCCCATGGGTGGGGAGCTGCTGACTGTAGTGCAGTACCCAGCGGTGGTCCTGAGCTGGGTCCAGGCTGCGGGATAGTGCTCTGTGGTTGATTAGCAATGTCTGCCCCGGCAAGAGAGGAGTCTGCACCCTGCAGGCCACCCCCGGCTCCTGACTCTCCAGGCTGATCATCACTGTGCCCTGGTCGACTTGATGAGGAGAGGTGGCCTCGGGTGATGCACTGAGGCTCCACGCCCCCAGGGTGTGTTTGCCCCGCACAAGTATTGGGCCGTCTGTAGAGACTGTCTCCTGAGAACCACAGAGCCCCCAAGCCATCTTGTGCTGTCACCAAGGAAGAAACACGGAGGCCAGAGGCCTCTGCTGGGTGAACATTGCCCCCAAACCCATGTCCACCCACAACCTGTGAACATGGCCTGCTTTACAGACAGGGCCTTTGCAGGTGCAATTAGTTAAGATGAGATCAGGCTGGTGTCCTTATCAGAAGGGGGGATATGGGCAGACACACAGAGGAAGGGCAGGGCCACAGCAGAGATGGAGGCTGTGGCGATACAGGCACAGGCCACAGGCCAAGAGCGTCACAGAAGCCAGCATCCCCCAGAAGCAGGGAGGGGCAGCAGGGACCCTCCTGGAGCCTCAGGAGGAGCGTGGCCCTGCAACGCCTTGGTTTCAGGCTTCTGTATGGAGAGAACATTTGTCTCTTTTTGAAGTTCCCCAGTTTATGGCACTTTGTTCTGGAAGCCCCAGAGAACCCACATCACACTTGATAGTGTGCGTTCACTGCACAGCAGGGCTGCCTGAGCTGGACTCCCCAGGGCTGCTGCGTCCTGGAGGGGGCGTGCCTGCCTGAGCAGAGAAGTCACTCAGGTGCACTCCCAGAACTAGGAGGGCCACTGGAGCGAGAGTGGGAGCCAGGGAGGACAGGGTGGCGGGGGACATGGGGACAGGGTGGCAGGGGGATGTGGGGACAGGATGGCAGGGTGATCGGGGATAGGATAGCAGGGGATAGGATAGCAGGTGGCAGGGGGACAGACTGGCAGGGGAATGGGGGACAGGATGGCGGGGGATGGGGGACATGGTAGCAGAGGGATGGGGGACATGGTGGCAGGGGGATGGGGAACATGGTGGCAGGGGGATGGGGACATGGTGGCAGGGGGATGGGGGACAGGATGGCAGGGGGACGGGGGACATGGTGGCAGGGGAAGGGGGACATGGTGGCAGGGGGATGGGGACATGGTGGCAGGGGGATGGGGACATGGTGGCAGGGAGATGGGGGACATGGTGGCAGGGGGATGGCGACAGGATGGCAGGGGGATGGGGGACAGGATGGCAGGGGGATGGAGGACATAGTGGCAGGGGGATGGGGATGGTGGCAGGGGGATGGGGGACATGGTGGCAGGAGGATGGGGGACGTGGCAGGGGGATGGGGGACATGGCAGAGGGATGGGGAGACAGGATGGCAGAGGGAGGGGGGACATGGCAAGGGGATGAGGAGACAGGATGGCAGGGGGATGGGGGACAGACTGGCAGGGGGACGGGGGGACATGGTGGCAGGGGGATGGGGGGACATGGTGGCAGGGGGACGAGGGGGCAGGATGGCAGGGGGATGGGGAACATGGTGGCAGGAGGTCAGGGGACAGAGTGGCAGGGGGCCTGGCCATGGCAAAGCCCAGGTGCTTCACGGGGTGGCACAGTGTTGGGGACGGGCCACCCCTGCAGAGGGGAGCGAGTGGGCGGGCCTCTTTACTAAGATACAAACCTTGGTCATCTTCTGAGCATGCAGGGGACAGGTGCAATATTTTTAAGCAAGAGCAGTGCCAGGTCTGAGCCACGGACACCAGTCCTCTCTATAAAGTGAGTCAGCAAGCAAACAGCCCCCTCACCACCCCTTCTCCTCCTACCCCAGCCGACATGGCTGAGCCGGCACAGAGGTGCCTCCCCTGCACGGCAGTCCAGGCCGGCACGGCAGCTTAAGGAGTTCACCTGCAGAGCAGGGGGAGCCTGTTGTTCAGGCACAGAGCACCTCATAGGTGGGAGTGAGCCACGTGTACCAAACGAGGTGTTGTCATGGGCCAGGTGTCAAAGGCCAGGTGACATGAACAGGTATAATGGACCAGGTATCAAAGGCCAGTTATCATAAGCCAGATGTCATGCGTCAGGTGACATGAACAGGTGTCATGGGCCAGGCATCACAGGTCAGGCATCACAGACTAGGTATAAAGGGCCAGGTATAATGAACCAGGTGACATAGGCCAGACATCACGGGTCAGGTGTCATGGGTCAGGCCCACAAGAAGTTCTCGAAGCTTTGATAGGACTGGGGAGTGCTGGGCTTTGCAGCCAGAAAGTCTCCCAGGGAGGGTGCTGCCCAGCCCCACAGAGCTGAGGCCCAGAGGGAGGAAGGAACAACAGTGCAGGGCGGCGCAGCTTAACAGCCGGGAGCACAGAGGAGGCAGGTGCGTGGGGAGGAGTCCCGCTGGAACAGAATCCGCCTGCCTGGGCTGGGAATCAGCAGAGGGGAGGGTGGGTCAGAGGGGAGGGTGGGGCAGAGGAGAGGGAGAGGGTGATGCACAGGGAGGAGTTTACAGGCAGAGGTGTCAGGCAGAGCCACCCTGAGGGACCGTGAGAGGACTTGGGATGAGGACCTGCTAGGAGAGCCCGGGGGCCTAGCGTGGAGGAGGGCCTCGCAGAGAGCCCTGGGGGTTGGGGTAGCAAGGACCCTGCAGAGAGAGCCCGGGGCCCGGGCAAAGCGGTCCAGGCTGGCGTCTGGCTGGCAGCCCTCGCAGAGCTCCTGGCCCCCTCCTGAGCCACCTGAGCACCTCGTCTTCCCCCAGAGGTTCAGACCTCTCCTGTGAAGGTCCAGTAGCAAATCTCTCAGGCCTTGTGGGCCACACGTGGTCTCTGTCACACATCTCTACCTATTTTGTACAATCCTGTAAATGTGTAGAAGCCCTTCTTAGCTCACAGGCTGGACAACACCAGGTCTTGGGGTGTCCCTGTTCAATGCCCGCCTGGTGCACTGAATGCTGGGGGCCTGTACAGGGCCAGCCCCTCAGTCTATTCTCCAGGGCCCAGGAGGCGCATGGGCCAGGGCCTCCCACTGGGAACATGCGTTTGGAATCTTGCTCCTGGTGGCTGCTGGGACTCAGTTGCCCCTGCTGGGACGTGCTGGGCAGCGTGAGGCAGGGCCGGCCACTGTTGTGATCTCTCACCTGGGGGACTCATTCTGGGCCACCCTCCAGGTTTCCCAGGTCAAGCCGTCCTCCCCAGCTCTCTGACGTAATCCCAATTTCCTTTCGCATTGACTCTCAAGCCGTGCCCCAGAAAGCAGGCACCTGGGTTCCTAGCCATCCTAACTCCCGCACGGCTCACAGCTGGGACGGAGCCAGGGTGGCAGCAGGCAGGCCCTGCACACCTGCAGGTGGACTGGGTATCTCGGTTTTGCCATCTGCGGGGGCATGGATGCATGCTCCCTGAGGCAGGTGGTGCAGCGTCCACAGACTGGGGGTGGGGTTCAGATGAGCCAGGAAGGGTGTGCAGGGGAGGATGGCTGGGGGCTGCCATGCCCAGTGGGGGCTGGGCGGGTGACTGGATGAGCCTGAAGGACTTGGGGACCAAGGTCATGATGGGTCCAGGGCCAGGGCGAGAGCATCACCAAGGGCGCTGGCCATCTGGGAAGGCCGTGAGAAGGAGCTGTGCAGGTGTCGGGGCGGCCAGCATTGATGTGTGGACTTCGAGGTGCCCAGCTGGGGAAGCAGAATGGGGCTTTGGGCATCATAGCAGGTGGCAGCTCCAGCCAACAGGGTCCCAGGTGAGGCAAGCAGCAACATGTGCAGGGCGGGGCGGGGCTGGCTGGGGACGAAGAAGGCCGGTGGGAGAGGCCGGGCAGGGGCTGAGGAGGCGCTGCGACAGGGGTCTCCAGCCCTTCGCCCCCCAGCACCTCGCAGGTCTGGGCTCGGTCTCCACCTTGTCACTGCTGGGAAGGTGACTCGAGAGATTTACCCAAAGTGACCAGGGAGCTCAGTGTGGGGGTCCAGGCTGGGACTTGAGTCTCTGCCTCCCCTCCTGCCTGCATCTCTCATGTTCCTGGAGCTCCAGGAACCTCAGGAAGATCTCATGGGGGAGGCCAAATGTCCTCTCCCAGCAGCCCAGTTCCCTGTGCCCCGCTCATGGCCGAACCTGGATGGAGCCTCAGAATCCTCCTCAGCTCCCCACTCCAATGGCCACTGAGGGTCAGAGAGGATGATCGGGGAAAGCTGCTTCTGCTCTGATGCACGGTGGGGGCCCACTGCCCTGCACTCAGGTAGGACATCACTGCCCCACCTCCTGTGGTCCCGCAGCCCCTTCCTTTGCTCAGCCTCTCGGACCTCCTGCCAGGGCCCGTCATGCAGAGGCGGCTCTGAGCAGTGAGCCTTTTCCCTGTAACTTGGGGACAGACCATGGGGGGACTGAGGCTGTGCCAGCAGGCGGTGGGCCTGCTTCTTTTCAAGGTGGCATCTGTTCTGCGTTGGGCCAGGTGGGAGAACGTGCATAAGTGTAAGACTCTAGCAGCCGCCTGATGCCAGCGTAGGGCGATGCCTGTCAATGACGCCAGCATAGGGCGATACCCGTCAAGCCCTTGTCGGGACCCAGTTGCAGGACGTCATGTGTATTTGGGTGGTGGGTCCCTGTGGGAGGTAACCCTCCCTCACCTGGAGGGGCACAGGGGCAGCAAGGCTGGGCTCAAGTCCTTCATGGCCACTGGATGAGCTTTGTGGGCAACTGCTGAGCTCCACGTGGTCCACAGGCAAAGCAGCGGGCAGATAGCACACGGGGACTGAGAAGCATAGGCGTCCTGTCTCACACCCCTTGTGGTCCATAGGCAAAGCAGCGGGAACATAGCACATGGGGACTGAGAAGCACAGGCATCCTGTCTCACACCTCTCATGCTCCTGGGTCCGTGGTAGCCCACCCTGCACTTGCTCTCCTGGACCTCCGTCCAGAGCTCAGGGCCACGGCTGAGATGGCATCCGGTGACAAAGTAAACATGGTATGGGGTTGTATGGGGTTAAAATCCCAAGGATAGAATAAACATCCACGAGCCCACAGTAACATAAAGTATCGAATGGATGAAATAAATAAATGGGGAAGAAAAGACACATCCCTCCCAAACAATGTACATAGACGCTTGCCCAGGAAGTAGCACAGAGCCGCCCGCCCACATGCAGCCTGCCCATCGTGACTTCTTCCTAAGAGCAGAGTGTGTGTCTTAGTCCATTTCTGCTGCTGTAGCTGAATCCCTGAGCCTGGGTAGTTTATAAAGGAAAGAAGTTTATTTCCCAGGGTTCTGGAGACTGGGAAGTCCAAGGTCGAGCGGCTGCCTCTGCTAAGGGCCTTCTTGCTGGTGGGGACTCTGCAGCATCTGAGGCAGCACAGGGCATCCATGGCAAGGGGGCTGAGCCTGGTGGCTCAGGTCTCTCTTCTCCTTCTTATGAAGCCACTAGTCCCACTCCTGTAATAACCCATGAATCCATGAATGGATTAATCCATTCATGAGGGCAGAGCCCTCTAATCACCTCTTAAAGGCCCCACCTCTCAAGACTGCCACAATATGGATTGAATTTCAACATGAGTTTTGCAGGGGACAAATATTCAAACCATGGCAATATGGGGAGATGGAAAGAGAGGGACTGCACAGTGGAGATGCTGACAAACACGACCTCGGCCAGGAGGTCAAGGTCATCCTTGACCATCATGAGTCCTTTTGATGGTGTGGATCCTGGACGGGACATGATCAGATGGGCACTTCACCCCTGGGGTCTCTGTCCCAAAAACCCATAACCCTCGTCTAATCATGAGAAAAACAGCAGAGAGTCTCAACAGGGAGAGACTCTACAAAACACCTGAGCGGTCCTCACAACGGTCAAGGTCATCAAAAACAAGGAGGGTCTGAGAATTTGTCACGGCCCAGAGGAGCCGAAGGAGACACGAGGATCCTGGATGGGATCCTGGGGCAGAGAAAGGGCATGGGGGGAGAAGAGGCGATGGGGGGGCGGGTTCCGAACAAAGCGTGGACTTCAGTTCATACCAACGTGTCGATGCTGGTTCCTTAGTTCTTGCTGGTGTCCACAGTGATGTGAGATGTTAACGGCAGGGGACCCTAAGTGAGGGGTGGACACAAACTCTCCATGCTGTCTTTGCAACCTTCATGTACATCTTCAACTGTTCTGAAATTAAGAGTTTATTGAAGAGCCATTGGGCTGGGTTGCAGTGCTGGGCACAGGGCCTGAGGCAGGTGCTCTGCAGAGTGAAAGTCCCCATGGGCTTCTGGCAGGGATGGGGTCAGTGTGAAGAGGGGCACATTGCACTGGGGGCCGGGACAGCCAGCTGTGTTTTGGCCCTGCCTCTGCTGCTGTGCACCCTCAGGCGGTGCCCGGGCCCTCTCTGGGCCTGTGACCACAGCTGTGCAAAGAGCGTGGGAAGCAGCTCTGCATATGGCCATGGTGGACCCAGGATGCAGCCGGAAGGTCCCCCAAAGTGCCTGGGTTCCTGGGAGGGGCCGCTATGGGTGTGTGCCCCGTGTCCCAGAGGCGAGACCGGGTCGGAACCCGAGTCTCCTCCCCAAACCACCACATTGGCTCTGGGTCCCGCGTGTCGAACCCGTCAGGTCGCCCTGCCTCCATCACCCGGCCTCTGGGATTTCCTGCAACCTTCCAGGTGTCAAGCGTGTGGCCCCGACATCCCTGACAATGTTGTATATCCATCACAGAAGTCGCCCTGACTTGGGGTTTGGCTGGTCAGGCCCAGAGCCCTACAGCAGGTTCTAGAAGGGCCTGAGAAGACCAGTCACCTCCTCCTCACCCGTTGTAAAGGTGACGTGAGCCTGGGATGGGGGGAGTGGATCCCGAGGTCATAGGGCATGTTGCTGACAGAGCCTGAATTGTCCAGCCAGCCCCCTCCCGGGCACCCAGGCCAGATGCTCCATTTCCATCCTTGCTCTTGAGTCCAAAAGGAGACCCTGGCATGGCGCCATCCACGCACACCTCGTGTGACCGTGGGACAGCTCTGTGCCTGTGCTGGCAACAAGCTGCCACCACACACAGGGCTTCTGAGCACCTGAGGCCTGGGTAGTGGTATCAAAAAACCAGATTTTTAATTGTACCTAATTTCAATTAACTTAAATGTAAGCAGCTCCGTGTGGCCCAGGGCTTCCTTATGGGACGGCACAGCCATGATGGCTACACACGCAAACGTTGGGTAGGTGACACCAGGAGCATGGGATCTGCACCAGGGCCCCTCTGTGGTCACTCACCATGAGATGTGGGCACGTCACTGCCCTCTGTAAGACGAGAGGCCTCTGCAGGCTGGCATGGCAGAACCCACACCTGGGCAGCTGTCCCCTCTGCCCGTGGGGTCGCCACGGGGTCCATTTCACACAAGCCCAGAGGGAGCCTCTGGCTCACCATGCAGGGAAGGGCGCTTTCCAAAGCCTTGCCTGCTTCCACCAAAACACTGGCTCCAGCTCTCCTCACGTGGATGGAACTCCCCCGGACTGGAAGAAGGAGGGTTTTACGAGAGTCAGCTTTTCATAGGGGAGAATGCTTGCCAGCCCGCCCGCCAGGCCCCACCGAGGCTGCCAGAGGTGACCTTCAGGCTTCAGCAACTCTGCCCTTCATCCAGAAGGATCTAGACCTGCTCCCTCGTCGAATATCACTACAATGACCTGGCATCGCATCACCCTGGAAGGACCAGAGGAAAATGGCGCCATCTGTTCCCATTATTCTTGGCGGGGGCAGGAGCGTGAGAGGTGGGGCTCTGGACCGGGTCAGGCTGTGAGCACACCACTCAGATTTCTGGCTAAAGTGCTGAACTTCACAGCCGAGAGCATTACAAAAGAATTTTTATTCCTTTCCTACTCTTCCTCCGTGGGTGCCCGACAGATATCTCCAGGGATGGGAGTTCTCGGCTCCATCCCAGGCCCGATTCTCCAGTGGTTTCCAGGATGTGGGGACGGCCGGTGCAGGCTGCTGGGTGAGGGAGAAGCATGGTCTCTGGCCCGTTCATCTCGGGAGAACCTCTGCTGACCACGAGGCCCTGCGAGTGTGCTGGGGACCCAGCTACGCTTGTCCACTAATCACCAAAACAGACCCCGGCTCCTGGCAGAACTCGCTGGGAAACTCCAGGTCGGCTGCCCGGAGCCCCTCCCTCCCAGCCCTGGCCTGGACCTGCACATGCAGCTCCCATGCCACCTCAAAGCCACAGAGCAAACCCTACAGCAGGACCGTTGCTCCTACTCTTATTTACTTTTATTTTTTTTATTTTTTAGAGACAGGGTCTCGCGCTGTTGCCCAGGCTGGAGTGCAGTGGCACGATGTTGGCTCACCGCGGCCTGAACCTCCAGGCTCAAGCAATCCTCCTGCCTCTGCCTCCCGAGTAGCTGGGACTACAGGTGCGCACCACCACACCTGGCTAATTTTTTAATTTTTGTAGTGATGGAGTCTCGCTATGTTGCCCAGGCTGGACCTGTTCCTTCCTTTAAGAGGAAGTGGGGAGATGGGCGGCCCTGTGTGTGCGTCCCAAGCTGCTCAGGCAGCGAGCTGGCCCTGGACCTGCCCACTGCTGGACTTTCAGGTTCCCATTGTGTCCACGCTGCCACATCCTCCCTCAGACTTTCTTCAGAACCACAGAATGAAAATCGGCAGCCGGGAAGAACCAGCTGGCCTGGCCACCCTCGGGAGAAGGCCCTCGTTCCCAGGAGAGGCACACTGAGGTATTTAGCAAGAAATGTCATTCCTGCTGGTTCTGGGGGGAAGTAAGATAAATTCACAGGGAAAGAGCAGAAATGTGGTAATGTGTGAACAGGCCGTACGGCTGAGCTTGGGCGGTCTCAGCATGGTGTCACCTGTGTTGGTTTTGCTTCCCTGGGAGCAGGATGCCGGCCCTACCTCCTTCCCACCAAGCTGGGGACCCACACCTATGAGGCAATGCAGGAGGCCCCTGAACCTTTGGACGAGTGAGATCCCATGTTTTGGCTACATTCGATCCCCCAAAAGACGTCAGGGCCCCACCCCCACACCCGTGCACGGGCCCTTCTTTGGAAATAGGGGCTTTGCAGATGCTCAAGTGAAGACATGGTCATTAGGCCGGGTCCTAATTCACTAGCACTGTTATTCAAAGGTGAGATTTCCACTGAGCCGCGGGCACACCCAGAGAGACGGTCACACGTAGACACCCGGAGGAGACAGTGTCGCCAAGCCCAGGAGAGAGGCCCGGAGCAGACCCTCCCTCCTGACATCCGCAGGAACCAGCCCCACCATCTTCACTTTGGACTTCCAGCCTCCAGAACTGTGACGATAAACTCCCGTTTTAACCACACCATCTGTGATACTTGGTTATCATGGCCCCAGGAAACCCATCTGCCCCACATCCACCCCGATGTGAAGAACTGTGGGGAAGGCGGGGCCAGTCTCCTCCAATCACAGTGAAGAACCTGCACCTCACCCCTGCCTCTGGTCCTCCCATCTTCGCCTTTCCAGCCTTGGCTCAAATTCACCCCAAAGGCGTCTCAAGTCCTGGGCCACGCCCAGCACCCACCCGCCTCCTGGGACCATTGGATGTGTTTGGGCCTCCCAGGAAGATAGCAGAGTCCTGTGAGAGGTGTGCAGGGTACAGCTGGAGTAGGGGTGCCCCATGACCCCTGAGGAGGAGGATCTCAGACCAGGCAGGGCAGGGCTCTTCCCAGAGAGCTCCGCCAGGTGTCAGGAGCCCAGAGGCCCAAACGGTCTACCCTGCACCCCCACGTCCTCCTCGCTGTGGAAGCCTGGTGGGCGGAGCATGGTCGTGGTGGGCCAGGGACAGCAGCGGGTCGGAGCCTGAGTCTTCTGGGCTGGCCCACCTGCCCCTTCGCATCTGTGTGCGTCCCCTGGGGCTTCCCTGACAGCAGCAGCAGAAGCGATCCTTTCAGAGCTCTGGGGCCGGAAGTGCAAAGTCAAGGTGGCTCAGGGCCGCCTTCCTGCCTCTTCTGGCTCCTGGTGGCTGCGGGAGCTCCCTGACTTGTGGCCACATTGCTGCTGTCCCTGCCTCTGGCTTCACACTGCTGTCTCCCCTGTGCGTGCCTCTCGTTTCCCTGTCCTTGTAGGGACACCCATCATAAGATTCAGGGCCCCACCCCACTCCTGTGCGAACCCAGCTCCATGACACCAGAAAAGACTCTGGCTTCAAATAAGGCCACACCAACAGGTCCCCAGGGTTGGGACATGGGCATATCCCTCAGGGGCCACCATTGCACCTGCCTCAAGACCCCGCCACCCTCAGCCCCAGAACTGGGATGACCTGCTGATTTGCCCACACGGGGGAGCTGTACAGGGAGTGGGGGTCCAACAGTGTCCCAGTGGACCGGGTCAAACAGGTGAGGGACAGCACTGACCAGGGCCAGCCCAGGCCCTGCCCAGACCCCTGCCGTGAGACGTGGGGACCTCCTGAGGTGCCATTTGGGGGCTGGGACCTGGGTTGGATCCGGGGAGCCTGCCTCAGCCGCCCCACTGCCCTGGGACCCCAACTCTCCAGGTGAAGAGTTGAAGAAGACCTGTCGTCTCCTTCTTGAGGCCCCTGGGGCTGTCGGGGGAATGGTCACACAGGACCCCACAGGCACTCGGCATCACGCGTGGGCATGTATGTGTGTGCCTGCGTGTGTGTGGTGCACACAGCCGCTCTCCCGGGACAGGGTAGGGCTCACCACAGCCCCCACAGCCAGTCCTGAGCTGGGGACAGCATACGAGTCCTCGGCCCCTGCCTCCCACGCAGGCCCCAAGCCGACTGCGGCCTCTCTGACCATTTCCATCGCTTTACTCGGAAAGATCCACAGGCCAGCATGGCTCTGGGCGGGAGGCAGGAGGCTTCCAGCAACCTGGAAAAAGAAGCAAGCAGCCACTCGTCCCCCCTCACCAGCACCTCGGTTCCAGACACCCAGGCCGGTGCAGCCTTCCCCGACGGAGCAGGAAACTGAGGCCATGAGAGACAGACGGAGGCTTCACAGCCAAGAGGGCTGAGCGAGGCTCTACACGCACAGGTGACCTTCAGGTAGCAGCGAACACCACACACGCTGCATGGGACATGCACATGAGCACCACACACCACACACAAGTACACACATATCACACACACACACCACACACAAGGGCACACACACCAGGCACCACACACACCACACCCAAGTGCACACACCAGGCACAATACACACACCACACAAGTACGCACACCCGGCACAATACACACCATACACAAGTACACACACACTCTACACAATACACACCAACACAAGTGCATACACACCAGGCACACACCACACCCAAGTGCACACACACCAAGCACAATACACACACCACACAAGTACACACACACACCCAGCACAATACACACCAACACAAGTGCACACACAGCAGGCACAATACACACTGCACCCAAGTGCACACACACCAAGCACAATACACACACCACACAAGTACACATCCAGCACAATACACACCACACACAAGTGCACACATGCCCAGCACAATACACACCAACACAAGTGCACACACACCAGGCACATTACACACATCACAAATGCACACACACGAGGCACCATACACACCACACACAAGTGCACACACACCATGCACAATACACACCACACACTTGCACACACATCACACACAATACACACTACACACCACATACCACACAACACACGAGACACAAATACACACCATGAGCGATACATACCACACAATACACACCACAAGCACATGCAGCACGCACAGCGTACAGACCATGTGCACCCACATCACACACAGACACCCCCAGCTTCTGCCATGGCCCAGCCCGGCAGGCACGAGAAGGGCAGTTCCTCCCGCCCCCCTTGGGGCGGAGGGTGCAATCATGGAGCTGCTTTAGTAACCGAAGGTCAAACACTGTCCACGTTTAAACACAAGGCAGCCACAGCAGCTGCTCCAGGCGGATCTCCAAAGGTGTCACAGTGAGCAGCCTCCCACAGCACTGCCCTCCTGTCCCAAGGGCCCTGCCCCCCCGTCCGCTCCCCTCCCCTTGGCATGATCCACGCAGGGACCTGGATGGTGCCCACACAGGCTCCAGCACAAGCGCCACATCCCGGCACAAGGCCATGGGCACCTCCCGGCGCACCCACCTCCCTTGGCCAGAATCGCCTAGGGGAGGGCAGGGAAGCCCCACCACCAGCTCTCGCCTGGGCTGGGCCACTCACCAGCACATGACCAGGCAGGTCGCCTCCCTCTCAGAGCCTCAGTTTCCCCTCCGGAAGATGGCCAGGACCTGAATTAACAGGGGAGGCAGACCAGCCTGGACTCACGCTTAGCCTCCCTGTGGTGGGCGGAATAAGATCATGATTCCGGAACCTCACGTGGTGAAAGGGGGACGTTCAGGACGCTGAGATGGGAGAAGATCCCAGGGCTCCTGATGTCATCACCAAGCTCCTCAATGCTGAGCCAACCTCCCTCTTGGCCAGAAGTAGATGTTGATTATGGCAGCAGAGGTTAGAGACACGCGCTGCGGGCTCTGAAGGCAGAGGACCCTGAGCCCAGCAATGCAGGCCTCTAGAATTTGGAAAAGGCAAGAAACAGATTCTCCCCAAGAGAAAAGATTCTCCCCTGGAGCTTCCGGAAGGACCCAGCCCCGCCAACACCCTGATGTTCGTGGAAGCAGTGAGAGTGATTTTGGACCCTGACTTCCAGAACTGTGGAGGAATAAATGTGTGTTCCAAGCCTCCAAGTGTGTGTGGCCTGTTGCAGCAGCAAGGCGACCTGCCGCGCTCCCCCGGCGTGGCCATGTGACCCTGGACACCTGCTGTGACCTTGCTGGGCCTGTTTCCTGGTCTTCAGCATGTCGGGGTCAGTCACTCCAGGTGCTCAGGAAAGGGTGATAGGTGACAGGCAGTGTGGCCTGTCCCTGACCTCGGCACACACCCGGCCCTCGGTGGCGTAGCCAAAGGCTGGACGGCTGCCCCCTCCCACTGCTGGTCCCGGGTGCCCAGCTGCGGGTCACTGGGCTGTGTGGGTCTCCGTTTCCCCAGCCATACAATGAGGACGTTAAATGCTGGGAGTTTCTGAGACCTTCTTCTGCCCCACAGGCCTCTGTGCAGGCCTCCATCACCCCAGCCATGGGATGAGGACGTTAAATTCAGGGGATCTGAGACCTTACTCAGCCCCACAGGCCTCACATGGCACCGCCCTGGGCCTGTGGGATTGTTGTCTGACAAAACCAAAATCAAAGCACAGGTCCCAGAAAGGCCCTGACCCCTCAGGAGCAAGAGCATCCCAGGCTCCCCAGGCGGCCTGTGATGTCCCCGTGTCCTCCGCGAAAGGACAAAGGGGCCGCCGACGCTCCAATGACACTGACCAAGTCCCGTGCTGTGGCGGCCGCCCTGGGCTGTGGATCTGAGGTCCAGACGGCCCTCTGTGGAGGCCCCCACCCCCACCGCCGGCAGCAGGCCCCAGCCGGAGCTCCTCCCCCACCAGCAGGGTGCAGGGGGTTGTGCGGGGCTCCAGGGTTTGAGGCCGGGCCACGCTTTGCCACCACCCACCACCCTCTCCCCACCCTTGCTTGTCTCCACTGGGAAATGACAAGTGGTGCCGTGCTCGCTCCAGCATCTCATTTGATGTCTATAGTGGGTTTCGAAACTGGGTCACCTGGCTGGTGGAGAAACACGACGTGTCCCACGTGAGGAAGGGAGGCCCCTCCGCCCCGAGGAGAAATATGATGGTGACGCTCACCACGACACAGAGAAACCTGCAGGTGGTGCAGCCACAACAGGCCACACATGGTGGGATTCCGTTTCTAGGGAACACCCGGAACAGGCACACACAGAAAGCGGGTCCATGGGTGCGAGGGGCTGGGGGCGGGGGATGGAGAGTGACTACCCAGAGGAACAGGTTTCCTTCTAGGGTTAGGAAAAAGCTCCAAAACCAGCGAGAGGGGACGGGTGCACAATGCCATGGACAACTCACTGCCACCAAACTGCCACCGAACTGTGCCCTTTCAGATGGTGGCAGCGGTGAATTTTAGGAGTATGTATTTTGTCGCAGTAAAGAAGCTTCATGCCAACCCAGAGGAATGACAAATTTGCCTGGTGTCCTCGTGACTCATCTGAGAGAATTTCACTTATGAAACCAATAACAGAGCCAGGGCCTTTTGGAGGGTGCTGCAGGTGCACAGAGGGAGGGGTTGCCTGTGTGGAGGCTGAGCATGGTGCTGACGGGCACGGAAGGGCACACTGGGCACCATGGCTCAGCACCAGGCCACTGGGCTGCCAGGCAGGTTCCTGAAGCCCTCAGGCCTGTGTCCTTGTCTGTACAACCACAACAGGCATGGGGCCAACTTCCCAGAACTGGTAGACGGGGCCGATGGTGGGCACTTTGGTACCAAACCTGCCGTGGGAATGAGCCCTTCCCCTCCCTGGCTGGTAGCAGCCGTGGGGACGTGGCGTGGAAGATTTCGAGGCTACAGCCCCAAGGGTCTTCTCTCCCCTCTTCTCCCTCCCTAGGCAGGTCCACATCACAGGGAGATGTGGGCATATGGCTGCCCCGGCCTCACAGCTCTGATGGCTGACCCCGTCCTGCTGCATGGGCCTGACCCCTGGGCACTGCCCCAGAGCCCACCGAGTGAGACGGCTCCTCCTGGGTCCCCTCCGTTGGAGAGGCCTGGGAGGTGGGGGCAGAGAGCCAGGCCCAGCCTGGGGTGGGAGGCCAGCCAGAGAGATGTGGTTCTCAGGCCCAGCAAGTTGGGGGCGCCCAGGCAGGCCCCGGTGAGACTGCAGGGTCTGGGCAGGGAGAGACCAGGCTCAGGCTCAGGGTGGTGCCAAGCAGGAGGGAAACCCTTAGGTGGGCTGACATCCCAGGGTGGGATGGTCCAGAGAATGCTGGTCGCCTAACAGTCCTGCGGACAGTGCACCTCCGAGGCCGTAAGTCTCACTGCAGAGAGAGCGCTCCCAGGTCCAGCCCTCTCACTCGAGACGTCACAATACGCTCCCAATAATGCGGCTGGAGGGACCCTGGCTCTTTAAAACGTGAGTCTGCCATGTCTTCCTCCACGCAGGAACCACCGATGGCTTCTGCCCTCCCACTCAGAGGGCGGGACAGTGTCACTACTCCCATGCCAATGACAAGAGGCCTGTGACCCGGCGCCCACCTCCGCTTGGGGCTCAGTCCCACCCAGCTTCCCCAGCCCCACACCCTGGCCCCCTTCACGCTGTACAGAGCCACCAGCGGCTTCCTGCCCCAGGGCCTTTGCGCACAACGCCCTCCGCCAGCCTCTCGCGGCTCACTGCTGCCTGCCCAGAGAGGCTCCCGGAGCCCATTGGGTGCCTTAGGCCTTCCCTGCTCGGTGTTGCTTCAGAGCATGCGCGCGTGTCGTGGTGAACGGTGGCTCCCAACAACTCAGTCCACACGAATCCTCAGAATGTGACCTCTCTGGAAACAGGGGCCTTGCAGGTGTAATTTGCTATGGATTGAAATGAGGTCATACACAGATGCAGGGAAGATGAGCCCAGGATGACGGAGGCAGAGATTCTGGGGATGCGGCCACTCGCTGAGGACCGCCTGGGGCCTCCGGCAGCTGGAAGGACCAGGAAGGAAGCTCTCCTGGAGCTTCCGGAGGGAGCATGACCCTCCCCTCCCTGCTGTTGGCCTCTAGGCAGCGGGAAGGTAAAGCCTGTCGTCTCAGCCCCTCCTCACATCCGCCGTGAGGGGTGAATGCACCCCTGCCTGCTTCATATCTACCTGCTCGTGGCTGCCCCAGCTGGAATGTAAGGACACAGGGCCAGGGACCGTGTTGCCAGGCTGTGGCTGCAACCTCAGCACTGGGGACAGTTTCACAAACAGTGGGTACTCAGTGAATGCCTGTGGACTCAGTGGCTAGGTGACAGCTCCCTGTGACACAGCCTCCTTGCAACCCAAGGGGTTCCCTTCTACGGGCAGAAAGTCTGCCGCAGGAGCCGCCAGCATTTGAATCCGGGTCTGTAGCTCCCCAGGGGGACCAGGGAGAAGCAAGGGATGGTGCCTGGCATCCTGGGGCCGGCTGCCTGCCAGCCCAGTGCCAGGTTCGGGGTAGGAGGGCTTCTGGCAGCCAGGTCCTCGGCTCCCTGGATATTCTCTGGAACCCGGGACGCAGGCGGCGGGAGTGGAGAGGGCTGTCTGCAGAGTGGTTACCAGCTCGTGCTCCAGAATTAGGTGCAGCTGGGGTCAAGTCTGTGTTTGGCCACTTACTAGTCCTGTGACCTGGGGTGAGCCACAGGAGCCGACCGCACCCCGGTTTCCCAGCCTGTCCAGTAGGGATAGCGGGACCAAGTCGGAGCAGTGACTTAAGGATGAAATAAGAGGGTGCGTGCGAAGGCGCTTCTCACCGCGCCCGGCCCCCAGCTCAAATGGAATCGAGGCTGCTGTTAGGGTGCGCTCATGTGTCTAAACGCTCTTTGAATTTAATTTCCATTCTCCGCCCAAGCAGTCTCCCAAGCGGACCAGGCTCCCAAGGCTCCCAAGCCTCCTGGCTGCAGGTAAACAGGGCTTCCTTTTACTCACCCTAGACCCACCTTGGTCAGCTTCAAAAGGGGCCTCTCAGCCCTGAGGCTCCAGGGTCTGAAGGGCAGCTGAGATCAGAGCAGGGTGCTGCAAGGGAGGCCTGAGGAGTCGAGTCGAGTCCAGGGTCTCCAGTGGGGGCAGGGGGCTGAGAAGAGACTTGTGCTTATCCAGCCCAGCTCGTCTCTAGGCCCTTGTCCCCGCTAGGGGAAGAGCACAGCACTGTCCCACCTGATACTCAGGGAACGTGGGCTCGCGGCCCTGTCTCCCACAGACCTCGGGCCTGGGGAGGGTGGGCAGGGGGCGCAGAACACTGGGCAGAACACTGGGCACCTGCCCAGCTGCAGACACTCAGCTCCGCCAGCCTCGGCCTCTCAACTCTACAACGAGACTATCACGCCCCCTCCCAGAGTCCACTGTGCAGACAGCTGAACACCCATGGCTGGAGGTGCTTAAAGGCTGGGCTATTTTCTCATCCTAATCCCAGCAGCATGACCTCAAACAGTCCCCTAACCTTCTTGGGCCTCGGTTTCTGCTGCTACAAAACAAAGAAGCTAAACTGGGAGCCCCTGAAAGTGGCCTCTGGTTCCTACCCTCCCCGTCCCGCCACCATGGCGCTCACGGACGAATCAGCTCCATGTTCATCTTCCCGCTGGACCCTTACCTGGCCTGAAGGATGGGGAGAAACGTGAGCGTGGCGTCGGTGACCCGGGCTCCCGCACCCTGCAGCAGCTGCTGCCGATCCTGGGGGTGGGTGAGGAGTCCAGGCCAGGCCCTCAGATCTCAGTGCTGGTGGTCAGATCGGCCTGGCTGTGAGTCCACAGGCAGCAGTCTGCTCTGTGAGTGGACAGGTGTTTCCAGGACCCGCAGGAAGCCCAGGCACCCTAACAGGCCTATCATCCAGGGGCTGGGAGTCTTGCAGGGAGAGTCCTCTGGGCCACATACTCAGACCCAGCATGGCGACAGCTCTGCAGAACTGTGAGCGGGGCCGGGGGACACTCAGGAGGCAGGATGGACCTGGACCCGAAAGAGGTGTGGGACTCCCAGGGGAGGACCAAGACCACACTTTGGGGTGCAGACATGCCCTCGGCGGCCGCCTCTTGGGTCAGCCTCTGGGGCATGCCGTGGGGGTCCTGCACAAAGACCTACACAGAAGGGGGTTTTAAAGCCTCCGGCCTGGCAGACGTCCCATATGTGGCCACACCCCCTGAGGCCCTCTGAGGAGGAGAGGACCCTAGAAGCTGGCACCACCAGCCTTCATCATCACTTTCAAAGGTCAGCAAATCAGACCGCACGCCCCGCCCTCTGCCACACCACTTCAGAACTATGTGTGTACCCCAAAATCACACCCGTACCCTCCATCCCTCGTGCCCCTCCCACACCACTGGTGGGGGCCTCCTCGGCTCTGGGCACAGAGAGTTCAATGTGGGAGCCGTGGGTCTAAGGTTGGAGATCAAAGGGGAGTGGTCAGGGTCCAAGGTCCATGATCGAATCTCAGTCCTGCCACTGCCCAGCTGTGAGCCGCCTGGTTTCAGTCTTGAAGCCCTAGCGGGCTTCTTGGGAAACCTCTGCCCCAGTACACAGGGAGGGGGCAGGGCTCCATGCAGGAGCCCCTGGGGAGGCCTGTGTTTTAGTATAAACAAATGTGTGTGTCACTGTGTGTTGACGTGTGCCTGTGTGTGTGTGTACACATGCCTGTGTGTGTGTGTACATGTGCCTGTGTGTGTATTGCCGTGTGCCTGTGTGTGTTGACGTGTGCCTGTGTGCGTGTGGGCATACACCTATCATCACTGTTAACATCATCACCATCTGCCAGCTCCCAGCAGACTGGGCTCAGAAGGTCCTCCAAGGCCATGTCAGTGGAGAGGCCAGATACATGAACAAGGCACCACGGAGAAAACCTCCAGCCAGGGTTTCCGTCGTTCCGTGACCTTGACGCAGCCCCATGTGCAGAGGGGTCAGTCCTGGCACAGCCTGTGGACTCACCTATCTCTGCTGTTGGCCTGGAAGCTCCCCGGGGCAGGAGCCGCATCAGTTCCTGGAGATGGGGCAAGAGGCACCAGGCCAGGGTCCGCAGACTCTTGCTGAATCCCGGCTCTCCTGTTAGCTGTGCAGGGTTAGGCAGTAACAGAGAACCTTCTGGAAGCTTGGCTTGCCCTGCTGTGACACGGAGGTGCAGCTGTGGTGGCACATGGTGGGTGCCCAGGCAATGCTTGTGGGGGAGCTGCAGGGTGCCCGGCCAGCCCCGGTTACGGGTCCCCTCCCAGCCCTTGGTGGTCCCCAGTTGTACCCTCTGACCCGGGCCGGGCTGGCCCTTGGCTGGAGGGGTTGGAGGTTGGTGGTCTCCCTGGCAGCAGGGGCAGAACAGTGCTCCTTCTGGGACGATGACAGAGCCCTGGACCCGGGTTTGAATCCCACTCCCCACTTACTGTCCCTTCAAGCCACACTCATGACCTCAGTTTCTCAACCTGTACAATGGGATGACAACCTCTCTGCAGAGGTGGTGGGGACCAGCTGTCACTGCAGCGTGGTGCCACCTCTCCACGGGTCTAGACACTGCCCCTAGCCACCTGCAGATATCCAGTCCTCGACTGCGTTGACCCCCAGACCCTGGATGAAGACTTCCTAATGGACATGGGAAGTGTAGGTTCGAGTCTCATCCCGGCCCTGATCCTGGGAGGCCACTCCCCCTCCCTGGGCCTCGGTGGCATCAGCCAGGAAGTAGCAGGTGGACCCCAAGGCCTCTTTCCGAGCCAGCATCTCAGTACACTGGGTGCTAGCAGGCAGGCGGGGGCCTGGGCAGGGAGGCGATGGCTGAGACAGAGGGGAAGAGGGGGGGCCCGGGCTTGGTTTGAGTTAGCTGTGACTGAGCTCCGAAGCACGCCAAGTCTGTTTTGAGGCAGCGCAGTTATTTCATTTCCCATCGCATTTATGGGAGATCATGATTCAATTAGTCCTTTTGTTGCCCATGCAATGCAAAAATGTGCAGCATGCGCTCACTGCCTCCCAAACTGTGGTTGTTATTAAGCGAGTGACTCAGGCCGCCAGGTGTAGACAAGGGAGGCCGGAGGGAGCCGGTGGCAGGGCCTGTTGGGAGGACGGAGCGGAAACAAGAAGCGCCTCTTCTGCAGGCGCCTTCCACACCCGCAGTACAGATGCCTGGGATGGCATTTGGCCCGAAATGTCCACTTGTCCTGGGAAGAAACTGAGGCACAGAGAGAGGGAGTGAGTGGTCACATGGACACGCGGGGGGCTGGGCCAGATGGCCTCAAGATCCAGCCTCCTTTCAGGGCAAGCTTCGCTTCAGTGTGGGCTGCTTGAGGTCCCACCTCCCCCAGGCCCCCAGCCGGCTTGCACTGCAGCGTGGGCGTCAGGCCTCAGGAAGAACAGAGGCGGGCATTGTGAGGAAGCCCAGCTAAGCAAACAGACTCAGCTCGGACCCCCAGCGCCCAGGGGCTCGGACCTCAGACCCCCACCACGGCCCCGCAGCTGGAAGGTCCACACCCGGGGGAGGGGGGCTGGTCTTCCCACCCGGCCTCCAGGGACCGTGTTGGGCAGAGTGTCATGATGCGAGACCTCTGGGGCTGGGTGCATTTCCTGTATTGCAGGATCATTTATGTACAGAAAACCACACAACTCGAATGTCTGTAAAATGAACCTGCCCACCCATGTACCAACCACCCAGATCCGAACATTCCGGGATCCAGGAATCCTCCCTAGAGGCAGCCACCAGCCTGCCACTCCCACCCAGGCCAGGCCCTGATGCTGAATTTTATTTCCATCAGTGACATGGAGGAGGCTCTTTTGTGTCTGCCTCTCTTGCAGAGAACGCCAGGTCTCTGAGAGTCACCCCATCCTGGGGTGCGTAGCATTCCTCTGTGTGAAGGCACCACTTTTGTTTTAATTAATTTATTTTAATTTTTTTTTTAATTTTTATTTTTTGAGACCGAGTCTTGCTATGTCTCTCAGGCTGGAGTGCAGTGGTGTGATCTCGGCTCACTGCAAACTCCACCTCCCAGGTTCAAGCGATTCTCCTGCCTCAGCCTCCTGAGTATCTGGAATTACAGGCGCGTGCCACCATGCCAGGCTAGCCTCACCTTTTCTTGTCCTTTCTGCCCTTGGTGGACACCTGGGATGCTTCCAGTCTCAGGCTCTTCTAACTTGCAGGCTGTGGGCTTCCTTGGACAGCTCTTGGGAGCATAAGTGTTCACTCACTTCTACGGGGACTCCCCCTAGAAGTAGAATCACCGAGTCGTTGGCTGTGCAGACGCTCTGCCCCAAAGATGCTGTCACACAGCTATTCAGAGGATCTGTGGCAAGTTACGCCCCCACCAGCAGCACGTGAGTGTCCTGGGGGCTCGGTATCCTGCCTGCATTTGCTATTGTCTGCTTCAGAGAGTCCCGGGGGCTCGGTACCCTGCATGCATTTGCTATGGTCTGCTTCTGAGCGTCCCGGGGGCTCGGTACCCTGCCCGCATTTGCTATTGTCTGCTTCTGAGTGTCCCGGGGGCTCGGTATCCTGCCCGCATTTGCTATTGTCTGCTTCTGAGCGTCCCGGGGGCTTGGTATCCTGCACGCATTTGCTATTGTCTGCTTCTGAGTGTCCCGCGGGCTCGGTATCCTGCCCACATTTGCTATTGTCTGCTTTTGTGCTCTGTTTCCCTGTGTTTTCATTTGAGTCATTTGGTTTGTGTGGGAAGGAGTTTTGATTTACATTTCACTGCTGCCTAAAGATGTTGCGAACTTTCTTAAACATCGTTGGCTATCGGGATAGCCTTTTTTTGTGAAGTGTCTGCTCGAGTTTCAGTCCACTTATCTAAGATCATCTCTGTCTTTTTTGTATTGATTTTAGAAGTATTGAAAAATACTTTCTGGATACCAGTCTTTTGTTGGAAGAAAAATAAAAGCATTGCAAATATATTCTTTTACTCTGGGGCTTACATTATTTCTTCTTTCTTCCCCCAACATTGGATCTGAAAATCAAATATCTAGAAAGCTCGAAAGAATTCTACAGTGATGATCCATATACCTGCCACCTGGATTGTAGAATTAACATTGAATAGACCTTATCATGTCTCTGTCCATCTTTCTATCTATCAGTTCATCTTATTTTTTGATGCATTTCAAAGTAAGTTGCAGACATTAATACACATTGCTCAAAATACTTCAACATGTACATCATTAACAGAGAGGTCAATATTTGTATATTGGTTCTTGATTTTTTAATTTTTTTTGTATTTTTAGTAGAGATGGGGTTTCATCATGTTGGCCAGGCTGTTCTCAAACTCCTGACTGCAGATGCACCCACCTCGGCCTCCCAAAGTGCTGGGATTACAGGCATGAGAAACCACACCCGGCTGGGATTACAGGTGCACACCATCACGCCCAACTAATTTTGTATTTTTAGTAGAGATGAGGTTTCTCCACGTTGGCCAGGCTGGTCTCAAACTCCTGACCTCAGGTGATCCACCCACCTCGGCCTCCCATAGTGCTGGGATTACAGGTGTGAGCCACCGTGCCTGGCCTTGACTTTCTTTTCAAGTGAACTTTACATGCAACGAAATGTACAACTCGAGCGCCATTCAGTGAGGTCCAATAAATACAACCTAAAACCTGCCAACGTGCAGAAGAACATCATCTCTCCAGTCAGCGCCCGCATGCTCCCCCAAAGGCAGTCCACCCCCAGACAGCGCCCGCATGCTCCCTCAAAGGCAGTCCACCCCCAGACAGCGCCTGCATGCTCCCTCAAAGGCAGTCCACCCCCAGACAGCGCCCGCATGCTCCCTCGAAGGCAGTCCACCCCCAGACAGCGCCCGCATGCTCCCTCGAAGGCAGTCCACCCCCAGACAGCGCCCGCGTGCTCCCTCAAAGGCAGTCCACCCCCAGACAGCGCCCGCGTGCTCCCTCAATGGCAGTCCACCCCCAGACAGCGCCCGCATGCTCCCTCAAAGGCAGTCCACCCCCAGACAGCATGCTCCCTCAAAGGCAGTCCACCCCCAGACAGTGCCCGCGTGCTCTCTCAAAGGCAGTCCACCCCTGCCCGACACCCCCTGTTACAGTGATTCCCAACCTTTTTAGCCTCAGGGACCGGTTTCATGGAAGATAATTTTTTCATGGACAAGGGGTGAGGAGGATGGTTTTGGGATGATTCAAGCACATTACTTTTATTGTGCACATTATTTCTATTATTATTACATTGCAATATATAGTAAGTAATTATACAACTCACCATAATGTAGAATCAGTAGGAACCCTGAGCTTGTTTTCCTGCAGCTAGGTGGTCCTATCTAGTGGTTATGGGAGACAGTGACAGATCATCAGGCATTAGATTCTCATAAGGAGCACACAACCTAGATCCCTCACATGCGCAGTTCACAATAGGGCTCACCCTCCTGTGAGAATCTAATGCCACTGATCTGACAGGAAGTGGAGCTCAGGTGGTAATGTGAGCCATGGGGAGTGGACGTAAATACAGATGAAGCTTCCCTGGCTTACCTACTACTCATCTCCTGCTGTGTGGCCCAGTTCCTAATAGGCTTGGGGGTTGGGGACCCCTGCCCTAGAGGAAGCACACACTGTATGATTCTATTTTTATATAGGAAAATCTAGAGCAGGTAAAACTAACCTATGATGGAAAAATGAAAACACCAAATCAGAGAAACTTCGCATTTCCCAGAAGACTGATGATGTTGACACCTTTCCATGTGCTTATTGCCCATTTGGATATCTTCCTTTGTGAAGGTCTCTTTAAATTATTTGCCCACTTAAGGCATTTTCTGTTCTAATTCTTTATATGCCCTGGATACAAGTGCTTTGTCAGATACATGTTTTGAAAATGCTTTCTCCCAGTCTGTGTCTTGTCTATTCATTTTCTTAATGGTGACTTTTCATGAGCACTGGTTTCTTTTTTTTTTCGTTGAAATCTAACTTATGAATATTTTTCTCATATGTTCTTGCTTTTCATGTCCTAAGATACTTTCTCCAATCCCTAAGCTGTGAAGATATTCATCTAAATTTCTTTCTTTTAAGCATGATCGGTTTAGCCTTTAGGTCTGTGGTTCATCGTGACTGAGTCTGGGGTGTACAGATACCCAGTTGTGCCTGTGTCATTGGTTGGAAGATTCACCATTGGATTGCATTGACACTTCTGTTGAAAAACAAATCGTCATGTAAGTGTGTGTCTGTTCCTGAATTGTCAGTTCTGCTCATTGATCCGTTTATTGACTGCTGTTGCAGTCCCTGCTGTCTGGCTTCTGTAGCTTTAGATTGATTCTTAAATTCAGCTACTATCGATTCTTCAACTTTGTTCTTTTCAATGTTGCTTTGGATATTCTTGGTCCTTTACATTTCCCTATCATTTTAGAATCAGTTTGTCAATTTCTATGGAAAAATTCTGGTAAGATTATCATTGGAATTGTATACCAATTCCAATGGTATACAATTGTAAGATCAGTTTATGGCTCCTGGTTTTTGCATAGAATGTCAAAATGTGGAAAGAGCTTTGCTCCCATCCTCATGCTGTTCACCCATGTAGTTACCATTTCTGATGTTCTCCATTTCCTCCAGAAGACCTGAATTTCTATCTGAATTCCTACCTCTTCAGCCTTGAGAAGTTTGTTTAGTATTTTCTTAAAACCTAGGTCAGCTGCCGATGAAATTCTCTAGTTTGCTTTTATCCAAAAATATCATTTCACCTTCATTCTTGAAGGGTGTTTTTCCTGGATATAAAATTCTGGGTTGACATTTTTTTTCTTTCATCGCTTTAAAGATGTTGTTCTACTGTCTTCTGACTTCTGGTGTTTTTAATGAGGATTTCGTGGTAATTTGGATCATTATTCCCCTAGATTTTTGGTGCCATTTATCTTTGGTTTTCAGAAGTTTGACTATGATATGCCTGAATATAGCTTCTTTATATTCTTCTTGCTTCTTGTTGACTTTCTTATAGCTATAAATTTATCTTTCACCAAATTGGAGAAAAACCTAACTGCTGTTTGTCCAAATAATTTTTGACCCATTGTCACCCTCCTTTGTTTCTGAGGCTCCAATTACACACATAGCAGACCTTTTGATATTGTCCTGTAGGTCTCTGAGGCTCTGTTAATTTTGACTTCCATCTTTATCTAGGGTTAAACCACGTCCATTAATCTATGTTCAAACTTATGAATTTTTTTCTTTGTCATCTCCATTCTACTGTAGAGCCCATCCAGGAAATTTCTCATTTCAGATATTGTATATTTTACTTTTAGATTTTTACTTGTTTCCTTTTTATAGTTTCTATTTTTCTGTTGAGGCTTTCTGTCTTTTTTATTTGTGACAAGCATAATTTCCTTTACAACCTTGAGCCTAGTAAAAGAACTACTTTTAAAATCTTTGTTGATTCTAGCCCCCAGGTCATATCAGACTTGGTCTCTGTTGATTGTCTTTGCACTTGAGAAAGTGTCACATTCTTCTGGGTTTTTGTTGCTGTTGTTGTTGTTGTTTTTACATGTCAGGTAATTTCAGATTTTATTCTGGACATTGTGAGTGACATATTTTAGAACCTTTAGATTCTGCTGTGTGCCTCCAAAGAGTGATGCCTCCAGACAGCAAGCATTTAAGTTGGATAAACTCAAAGTGAAAGAAAACTCTGTCTCCTCTGTTGTGGATGACAGCTCAAATCTTGATTCCAATTATTTAGCCCCAGCCAGACTGCCTGGGGTCTACCCCATGCATGTGTGGCTTGGGGGAGTCAGCCAGATGTCCTGGCAAAGTTTAAATACAAGATTTTTCCCATGTTGGTCTCTCCTATTTAAGATCTCCTCTCCTCAGTTTTCAGTGTCTGTAGCTGCCCTAAACTCTGTCTTCTGGTTTTTCCACCCAGCAAGACCACAGGTTTTGCATCAGAGTTTTAGCTGTCCCACGTGGCAGACATTAGAGTCATCTCTCAGACCAAAAGCTGTAAAACCCAGAAAACACCACAAATACTCATCCTTTTTTCCATGTGCAGATGCCCCTCCAACATCAGCCTGCCTTTATTCCCTCTCCAGCACC
This sequence comes from Homo sapiens, assembly GCF_000001405.40. NCBI lineage: Eukaryota > Metazoa > Chordata > Mammalia > Primates > Hominidae > Homo > Homo sapiens. The sequence continues at coordinate 88,363,825 of NC_000016.10, forward strand.
TCTGAGTCGTTGTTTTCTGGTATTTTGTCTGCAGTTGATAGTTATTACCTGCATGCAGGCTGGTCTGGAAGGGGCTAGTTGGCCATTAGCAGGAACAGAACTTGTGGTTTGCATCTCACTCTCTAATGGTGTCTACTGGTGAACCGATGATTTTAATTTTAGTGCACTTTTATTTATCAGTCTTTTCCTTTATAACTAGTGTCTTGTGCCATGTTTAAGAAATCACTGCCTATTCCAAGACCACAGATATATTTTTTGTGTTACCTTCTGGATGCTTTGTTATTTTACCTTTCACACTTAGAGCTAAGATTCCGAAATTGAGTTTTGAGTATGATGTTAAGCAGGGTTCAACATTCAGTACTCAGTTGATCCAGCAGCGTTTACTGAAAATACTATCATTTCCCCTGCAATAATTCATTGGCACCTTTGTCATCAACCAGGTGACTGCATATGTACAGATTTATTTCTGAACTCCAAATCTTGTTACTTTGGTCTATCTATTCCTGTGCCAATATCACTGTTTTCATTACTTTAACCTCACAGGAAGTCACAATATCTTGTGGTGGAAGCCTTCCAGCATGTTCTTCCTTTATTTTGTCTGGCTATTATTGTTCCTTGCTTTTCCACACAAATTCTAGAATCAGCTTGTTAGCTTGTTGATTTCCAAAAAAAAAAAAAAAAAAAAAAAAAAGCTGCTGGGATTTAGACTGAAATTGTGTTTAATCCAGAGATCAATCTGAGAAGAATCAACGTCTTTCCATTAGAGTCTTCCAGTCCATGAATATGGCCCCACACTTATTTAGGTCTTAATTTCACTTAGTGATGTCGTGCCATTTTCTACATAAAAGTCTTGTATAGACTGGGCGCAGTGAGTCACGCCAGTAATCCCAGCACTTTGGGAGGCCAAAGCAGGCGGATCACTTGAGGTCAGGAGTTCAAGACCAGCCTGGCCAATGTGGTGAAACCCCATCTCTACTAAAAAATACAAAAATAAACTGGGTGTGGTGGCAGGAGCCTGTAATCCCATCTACTTGAGAGGCTGAGACAGGAGAATCCGTTGAACCCAAGGGGCGGGGGTTACAGCAAGCCAAGATCACGCCACTGCACTCCAGCCTGGGCAACAGAGTGAGACTCCATCTCAAAAATAAATAAATAAATGAGTGAATAAAAAGGCTTGCACATGTTTCATGAGTTTATTCCTGGATATTTGATGTTTTACGATGTTATTTCAAATGGTATCAATTTTCAAATTTGATTTTCCGATTGCATGTGGGGAAAATGAAATAGCATTATTTTGGGATCCATGAGTCGAGTCTCAGCCCAGCTAATCATTAGCTGAGTAATCTCGAGCAGACCTCCAGGCATCAATTTTCCTGTCTGCAGGATGGAAGCTAGGCCTGTGTGCCAGATATTAGTTGTGTTCAACTCCCAACATCCAGCCTTTTCTGGTTTATGTTGCTCTACTTGTCTTCTGGGGATTGGCCTGGTGTTGGCTCCACCCATGGCTCCTGGGTGGCCCACAGCTAAGCCCATCCAATCAGAGCTCTACATTCCTGGCTGCTGGGATGGACATGGGACCCACTGGAGCCAGTGGTCAGTCATGTCTTCTGGGACTGTCAGAAGGGGCCAAGCACCCATCTGCTGCTGGACCAGGAGGTGGCGGGCATGAGGCTAGCATGGGGGAGCTGTCTTCCTGCTGCCAGGGGCAGGGCTCTGCTGGGAAAGAACCCTGGAGCCGGCCAGCAGAAGCCCTCGGCTGTGCCTGGGCTTTCCAGTTATGTGAGCCAAGCACTGCCTTTTCTCAGCTGGTCCATTTGGGCTGGGTTTTCTGCCACTTGCTGCCAGAGGGTCCTGACCAGGAGCGGGTCCACTCCATGGTGCTGGTATGGCTTCAGGGCTGAGTGTGGTTGCAGGTGTCCTCACCAGCCTTGGAGTCCTTTGCAATTACATCTGTGGTCGGGGTAAGTGAGGGAGTCCAAGGGTTCCATTTACCTTATCATGGCAGAGGCAATGCCGCCACACAAGCTACCAGGCTGAGACTGCCAAACCCTTCCCAGATTGAGTTCTGCCTCCTCACTAAAGCCTCCTCTACCTCTTCCAACCAGCCATACACACATGGTGACAGTGCCCCCTGCAGAAATCTGCAACATTCTGGTGTTCCCCCACAGTCTACTATGTGTTACAATTAAGATAATGTAGACAATAAGTTTACAAGCCCTGGTATAAAGTAAATGCTGATAAATGTGAGGCCACCATCATCACCATCATCATCACCATCATCACCATCATCATCACCATCATCACCATCATCATCACCATCATCACCATCATCATCACCATCATCACCACGATCATCATCACTATAACCATTTTCATCATCATCATCATCATCACCACCATCATAATCGTCACCACAACCACCATCACCACCACTATTATCATCACCATCATTACCTTCACCACCACCACCATCATCACCATCATCACTATCACCGTCATTATCATTACTGTCACCACCACCATCATCATCACCACCATCACCATCAGCCCCATCATCACCTTCACCACCATCATCACCTTCACCAACACCACCATCATCACTATTGTCACCACAACCACCATCATCACCACTATCATCATCACCATCATCACCATGATCATCATCACCACCACCATCACCATCACTATCATCATTATCACCATCATCATCATCACCACCACCATCATCACCATCACTATCACCTCCATCATCACCTTCACCACCATCATCATTGTCACCACAACCACCATCATCACCACTATCAGCACCATCACCATCATCACCACCACCATCACCATCATTATCGTCACTATCACCATCACCATCATCATCATCACCATCACCATCATCATCACCATCATCACATCACCATCATTATCATCATCACTATCACCATCATCACCGCCATCGCCACCGTCACCATCATCACCAATACCATTACTGTCATCACCACCACCATCRCCATAACCATCATCATTACCATCACTACCACACCATCAACACCATCACCACCACCATCATCACCGTCATCATCACCAAGACCATCATCATCATCAAGACCATCATCATTATGAGCAATAACAGTGCTAACATGATCTCTGTCATTACCACCATCACTGACACCTCCATCCTCATTACTAGCATCTTCACCACCACCACCAACATCATCACCATTGTCTTCATCACCATCATCATCTTCACTTGAGGGCAAGATCCATGTCTTCCCCCTTTTTGCGTCCCCTCAGTGCCTGTCACAGACTCTGATTCCTCTGGGTACTCAGCAAATGTTTGCTAAGTAAATGAAAGAAAATAGCCTATTGAGCTCCAACTGTATACCAAGTTCTTAGTTTTAACAATAGCAACAGCATATATTGAGTTAGATGTTGGTCCCCACGCTCTCATCTCAATGGTCATAGGCAAGACTCAATCCTTCAAGGCAAGTATTCCAAGCCCACTTTACAGATGAGGAAATTAAGGAACAAGAGGGGTTAAGCTCAAAGTCCCACAACTCGTGAGTGACGGAGCTGTGATTAGCATGTGATGTGACTGGCTCCAAAGCCTTCCTTCCCCTGCCCCAGGATAGCTGATGAAGGTCATCCTTCGCCACCTTTTCCCAGGGCATGGGGCACCAGAACATTTGCCATGATAGCAGACACAGAGACAGCTTTGAGGGCTTTGGAAGGAAGTGCACGTCCCAGCGCCTGTGATGAACTGAAGCAGGAATTTAGAAATCAAAGCAAAGCGACCATGACCACAAAAAGGTGTTTGTGTGAGTGTTCTGTGTGCTGGAGCCAAGCCCAAGCATGCAGTGACCTCCATTATGCACCAGGCCCCGCATCCTTGGGCACCATCCTGAGCCTCACTGGCAGCTGCTCATCGGCTGGTCACTGGCTCCGGTCCCTGGGGTCCCGGGCTCATGGCCCCATCTGGAATTCCGAACAATTCCACGAAGAGACCAGCTTTCCAAGAGACATATTTATCAAAAAACAAAAACATCCCTCTCCAAAGCAGCCCCCACACTGCTGAACCAGTGAACCTGGGCCAGCATCAGCATCAGCGCCAGCTCTACGGCAAACACAGAGACCCGCATTCTTATCCTAATGCCCGCAGACGAAAGCACGCCCGATCTCAACTCCACTCCAGATGAGTGTCCTCCCTACACAGGATGAGAGAGGAAATCCAATATTATTTTAGGACTTGCCTTCGCATAATAGCAGCGAGGGCAGAGAACAATCCCGCGCTTATATCAAACATAAACAAGCCTGCTCCCTCAGCTGACACTGGGCCTCACTGCTGCCCAGGGGCAAGCTTGGCATCAGATGCTGTGTCCTTCTGGACAGTGACCGGGTCTCTGGGTTGGAGTCCGGAGCCAGTCACAGCCTCCACAGAACCCACGGGCAGATACTGAGGAGGGCGTAAGAGCTACACATGTGGGACAGGGTACAGGTGACCTGGGCCTGGACGCCATCCCTGAGCCGGCAGCAGAGAACTCAGCTCTGATGGAGGCCGAGCTCCTTGCAGGGGCTCTGCGAGGTGGGGGTTCTGCGAGGTGGGGGGCTCCATCCTTTCTCTTCAGGGCTTCCTGAAACCATCTAGCTTCTTGGTCTCTGAGAGCAGAGCTTGGTCATTGGCTGGGAGCAGCCTCTGGGGAGAGTGCAACCTTGGAGAGAAGGTGGTCTGGAGAGAGTGGCCTGGGAGAGCATAGCCCTGGGAGAGTTTGTGGTCTGGAGAAAGAGTCGCCTGGGAGAATGTGGCCTGAGAGGGTGTGGCTGGGAGGACATAGCCTGGAGAGAGAGTGGCCTGGGAGACCATGGCCCTGGGAGAGAGATTGGCCCAGAAGAACGTGGTCTGGGAGACTGTGGCCTGGGAAAGTGTGGCCTGGGAGAGTGTGGCCTCAGCAGTGCCACCAGCTCACTGAGCTCCTTGATCTCCTTCTCAAAGGCCTGGGCAGGCCAGGCACAGTGGCTCATGCCTGTAATCTCAGCAGGCAAATCACTTGAGGTCAGGAGTTCGAGACCAGCCTGGCCAACATGGTGAAACCCTATCTCTACTAAAAACACAAAAATTAGCCATGTGTGCTGGCGGTCACCTGTAATCCCAGCTACTTGGGAGGCTGAGGCAGGAAAATTGCTCGAACCCAGGAGGTGGAGGTTGCAGTGAGCTGAGATTGCACCACTGCACTACATTCTGGGCAACAGAGTGAGATTCTGTCTCAAAAAAAAAAAAAGCCCTGGGCGGCAGGTCTCCACAGCTTCCACTTTATGTACCAGGCCCTGCATCCTTGGGCGCCATCCTGAGATGGTGGCCCTGCAGGCTTTCCAGAAAGTTCTGAGCCATGGATTCCCCTCGCCATTCCCCCACCCCACGCTGGGGAATAAACCCCTCCCTCCCAGGTAGGCAGGACGCCCAGCACATGCATCACTGCCCTTGGGACGCCACATGCAAATAAATGCAAATGACATGCAAATCCACCTGTTGGGACTAAAGCCCCATTGCTTCTTCCCAGGGCTCCTTGGCATTGCCTGACTCACAGGATGGAGGCAGCCCAGTAGGCTGGGGTCTGTGTGGCCTTCTCTCCCCACTTCTCCATTGCAGGGGGCACCCAAGCCACATGAGGAGAATATGGGAATTGAAGTCGGACACAGCAGGGCATCATGTCAGCCCATTGCCCATTGCTATGTGACCCTGCGCAAGTCACTTCACCTCTCTGAGCCCAGCTCCCTCAACTTCAGGCAGGATGCTAATGTCATGAGTCAGGTTCACAAAGTAGCCCCTGGCTGTGACGACATTCTCATGATGACTCTGAGGGGCGACACTGTCCCCACTGCCCTGTTTCTCAGATGACAGAGCAGGCTCTTGCAGAGCTAGATGGAGAGGAGCAGGAATAACGAGGGGCCACGGTGAGGTGGGGCCCGCCCTGTGCTGTTCATGCCACAGAGGCCACCCCCGCGACCCCCAGCCCCAGCTTCCGGGGACAGTGACACAGTCTCAACAATCCGTCCCCACCGCGCCCTCAGAAACCACAGTGTCCGCTCCTTCCCTCCTGGGGACCCACCTCCCTGAGCACAGCTTTGACCACTTGGGCTGAGGCCACTGCTTTTAATTGCATTGTTTTCCTGTTTCAAAAATAATACCTGTTCTTTACACAAAGTTTGGACACTCCAGCAAAACCCAAACAGGGAAATTTCAAAGTTGCCCTTGATCCTGTGGCCGGGATGTCGACGCAGCCTTTCTGACCGCTGTCTGTCTTCCCACTGTTCCCAGGAGCATCAGCTTCTTTTTGTTGCCTTTTAACAAAATGAGTGCAGACGTCTCTTATAACCAGCTTTTTACACGCACCTATTCGGCACAATTTCCAGCATCAATAAGAACAAGCCTTTTCAGCATCTTCTGGTGAGAGCATATGTATTTAAACTATTTGCCTGTTGTGGGCATTTGTGCAGATTGTTGCCGACTCTGATACCATGAAGAGCGTGGGGCGGGCTCCACCTCATGGTGGGCCCCTCGTTATTCCTCAGGGGAAAGCCATGACACAGAGTTGCCAGAACAGACAAAGGTTCCAGAATTCAGTAGCATGTGCGTGCTCACTGTCCCCCCAGTCACTAGCCCTGGGATCCACGTGCCCTGAACCTTGGACGATCGGCTAAGGAATAATATCTTGTCGTGTCACCCACGTCTGGGTTCCTCTCGGGGTTAGACGTTCCGTGTGACTGGGCTGCTGCGTGCCTCACGTGTGTCACATGTTTGTGTCCAGGGCCCACTCCTGAGTCCTGAAGCGTGTGAGTCTCCTGGGGCTGCTGTCACAAATGACCGCAAACTGGGCAAGTGAACACAGCAGCAATCTATCCCCTCAGCTTGGAGACCAGAAGTCTGAGGCCGAGCTGTGGGAAGGGTGGGTGACCCTGTGGCTCCTGCCTTCAAGATTGGAGTCTCTCTCCATCCCTTGAAGTTGGCTTTGGCGATGGGGCAGTAGCAAGTGCGATGCAAGTAGAAAAAGCTTGGAAAGTTTTGCTCATGGGGGTTACGCTCTTGCTGAGCTTGGGAACCCTGCAATCCCTGCCATGTGAGTGAGCCAGGCTACCTGCTGGAGGATGGGAGGCACGCGGCCCAGTCATTCCTGTCGTCCAGCTCACAGCAAGTCAACCATTAGACCATCCAGCCCCAGCCAAGTGGCTGGCTGAATGCAGATATCAGCCAAGCTGGCCTAGGCCAGAAAATGGCCCACATGCTCCTCTGAATCATGAGAAATAATCTAGTTACTGTTTAAGCTGTTAACTTTGGGACTGGCTGTTACACAGCAAAGCCTCACTGATAGAGCATCCCACAGACATGGCAGCCTCCTCAGTCTGAGAAACCAGCCTGATCTCTTCTGAGACAGGAAGAGGAGTTAGTCAATACTAAGCACACACAATGCTCCGATAGATAAACAATTAGGAGAATCCAGGATGGGAGATGCTAATTTATCCTAAAACCCATGCACAGCCATATACATGAGCAATCAAGTTCTCACATTTACATAGGACGTGACAATTGACAAAGGGTGTGGCATATGTCCCCAGTTCAGTCCTCATAGTAACGGCCTGATAACAGGCCAGGCAGATCTGATCATCCCCATGTGACAGATGGGAAAACCAAAGCTCAGGGAAGTGAAGGGGTTTGCCCAAAGCTGCCAGTCATGCTTTGTAGAGGCAGAGCTCCACCCCGGTTCTAGATCTCAGCCAGAAAGTCATGCTATGGACAAAATGCATTCACACTCATGCTTACAGTAGGCTTGGTTTTGAGAATTTAGCATTCCTTGTTCCATCTCTTCCTCAGTGATGTAACCATTGAGCAAACCTAGCCAGCCACCAACATCACAGCTTGGTTGCTTGTTCTCAGTGACATCAACACATTTGCTATGCTTAATTTGGTGTTTTCAGTATACTATTCTGTGAGATCATCATCATCACCATCACTATCATCACCACCATTATCACCACCATCACCATCATCACCATCACCATCATCGTCACCATCACCATTATCACCATCACTACCATTACCATCACCATGATTACCACCATCACCATCACCACCATCATCACCATCACCACCATCATCACCATCACCACCATCATCACCATCACCATCACCATCATCACCATCATCACCATCACCATCATCACCATCACTACCATTACCATCACCATGATTACCACCATCATCACCATCACCACCATCATCACCATCACCACCATCATCACCATCACCACCATCATCACCATCACCGTCACCATCATCCCCATCATCGTCACCATCACCATCATCACCATCACTACCATTACCATCACCATGATTACCACCATCATCACCATCACCACTATCATCACCATCACCATCACCATCATCCCCATCATCGTCACCATCACCATCATCACCATCACTACCATTACCATCACCATGATTACCACCATCATCACCATCACCACCATCATCACCATCACCATCGTCACCATCGCCATCACCATCATCCCCATCATCATCACCATCACTACCATCACCATCATCACCATCACCATCATCACCATCATCATCACCATCACCATCATCACCATCACTACCATTACCATCACCATGATTACCACCATCACCACCATCACCATGATCACCATCACCATCATCACTATCACCACTATCATCACCATCTTTACCATCTTCACCATCATCACCATCACACCATCACCATCATCATTACCACCGTCATCATGATCTTTGTCATCTTCACCATCACCACCATCATCATTACCATCTTTACCATCTTCACCATCATCACCACCATCATCACCATCACCATTATCATTACCACCGTCATCATGATCTTATCATCTTCACCATCACCACCATCATCACCATCTTTACCATCTTCACCATCATCACCACCATCATCACCATCACCACCATCATTACCACCATCATCATGATCTTTACCATCTTTACCATCACCACCATCATCATCACCATCTTTACCATCTTCACCATCATCACCACCACTACCATCATTACCAACATCATCATGATCTTTACCATCTTCACCATCTTTACCATCATCACCATCATCACCACCATCATCATGATCTTCACCATCATTGTCTCCATCATTACCATCTTCACCATCATCGCCATCATCCTCTTCATCCCTTCCTAACGCTGACAGAATCCCCTGGCTTGGTACCAGGCACTCTTTTAAGTACTTGACATTGTTTTGTTGCATTATCATGACAATGTTTGAGGTGTCAACCTCTATTTTGTCACCTCTGTTTTTCAAAAAAGAAGACTGGGGCTCTAAGAGGAAACAAGACTTGCCCAAAGTCACCCAACTGGCAACTGACAGGGCTCCTCCTGCAGTGGCCACAGTCACCCTGTGCCAGGGATGTCCAGCTCCCTGGTATATGGCTTGCAGGAGTCTCATTGTGTGACAGGATGTGTTAGGTGGTTTGGTGGGGGAGTGGAATGAAGCCAGGATGCCTTGAGAGACAGCATCTCAGGATGGGGTGTTGAGCTGTCAACAGGATGAGACAGCTGGGCTGTCCCTGTGTGGAGGCGGATGGGGAGGCCACGCAGAACAGAAAGTCCCCTTGGGAGATCTGGTCCCACCCTGCCTGTGCCCCACCTGGCATCTCTCCCTCTCTGGGCCTCAGTTTCTTCATCTGTAAAGTGAAAAGCCTGGACCAGACCACCCTCAAGAGGCTTTCTGGTGCCAACATTCTCAGATGCTCCATAGACTTGCTCACATCACAGTCACATTGGGTTAAGCACAGAGGGCTACCTTCAGGGGAGGAATCTTGAGCAGGTTTTGGAAGAGAGAAGAAACGGCAGGGTGCGGTGGCTCACGCCTATAATCCCAGCACTTTAGGAGGCTGAGGTGGACAGATCACTTGAGGCCAGGAGTTTGAGACCAACCTGACCAACATGGCAAACCTCCATCGACACTAAATATACAAAAATTAGCTGAGCGTGGTGGTGCACGCCTGTAATCCCAGATACTTGGGAGGCTGAGGCAGGATAATCGCTTGAACCCAGGAGGAAGAGGCAGAGGCTGCAGTGAGTGGAGATTGCACCACTGCAGAGCCTGGGCAACAGAGTGAGACTTTGTCTAAAATTAAAAAAAAAAAAGAGGCTTTAAGTGTCAGAGATATGAGCCATTCCAAGCTGAGGAATGAACGTAGTGTGTGGTGAGGAATGAAAGAGCAGACTCAGCCCATCACAGATGCACATAGCCCTGCATGGGGTTAGGCACTGTCTGAGGTACAGGGTGGACAGAAATGAGTAAGGCCTGGCACTCTGTGGCCCAGCAAGGGAGAGCCAGTGCACAGCGAGACACAGGACACAGTATGACATATGTGTGCCAAAATACAAGGAGGCAGCATAGAGGAGGTGACTTCTGAATGGGTCTTGAAGGATGAATAGGAGTTTGCTAGCTGGCAAAGCTGGCAGCAAGGGAGAGGATTCCAGGAAGGAGAAACATCACATACAGAATGAGTGAGGTGCGGGAGACTAGGGAGCAGCAGCTCAGGGTGGCCTGAGTCGGAGTTGGGGAGGCAGAGAAGAAGGGGCACTGAGACCAGGAACATAGCTGGGGGCCCCGACAGGGAAAGGCTGTGAGTCTAGAACTGAGTGAATATTCATGCTATGGGCACTGGGGTGCCATGTGAGGCTTCTGAGCAGGGGCATGACATGACGAAGTCCATGTTTATTCCTGACCCCTTGGTGTTCAGGGACATTCTTGTGATGGGTAGGATGTTGTTTTCTTATTCACACTAACCCAGAGTTTCATTAACAAAGAGCTGCGTGTGCAGTGGGCTGAGCTCAGCACCATGTGCGGTGGGCTGAGCTCGGCGCCGTGTGCTGTGGGCTGAGATCGGCGCCGTATGCCAAGTGGGCTGAGATCGACGCTGCTGAGCTGTGAGCGGCTGTATCTGCGCTCTGAGGCGTGCTGGTTTTGCTAGCAGCTTGGGCGGTGATGCAGGCCCCAGCACAGCTCACAGTTCGCAGCAGATGTAAAGGTTTTACCTGCCCTGAGCAAACGCCTGGCAGCGTTCAGTGTGGTGGAATCTACGCACAAGGCTCCGGGAAAACACAGGCCCCAGCTGCATTTGCAGAAACCGCCCAGGCACCGAAGCGCTGGGACTGTGCACACAGCTGGGGCAGGGCCCTGGAAGGACAGGCCCGAAGGCTGCAGCAGGCGCAGGGCAGGGTGGTTGATGGTCTCTCAGGCTTTTTCTGGTTATGAAATAGAATTCATGACCAGCGTGGAAATTTGGGAACTTGTGAAGGAGAAAACAAGTCACCCAGAAAAGATTCCAAGAGCAGCCACAGAGTTCACCTCCATCCGGACTCAGGCTGGGCCGCCCTGAGGGCCTGACGCAGGCCACCATTCATCTCTCTCAGCACAAGGATGGGGAAACTGAGGCACAGAGGGGCCAAGGCCACTAGCCCAAGGCCACCAGTAAGAGGCAGAGCTGGGATTGAACCCGGACGTCTGCTACGCTGCCTCTCAGCAGGCATCTGGGCCACTTAGCAGCAAGTTGGGTGAGTTACCAGAACGAAATACATTAACACCTGTGACATCTTTGCACAGAGTCCCACCAGGGACACAGGCCCGGCTGGCTACTGGTACCATTGCCATGAATGGTTCCACAGCATGGCCCCTGGTACACCCAGACATCGCCCCTGCCGGTGCCTCTGCTCATCCTTCCCACGTTTCCTTCCAGCCGTTGAAGAATCTCTTTGTTCATTCATTTATTCAACAAAGAGGAGTGTTCCTGGGTGCCGGGCGCCATCGCAGGCATGAGGCGCACTGTCCTCTGGCACCCGGCCTGGTCACATCTGACCACAGTGGGAATGCTGAGCCACACGGCCAGCCTGTGCAAGTTCAAAGACTAAACGAAGGAAATCGTCTGACTGCCGAACTTCACCCCTTGGGAAATCAGAAGGAACGACTGGGCTCCAGCAGCAGGTGGCAAAAACGGAAGCATGATTTTTCTTTAATGTCACTAAAGGGAAGAAGAGCTGGCTGACGTGTGGGCCGGACTGGAGTGGATAAGCCATTTGGAGAGGAAAAGCTCCCAGGGAAACTTGCCACATTTTTTTCTAGAAGAATGTTGGAAGATTCAGTGGCCAGGTATGGAAAAGAAAACCCGCGTACACTGAGGGCATTCATGGCAGGTTCAGGGCGGGCGGCACGCAGGCCCAGGTGCTGGGAGAAGGACGCCGCTGTTCACGGCGCAGCCGGGCCACAAGGGCCAGTTGTCTGCACGCCTTCGCCAGTCGCCCCAGCAACACAAAAACACACATCAATGCGCCTTTTACTGTGGGCCTTTCTCGCAGGCTCTGGATAAATGACTGAGCTGAGCAAAATGTAAATGCGTAGTTGTCCCCTGGAGACATAATTACAGGAAAAAAAATGAGGACAGTGGCGATTCGGACTGCGGACGTCTGACTCCTTCACACAGCCGGGCCCGGTGTGAGGGGACGTCCGGGGTGAGAGGGGGAGGGAAGCTGCAGCAGGCACTGAAGGCCGCTGTCCCTCTCCTCGCCTGCCCCAGGCCTGCCCCAGGCACTGCCATTCCTTGGGCCCAGCCCGGGTGCCTCCTCCGGGGCCCTCGCTCTGCCGCCGCCCGTGAACGGGCCCATTCATGCGCCAGCCGCTGGCTGGGGTTCCCGCGGCCGGCCGGTCTCCACCGCCTCTGTTTTCTTTTCATTAGAAGGATTCCCATTTTGAAGGTCTGCGAGGGCTGAGTGAGGGATGCTCCGGCTGAGCGTGTCTGGAGAGAGCAGCTGCCCACGGCCCCAGCACATTCACTGGGTTACCGCGGCAGATGGGGAAACTGAGGCTCGCGGGGTGTCCCGGCCACACGGCTGGCAGACAGCAGAGCTGGGGCTTGGACCCAGGCCACCAGCTGCCTGCTGTGCCTGAGATTCCCAGAGAGGCTCCTAGGGCAGCCAGGAAGTGCAGGGCACAGGTGTGGTGTGTGCCCAGCCCAGACGCCAGGCCTCCTCCCAGCGTGCCCCGAGGCCCCCGAGGGCCCAGCCTCCTACTGGGTAAAGCAGGGAGGACGGCTCTGCCCGCTCATGCCGCCGGGAGGGCCAGAGGCACCAGAAGGCCAGGCCCCAGCGCAGGCTGGCTCTCAGCTGGGTCCCTTCAGCATCTCCCAGGAGGGACTTGCCAGAGCTGGAGGCAGAGATGGGACTCGACCCAGAGCCCACAGTTAGCCACCACTCCTGTGTCTTCTGCACACCAGGCAGGCCACAGGAGTCTTCCCAATGGGGCAGGGGCACAGACCGTGTGTCCAAAAGCAGCCCTGCTCAGAAGGCAGGAGCCGGGGTGGTGCAGGGCAGGGGGACTTCCCAGGGGAGGGGCGTTGCTGCTCAGAGCCTCACAGAGGGTGGGCAAGGTGGATCCTGCATGCCCAGACCCTCTGCCGACCCATGGGCCCGGTGGCTTCCGGCTACTCTCCCGCTGGGCCCGCCACCCATGGCAGCACGTGAATGTGTGAGCCGGTGTGTATGGCCTGCAGTGGGGGTGTGTGCCTGTGCCCCTGTGCAGGACGCCCTCGAGGCCACCCCTGTCCACCCCAGCTTTTTGCTCTCGACTGGGGCCATTCAGATGATGGGGCAGAAACGCTTGGGCCGTAGGCATCTGAGTCACGCGCCACCATCCGTCTGGAATGTCTCCTTGGACCGGGCTCAGCCGGGCTCCAGGCCCTGACACTCCCTCCCTCAAGCTTCCCTCTGTCCTTCCTCCCTTCCTCACTCCCCATCCTCCCTCCTCTATCTCCCTCCTCCAGCCCTCCCTCCTCTCTCCCACTCACTTTCCAAAGCCTTCCCCCTGTCCCAGCTGGCATCCTGTACCCACACAGGTCCTCAGGGCGCGGACCACGCCACCCCTCAAGCGCTGGCCTGCAGGTGCTGTGCTCTGTAGATGAAGATGTATTCATCCCCACTTTCGTATTCTAGAGCTTGTTGTTGTTGTTGTTGTTTGATGCCAGGAAAAAAAAATGGTTTTTGAGCCGAGCCCTGGCCAGGTGCCTAGGGCAGCACAGGGGTCACCACAGCGTGAGAGGAAGCCTGACCCAGGGACGGACACCTGCATCCTCAAGGACCCCAAGTCCAAAGAGCCACCCACTCCTCCTACCTTGCACATACCTGTTATGTCCAACTGTCCTAGACGCCCCAAGATCCCCCCAGTTCACCGCCAGGGAGTGGTGAGGCCGCAGCACCGTAGCCTCTAGGGGCCAGCTCTGCCCTCCTGACAGGTGGGCGCCATGATGTCATCTCCCAGATGAGCAAGTGGAAACTCAGAGAGGCCGCTGACTCACCCAGGCACACACGGCGGGCAGGGAGCAGGGGGCACCGGGGCCGGGCCTGTTTGTGCCCTTTTCTCTGCAGCATCCAGACCCAAATTGAGGGTCTACTCAGCAAAGTCCACGGGTACTGATTGTGTTCCAGAAATCCCAGGCTGGTAAAATAACTAGCGCCATATCAGCCAGGTCGCACGTTCTTGGAGAGGCCCCGTGATCGCTGTCCTCTGTGCTTGCACGCATCGTAACGGGGAGAGGACACACAAGCCCCTGCTCACCTCCTGCTGCACCCAGGAGCCGTCCTCAGGGAGGTGGGAGCTCATCAGAGGCCGTCCAGATGGGCTTCCTGCCCCATAGGGAGCGCCGAGTCTGCACCTCTGCCCGGCTGCTCACAGACCCCTGTATGTTGTGCAGACCCCAATGCTCGGGGCCCCCAAAGCTGCTCTCCCTTCCACTCCCACCCTGAACTAGGGAGAGGGTGGCAGCAGTCAGCACCTGGGACAGGCTCGACCACTAACTGCCACATCTTTGGGATGGGCTCTTTGCATCCTCCAGCCTCAGCTTCCCCTATCTAGCAAATGGGATTAAAGAGCCCATGAGATCACAGGTGAAGCTTGCTTTGAAAACTCCCAGAGTGTTTAAACGTCCCACATGCCACATCTCGGCCACAGGTCTGGTCCTCGCTCGGAGGTCTCCTCTCTCGAGAGCCCATCTGGGGCAGGCGTGGGCCCACACGTGGCAGGGGTGCGGCCTTGCTCTCAAGGTGCATGGTTGTCAGGATGGACGGGTGTCCACACACCCAGGCCATCAGCGCTGACCTCGAGTGCCAATGGCAATTGCCCTTGGAATCTGTCGGAGGCTTCTCGTGCCTCCCCCTGCATGGCGCTGGTTACTCGGTTTCATTTTTACATCAGGCAAAAGTCCAGGGGGTGACTCGTGTGAGCTGGCCCTCCTGACCGTCTACTGGGACCCAGGAAACCTCGCCCCCCGAGGTTGATCAGTAGCAGGCCTGGAGCTCTGGGCAGCATGTGGGCTTGGCCAGGGCATGAGACCTGGCTCAGTGGCTGTGGGTAAGTCTAGTCAGCAGCCTGCTGGGCCAGTTTCCTCCTGGAAAGCAGGGGCTAGGACCACCCGGGAGCCTTCCAGCTCTGCTGAGCTCACAGACACAGGGGACCTTCCCAGCCCCTGCTCCCTGCAGAGCACCCCATCAGGCAACTCCTTCCAGGAGGGGTGGACGTGGCCCTCCTTTTCAGCTCTCTGATGGCTTTGAGGGCTATGAAGAGGGGGAAGAGGCGCTGCCAGGGCCAGGCCAGGGGAGGGACGGGAATCAGGAGGCCAAGCCTGGAGCAAAGCTGCCCCCAGGAGGGTGCTGATACCAGGATTCTCACCTCCCGCCATTGACACCTGGGGCAGGATGATTCCTGTGCACTGGGGAGGCGTGGCAGCAGCCCCTGCCCCCCAGCTAGATGCCAGAGGTAGCTCCCAGTTGTAACAGTCCAAAGTGACTCCTGATGCTGCCACTGGGTTAGTCAAAGCAGGTGGGTGTGGAACATGGGGACAAGGCAAGGGGTGGACGGTGGCTCTGGGACAGGGGAGGTGTGCCGCGGGCCTTGGCCAGGTTGCTAGTCCTCCCTGTGAAAGGGAAGAGGCAGTCCCACCTCGCGGGGTTGTCAGAGTCCTTCACACAGTGACTGGCCCGGAGTGGGTACAGGGTCATCCCCTGTTGTCACCATGCTTGTGAGCATGGACTCTGAGTGAGGGCTTCTGTCATTTCTCACGCCCAGGCGGCATTCAGGTGCCCCAGGGCTAGGAAAAGAACTTGTGTGCATGCATACACATGCAGTCACACACACACATACTCACACACAGACACGCACTCACACACACAAATGCACTCACAGACATGCACTCATACACAAACACACACACAGACACACACTCACACACAAATGCACTCACAGACATGCACTCACACACAAATGCACTCACACACAGACATGCACTCACACACAAATGCACTCACAGACATGCACTCACACACAAATGCACTCACACACGTGCACTCACACACCCAGACATGCACACACACACACGCACTAAAACACAGACATGCACTCACACATGCACTCACACATGCGCTCACACACATGCGCTCACACACAGACATGCACTCACACGCACTCACAGACACGCCCTCACACAGACATGCACTCACACAGATGCATTCACACATACACAGTCACACACAGACATGCACACACACATGCACTCACACATACGTGCACACACACATGCACTCACACAGACATGCACACACACGCACTAACACACACGCACTAACACAGACATGCACTCACACACAGACGCCCTCACACAGACATGCACTCACACACATGCACTCACACACGCACACACCCAGACATGCGCTCACACACATGCACTCATACACACACAGACACGCCCTCACACAAGACATGCATTCACACACATGCACTCACACTCAGACATGCACTCATACACACACAGACATGCACTCACACACAGACATGCACTCACAGACGTCCTCACACACATGCACTCACACACATGCACTCACACATGCACACACACCCAGACACACACACACACGCACTCACACAGACATGCACTCACATGCACTCACACACAGTCATGCCCTCACCCAGACATGCACTCACACACACTCACAGACATGCACTCACACAGACACGCACTCACACACAGACACGCCCTCACACACAGACATGCACTCACACATATGCACTCACACAGACATGCACTCACACACATGCGCTCACAGACATGCACTCACACACATGCACTCACACAGACACGCTCTCACACACAGGCATGCACTCACACACGCACTCACACACCCGGACATGCACTCGCACACACGCACACACAGACATGCACTCACACACACACTCACACACAGACACGCCCTCACACACAGACATGCACTCACACACATGCATTCACAGACACACACACAGACATGCACTCACACACGCACTCACAGACATGCACTCACACGCACTCACACAGACATGCACTCACACACACGCACTCACACACATGCACTCATGCACTCACACACAGAGACATGCACTCGCACACAGACACACACTTATACACACATGCACTCACACACAGAGACATGCATTCACACACACGCACTCACACACAGACATGCACTCTCTCACACACACACACGGGTTTGGAAATTGAAGTCTTTCTTAGAAACAAGAACAGACCCAGTAGAAACGAGAAGGAAGGAAACGCCCTCTGGGGTCTTTGTCCACAGCCAGGGGACCCCTGGCCCTTGAAACTTTAGGAAACCCGCTTGATTGAAATCCTGATTAACTCGAGAGGGTTTCTTAGTTCTTCCCCATTTTCCATGGAAAGGGAGATCCCAGGACCTGGAGGCCCCAGATGATGCCATGGAAATGTGAGCCAAGCCTCGAGCCTCTGGGGCCTTTCAGCCCCTGCCCCTTTTTCAATTCACGTTTTCGCGTCCACTGGCAGGAATGCCATGTGCTGCGATGCCAGCACAGAAACCCCACTGCCATGTGCAGTTCCTTTTAGTTTATTCTATACCGTTCGCAGAGTCCCAAAACAGCTTCAGGAGGCAGACCAGATTGGGGGAGGGGCAGGCCCACTCATTGGCTCCACCAGAAGGCCCGTGGTTAGGCCACACCTTGCTTTACATAATAAAGGTGTCCTTAAAAGGGTGTGCAACTTGAACTTGCGTAAGTAAAGCGTGCTTGACCTGCTCCCGGGGGACCTTTGTCTGAAGGACTAATTCTGAAAGCATTCCTTTCTGCGAAGTCCCCCCACTGCCACCCTATTTCTTAGAAGTCCACCAAGTTCATGACTTGGGATCCTCTGAAGTGGGGGAGGGCGATCCGTCCCCAGATGCTGCCCGTAACGCTGCACCCCTGCCCTTGGAGGAGGCCCACACGCCCCTGTCTGGGACAGCCGGGGACGGGCACGTACTGGGCCAGGGGGCTCTGCCTGGAGCCATCTCCGCCGTGTGGCCTTGGGCAGGTTCCTTGTCTTCTTCAGGCCTTGGTTTCCTTGGCTGTGAATGGAGATGTTGGACAAATGACCGGTAAGGGCCTCTCCCTCTCTAGGGGCCTGGATGGCTCCTAGCGCCCCACCAGCAATGCTGCCGAACTCACGGGCCAGTCTGGGGCAGTCCCAGGGCTGGACAAGGGACCCAGAGTGGAGACACGAAGGTCTGGGGGCAATGTTAGCTCCCACCTATGAGAAAGCGTGCCATGGGGACCTCCTTATGGTGCCTTCGAGGGCCAACTTGAGCCACTCAAACCGAACTTGCCCAGGCAGGTGCCAGGTGCCAGTCGGGACATCCCCCACCTCCTAGACAGAAGCACAGGGACAAGCGTGTCATGTGTGGGCACCTGGGGAGCTGGAGCGCAGGCCAGGGATGGAGATAGAGCAGCCACTGGAAGCCACATGGGTAGCATTATGGCAGACGTTTTTTAAGTTGTGCTGAATGCAGCGTTTCCGTCTCAGCAGCAAGGCCTGCCATTCTGGGGTGGGCTGGCTGGGGAGTGTGAAGAGGGGGTTCAGGGAGCAATGCCTCAGGGCCCCCCATCGCCGGGGTGGGTCCCATGAAACAAACACCTAGGAAAAGCGGCGCTAAAAATAGCTGGGGGGAGGGTGCGGGGGCGGCGGAGTCTGTAACCTAAGCCGCCCCAGCCTCCGGGGGGCAGACCCCGCGGCCGCCGGCCGGCGTCCGGCCTTCCCAGCACCCGGCCCAGGGCTGGAGCTGGCTGCAGGGCTGGCCCGCGGCGACCTGGGCAGGGTGGCGGCTGCTCCCTCTCCTCCCACCCCGCCCCGAGGCGCAGCGCGCGGCAGAGCGGCTCGGTGCCCGGCGGGCGGGCGGCCCGGGCGGGCCTGCGGTCGGGATGAGGACGGCGCCTCCGCTGCAGAGCGCTGGGGCGGCGCGGGCCGGGAGCTCGTTGGCGGCGGCCGGCGTGGCGGGCGGAGCGGGCCTCGGAGCGGAGGTGAGTGCGGATGCGCCGCCTGGGCGCGCGCGGTGCCTGGGGACCCCGGGCTGGAACGCGGGGCGGGGGTGTCACCGGGCTGCGCGGGGGTCTCCGGCCCGGCTCCCGCTCCTGCGCCCTCGGGGGCCGCTCCCCGGCGGGGCCGGACCCTCCCAGCGCTCGCGGCGCCCGGCCCGGCTCCCCCGACCTCCTCCTCCCGGGCCCGGACGTGCGGGGCAGCGAGCGCCGGGGCCCGGCGGGGGCCGCAGCCTTGCCCGGAGCGGAGCGTTGGCAGCGCGGGGTCCGGCTCCGTGGGCAGTTTGGGAAGCGCCCGGGCAACGTACTGGCGAGGGCCGCGGAGCGAGGGGCTCGGGGAGCGGGACCTCCGGGCGGGGCTGCGGGGAGCGGGGCCCGGGCCGCCCCATTCATCGCGGATCGGAGCCGGGGGTGCCCCAGCCGTGCCGCCGCCTCCTCCGGGCCGCCCGCCCGGGCGTGCTGGCCCCGCGGCGCTCCGAGCGCGGCATAGGCTTGCGAGTCGGCGGTGTCAGCGCCCCGGACGGGGGTGGGAGCTTTGGAGCCCACCCTGGGGGAGACCACGCCGCACCCCCGCCCAGCCCCGCGCACCCCCAGAGGCTTTTGCAGAGCCGGGAAGTTGGCTGGACGTCTAGACCCGTGGGGACGCGGCGCCCCGCGTGGCGGCGGCCGGAAGGGAAGGCCAATGGGGCTCGGGGGACTCCCGCGGCCACCCAGTCCTTGTCCCTGCACCCTGGGCCGAGGGCAGAGGGACAGGTCCCCGGCGGGGGCGGGGGGGCAGCTCAGCTGCCAAGTCCGCTCCTGCAGCGGAGGCGGTTAACTGCTTCATCCCCAGCCGTGAGCCATGCTGGGCATAGGGAGTGTGCCACGTGTTATCACGTTTAATCCTTACGTCCTGAGATCCGTGTTAACCCAAGTCTTAGATGCAGAAACTGATGGTCAGAGTGGGCTGATGCTGGGAAGTGAGCACAGCACGCGGTAGTGTCGTGGACAGCCCCTGCCCATTCTGCCAAGAGCAAGTCTAGTTCCCTTCTGCCGGTCGGGTGGACAAAGGTGTCTTGAGGCCCTCTCAGTGCCCAGCCTGTCCTAGGTGCCCCCAGCACAGCCCACAGCCCTGCATTCCTGAAAATAAACAAAATAAACAGGTAAATGCCTGGACAGCGTCGGGCGTGAGGGCTGAGCAGGGAGCTCGGAAGCTGGGGCGGAGCTGCAGTTTTAGGAAGGGCAGCCAGGCACCCTCGGAGGAGGTGGCCTGGGAGACGTGTCTTCCATGCCATGCGCCTGGCAGGTCCCAGACCACAGGACAGAGCTCACCGGGAGGTGATCATTCTGCCCTGCAAATAGAAAAGAGGAAGAGGATATCTGAGGCAAAAAGGAAGGCCAGGGCCTTCTCAAAGGGAACCCAGGGGCCCCGCAGAGTCTCAGCTTGGGAGGCACAGGTGAAGGGTGTGTGGCTGTAATGCCCCGAGGCTGGCAGCTCTGGGCAGTGTGCAAACCAGGAAGTCCCAGGATTTCAGGGTCAAGGGAAATTTTGGGGTCATGAACTTCAACCCCCTCATCAGCGCTTCAGTCTCCACCAGACCCTGCCTCCAGGTTACTGACTCTGCTTGGATACCTCCAGTGACCGGGAACTCACTCCCCATCACAGCAGCCTGTTCCAGCCATTCCTGCAGTCCTACCAGCTGGAATGCACTGGTCCATCATCCTGAGGCAGCAGGCAGCACATCTGCTCAGCTGTTACACATGGCTGCCTTTGGATAATTTTAATAGGGATGGTCTCCCCCTGTATGCCTAATCTCTTCAGGTCATTTCTGACTTGACATTCCTGGTCAGGCCCCATCCTGCCACCTTCCCCTGGGAGAAATTCAGTGGGTTTCTGCCCTTTCCTCGTGTTTGCTGAACGGAAGTAAACCTGAACACCAGGGTGGCCTGGAAGCAGAGATGCCCTCCCCTCCTTTCTCCTGGAGTCTTGTCACCACCGATAGTGCCCTAGATATCAGGCCATGGTGGACTCATCTGGAGCCCAGATGGTTTCAAGACAAGCCCCCTACCCTCCCTTCCGGTTCTGACTCCTACTAATAATTCAGTTACCAGCCGGGGATGGTGGCTGTGTAATCCCTGCAATTTGGGAGGCTGAGACAGGTGGATCACTTGAGCCCAGGAGTTTGAGGCCAGCCTGGGCAACATAGTGAGACCCCATCTCTACTAAAAAAAAAATTGAAGTAAGTTAGCCAGGCATGGTAGTGTGCACCTGTACTCTCAGCTACTAGGGAGGCTGAGGAGAAAGGATTGCTTAAACCCAGGAGTTCAAGGCTGCAGTTAATGATGATCGTGCCACCGCATTCCAGCCTGCGTGATAGAGTGAGACTCTGTCTCAAAAAAAAAAAAAAAAAATTCTGTTACCCTGCCTGCCTCCTTGTCCAAACATAGGGCTGATGATGTGGGGAATGCCTGTGTAGTAGTTAAGAGTCCAGGCTCTGGGAACAGCTGCTAGGGGCTGTGTGGCCTTGGGTGAGTGACCAAACCCCTCTGGGACTTTATTTCTCATCAGAAAAATGGGGAGCCCTCACAGGGGTCAGTGGGACGGGCTGGTGTGTGGAGCACCCTGGCACAGGCCTGGCACACTGCAAGTACTTGGTAGGTACCAGCTGCTGTGGTTGCAGCCCATGGGTTTCAGGAGACTCCGTGGGACCTGTGGAGAGGGTTCTGAGGACAAGAAAGACCTGAGTGGTGCAAGGTGCCAGCTAAAAGCCCAGATGGAGGCCGCCATAGGGAGCAGGGATGCCGGTGAGGCACAAGCGGCCCGGTCCCGTGGACTCTGCCTTCCCCATCTTCTTCCCAGCGCCCTCCCCATCTTCCCAGCGCCTTCCCCATTTTCCCTCCTGGCCAGCCAGCCCACCCTTGCTTTGGTTCATTCTAGACCTGCAGGGTGGGGAGGAGACCTGGGAGAGTGTGACCAGCCCGTCCTCCTGCTCACTGTGGGCGGTGGCCATGCTCGGGTCCTGCATTCCAGGCCACAGTCCAGCCCTGTTCTGACTCCCTGATAAGGGTCCTCATGGGTTCATCTCAGGATGTGTGTTCTCTCTTCCCGCCTCCTGCCCGGGACCCCACCGTCCCGCCCCATCTCCACCGGCGACTGCCTGCCCTTCTCCCCTAGACATCACCCCCACCCTCGTGGGAACACCCCTCCTCTCCCTGCTGCCCTCACGCATCCTGCATCCCACCTCCCATCACTGGTGTCCCATCTACCCTGCAAGGCCATCCCCCTTGACGAAGGGGCCCTATTCAGGCCGGATCCCTTCTCCCCGGGCTCAGCAGGCGCTGGCCGGTGACTCGGAGGGTCCCGTCACATCCAGGGCCCTCTAGTGATTCCTTTCCAGACACAGCTCCATCCACCTACCTCGAGAGACCAGCCGCTTCCAGGTCAAGCCTGTCTCCAAGTGGCTTTAAGGTCCCAGGCCTCTCAACTGAACCCCATGAGCCAGCCTCGTTCTCTGATGGAGCTGACCTGCTACATGCTGGGGGCTGGACAGAGCGTGGTGGAAGGCAGTGGGTGGTTCCGTGAGGATGGGGCTCTGTGAAGTAGCCTTGAGGTGGCTCAGGGCCTGTTTCTTTGGCCACTCCCTCCCCGTGCTCATCATTTGCCAGTGGTCATGGTGGGGGTGGCAGATGCTGTCCTCAGGGACTGGCTGCAATCGTATACTTCAGAGCTAAGGACTTCCATTTCCCTGGGTAGAAGGAAAGATGGGCCAGTACAGTTGGGCAGGTTGTTCACTGCACGTCGGCACCCAGTCTATACTCTGCTTGTCGGGCCTCCCCAACCTCCAAGACTGTGTCCACCCAGGGGAGCGCCTTGTGCTAGACACCCAGAGACCCGCGGCAGCCCTGGGTCAGGTGCGGACGCCGTCCGCACCCCTGAGGACCTTCCATTGCAACCCCATCCTGCGTGCCTGCGGAAGCTGCCCTCAGTGGCCGGAGGGTTGCGGCCTTGGCCCTCCTCAGGTGCTATCGGCCGTCCAGCCCCCTCATTCCTGTGAGTCCACGTCACTCCCGGTTCTCCCCCCTTGGTCTGGGTTCACCAGGCTGGCTTCAGGGCGGGGTGGGAGCGGCGGGCAGGACCCACCCCCGGGTGCCGGGGGACTCGGGCCGCGGTCAGCACAGCCTCCAGATGTTCTTCAAAGCATGCCCCACCCCCTTGGCTGCTTGCGGTTGCTGGTCCCGAGTCCGGAGGACCAGAAAGTGAGACCAGCGACAACGCTGGGGGCGGCTTGGGGGCTGTGACCCGGCGTCAAACGGTAGACTTCCTGCTCAGTACTCACCCCAGCCCTGCCAGGAGTGAAGTGGTCTCTGAGAATCACACTGTTGCTGAAAGGGAGCTGGCCTTGGGGAGGAGAATTCCAAATATAAGCTGTTTTTGACCCAGCGAGGAGAGCCCGCAGGCCAGGCTGAGAAGGCTCAGCGTGTGTGGGGAACGCTGGGTGCTCACCTGGCCCACCCTAGTATGGTGGACCTGGGGCTCCTGCCACCCCGTCCCCCTAACACCCAGCTCTTGAAGCAAGAGGAGCTCTGCCCCCCGCCGTGGAGGAACCAGGAGCAAAGGGCCCATCTCCCCAGCCCTTGCTCCTCCAATCAGGGTGGGTGGCCCCTCAAGTGGAAAGAACACAGGCTTGGGGTCCTCAGAGCTCTGGGGCCAAGCTTCACCCAGCCCTCCCAGCCACACCGCCAGGACAGGGCAGCCACGGCTCCCAGCCTCGGTTTGCGTTACCAAGTGGGGTGCACAGCACCTGGAGTCTCTTTACAACCCCAGAGTGGCTGCAGAGGGGCTCCCCAGAGAGGAGAGCGGCCGAGCAGGCGCGAGGGTGTGGATAGGCAGGTGAGTGGAGGGATGAGTGAGCAGTGAGTGTGAACTCAGCAGCCCCGGCCGAGGGAGCTGTGCCCAGGGCTGCTCCTAACACTCCCCACCCTCAACCCCTCCTGGCCGGTGGGCCAGAGCCAGAGGCAGGATGGGGGACATTCCGTCCCCTGGCTAACTGCTAACAGCGCCTGTCCTGTCTCTGGGCTGTTCGCAGGGCCAGCATCCCAGCCAGCGGCCAAACAGAGTCCACATTCATGAGCAGCCATTGAGGCTTTCCTACCGGCCGGGCACGGCAGCCGCCTGCAGAATGTGACCGTTGGGAGCGTCCCTGAGCGGGGTTTTCCGCATTCCTCCGGGGCTGCTGGGCCAAGGTGGCTGTGTGTAAACAGAGCCTGCGTCTCCAGGCCTGGATGTGGCCAGCCGGGCACTGCCCACTGGGAGGCTACAGAATGGAGCTTCTCTGCATTCCGGGCAGGGGCAGGAATGTGACTTGCTAAGATCCCAGCCAGAGGGGGCGTGGGAGCCAGGATACCCGGGTCTCCATACTGGAGGAGGCTGCCCCATCTGTAGAAGCCGGAGAGCCTGATGCCAGGGCCAGTCTCCATACTGGAGGAAGCTGCCCCATCTGTAGAAGCCGGAGAGCCTGGTGCCAGGGCCAATCTCCATACTGGAGGAAGCTGCCCCATCTGTAGAAGCCGGAGAGCCTGGTGCCAGGGCCAGTCTCCATACTGGAGGAAGCTGCCCCATCTGTAGAAGCTGGGGAGCTGGGTGCCAGGGCCAGTCTCCATACTGGAGGAAGCTGCCCCATCTGTAGAAGCCGGGGAGCCAGGTGCCAGGGCCATCCTCTGTGCCTTACACCAGCCCTTCGCTGTAGGAACCTTTTCTACAGAGACAGCGATAAAGCTCTCGAGTCACATAACCGCTCTCCTACAGTGTGCGCTTCAGTGGCTTTCAGGATATTCACAAGGTTGTACAAACATCACCACCATCTAGTTCTAGAACGTTTTTATCACCCCAAAAAAAACCCTGTGCCCATGAAGAAGTCACTCCCTATTCCCCTCTCCCAGCCCTCGGCAGCCGCTCCTTCCTGCCTGTGGATTTGTGCATTCTGGACACTTCGAGTACGTGGTTCCTACATCCCGCTCGTTTGTGACTGGCTCTGTCACTCAGCGTCACATCTTTAGGGTCCATCTGTGCCGTGGCGGGAGTCGGCGCTTCCTTCGTCTTTGCGGCTGAGCGCTGTTCTGCCCCGTGGACGGAGCACATTTTGTGCACGCACCCCTCCTCCGTTGGACGCCTGGCTTGCCTCCCCTGTCTGGCTGTTGTGAGTCCAGCTGCCGTGAGCTTTTGTGTACCGCTTCTGTGTGGGCACCCACTGTCATCTCTCCTGGGCAGCTTCCTGGGGATGGAAGTGCTTCGTCCCGTGGCCACCCTGGCCTTCAAGGAGCTGCCCCACTCTTTCCCACCGTTCCGCTCCCACCAGTGTGTCAGTGGTGGGAACCTCTTACCCCGACTCTGTGGATGAGGCAACCAGGCCAGGGGAGGGTGAGGCGTTGGCTCAGGACCACACGACTGGGAATGGGGCCAGGATTCAAACTGGGAATGGGGCTCAGGATTCCCTGAGTAGGGAAGTCAAGGCAAGGGAGTGAGTGGCCATGGGGACCTCAAGGCTGTGTCTTTGAACGACAGCGCAGTCCCCCAGGAGGCTCCCCCGCTGTGCCTCCCTGGCCCCCTGAGGACAGCACAGCCCTCGCCTCCTGAACACTTACCTGTCCACTCTCCACTCTCCACATGCAGGGCCAGGTGCTTCCTCAAGGGAGCCTGGTGAAGCCGCGAGTGAGGTGGGGTCGGCCTGCGGAGGGCCCCGCTACGCTGCCAGAGATGACGCTGTTCGTCCTTGCACAGCCTCCTCCCAAGGGACCCACAGCTTTTTTCCGGGGTGGCTGTGTGTCGAGGAGAAAGAAATAATCAGACTTTCGGGGGCCACTAGACACTGGCTCCGAACTGACACTGACTCCGGGAAACCCAGGACATCCCTGTGCTCTCCAGGCAGAGGGGCTCACGGAGGTCAGGTGGTCACGGGGTTCAGCTCAGGCCTGTCTCACAGTGGGCCCAGCGGGTCCTGGGATCTGTCCTGTGGCACCTTCCCCAGTTCTGGATACACATGGGAGTAGGGGCACCCACCAACTGGCAGGGGCCCCATGGCTCCAACCCCACCGAGGTCAGGGCACCTGTCCAGAGCCTACCCAGTGGGGAGCAGTCAGAGGGGTTGGGGGAGGCAGGCCAGACTGCGTAACCCCACGTGGGGTCCATGAGCACTGTGTGTCTTCTCCAGCCAAACAGGAGGCGGCCGCTCTGCCTGGGAACCCCCACTGCTCCTCCTGACCCAAGTCTCACTTGGACACAACCTCCAGGGGGCCTCAGTTTCCCCTTCCTAGGCAAGCTGACTTTTCCTGCACTGTCAGCTACTCTCAGCTGGAGAAAACAGGAAGCAGGGACGGCCACAGTGCTAACATTCGGATGCCGCCGGGCACTGCCCCAAGCAGCCCCTCCAGAGGGTAGAAGCCAGCAGGTAGACTAGGGAGACAGGCCAGTGTGTGAGGATCCTATAGTGGCTCCCTGGGGGAAGGCGTCTCTGAGCTGGGTGGGTTTTGAACGGTGACTGGGAGTTCTCCAAGCATGCCAGATGGGAGAGGGAATCCCCAGGTTCTCCAAGCATGCCAGATGGGAGAGGACATCCCCAGCAAAGGAAGCAGCATAGGCAAAGGCGCAGAGACACATTCCTCTTGGCAGAACTGAAACCTCTGGCAGCTCATGGTCAGCAGTTCCGAAAGACCCGACCCAGGCAGCTGCCCACACCACAGGCCCGGGTGAATGGCCCGCGTCATTCTCTCCAAATCAGGCTGCTGTCCTGGCGATGGGACCAGCTCCGGCTGCCGTCCGCCCATGTCATGCAATTGCATTTGGGAGGTGTGATATAGAATCCCACTGTGCCAGCTGCTGCCCGGGAGACTGTGGCCAAGTCCCCCGCAGCCTCAGTTTCCCCACCTGTTCAGTGGAGTGATAAGATGTGGAGAGCACCTCAATGGTGCTGAGGCAGCACAGGGCACCATGTGCAGGGTCTGGGTGCCAGCACCCCGTGGAGAAAGGAAAGAGCCGGGCAGCACACAGGGCTGGGATTCAAAGCTGCCACCTCTTGCTTGGCAGAAGGGACAGAGCCAGGACAGTTGCTCCATGTGACTGTGCTTGGCTGGCTGCGTTCCCCAGGTCCCAGCATCCACAGGCTCAAGTCTGATCCTGGGCAAAGCCCTGGGGAACAGCGAATTCAGGGCCATCGTTTTGGACAGACTGTAAGGGTTGGCTGTCTCTGCCACCCAAGGCAAGGGTGTCCCTCTCTGGCTTTGGTGTCCTCTTCATCAAGTGGAGGGCTGAGTGGTCCCCACAGGCACAGGCCCAATGCCTCGGGATCGGGAGCCTCTGACCTGTGTAGGTGGGAAGGCTCTTGGGACAGGTGGGGCCGGGGGACAGGAGGCGGCGGGGAGCAGTGCGGTCTGTGGCCCACGGCAAGCACCCGACACATCTTCAGGAGATGCGAGGGGACAGGCTTATGGCGGCCACATCTCATCGGCTTTCAAGAGAAGCCTGACTGAACTTTTCTGTAACATCTCTTGGCTGGAAATTTTTATGAGCATTTTGAACCCTGTGCAGGCAGGCTGGGTTTGCAGTCTGTGGGTCAGAGCTCACCAATAGAAATAGCTAGAAAAATTTAGTATAATATGATATACAACATAATGTAATAAAGTATAATGTAATCTAAAGATATGATGTATGACAACCTGTCATATAACACATAACATGATACGGTATCCTATTATGATGCAGATACATTATATCACATAACATCATACAATATCTTATGCAGGCTACAAACTCAAGCTACCCAAGTGATTTTGGAGCCACATTTAAAAATATGTAAAGAAACAGATGAAGTTAATTGTATTGTATCTGCAAAGTATTCTCATTCCACCATGTGATTGATACAAACGTCAGTGAGTTCACATTCTCCTTGCTGCGCCCTCAGGAAGTCGCGTGCGCTCTGCGCTTGTACCGTGTCTTGATTCTGGCCAGCGATGTGCAAACGCTCCGTGGCCACGTATGCCCGCAGCTGCTGCACGAGCAGCTCAGCCCTGCACCCAGGGTCTCTGAGTGCCCTTGTGCCTTGCAATCCTGATGCCAAACGCCTAGCGTAGGTGCCTCCTCCCCAGCCCAGCCTTCTCACGCCTGACAGCCTTCTCTGTTTTCTCCGGGAAGCCACACCCGACTTTTGTGTCCATCACGGACCTCTTTCGTCTCTGAGAGTTCGTTCCTTAAAATAGGGTCGGTGGGCCTGGATCAGACCCCCTCGGGGGCTGGTTAAGCCACACATTCCCAGCTGAGTGGAAATCAGTGGGGCAGGGTCTGGGGTCTGCATCTGAGGCTGCTCTGGTGATTTTTATGTTGAGCTTTCAGACCCTTGTAAAGCCTCATCTCTTTGTCCCTAGATGCTATGTTTCAGGCACCTGGATGGCAGCTGCTGTCCCCAGACACCCCACTTCCTTGCTCACCACCAGACCATTTTGCTCTTGCTATTCATCTCCACCTGGAATTCTTGGAAGACTCCTATTCATCCTTCAAAACCCACCTCCAACATCGCCCTGCCTTTCCTCTGAGAAGGTCTCCCTTCCCCGGCAGGTTCCCTCCCCAACCTCCCTTGCTCCTTGTAGATCTGTGGTTTGCCTGCTGGTCCTGAGTCCCAAGTCCCTGAAGCACTGACACCTGCTGAGGGTCGTGACTGTCACCCAGCTCTTTGAGTCCCGGAGTCCGCCAGGTCCTGGCACAGAGAGGCCTCAGAGCGTGGATGTGGGATAAATCCAGGCGTGTGTGGGTGGGTTGGTCTCTGCAATCTCAGTAAACATCTGGCCGCAGGGCCTGGCAGGAAGCTGACCTCGTGGGCACCACGCGGCTGGCAGCTGTGGCCGGTCTATAAATACATTCTAAACGCGGACCAGCCCGTGTGCATTCCTGCCTCGCCCGCCCTGGAGTGCCCTCCCAGCGGAAGAAAAGCCGCCAGCGGCCCTCCGTGCCCGGCCAAGCGGTCACTCCCGGTGAGTGGGAGCATGCCCACAGCAGGGTCAGCCCAGGGCCCGCGGCATCCGATTGTTAGCTGAGCGCTCAGGGCCTGCCTGGAGCTGGGAGCCGCATTTAGCTCTGGGAAAGGCTGTCCACACCAGCAGCCTGCTTTGCTTGGATGTCTGGGCTGTGTTTATGCCGGACCGGTGCCTGGGGAATAATTAGAGTCTCCAGAGGGCACCCAGGGGGGCCTGCCGTAGGCGGGAGGTGCCTGGGACCCAAAGCCCTGCTGTGTCCTGTGGCCCAGGGTGGGCAGAGCCCAGGAGCCCATCGAGGAAAGAGCGGGAGTGGGTTCGCCCCAGTGCCGAGCTGCCCGGGCAGGAGGAGGGGTTCGGGTGGGGGTCAGCCCTGGAGCTGTGGGTTTTGTTAAGGTATTTCACACCCTCAGCCTCAGTTTTCCCACCTGTTCCCTGGTATCACAAGTCCTGCCTTCAGGACACAGGTGACAACCAGCAAGGCTGGCAATTGGTCTGAAAGGCAGAGGCCAGGGCCGGTGTGCGACGGCCATCATGGTTCCAACCACAAGTGGGGCGGACGCTGCCCCACCGGTCTCCGGCCAGCAGCTTTGAGGGCATGTGTCCAGGAGACGTCATCGGGGACCCCAAAGGGCGAGCCATGCTGGGGCCTCAGGAAGGAGGGGCTCATGCTACACCTCTGCTGTCCGACAGGAGGGGGGTTTGACACGTCTACACCTGTGCTATCCGAGAGGAGCGGGGTTTGACACGTCTACACCTGTGCTGTCCAAGAGGAGCAGGGTTTGACACGTCTACACCTGCGCTGCCTGAGAGGAGCAGGGTTTGACACGACTACACCTGCGCTGTCTGAGAGGAGCGGGGTTTGACACGCCTACACCTGCGCTGTCCGAGAGGGATGGGGTTTGACAGGTCTACACCTGCGCTGCCTGGGAGGAGCGGAGTTTGACACATGTACACCTGTGCTGTCCAAGAGGAGCAGGGTTTGACACGTCTACACCTGCGCTGCCTGAGAGGAGCAGGGTTTGACACGTCTACACCTGTGCTGTCCGAGAGGGGTGGAGTTTGAGCCACACTCAAGTTTCAGGTGCTCAGTGGCTTCAGATGAGAAAAGAGGTGAAATGAACTTTAATGATACATTTCATTTAGCCCGGCATAACCGCAATAGTTTCACGTTAACATGTGGTCTGGATTTTAAAAAATTATCCGTGAAGCATTTCACGTTCTGTTGGACTCAGTCTTTGAAGGTGCTTCCCGGTCGTATCATGAGCACAAGAGGTGCCCGTGGCCAGGCACCTTGAAGGACAGGCCTGTGGGGTGTGAGGTGGGGCTGACACTCCCGGCCCCTCCCCAGGCCAGGCCTGGCATCTCCTCTGCCGCCTGGTGAGCTTGTCGAATGCTGGAGGTACCTTGTCATTTTTTTGGCCCTGAAGGCCAGGAGACATCCAGGTGTTCAGAGAGTGAAAGGTGCAGTGCCTGAGGGAACAGGGGGCTCAGGGCCTCTCAGAGCGTGACAACAGCATGTGGAGACCCCTGGACACGTCGGAGCCCTGTCACCATGGCTTTCATGTGGTCCTTCTCTCATGGTCCCCGAGATACCTGGGCCCACCACTGGGCAGGCACCCAATCCTCTTTACCAACCTGTACTCACCCCGATCCCTCCCTGCTGTCCAGGACAACTTTACTGTGCCTTGGCCCCAACAACAGCGTTGCCCCCATCAGCCTCTCCACTCTGGGATCTGGGCTTTGCTGCCATGTCTTGGCCAGTACAGCCTCAGGTTGGCTCACGTGCCCCCCGCCGCAAGGAGTGAATCAGCCCCAGGGACCCTTCTACTTTGAGGTGAACTCTGTAGGCAGAACTTCAGAAAGTTGAAGCCAGGAGGAACTTTCTCTTATGGCCATGGACAGCCAGCCAGGGAGCTCTGTAGGTAGGTGGGTATGTGGATGGATGGGTGGATGGATGGGTGGATGGGTAGATGGATGGATGGATGGATGGATGGATGGATGGATGGATGGATGGATGGGTGGATGGATTGATGGGTTGGGTGGGTGGGTGGATGGATTGATGGGTTGGGTAGGTGGGTGGATGGATGGATGGATGGGTGGATGGCTGGATGGCTGGATGGGTAGGTAGGTAGATAGAAAGATACACACATATATACAGATATTGTGTGTATACTTATGTAACATTGTATGTTACACGTATTGTATAAATAATATATAATTGTATATATGTACAAATATAAATTATATAACTGATATGTTCTTGGTTTGGGTGTGCCACTCTTGAGTATGACATACTAGGCACCATGCTGTGACCTGCCCAGGTTCGTTGGTGTCAGGGATCCTCATGGAAGCCCTGTGGGTAGATAACATTATAATGTTATAATTCCCACCGGAGGCTCAGAGGCTAAATGCCTCACTCAGGGCTGTGTGACCAGCAAGGAGAAGGGATTAAAACCTGAAGGCAGAAGCTCTAGAGTCTGATCTTCACTCTATGCTGGGCCATTCCACAGCCAGTAAGAGCTGCCACCATGCGGGGTGCACATGGCCCAGGATGTTGACAGGCATCAGGCCGCACGTCTTTCCTGGATGGATCAAAGGCCATGCTGTGTTTAGACAGGCCCCATGCCCGTCTTCTGCACCTGTCCCGAGGGTCCTGACCCTGGGCCACCCCAGGTGAACTCTGGAGTCATCCCCACTGCAGGTGACGCCCTCCCAGCCATGTGCTCAGGCTTCCTACAGGCAGCAGAGTTTAGGTCTGAGGGCGGACACGGGACCATCTGTCGTGTATCCACTCCACGTCCCTTCTCCCCGTAATCCCACTCTCAGTGTGACGGTCAAGCTGCGTTTTTCAGGTGCTTGTACTTTGGGTCTGTTGAGTGCGAGTGACAGAAACACAACTCATAGAACACAATAGAGAATTTCTTGGCTTGTGATACTGAAAGGTCCATGGAATGATGGACTTAAGGCAAAGCTAAATCCAGGTTCTCAGACAGGGCCGGCAGGTATCTGCCTGTCTTCATCTCCTGGCTCTGCTTTTCTGCACATCAGCTCCAAACTCAAGAGACCCTCCTGCAGGGAGGCCTGGAGGAGACCCTCTTGAAGGGAGGCCAGGCAGAGACCCATCTGAAGGGAGGCCAGGAGGAGACCCTCCTGAAGGGAGGCTGGGAGGAGACCCTTATGAAGGGAGGCCGGGCGGAGACCCTCCTGAAGGGAGGCCGGGAGGAGACCCTCATGAAGGGAGGCCAGGCGGAGACCCGTCTGAAGGGAGGCCGGGAGGAGACCCTCCTGAAGGGAGGCCAGATGGAGACCCTCCTGAAGGGAGGCCGGGCGGAGACCCATCTGAAGGGAGGCCGGGAGGAGACCCTCCTGAAGGGAGGCCGGGCGGAGACCCTCCTGAAGGGAGGCCGGGAGGAGACCCGTCTGAAGGGAGGCCAGATGGAAACCCTCCTGAAGGGAGGCCGGGAGGAGACCCTCATAAAGGGAGGCCAGGAGGAGACCCTCGTGAAGGGAGGCCGGGAGGAGACCCTTGAGAAGGGAGGCCAGGCAGAGACCTGTCTGAAGGGAAGCCTGGAGGAGACCCTCCTGAAGGGAGGCCGGGAGGACACCCTCCTGAAGGGAGGCCGGGTGGAGACCCTCATGAAGGGAGGCCGGGAGGAGACCCGTCTGAAGGGAGGCCAGGAGGAGACCCTCATGAAGGGAGGCCAGGAGGAGACCCTCCTGAAGGGAGGCCGGGAGGAGACCCTCCTGAAGGGAGGCCGGGAGGAGACCCTCATGAAGACAGGCCGGGAGGAGACCCTTCTGAAGGGAGGCCAGGCAGAGACCCTGCTGCAGGGAGGCCAGGCAAAGACGCTCCTGCAGGGAGGCTAAGTGGCCCCCAGGGCTGAGGCCTCTGTCTGACCAGCACAGCAAAAGCACCTCTTCCTATGAGTTCCAGCAAAGGACCCAGGGAAGCCTCTCATTGGCGGACCCGGTGCCCACCCTCAAGCGATCACCATGGCCCTGGGATGGATGTGGTGCCCTGGCTTGTGAGACTGGGCCATGCACTCACCCTGGGACCTGGGACAGGGTCAGTCCCACTCGGGGCTTGTGGCCTGGGAGTGCCTTTCCTTCATCATCTCCCTCCTGCCATGCAGGTCTGCCTGCCCTCATCCCAGCTAAGAAGACTGCTGAGGAAGGCTGGCTAAAGGAGATCGATGGAGCTGGCAAATTTCAGGATCTCAGGGGGTTAAAGGGCAAGGTCGTGTATCTCAATGTTAGCAGTCTTTGCCCCACCATGTAAATCCAAAGCTGAATATTTATAAGGCATATATGTATGTAGTATGTGTATATATGTGTGATGGATGGATGGATGGGTGGATGGATGGATGGATGGATGGATATAAATAAGAGATAGATAGATAGATAGATAGATAGATGTGATAGAGACACATAGATATATACGCGAGGAAAGAGAGAGAGAGAGATTCTCCTCTGTAAGATCTCTTCTTATGGTCATTCGAACGAAGGTGTCAATGTGGAGAATGTTGGAAATCCCCTCCCTGGATGGCCTCTGACTCCCTGCATCCCAGACACTTTGGAGACTGTGCCTGGGAGTGACAGTCGAGGTCAAGAGAGGAACTCAGCTTTTGCTTCATGGCGTGTCATCAAGCCTCTGGTGTCAGGGGCCTGGCTCTCAGGTCCAGGGTCAGAGGTTCTGCCCTGCCCAGAGCCGGGCACAGGAGATGGTGCAGGTCCTCTTCAGCCCGGCAGGGCCAGGCCTCCATTAGCCTCTGGACAGGGCCAGGTCAGAGAAAGCAAAACAAAGCCCCAGAAAGTGCTGGAGGAGGTGACCTCTCTACAGCCTGATGGGCCTCTGATCCCTGCTCCCTGCTGTGGTGTCAGAAGTCCTGGTTGCAACGTGCAGCTCTTTAGAGTGGCAGGTGGGGCTGTGCTCCCTCCACCACCCTCCTCACTACTGGTCCTGTGTTCAGGCCACACACGCAAGACACCACAAGCCACGGACAAAGGGAAACGTGAACCACAGATGAAGGGCGACGTGAGTCACAGATGAAGGGCCACGTGAGCCACGGGTGAAGGGACACGTGAGCCACGGATGAAGGAGGACCCGTGAGCCACGGATGAAGGGACATGTGAGCCACAGATGAAGGGACATGTGGGCCACGGATGAAGGGACATGTGAGACATGGTTAAAGGGGGACCCGTGAGCCACGGATGAAGGGGGGCATGTGAGCCATGGACAAGAGGACATGTGAGCCACAGATGAGGGGTGTGTGAGCCACAGATGAAGAGAATGCGCGAGCCACAGACAAAGGGACATGTGCCACAGATGAAGGGGGCATGTGAGCCATGGATGAAGGGACATATGAGCCACAGATGAAGGGGGGGTGTGAGCCACAGATGAGGGGACACGTGAGCCACAGGTGGAAAGGGCATGTGAGCCACAAATGAAGGGAACACGTGAGTCCCAGAGGAAGGGACACATGGGCCAGCAGGATGGACTTGGACTTGGCTCCTTTGCAGCAGCCCAGGGCATCCGGGCTGGGATCCGTGACCAAAGGTCAGGGCAGATCTGAGGAAAGTGTTGCTTTCATGGGTCAGAGACAAAGCAGAGGACGACAGTCACTCGTCTGCACTCACTCTGACCTGCACTGCCTCATTTCATCCCCACAGCAAACCACCACCCCCCCAGGATCTATTTTTAACCTCATTTAACAGATAAGAAAACACAGCATAGAGACGTTAACCACTGTCAGCTGCCACGTAACAAGCAGCCCCACTGCTGAGGTTCACACGGCAATGGTCTCCCCTGTTCCGAGAGTATGATGTTGGCGCTTCGGCAGGTCTCACCTGGCCACCCAGGGGCTGCATGTGGCTGGCAGTTTGGCAGGCAGCCCACTGGGCCCAAGAGGCTCTGTGTGTTTGCCTGGCAGTCATCTGAGGCTGGGCCTGGGCCCCTCCCTCCCCTCTGCTCCCTCATGTGATGGCGAAGTCTCCAGACTCATATGACATCTGCCGCATCCCAATGATCAAAGCAAGTCCGGGGCCAGCCAGGTTCTGGGGACAAGGATACACTCCATGTCTGG
The DNA here is from genome assembly GCF_000001405.40 of Homo sapiens. Lineage (NCBI taxonomy): Eukaryota > Metazoa > Chordata > Mammalia > Primates > Hominidae > Homo > Homo sapiens. The sequence goes on from NC_000016.10 coordinate 88,399,352, forward strand.
ATGGGACACAATGCAGAGACTGGGACCACATTCAATTACTTGCCCAGAGTCACAGCTACAAGATGACAGTGTTGGAATTTAAACTGGGCCTGTGGGCCCACAGGTTACACAAGCAGATGCCCGTGGGCCAGGCAGGAGGGGGCTGCGTGAGAAGCCCGGCTGTGGGTGGCAGGGGCAGACAGAGCCACCTTCATGGGAGGGCCAGGCTGGAGCAGGGACAACCTTGTCACAAGAGCCAGAAATGAGTATCTGTGGTGCCTCCCAGCTGCTCAAAATCACCTAAAACCAAACATTTTCAATAGCAGAACACGCTTGCTGTGGCCAGGTATGAGCTGAGGCCCACATATGTGAGCTGCCCCCAGCCTCACTCCTGCAGCCTGAACCAGCTGTGCACCCCTCTCTGCTGTGGATGGAGCTCCCAGTCCTTCCTTCTCACCCAACGCCCAATCTCGCAGGAGTGCACAGGAGGCGTGGAGCCTGGGACAGCAGCCAGGACGGCAGCCCCTCTGCCAGGTGCTCCTCCGCAGGGCTCTACCCAGGGCTGGGGCCACCTCAGGAGAAGCAGATCCCTAGAGAGGCAGACACCAGGAGCTCTGGGATCCCACGCGGGTCACTCCACCTCCCTGGGCCTGGACTCCTCATTGGGAAAATGGAAGCCACCATCATGCCTGCCTCATAGGGTGAGTGAGGGCCGGCTGAAGTGTGGCAGGGACGTGGGGTGAAGGGAGGCAGTGTCCGGGCCAGCCGTTCATCAGCAGCAAATGCCATCATGCCATCACTGGGGAGGCGCAGAGCCAATGGCCTTCATGGCAGGTGAGGACGGGCACCCAGCAAGGAGGCTGGCATCTGGATCAGCAGGCCCGAGTTCGAGCTCCGGTTCTGCCCTAGCTCACACGGGACCCTTTCTGCCCTCCTTGGAGCCTCAGTGTCCTGTGGCCCCACCTGCTGAAAGCCCAGCAAAATGTGCCCAGGCCTGGCAGCTTGAAGCCCTGCTGCAAAATTGGCCTACCAGGACAACGGCTCCATTTTCCAGATGGGGAGACTGAGGCCCTGCCGGCTCACACCTGTCAGAGCTCCTGCTGCTGCTCCCAGGAGCTGGCCAGACCAGGAAGGAGCACAGTCCCAGAGCTGCTGTGGGTCTTGGAAGCAGTTTGCTCGTCCCTGCTTTCCGGAACCTCTAAGCCAGGCGAGCCCAAAGGCCTTCCTGGGGCCAGGGACCCAACTGCTCCACATCAGTCCCTCCTCTCAGCTGTGAAAACAGAGCAGCAGCAACAGCTGGACCCAGAGCCAGCTCTGTCCCCACAGTCATGGGTCAGCGGGTGGTCGGCAGTGCAAGGCCCCATTCCAGAGGCTGAGGGCAAGCTGGGATGGCACCCAAGGTCAGCCTGTGGGTCCGCAAACAGTCTATCTCTGGGCAGGTCACCTCACCTCTGGATAAAATGGGCAGAATCTCTTCAGATCGTGTTCACGGGGTCACCTGGGAGCATCTTCAGTAACCCCAAGACAGTGGTTACCACCACTAGGGACCAAGCAGAGGGCCAGGGGGTGGCGGGGGCAGGAGATGGAGGGGCCCAGAAACAACCCGCTGAACAACAGGCCAGGGGTTGCTTCTGCAGACCGGAGGGGGATGGAAGGGCATCCACTGCAGGAAAAAGAAGAGGCCATTGTCCCCCACCAAGCCTGGCTCCCTCCACCCCAGCCCCTCCCTGACCCTGGCTCATAAGGCCCTTGGACACTCAGTAGTCTCAAGCAGAAAAGTGCGTTCAGACCCCAGAAGACTGGGTACAGTTTCTCTCTCCCATGGGACCCAGAGACAACCAAGAGTAAATGCAAGAGAGGGGCAACTTATCTCTTCTCCCAGCATTGGGGTATGCAGAGCAGTAGAAGACAGTGCCACGGGCACCGTGCTGTCCAGCCTAACAATGTCAGGGCCTCTCTGGTTGAGGCTGGGCAGTGGGGGACAGTACGGCAGTGGCTTACTCCAGGACGCCACAGCACCTTCAGCCCTGCAGTAAGCCGAGGGCTAGAATAGAGTACTTGCAGGCCCAAGACCCAGATTCTAGTCCTGATGATGGACAGATGGATAGAGGGAAGAATGGATGGATAGGTGGGTGGGCAGATGGATGGATGGATGGATGGATGCTGGGGTGGGTGGATGGGTGAGTGGATGGATGGATGGATGCATGGGTGGATGGATGGATGCATGGGTGGATGGATGGATACATGGGTGGATGAATAGGTAGATGGATGGATAGTTGGGTGAGTGGATGGATGGATGGATGGATGGATGGATACATGGGTGGATGGGTAGATGGATGGGTGAGTGCATGGATGGATGGATGGATGGATGGATATATGGGTAGATGGATGGGTGGATGGGTGGATGGATGGGTGATTGGATGGATGGATGGGTAGATGGATGGATGCATGGGTGGATGGATAGTGGATGGATGGATGGTAGATGGATGCTTGGGTGGATGGATGGTGGATGGATGGATACAAGGGTGGAGGAATAGGTAGATGGATAGATGGGTGAGTGGGTGAGTGGATGGATGGAGGGATGGATGGATGGATGGATGGATAGATACGTGGGTGGATGGGAAGATGGATGGGTGGATGGATAGATACGTGGGTGGATGGGAAGATGGATGGGTGGATGGATAGATATGTGGGTGGATGGGTAGATGGATGGGTGAGTGCATGGATGGATGGATGGATGGATAGATGGTAGATGGATGGGTGGGTGGATGGATGGATACATGGGTGGATGGGTAGATGGATGGGTGAATGCATGGGTAGATGGATGGAGAGATGGTGGATGGATGGGTGGGCGAATGGATGGATGGAAGGGGGAATGAGTGGGTGGCAGATGCTGGATGGTGACTGCAGTCTTCCAGGCACCAGAAGCACAGTGGTGACCCTGTCCTACTCTACCCTCTCCTTCAGGAGTGTCCCATCTAGTGCAGGAAGCAGATTCACCCAGGTGAACAGGTGGATCAAGAACTGGGCCCCAGTTATGCTAAGGATGCTGAGTGCTGTGGGTAGCACCATGGCTGGACCATGAAGTCATGGGAGTGCAGTGGGAGGGAGGATGGTGAGGAGACAGTCTGGGGGCACCAGCTTGGGGAGAGGATGCTACCTGGGCCAAGTTGTGTTTGAAGGCCCCTGTGGAGAGGGACAGTGTGTCCCTGCAGGGGCCTCAGTTTCCCTCTGTGAGTAGAGACTTTCCCAGGATGCTGGTTGCAGCTCAGACCCCTTTGCAGTTGACCTGGGTCTGCCCCCACGGTCAGGGCCTCCACCGTCACCTGCTTTCTCAGGGCCCTCTCTCATGCCAGGCCAGCCCTGCCAGGATCTGGGGGCACAGAATGGGGCCCGGCCCCCGCCTGCCTCTGGACATTATTCCTCCGGTTCCAGGGCCTCTGATGAGCTGGGTTCATCTCCCACTGAACTCCCTTATGCACTTCATCTTACCAGTGCGGAAACCGAGACAGGCCAGGCTGGGGCAGCGGTTGGCCCAGGGTCACTCCACCAGCCAGGCTTTCCCTGGGCTCTGCTGACTCTTTCAGCTGAGAACCCCCACGCCGGGAACAGGAACACCCCATCAAAAGGCCAGCCCGGCCCGGGAAGATGAAGCAGCAAATGGCAACACCCGCCGTGCATACCAGAGTGTGGACGCGTGGGAGACATGGTGCATCCAGGCACTTTTAACTTTATGGGGCCCAGAAACTTAAGAAGGAGAGGTGTGGGAGGGATCGGGGAGTCCAGGAGAGAACCTTGGGTGGAGGCCGAGTGCGGTTGGGAGCTCGGGGCCAGTGGCCGTGCTGGATGCTTCTGTCCGTCCGTTGCCAGGGCTGTGTTCCGCAGGGTGGCCATGCATCCTGGTTGCCCAGAACAGTCCCTGCTGTCTCACACCTGCTCTGGGTGAGCATTTACCCTGGACTTCTCATTTTTTGTAACATAGTGTTATTAATGGTTATGTTAAAATCCTCTGCGTGGGTTTGGTGGCTCTGGGTTCCGTCTCGCACTTGCTGAAGGGGGCAAACACAGGATCTTGTTTGGACAGTGGTGGGATTGGGCAGGTCACTGCTCTCCCAGGCACCACAGAGCTCACACCGCCATCTCGGGAGCAGCTGCTGAAACACAGGGCAGAGGGCTCCAGGTCTCGGGGTCTGCAGCCGGGCCTGTGAGCTGCCATCGAGGCCACCGTCTGCAGAGGCCAGGGAGGGTGGGACCAGGGGTGGGCGAGGGTGGCAGAGCAGCTGCTGGGACAGGGAGCAGGGCCTCCTGCCCTCGGCCCCCACAGTTTGTACCATTTGTTTCTGTCTTGATCATTGACCCTTTCCATTCTGCAATTGTTACAAACTTATAACTTGAATTGTTTTACTCTCAGAAGTAGCCTGGTGCCCACAAAGCATCCTCCATCCTCCCTAGAGGCCAAGCCCTGGGCCTGTCTGGATGCCTCCCGCCCCCACTCAGCTCAGGTGCCCCCTCCCCTCAGTCCCAGGACACTCCTCAGCCTGGTTCAAAAGCAAATTCAGGGGTTCCTGGTGGGCAAGGAGGGGCAGCGCCCTTCCCACCAGCTCAGCTCTGTGGCTTCGGGCGGTGCTGCAGGGCCCCCCAGAGGCCTCTCCGCCCTCACACTGACAGTGCAAACACAGCCTCTGTGCCGCCAGGGGGCCCAAAGCCCCCCGACTGGTCAGCTCCCCTGCAATTCTGGGATCCTTTAGAAAAACAGTGATTGTTGTTTTGCGGGACCCTTGTGTTTATGCTTTTATTGTGGACCTTTTTAAACATATACAAGAGCAGCGAGAGACATGTCACAGCCCCACACCCCCGGCACCTGGCTGCAATGGGTGCTGGCCCCTGGGCAGCCTGGCTTCATCTGTCTCTGCCCCCATGCTTATTCTTGCTGTGCTTTTACAAGCGGATTCTAGATACCAGGTCATTTCGCCTGTAAGGACTTCAGCAAGAGCCACAGCCAGGCCTTGAGAGGCCCGGCAGACTGGCCCTGGGCGGCGCCGGCGGTGCGTGTGCTGTTAGTGATTCACCAGCACGAGTGAGTTGCTCACCTGTGTGATTCAAACTGGAGTTGGTTCGAGGTTGTCCACCCACATATCCCTTTGGCCATGTTCTGTTAGGCCTTCGTGGTGGGGAGAGGAAGGGGCAGCTGTCATGGCTGAGCCACAGTGGGGATGTCGTCTGTGCCTGGGTGGCAGGGGAAGAACTGGGAGGCCTTGGAAAGGTGGAAGGCTCTAGTGCAGGGTGATTGCCCACGGACGTGCTGCTATGCAAATGAGTGCATGTGCTGGTGGGGGCAGGCACAGAGGGATGCTGCAGGAAGGAGGCACCGACCACCCAGAGGGGTGAGTGTGAGTGGCATTATGAGGAGAAAGGTAGCTAGGGACCACAGGGCTGAGTCAGGCCCTCAGGACAGCCAGTGCAGACGCACAGCAGACCCAGGACAAAATCGGCACCCAACTGGGTCACCCGTGAATCCCCACCTGGGGTCATGTTGGTCAGGACACTTTTCAGCTTCAGGAGGACAGAACGCAACTCCAAACAGACTTAGCAGAAAGGAGACTCTATTGGCTCACATAACCAGGCTGTGCAGGGGGACTTCAGGCATAGCTGGATCCAGGTATTCAAACATCAGCATGAGGATCCAGTCTAACAGGGCGGGGAGGGGGTCAGCCCTCCCGGAACCACATGAACACAGGGCAGGGGAGGGTAGCTCCACACAGCATGCTTGAGGTGCTGTTGCCAACAATGGGAGATTGGTGGTGGACAGGCAAGGAACAGATGTCCACACAGAGGGGACATTTGCAGCCACAGGATGGGCCAGGGCTAGAAAGGAGGATGAGGAGAGCAGAGCAAGAGCATCTGAGCCCTGAGCCTTGGGGTGTGGCCTCATACAGGACGAGGCTGGCACACGGGTAGCCCCTGGGCTACCGCTGTGGTTTGGCCACCACTGTTTTTAAAATATTAGAAGTGCACGAGAATATCCAAGCTTCTGTTGGAAACCAGAGGGGAGTGGCCACATGGGCCCGTGGTGCCTCCCGGCAACAGTCAGGTGGGGCCGACTGCTGCCACCCCTTGGGATGGGCCATGAGTTTCCCCAGCGTGCCCTGTGGCCCACCTGCCTCCCTGGCGTCCTCCCCCAGCAACTGAGGCATTTGCATCAGGGCCTTGGGGGCTGGAGAGGACTCCAGTGGGAAGGGCTGGGGAGTGAGTGGACACAGGTCCCCAGGGAAGTGAACACCAATGAGATTTCACCAAACACCCATGAGAGCAGAGCAGAGGGTGCAGCTGGGCCCCACGGACCCTGTGGGTGCTCAGAGTACCCCCAGGAAGTGCACGTGGGTGTGCAGGCTCCCGGCACTCCAAGCCGCCTCGGTGGGGCCACAGCGTCTGTCCCGGTCATAGCCCGCCCTGCCAAGCCCTGCCCAGCCCGCCCCACGGCCCAGGCCAGAAACGCCTCCAGCCCTGCAGCTCTTGGCCTCAGAAGCGGAAAAGCCTCTGCAGTTAGCAACACAAGACGGTTCCTGCGTCCTCCCGACCCCCGCCCCCAAAACACACACACACACACATCAGAGCGTCTTGGCAGCTGGTGAGCGCTAACGTGGCTGAATTGCTTTTGGGGACTTTGAAGGAAATTAATTAAAACCAGCTGAGATGGGAAAGCTGGAAGGTGGCGGGAGCCAGGGACAACTTTCCACAGGGCCTGGGAGGGAGCAGCCCGGAGCCGACCACGCCACCACGAGCCACCGTGTCCAGCCAGGCCCGACGACCTGCCCGGCCTCGCCAAAGGTGGGACTGCCCAGGAAACCGCCCTTCCGTGGGGCCCAGAGCTGAGTACGGGAAATGGGGTGGGAGGGCAGAAACGTGGGTGTGTCTCAGGGTGGCCGTGTATGTGTGCACGTGTGTGTTCATCCGTGTACACATGTGTGTGTTCCAGGGCAGCTGTGTGTGTGGAATGTGTCTCAGGATGGCCCTGTGTATGTGTGCCTCAGTTTACCTGCCTATCCAAGTGCCCTGCAGTGCCCCCCACGCTGGGAAGCCCCCGCTGCCCGCTGTGGCCTTCCTGTCCTCCTCCCTGCCGTGCGGGCTGCCCATGGCCAGGGTCCAGGTAGCCTGCGCCTGCCGCCTGCAGCTCAGCAGAGGATCTCCAGGTTATCGGAAGGACCCGTGCTTTGGTTCTTCTCATTACAAAAGCTGTCCCTGCCCAGGGTGAGGGACTTAGACGCAGAGGGTTCAACAGGGAGAGGAGAGGGGCAGCTGACCCCACGCGCCTGCAGCCCCTGCCTCCGAGGGCCGCAGAGTCCTCTCCCTGTGTGCATGTCTGCGGCCCCTGCCTCCGAGGGCTACAGAGTCCTCTCTGTGTGTGTGCGCCTGGGCATAGAGGTGGCTTTTCTTTGCCTTTTTTACAAAGATGGGGTTGTGCCTCGAGTACTGTTAGTGTTTTGCTTTCTTGGTTGGGGATGACACAGGGTTGGCGCCACAGCTTCCCCCGTCGGCCCCCAGGTCTCCTGATTCCCCCTAGCGGCTGTTCAGCACCCCTCAGGTCACTCAGTGCCTCGTGGGTCCCCCTCAGTGGACATTTTCTTTCATTTCCTACAATCTTTCTGCCTTAAAAATCAGCATAAACATGTTTTAAGAGACCAGGAGATCGCGCCTGTGATACTGGGGACAGTGCTTATCTGAGAAGCCTGCCCTGATTGCTGTGACCGCCGCACCTGGGCCTTTGCTCTTTCTCCACCCTCTGCGGCCCCAGGACTGAGGTGTGTGCCCGGCGCTCTGTGGCCAGCTGTCCCTGAGTGGGCGGCTGCGGCTCAGAGCTCCCAAAGGGGTGAGGTTGGGCTGGGCCCCCCAGGGTGGGAGCTCCTGCGTCACTGGGAATTGTCTCAGCTGCGTCCACACTTCCAGGGATCCGTCCGGAACCGTCGCCAGCACCTGCGTGCAGCTCTGAGCTGGGAGCCGGCATCATGGCAGGGCTCACGGTACCCTCTTCTCAGTGTTACGCGAAGGAAGGAGCAAGCCTGGACAGGGATGGGGCGGACCCTCATCAGCGTCACTCTCTGTATCTATAGCGTGGCCGATGACGCACTAATTGAGTACCCTGCCTGATCATTTTTAGTGAGAAATCACCAGGTGTCGGACACCGAACGAGGCCGTGTGCATCCGACGTCTGAGTTCATCTTCATTTCAACCCTGTGTGGCTGTGTCCTTGTCCCCGTTTTGTGCAGGGGAAACTGAGGCATGGGCATAGGAGAGTCATTTGCCCAGATGGCTGGCATGTGGCAGAGCCTGGGTTCCAGGCCTGGCATGCATTTCTAGATGGTTCCTAGCCCCCAAGTCCCACCTGTGGGCCCAGGTTTAAATTACTCCCAGGGTGGTGACACCACAGGCCCTGCCAGTGCTCAGACGCTGCCTTCTGTGAGTTGGGGGCATGGGCATCTCCTGTGGAGCCCTGCTGGTGCCCACTCTGTCTCTGAGTACAGGTTTGTGCAAATTAAGACAGTATCACAGGTAGGACATAGAAACCACATGCACACACCCGGCCATGCCTGCACGTGTGTGCCTGCTGCATCACGTGAGTGCATGCATCTGACACACGGGCACTCACTCCCCTTGCCCAGGTCATGGAAGAGACAAGCTTACTGTGTGTTGTTCCCTTTTTGCCTTGCTGGCCAGGAAGCTCAGAGCTTAGACTTCCTGTAAGCTTTTTGGTTTGTGGTTTGTGTCTCAACCTCTTGTCGTATAGGCCTCATTTTCCCTAAGCCCCCTTAGTACTTTTTTTTGTTTTTTGTGTGTGTTTTTTTGCAAAGGAGTCTCACTCTGTTGCCCAGGCTGGAGTGCAATGGCGTGATCTCAGCTCACTACAACCTCTGCCTCCCAGGTTCGAGCAATTCTCCTGCCTCAGCCTCCCGGTAACGGGGACTACAGGCACCCACCACCACGCCCGGCTAATTTTTGTATTTTTAGTAGAGACGGGGTTTCGCCATGTTGGCCAGGCTGGTCTTGAACTCCTGACCTCAGGTGATCCGCCCACCTTGGCCTCCCAAAGTGCTGGGATTTCAGGCGTGAGCCACCGTGCCCAGCCCACTTAGTACTTTCTGGAACAAAGGGAGGGCAAGTTTTCAAGAAACAAAGTTGGAAGGAGAAAAAGATTGAGGAATGAGAGGGAGGGGCTGTCACCGTAGAACCCTCACCAGAAGCGGGGTCAGCACGAGGCTCAGGAATGCCCTCCCAGACTGCCAACGACCTGCCAGCACTGACTGCTCAGGGCTGAATTGGTGTCTCCCCGCTTTCCTTCCGGAATCGTCTCTCCCTTCCAGGCTTACTGCCGGGGCCACATGGGCTTCCCAGGCCAGCCCTGACCCTCCCGCCTGGCCCCCGTCCCTGCAGACCCCAGCTGGCCCGAGAGAGGGGCCGCCTGTGCCCGGCACCCAATGCACCATTGAAGGAAAACATGGCCCCAGTGCCTTTTCCAGCCCCTGGCAGATATCCCTCTTTCTTCATTTCTTCCCTACTTTTTCTCCAAATGATGAAAGAAAAACACTCATAGGGAAGCGGGGAGGGAGGGGCTTTCTGCTGTATCCTATCCAGCCCCACCTTCTGAAGCCAGCAGCTGGGGCTTGTGTGGGCTGAAGGTCAGCCCAGCAGGGGGGCCCTCCCTAGCTGCAGGGGAGATGGGGCTGGGGCTGGGGCTGGGCCTGCAAGGAAGCTTCTCTCTGGGGGCCCCTCTGCTGCAGGGAGGGTCATGGGACCAGAGACCCCGGGAGTGCGGCCTGGAGTTGGGGGCTCGCCCACCTGTGATGTGATGTGTCTGGGCTCAGGTCAGCATTCAGGGAGGGTCAGTTCCTGACCTCACGGTGACTCAGTTTCCCCACCTGCAAAGAGGCGATGATGACGAGGTCTCTTGGAGCCATCTGTGAAATGGAGGTAGAGATGGGATCTCCATCCTTCCCTCGGAGACACTTGAGAACTGGAGGATGACCAGAGACTGAGCACGGCTAGACAAACGTGAAAGCGGGAGGGCAGCAGCCAGGACAGAGGCTGGTCACTCGAGTCCTCAGGGCAGCAGCCAGGACACAGGCCAGTCACCTGCATCCTCGGGGCAGCAGCCAGGACACAGGCGGGTCACCCACGTGCTCAGGGCAGCAGCCGGGAGTGTGGGAGGAAGAGACCCTCACCAGGGGCAGGGGGCCAGCCGGGGAGGGGTCCTGGGTGTTCAGGATGGAGGACCTTCTCCTCATAGGCCGTGTGCACCCCATGCACATATGCTATATGAGCGTGTGCACTCACAGACACTTTTTGAATGGAGACGAAAAATGCATGTGTTCACACGTGTGCAGCTCTGCGTGAGGAAAATGCAAACAAAGCTCGGTAAAGCAGGCCGGGGCCCACACATGCGGGCAGGGCATCCAGGCAGCTTGGGCAGAGTGATCAGAGGTCCTCGCTCAGTGGCCTGTGAGCGGAGGCCTGAGTGCGACAGGTGTGGTGGCCATCTTGGCCGGGGGGGGGGGGGGGGGGCGCGGGGCGTTCCAGGGCTCTGGGTGGGGCGGGCCTGGTGCAGGTCTTCCAGGCCAGCTCTGGCTGCTGGAAGATGGTGAAGCAGGGTGCGCAGCAGAGCCCAGGAAGGGGATGCCGAGTGTTCCAGTGGACGATGAGAGTCAGGGGGTTCAGAGCAGATACTGGGAAAGGCTGGATTCTAGAAGGCAGAGCCACTGATAGATCAGATGTGGGGGTGGGGGAAGGAAGGTAACTTAGCAGATCAGGGAAGCCCAACTGTTCACGGAGAAGTTCACGGTGCAGGTCACACAGTTCACGGTGACGGCTATGATGCCATTGATGGTGCAGGTCAGACAGTTCACGGTGACGTCTATGATGCCGTTGATGGTGCAGGTCACACAGTTCACGGTGACGTCTATGATACCGTTGATAGTGCAGGTCACACAGTGACATCTATGGTGCATGGTTCACAGTAACGTCTATGATGCTGTTGATGGTGCAGGTCACACAGTTTACGGTGACGTCTATGATGCTGTTGATGGTGCAGGTCACGTGGTCATGGAGAAGTTCACGGTGCAGGTCACACAGTGACATCTATGATGCACGGTTCACGGTGACGTCTATGATGCCGTTGATGGTGCAGGTCACGTGGTCATGGAGAAGTTCACGGTGCAGGTCACACAGTTCACGGTGACGTCTATGATGCTGTTGATGGTGCAGGTCACGTGATCATGGAGAAGTTCACGGTGCAGGTCACACAGTTCACGGTGACGTCTATGATGCTGTTGATGGTGCAAGTCACGTGGTCATGGAGAAGTTCACAGTGCAGGTCACACAGTTCACGGTGACGTCTATGATGCCGTTGATGGTGCAGGTCACACAGTTCACAGTAACGTCTATGATGCTGTTGATGGTGCAGGTCACGTGGTCATGGTAAAGTTCACGGTGGAGGTCATGGTGAAGTTTGCAGTGAAGCGATGACCCGACAGGTGTGGGCAAGGCCACCTCCTGCTCAGGCCCCTGGAGAAGGTCCCTCCCACCTCCTCCTCCTCCAGCCCCTGGAGGTCCCAGGCATTCCTGGCTCGTGGCCGCCTCACTCCACCTCTACCTCCATCTTCACGTGGCCTCCTCCTGCGTCCGTCTCCCTTCTCTTCATGGGGCCCTCTCCGAAGGACACCTGTCTTTGGATGTAGAGCCCCTGTAATCCAGGGCGACTCCTCTTAGCTAATCGCATCTGCAAAGACCCTATGTCTAGGTAAGGTCACATTCGTAGGTGCTGGGGTTAGGACTTGCTTTTGGGGGACACACCTCAGCCCACACCTCACAATTCCCCACCCTCCACCCAACCTCAGCAATGACAACTTCAGAGGGTGAAAGTGCCACACAGACAATGACACAGAGACGCAGGTGAGTGGCTCCGTGGGGGTGGCTCAGACCCCAGCGAGCCAGCATCTGGGCCGAGGCCTCCAGAGCCCAACGCAGCCCCGGCGGGTGGTCCAGGGGGAGTGGCGGGCAGGGGTGGTGGGGCAGCAGGGGCAAGGCCAGGAGGTGTGTATGCTTGGGCTCAGGCAGGCAGGTGAGCAGGCAGGGGTGCGAGTGGGCAGGGGTGCAAGCAGGCAGGGGTGCGAGCGGGCAGGGGTGCAAGCAGGCAGGGGTGCGAGCGGGCAGGGGTGGGTGTGAGCATGGCTCTCCCGCATGGCTGCAGCCTCAGGTGTGTTTGGAAGGACCCCTTGGCCTGCCTCAGGGAGAACGGGGTGTAGGGAGCCCCAGGAAGCTGGAGACAGGTGTCAAAATCTTCTGGGCAGGAGACGGCGGTGGCCTGAGGTGGCGCAGGGTGGATGCCAGCCCAAGTGCTGCAGGGCCTGGGGCCTCTCACTCTGTGTCCATGGCGAGTGTCTCACCCTCTCTGAGCTTGGTTTCTTTATCTGTAGGGAGTGTGTGAGGCCCCCACCTGGTTTCCCTTTCTGTCACAGCTGAACAGGCCCACACCTGGGGTCCCCTTCTGCCCTTCAGCATTCTGGGGGCCTCACAGGGCCCCCACCAGCCTGCCCTGCCTTCCCAGAAGAGACGAAACCCTGATGTTCATGGAGCCCTGGCGTGGTGTCGCACAGCAAGGCCAGGTCCAGCTGGCGAACCTGGGGTCCCAAGACCCTGTTGGTCTCGCCTCTGTCTCCTGCCAGAGCCGAGTCAGCCTCAGGCTAGGGAGGTGCAGGGGGCGGGGGGTCCGGAGAGGCAGTTGGGGAGGCAGGGGCCAGCATAGAGCCCCACCCTCCATCAGGAGCCCACCACGCCCCCTGTCCCAGGCCCACCGTCCCAGGCCCACCCTGCTCTGCCATCCCCTCTCCAGTCCCAGGCCCGAAGTAACACGTCTGCCAGTCCCACTTGGCCATGCAGGCCTCTGCGCAGCCTCAGACACAGCCACCCAGTGCCCACCTTCCCAGTGCCCTCTCCACAGCCTGCTGTGTGACTGCAGGCACCTCGCTTAACCTCTCTGAGCCCTACTGTGTGACCGCAGGCACCTCGCTTAACCTCTCTGAGCCCTGCTGTGTGACTGCAGGCACCTCGCTTAACCTCTCTGAACCCTGCTGCATCGGAGTTCATGAGGTCTTTGCCAGTGAAGGCTTTTCCTGCTCCAATGGCGGTTCCAGAAACCCTTGACCTTTCCTGGGCACAGCAGCCCAGACCCAGCCATAGAGCCAGGGACCTTTGTTCTGTCCTAGAGTTGCCCCAGACTGGGCCCTGGGATAGCAGCATGCAGCATGGGGGACAGGGAGGGCAGTCTGTCTCACCCACAGCGATGTCCCCACACTCGGTCAATATACCCGAAAGAGCGAGTGGGTGAACGGGGGACCTCGTCAGGGCGGGGACAGCTTGGAAAATGTGCAGCCCAGAGAGAACGCTCACACACCATAAACCATGCCGACGGCTTCGGCCCACATAGTAGTTACTTGTTTTACATGAATTCTTGCCAAAGTTTTTAAATGGGGAGATTTCACTTTAAAACCTGGATTTCTCAAAAATCAGAAAGTCTGCCACTGTGCTCCGTGTCCTGGCAGCCACAGCCACAGCCGGGGCCCGGGCAGCAGTGGCCGCTTATCCAACTGTGGGCATGGGAGCCCTGCGACCCCCACCTGAGTGGGAGGGTCACCGAGAGACCCAGGGCGCACCACGGCGACACCAGACCAGGCACTAGCGGTGTGGCATCCCCATTGCTCCTTCCTTGAACAAATCTGGGCCATTATCTCTGCCTTATCCAAGGCACGGGGGCCATAGTCGTGCGTAAAGCTAATTAAAATCTGGGTCCCCGCACGCACGTGATAAATGGGACAAACAGCTGCCATCCCGTGTGCACGAGAGGCCGGGACCAAGAAGGCAGAGCAGCAGGAAATGGCTGGGTGCTGAGGCTGGCGGCCTGGGCAGTGACACTCCAGGACAGACCCGCTCTGTCTCTCCCCTCAGCCTCTCTCTTCCCTTCACCCTCAAAACACCCACCTGTGGGCCCTGGAGGTGGCAGGAGGAACGCAGGAGTGAGGAGACAGCAAAGGAGAGGCCCAGCAGGCCGAGGCCCGGCGCACCGTGGCTTTCCCAGCACAGATGTGTTTTCTGTGTTTTTCTGAAAGCAGGGAGCCCTGGGCTCTGTGGCAGCCCTGCTCAGCCCCACTGGGCCCCGCCGTCCTGCCTGCCTGTGAACCCAGGCCTCTGGAGAAGTGATTCCGTCCAGAGTGAGCCTCGGAGGGTGTCCTGCAGAGCTGGGGGCAGCGTTATAGCAAGGTTCAGTCAGTCCCGCCATTGCCTCTAGCTGGGCGTTGAACTCGGTTTTCTCAGCTCTGAAATGGGGTGACTGTGGCAGTGCTGACTGCAGCTGTGGTCCGGAGGGTGCAGGACCCAGGGACATCCCAGCTCCTGGGCTCCGCGCCTCAGGGCCTGGGCAGTGCCACAGAGGCCTCTGCAGCCTCCGCAGCAGTGGGGAGAGCGACCGGGCCAGCCCCCAGGGCTGTGTGAGTGTGGTGGCAGGTGCCATGGAGGCAGGTGCCATGGAAGCAGGCGCTATGGTGGCACTTAGAGACAGTGACCCTGAGCCTCCACCAAGAGGGGTGAGGAGAAGGGCCCTGCTGCCACCTGGCCAGTGACAACCCCAAGACCATGCGGTGGAGCCGTCTGGGACCCTCAGCATCCGAGCTTTCCCTACACCCTCGGGTCTGGGACTCCCTGAAGGACAGCTGGAGGCTGCAGGCCCTCAGGGCTGGCTGCCTGCAGTGGGTCCACACCCTGTCACCCTCAGGGCCTAGATCCCGAGTCCCCAGGAAGACAGGGTAGAGTCCAACCTTGGGAGCCCAAAGCCCCCACCTGGATTCAGGCTGCTCCCTGCAGGCCACGGGCCTCCAGGTCGGACACGGCCACAGATCACGGCCACGGATCCCATCACGCCCGGGCTTCAGTCTCCAACACAAACACCTGCTGGGCATCGGGAAACGGGAACAAACTTTGGTGTGGGGTGGAGGCATCTGGCCTCGGGGGCACCTGGAGGAGGCCACAGTCTCGTTACCTCCACCCCAAAGAGCCCTGGGGACCGCAGACTCGAGTTGTTGGAGGCCCAGGGATGCTGTGGCGCCGGGATTTGAAAGGTGGCAGCCTCCCGGGAGAGAGCCGTGAGGGCAGAGGCCCCCAGGCCCGGCAGAGCTGCCCTGGATTGGGAGCAAGCTATGGCTGGGAGCGGGCCCCACGGCAGGAGGGTCCGAGGGAGAGGCAGGCCCTGTGGCCTCAGGTTGGCACCGTAGAGGCCTCCTCTGTCCTGGCTGTGGCCTCCTGCTCTCGAGAACAGGCCGAACCCAGAAGGACGTCCCAGTGGGGGGTAACTTCCCCTGCCCCAGGGAACAGGGCTCTTCAGTGCCCGGGCGGCACAGGGCCACCCCTCACCAGGCCACTGTGGCCAGAGGTCCACGCAGGACAGCCCCGCCCAGACGTCCACTGCCACCCGGCCCTGCCTTCCCAGGGCCATGGGTCAGCCAGTTAGGGCGGGGCAGAGGGGAGCACGGCCAGGCCTCCAGTTTCCAGCTGCCCAGAGACCAGCTGAGGCCACACAGCGAGTGGGAACAGCAGGGTCAGCCGCGCCAGGGCCCAGGTAGCCTCGAGGAGGCACCTGCAACAGGGAAGGGCACTGCCTCGGCCTCGCAGAGACTCCGGTCCCGGGTGCCACTTCCCACTGTGTGGCCTTGGAAAAGTCCCTTCCCCTCTCTGAGCCTCGGTTTCTCGTCTGAGCAATGGGGAGGAACAGAACCACCTTGTGGGGCCTTGAGAGGATTCATGAGGCAGTGCTGGCCCGGTGACCACCCGGAACATCAGGGACCCTCCGGGATCTCAGGATCTGTCAGGCCAGTGCCGGTCACAGCTGAGCGAGGTCCTGGAGAGGGGCCGGGAGCCTCCACCACAGCCTGCCGCCCAGGGCCTCGAACTGCCCAAGGCTCACCACCCTGCCCCACAACCTCAGGAGCCAGGGCCCTTCCCCCAAGCCCCTCCTCAAACCTCAGCCAGACTCCACCCCTGGCTGAAGGAGGGAAGAAGGCTCTGTGTCCTGGGAACCCAGGGGCCTGTGCTGCGGGGGGCAGTGCTGTGCCCATTTTACAGCTGAACACACTGAGACTGAGCCCCCAGCCTGGGAATGGCAGTGCAGTGGGAATGCCTGTCACTCAGGCCCCCTCTGCAAAGTGTCTGGAAAATCACAGCTGGCACTCCAGGTGGCCACCCAGACAGGATGTCTTCCAGGGGCAGGAGGACACGGACCCAGCCTGCTCAGGAGCAGGGAGAGCGCCCGGAAGTGACCAGAGCTGGGTGCACGTCCCAGCCCCACATCTCAGCCATGTGCCCTGGAACCCAGCACTGACACTGGAGGCCCATTTCCTCATCTGCAAACCGGGACCGACGGCTTCTTCCAGGCGTGTAGCTCCCAAGCCCCGCATGATCATTGGACCGATTGCCTGGAAGGCCACACCCGGCACACAGTCGGTGCTCATAGTGTCCTTCCTCAAGCTGGGGCGGCAGGCACGCAGCCCGGCCCCTCCCAGGACGACTCGCTTCCCAGCGCTGCAGAGCCAGAGTGCGGACACCCCATCCCCACCCAGCTCCCACCCCGGGCACTTCACTAATCCTCTCGTCCTTAGGAGGCAAAATTATAATCACTTTTAATTGAAAAAGGAGGCTGATATGATTCCGAACCCCACAGCAGCGGGAGAGTAATTAACGCAGCCACCAGGCGTCGCAGAAACCCATTAATCATGTCACTCAGGAGACAGCTCATTAAACCTCGGCTGGGGCAGTGGGAGGACCAGGTGACCCCCATGTAGGCCTCATCGGTCCCGGTTTCTCATGCAGAGACCTCACTCGAGGTGGGATGGGCTCCGTTCCCAAAAACCAGAGGCCGTGACCTTCTCAGGAGGCCACTTGACGGCACAGGGGAATCCAGGTGGCTGCTCGAAGTTCACTTACGCTATTGCTGCCCGGGCGTCCTCATCTGTGAGATGGGCCTGCTGGGGCTTCCCCACGCTGGAAGACAGACGACACCCAGGCCTCCCGTCCTACCTCCCACCCAGACCAGCTTCACACTGTCACACGTTGTGATCTTAGTGGTGTGTGACTTCGGCAGGATCTCCAAGGCAAGCTCTGGGCCTAGCCGGAAGCTTCTGACCCAGAGAGTCTGGGTAGGCCCCAGAAAAGACCACTGAAAGAAGCCACTTCAGACGCCACCACCATTACCGTGAGAAATTGCACGCAGGGCTTCATTGGGAAAGAGTAATGGAAAATAACTAGGGTTTCTAGCATCAACAAGCAGTCACGTGGTGATTGGTTGTTTTAGGGGAGGGATGGTAACAACCTTGCCCACAAAATCAAAACCCCGCAGGACCACGCACCCTTCGCCCTTCCAGGGCTCCCTCCACGGGACCCAGCCTGCAGAAGGGTCCTGCAGGAAGTGGCACGCTCGCTCCCCGGGAGGGGTACCCAGGGCTCCTCTTGGGGGACCAGAGCCTGAGCAGGGGCCTGTCCTGCGGTCGGCGTCTACCCCAGGGCCTGGGACTGTCAGGTCAAGGTCAGCCACCCACACACTCAGGGCGTCCTCCTGGGGTCCCGTGGAGTCTCCGTGGTACTCGGCTTCCTTCTCGCTGTGACAGGGTGAGGGCTGACAGCTCCAAGAGAAAGGCAGACTTGGGCACCGCCTGCCCTTTTCCAGAGCTGCTGCTTGGCACATGGAGGACTGTTTGTCTGCTGGGCCTCCCCCAGGAGGCCGAGAGCAAGGCCCCCACCCACCCTGCCCAGAGCGTCGCTGCAAGGGAGCTCAAAGCCAGGGGCGAAAGAGCCCAGGCTCCGCCACTGTGTGGCCTGGGGCAGGCCCACACCCTTTCTGAGCCACTGTTCCCATCTGTGAAGTGGGCACACTGACCGAGTCACCCTCAACGATCCTCATTCTAGAAATCCAAGGCAGGGCTGCTCGACCGGCCAATGAGAGAAAGGCACCCCCGTCTTTGGATTTTAAAGTGGGTTCTGGGGCTGTGGGCACCGTTGCCCATTCTAACCACCTGCCACCTCCACACCCTGGACGAGCCGTCTCAGCCTTGGGATACCCGCCTGGCTGTATTCACCTTGGCTCTGCTAGAAGGTTCCTGGGGCCAATGAATCCCAATCCAGTCCCCGCAAGCCAGATGCCTGGCGGGGCGGCCCCCAAACGTTTCTCGCTCCCCGCACATGGTCCCTCTTCCTACACCCTTTGGGCAGGGGAGAAGGACCCTCAGACAAATGTGCTGATGGAGGCAGCTGGCGTTTGCTGGGCTCCGGTACAGCATTGACATTTAGAGGGTAGGCTGTGTCTCCAAAGTCATTTCTGGACAGCATGCTACAGTTGCACCTCCACCTCCCAGTGCCGGGGAGCTCTCAGAGTCTCCTATAGAAATGAGGCCCCAAAGCCCCCCATGGCCTGGCAGGGGAGTGTGCGTGAGCCCACGTGTGCATGGGCATGTGTGGATGTATGCACGTATGAGCATGTGCTCACGCGTGTGCATGGATGAGCATGCATAACTGCACACACCTGTATATGTGTGCATGAGTGTGTCCACGTGTGTGCTCACAGGGAAGGCCTGTCCCCACCCTGCAGCCCACCCGAATTGGTCCCTCACCCTAACCTAGAGCCCCAGGTTCAAGGAGCAGCTCCTGGAGACCCCAGGAATAACAGCTGCCCCAGCTGGACTCTACCCGGGCTCCTGAGCACCAACTCCCTGCCAGGCCCAGGATGGGGGCAAGCAGAAGACCTGCGGCCCCAACCGGTGTGATGCCGGCAGTGAGGACAGGGGACAGTACAGCAGCAAATGGACACCATCTACAGAGCCGGGACCAACAGCAACAGCTCTGTGGTCAGGGAGGGCTTCCTGGAGGAGGTGGCATTGGAGCTAAAGCTGAAGGCCCATCTCGGTGAGGCCGTGGAGGGTTGTCTAGGAGACTGAGCAGAGCTGGGTTGGGGCCTGGCCACTGATGAGGTCCTGGTGTCCTTCTGGGTAATGACCCCCTGAATATTGGCCTTTGTGGCACAGAGGGGCAGAGGAGAGGGGGGCTGCCGTTCTTGCCTGCCTCTTGCCATGTGCCAGCTCTCAGCAATTTCAGTGGGTGGCAGGGCTCCGTCTTTAAGCACAAATCCCCACCGCCCCCCCGGCCACCTCCCTGTCATTTTCGAAGACATCATTTTCTTTCCCCATGTGCCCCCTTATCTCCCTCCTGTTAAAGGATCTCGAATAGGCACCCCGATAAGACAGGACGAACACCATTCCCCAGCCCCTCCAATGCCGGCCTCCACTTTCCCCCAAAGTAATTAAGATAAATGCAGCTGATAATTTGCGCCGTATTCTTAAACTTACCCTCCGGGCCATATCTCAGATATAATTTTACCTGCAAAGGTTTATCTGAGCACTCAGGTAACAGATAGTTTTTAAGCAAAGCGGCAGCGTTTGAAGCAAAAGGAAAGGAGAATGTTTGTGAAATAAATGTCAGGAGGCAGCAGCGCTGCAGCCCCGTACGGCGAGGACTACAGACGGGAGGCCCCTGTGCTTTTCTCCTGGGCTGCTCGGCTCCACCAGGGTTTGGGGTGAGCCTGGCCGCCTGCCCAAGTTGTGAATGGGGCCGGATGGGTGTGATGGGCAGACACGATGCTCAGGATGAAGGCCGGGGCACAGCCGAACTCCTCCCTTTTCCCAGCCTTGCTGTCTCGGGTGACCTGGGACCGGAGGCTGCTGCCCAGCGGTGCTGGCACACATGGCATCTGGCTTTGTGCTCCACACCCATCGGGGAGAGGCTAGCTGGCTTCAGGGGCCGTGCCAAGCCACGGAAGGGGGGTCAGACAGCAGGGGACGGTGCCCAGGGTGACACAGCTCGGACAGGATCAGCCCTGGTGGGCAGCCAGAGGCCGGAGGGAACCGACAGACTGGACCGAGCTGGTCCGAGGACGGGCCGGTGCCTCCCAAACAGACCGGGAGAGCTCAGCACGGGAGGCCAACATCCTGACCCCGGCTCTGCTCCCCAGACTTGCCATGTGACCTTGGGCAGGTTCTGTGAGCCTCAGTTTCCCCCATTCGGCCTGGAAGCCCAGCTGCTCTTCCCAGCCCGGTCCCACCCCATGGCACATATTTCTTGGCCCTTGTGTGGTGTCCAGGGTGGGACAGGTGGGGCCCTGGGATTGGGTGTGGACAGCCTCCCTAACCCCCGGCAGCCTCCCACTCCCTGCCCCTGAAGCCCATGCTGGTCCCACCCCTTGAAGCGCCGTCTGCCCCCTCAATAGCACTCCACCCCTCCTCAACGTTCCTCCAACAGCCAGGAATGCCCCCAACGCCATGCCTGAGAGACCCTCACCCAAGGCCAAGCCTCGGCTGAAGAGTCACATCATCAGAGCAGCCGCTCAGGTCACCCAGAAGGCCCCATGTCCCCACTCTTCTCTCTCAGGCCAGGGCCTTGGAGCTGGGATTGAGCCAGGCAGGACTCGGGGGCCTGTGGGGCTCACGCAATGCCCTCCTCTGCCAAAGGGAGGAAGGCACAGAGAGGGGTGGAGGCCGGCCTGAGGCCACACAGCACACAGTAGCAGACCCTGGCTGCAGGTGGGGGCCAGATCCCAACTGCAGGTTCAGCTCTCAGCCATGCTGTCCTTCCCCAGTGCCATGTCTGGAAAGCGGGGCCACACGCAGGTTCCATGTGTGGGGAAGACAGGGCACATGCACCAGGCCCCACTCCCACACCGGGACGAGGGAAGAAAGGGCAGTTCTCCCGCAGCTCCCCCTCGCCTGGAACCCCACGCTTTCCGCTCTCCCCACAGAGGGGCTGAGGAGAAAGGGAGAGCCAGTCCCTGCTGTTTGGGAAGGCACGGGCCAGCCCTGACGACAGCAGAAACAACCAGGAGAATGAAGCCTACCCCACACCAGGGATGGATGCAGCTGAAAGGGCTGGGACCGTTCACAAGGAGGAGGAGCAGGTTGCTTAGGATGCCTGGCTGCAAGTGGGACTGCGTGAGCGTTGATATCAGGGTGTCACAGACAGGCCCAAGGACCCATCAGATCCAACCTCCATTTACAGTTGGTGAAACTGAGGCCAGGAGGCCCAATTGGACAGTGGCACTCCAGTTGGGCAGTGCAGCCGAGTGTGCAGGGCTCCCAGGCCTGGTCCCCAGGGGATGGCCACCAGGATGTGGAACGACAGGCGCCCTTTGAGAATTGCAGGATCATGGAGACACGCCCGAGGAGTTCACACCACACGCAATCCAGGAGGGCTTCCTGGAAGAGGGATGCCATGCTTCTGAGCAAACGTCTGCTAGGCACTCACTGCGTGCTGGTTTGTGTGCTCCATGAGGTGGCTTGCGTTGTTCTGTTTAACCCTCTGACCACACCCTGTGAGGTCAAGACTCTGATCATCCCCATTTCACAGGTGGGAAAACGGGCTCAGAGAGGCTGGGACGGGGCTTGGATCCCACAGTCAAGGAGTGCGGGATCTGAGAGTCAAGCCCAGGTGGGGCTGGCCCCAAAGCCCCCTGTGTGGTTGGCCAGGAGTGAGTGGGGGTCGGGAGGAAGGGAAACGGGAGGGGCAACCCAATCCGAGGGATCTTCTCCAGCAGAGGCCCCAGGAGGGGCTGGGAAGGAAGGGCCAGGGGTGGGACCAGGGGCAGATTGGGGAGAACCTGGCTCTCGAGGGTGCACAGGCCATAGCTGAAACTGAGCAGGTTGAAAGAGGAGGTGAGGCGAAGAGGGTTGGGAGCAGCGGCCAGGGGTGGGGCAGAAGCGTGGGGGCAGGAGCCCAGGTGGGGGCACCCCTCCTTTCAGGCACTGGCATTCCCCCACACCCCCAGCCAGAGCCACCCCAACCTGCTCTTGAGTTACCAGAGCGCTTGGCCGGCTAAAGAGGGGCCAGTTCCTATTTCTGAGAGAAAAGGAGCCGCTCGTGCTCCTCCGGGGTCTCCCTGGGGCCAGCCCTAGATCTGGGGGATAGGATCTCCCGACTTCAAAGGGGTCCGGCCTACTGAAACCCACACCGACAGGCTGGCACCAAGGGGCTCTGCCAAGAGCCTTGGCGGGGCCAGAACCCAAGGCCTGGAGCACATGCCGCCCCATGCCCACCCCAGCTCCAAGGACTGGGACGCGTCCCCGAGCCCCTGGAGGGACAGCTGGCAGCTGGCCCTCGAGTGCCCTGGGGTGCTGCAGGCAAATGTCCCTGCTGTCCTGGGGCAGAGGAAAGGGGATGGGATGGCCAAGTTCTGCCCGCAAGCTGGGCAGGCAGAGGCAGGGCCACCCCAGGAGATGCGAAGGACAGAGGGACAGGGTGTGGAGGCAGTGGGGTGGGGCCACCCTTTGTTCAGCGCGGAAGAAGCACAGTTATAGACAGTCCTGCCTTCAAATCTCAGCTTGGCTGTGTCAATTGTGTGACCTTGGACCCGTCACACCACCTCTCTGGGCTGCAACTTCCTCACTTGCAGCAATTTCTTGATTCACTGACTTTCTGGTCAGCCTAAGGCTGCGAATCTGTCACATCACTGTGTGCCCAGTGCCTGACACAGCATCCAACACAAATGTAAAGACTTGTGGATGGATGGGTGGGTGGGTGGATGAGTGGGTAGATTAGAGGGGATGGGCAGGTGGGTAGATGAATGGGTGAGTGGGTGGATAGATGGGTGGGTGGATGAATGGGTAGAAGGGTGGACGGGTGGCTGACTGGGTGGATGGATGGATGGATGGATGAGTGGGTGGATAGATGGGTGAGTGATGGGTGAACGGGTGGGTGGATGGGCAGGTGGATGGGCAGGAGGATGGGGGGACGGGCACGTGGATGGATGCATGGGTGAGTGGGTGGATAGATGGGTGGATGAATGGTAGAAGCATGGATGGATGGGTGGATGGATAGGTGGGTAATGGATGGATGGATGGATGAGTGGGTGGATAGATGGGTGAGTGATGGATGGATGGGTGAATGGGCAGGTGGATGGGGGGATGAATGGGTGGATGAATGAATGGGTGAATGGGTGGGTGGATAGATGGGTGGACAAATGGTAAAAGGGTGGATGGGTGGGTGGGTGGATGGATGGGTGGATGGGTGATGGATGGATGGGTGGGTGGATAGATGGGTGAGTGATGGGTGGATGATGGGTGGATGAATGCATGGATGGGCAGGTGGATGGGGGGATGGGCGGGTGGATGGATGAATGTGTGAGTGGGTGGATGATTGGGTGGAAGGGTGGATGAGTGGGTGGGTAGATGGATGGGTGGGTGAGTGATGGATGAGTGGGTGGATGGATGGGTGGGTAGATGGACAGATGGGTGGGTGGGTGATACATGAGTGGGTGGATGGATGGATGGATAATGATGATGGATGAGTGAATGGATGGATGGATGGATGGATGGATGGATGGTTGGATGGATGGATGGGTGGATGGACAGATGGGCAGATGGGTGGGTGGGTGATGGATGGGTGGATGGATGGATGGATGATGATGATGGATGAGTGAATGGATGGATGGATGGATGGACGGACAGACGGACGGATGGGTGGATGGGTGATGGATGGGTGGATGGATGATGATGGATGAGTGGATGGATGGATTAATGGATGGATGGATGGATGGATAGATGGATCAATGGGTGAGTGGGTGGGTATCTGGATGGATGGGTAGGTGGGTGGATGGATGGGTAGATGATGGATGGGTAGATAGATGGATGATGATGATGATGGATGGATGGGTGGATGGATGGATGGATGGATGGATAGATGGATGGATGGGTGGGTTGGTGGATGGATGGGTGGGTGATGGATGGGTGGGTGGATGGATGGATGGGTGGGTAGATGGATGGATGGATAGGTGGGTGGATGGATGGATGGATGGATAGATGGATGGATGGGTGGGTGGGTAGATGGATGGATGGATAGGTGGGTGGATGGATGGATACATGAACAGATGGATGGGACAGTGTGGCAAAGGCTTTACTGCTAAGTCCCAGTGGCTTCCTGCAGTTCTTCAC
This sequence comes from Homo sapiens, assembly GCF_000001405.40. NCBI lineage: Eukaryota > Metazoa > Chordata > Mammalia > Primates > Hominidae > Homo > Homo sapiens. The sequence continues at coordinate 88,423,387 of NC_000016.10, forward strand.
CCTCCCTGGGCCTCAGTCTATACATCTCTGGGTAAGGACATGCTTCCTCCTGTGACACAGTGACTCACATTAGGGCCTCTGGGTTCTCTACATTGCTAGGAGGGGCATGAGTTACGGTTGTCTATTGCTGTATCATAAAGAACAGACTGAAACAACAAACCTTTATTATCTCTTAGTTTCCAAAGGTCAGGATGCAGGCACAGCCTAGCGGGTGGTTCTGGCTCAAATTCCCTCACAAGGTTGCGGTCAGAATGTCAGCAGGGGCTGCAGCATCATCCAAAGGCCCAACGGAGTCTGGGGAAGCCACTTCCAAGATGGCTCCCTCACACAGCTACAGGCAGGAGGCCTCTGTTCCTCACCTCATGGCCTCTCCACGGGGCTGCTTGAGTGCCCGGAAAGCATGGCAGCTGCTTCCCCACATGTGTGATCTAAGTGTGCAAGGAGGAAGCTGCAGTGCCTTTTAGGGCCCAATCTTGAAGTCCAGCACCCCTCCTTCCAGCATATTCTGTTCATTAGCAGTGAGGCGGTAAGCTCAGCTGTGTTCAAGTGGAGAGAATGAGGCTCCACCTCTTGAAGGGAGGAGTGTTAAAGAATGTGTGGCCATATTTTAAAACCATCACGGAGACTGACAATTGGACAATCTCCTTCCAAAGTCAAACGCAGGTGCCCTTTGACGCAGCTAGGCCCACAGCGTTTGGAGCACAGGCTGTCGCCATGTGGTGACCATTGCTGTATTGTTTCTAAGGGCCGAATGCAGGCAGCAGCCCAGTGTCCATCCAGACAGGTCTGGGTGCTCTGCAGCCTGGATGCGAGGACGAGTGGACAGAGAGTGAGAAACCTCTTCACGGAATGTTGTGGGATTATCTACAGGATATGTTGTTACATGAAAAAAAGGTCAGGTGCAGAACAGTGAGCGTAGCCGACGATCTTCTGTTGAAGGAAGGAGGAAAGGCAGTGTGTGTTCCTGTGTGCTGGTGTTTGCATCCAGGGACTCTGGGAGGAAACACCAGAAGCTCCTCTAGTCTCCCCAGCGGGACTGGGGAGGGATCCTGGCAGGGATGGGAGGGGCAGCGTTCTCACTGCAACTCGTAATAATCTGGAGCTTCGGAGCTGCATGTACACACAATCTATGCGTACATAAAGACCCAACAAAAAGAGATTTAAGATAGCCGTCAAAGCTGCAGCTGAGGCAGCCAGGTGACCCCTAAACCCTTCAGGGTCCCCCGGGCCAGCTGAGCTGCCCGCTGGCCTCTGAGGGGAGCTCACCCATCTCCCGGTGGCTCTTGGTGGCTTCCCGGTGCCCTGAGGCCACAGCCGGCTCTGCCCAGGAGCCGCTCCCTCCCACCTGGCTTCTCCTCGGGCTCTTGGTCCAGAGCCATGCACCACATCGGCCCTGACATGCTTTCCATTTTCTTTGCAGCCAAGAAATTCTCATTCCTCAGGAAGTTGTGCGGCGACCCAGCTGAGGGGCCCCCGACTCCCCAGGTATGTACAGGCAGCAGCCTGCACCGAGGCTGGCCACAGATGCTCTGGTCTTGATGGTCCTGAGGCCCCCTCCGCCCCCACCCGCCCGGCCTTCCTCTCCCTCTCAGGACAGTAACCGGGCCTGCCTACTGCCTCCCGAGAGCCGACTCCTGGGGCCCGCCGGGCAGGGCTTCCAGCCACAGCTCTGAGCCAGCAGGCGGGCGTGTCACCTGATGTTCCTCATGGCAGCCGCTGAGCCAGCAGGCCTCACTCCTTCCCTTGATAAATCAGACCAGCTCCTTCCCTTGACAAAGCCCCTGGGCACAGCTGTGTTCTCAACACTCCTCCCCACCATCCAGGACTCCGTAAAGGCCACCTCCTCCAGGAGGCCTTTATGATGCTCCATCTGGGCTGAGGTCCCCACTCTGAGCCCCCTCCTCCTCCATCACCTCCTGGAGGACTCTGGCCATGGGTAGGGGGGTCTGACATGTGGGACTGGGCTTCATGTGGGGCCTGGCTGTTGCTGTTCCTACCCCCAACCCTGCAGCCTGGCCCCAGTGGGTGTCTGGGCCATGTGGGACATGGCTAAGCCCAGTGCAGGGCAGGAGATGTGCAGGGCAGGAGATGTGCAGGGCAGGAGATGTGCAGGGCTAGGAGCCAGCCCTCCCAGGAGGACCTCGCCTACACTGGCTGAGGCCTTGAGCGGGTTCCCCACCTCTCTGTGCCTGGATTCCTCACCCATAAATTCAGGGCGACAATCACAGATCACCTCTGAGCCACCGTGAGCACAAGGGAGGCAGTTCAGGAAAGTGCTCAGACGCCCAGCATCATTTATTCACTCAACAAACCTCACCTGTGAATCCTGGCCCCAAGGACTCCCAGGCCTTTGCCCCCTGGCAGTGGATCCCAGAAGAGGGAAAGGGGCCCTCCTCCCGGGGTCATGGGACAGGAGGTACCTCAGTGGTGGGGGCAGAGGAGGAAGGGGCACCCGGGCCCCCCAGCTGGCATGACTCTTTTTGGTGGTGTGATGTGGAGTTTGCAGGCTGGGACCTCGCCCACCCTGGAGACCTTGGCCCAAATTGGGCAGGACCCTCCTCCCCGGTGCAGGCAGTCCCTGGGCACAGCAGGAAGAGCCAGCCGGAAGTACAGGTACCAACCTCGTGCTGGGGACAGAGGGCCTGCCAGCCTCTGCGTTAGGAGTCCCCAGGCGGCTGTAGTGCGGGAACTCCGGGAGGGGCATGAGACACCACCAGCTCAGGCCGGTGGGAGGGTCCTGTGACCTCAGGAGGCAGCCCCCGCCTCCACAGAGGCAGCAGGGTCTCTGAGAGTGCTCCAGGCCTGAGGCCTGTCCCTTCAGCTCCCAGCTGCTCTGCTGCTGGCTGTGTGACCCTGGCCAAGTCATCCGCCTCTCTGGGCCTGCCATGAGGACCCAGGGGTCAGTGGCAAGGACAATGCCTGCAAGGGCTGAGCCCTGCCTCACTCTGCTGTGTAAAGGACGCCCGGTCCCTGCTGGGCAAGTCAGAAGGGGCCCCCACACGGAGCGGCCTGCGCACCTCGTGGCCACAGCCAATGGCTCGGGTCTGAGTCCTGTCCGCACAGAGGACAGTCCCGTATGTCATGACATGAGAACAGACATGATGAGTGTGAAGCCAGCCCTGGGTGAGCAAGGGGCCAGGCTCCTCTGGGCAAGCGGCTCCTGCTACATCTGGCATGTGCCAGAATGGGAGCCGGCACCGTCTGGAGGCTGGGGGCTTCCTGGAGCAGGATCTGGAGGTTACCCTGTAAGGCCTGGTGGCAGGGAGACCCTGGCTGACGGCAGGATCTGGAGGTTACCCTGTAAGGCCTGGTGGCAGGGAGACCCTGGCTGACGGCAGGATCTGGAGGTTACCCTGTAAGGCCTGGTGGCAGGGAGACCCTGGCTGACGGCAGGGGAGTCCCCGCTTGGAACCAGCCGCCCAGGCCCTGAGAGGTTCAGGTTGAGCCTCTGCTGCCTCAGTCCCCTATGTCCTGCAACGCAGCCTCCTGCCTCAAGGCCCTCCCCATGGCAGGTGTAAGCATCCACCTGGGCCCTCCTGGACGCTGCCAGGACCCTGCCCTGGGGCAGTTCCTGCAGGCTGAGAGCTTGTGCCCCACACAGGTGCCTGTCCTCTCCACAGCCTGGCCGAGGACTGCTCTGAGCCTGTAAGCGGCCTCCTCACACCCCAGAAAGCTCCCCCTCCCTCCCCCTCCACTCAATCTCTGCGCTCCACCGCCCCTCTTCTCCCTAAGACAGGGAAGGGTCCCTGTTCCATCTGGCGGGATGCCCTCTCCCTTCCTGCTTCTAGGTAGGGGCTGAGCCGAGCATCCCTTCTAAGCGCGGAGCTTCTGTGATGGCTGCACGCAGCCTCTTCTGCTTCTGGCCCGGCCACACCCGCATGGAGAGCCTAGAAGCTCCCTGTCTAGGCGAGGGCCACCCAGCCCCTCTGCCCCACTCACCCCTGACCTTTCCTTCCAGGCTCCACTCAGGACCATGAGCGCAGGCTTCCCTGGGGCCCATCGAGGGCTGAGGATGGCCGTCCAGCCCACTCCCCAGGGCCCCCCTCGGACAGCTGCGTCGTCCTAGCGCCAGGACGGAGGGGCCATGCCTGGGGAGCGCCCCCGAGGAGCGCCGCCCCCCACCATGACTGGAGACCTGCAGCCCCGCCAAGTTGCCAGCAGCCCGGGGCACCCCTCCCAGCCGCCACTGGAGGACAACACCCCAGCTACCAGGACCACCAAGGGTGCCAGGGAGGCTGGCGGCCAGGCCCAGGCCATGGAGCTCCCCGAGGCCCAGCCAAGGCAGGCCAGGGACGGGGAGCTCAAGCCCCCATCCCTGAGAGGCCAGGCCCCGAGCAGCACCCCTGGGAAGAGGGGCAGCCCCCAGACCCCACCGGGGAGAAGCCCCTTGCAGGCTCCCTCAAGGCTGGCGGGCAGGGCAGAGGGCAGCCCCCCACAGCGCTACATTCTGGGCATCGCCAGCTCGAGGACCAAGCCCACCCTGGACGAGACACCAGAGAACCCACAGCTGGAGGCTGCCCAGCTCCCTGAGGTGGACACCCCCCAGGGCCCTGGGACTGGAGCTCCACTCAGGCCGGGCCTCCCAAGGACTGAGGCCCAACCCGCCGCCGAAGAGCTTGGCTTCCACAGGTGCTTCCAGGAGCCACCCTCCAGCTTTACCTCCACCAACTATACCTCACCAAGCGCCACCCCCAGGCCCCCAGCCCCGGGGCCCCCCCAGAGCAGGGGCACCAGCCCCCTCCAGCCCGGTTCCTATCCCGAATACCAGGCCAGTGGGGCCGACTCCTGGCCTCCCGCTGCTGAGAATAGCTTCCCAGGTGCTAATTTCGGGGTTCCCCCCGCCGAGCCGGAACCTATTCCCAAAGGCAGCAGGCCCGGCGGCAGCCCCAGGGGAGTTTCCTTCCAGTTCCCCTTCCCGGCACTGCATGGGGCCAGCACAAAACCCTTCCCTGCGGATGTGGCTGGGCACGCATTCACCAATGGGCCACTGGTGTTTGCCTTCCATCAGCCCCAGGGAGCGTGGCCGGAGGAGGCCGTGGGCACGGGCCCTGCCTACCCGCTGCCCACCCAGCCTGCGCCCTCACCCCTGCCCTGCTACCAGGGCCAGCCAGGTGGCCTGAACCGCCACAGCGACCTCAGTGGTGCCCTCTCTTCCCCTGGAGCTGCTCACTCGGCCCCGAGACCCTTCTCTGACAGTTTACACAAGAGCCTGACCAAAATCCTTCCCGAAAGACCACCTTCAGCCCAGGATGGGCTGGGGAGCACGAGAGGGCCCCCTAGCTCCCTACCCCAGAGGCACTTTCCAGGGCAGGCGTACAGAGCCAGTGGGGTGGACACCAGCCCGGGGCCTCCGGACACCGAGCTGGCCGCCCCAGGGCCCCCACCCGCCAGGCTGCCCCAGCTGTGGGACCCCACAGCAGCCCCTTACCCCACACCTCCTGGGGGCCCCCTGGCTGCCACCAGGAGTATGTTCTTTAACGGCCAGCCCAGCCCAGGCCAGCGGCTCTGCCTCCCCCAGAGTGCCCCCCTGCCTTGGCCCCAAGTGCTCCCGACCGCCCGGCCAAGTCCCCACGGAATGGAGATGCTGAGCCGGCTGCCTTTCCCCGCGGGGGGCCCCGAGTGGCAGGGGGGCAGCCAAGGAGCCCTGGGCACTGCTGGCAAGACACCGGGACCCAGAGAGAAGCTGCCAGCCGTGAGAAGCAGCCAGGGCGGCTCCCCAGCACTGTTCACCTACAACGGAATGACAGACCCTGGGGCTCAGCCCCTGTTCTTCGGGGTGGCCCAGCCCCAGGTTTCACCCCACGGGACACCCAGCCTGCCCCCACCGAGGGTAGTGGGAGCCTCCCCCAGCGAGTCCCCACTGCCGTCACCGGCCACCAACACGGCCGGCAGCACCTGCTCTTCCCTGTCGCCGATGTCCAGCAGCCCAGCCAACCCCAGCTCAGAGGAAAGCCAGCTCCCCGGCCCCCTCGGGCCCTCGGCCTTCTTCCACCCACCCACTCACCCCCAGGAGACGGGCAGCCCCTTCCCGTCCCCGGAGCCCCCCCACTCCCTCCCCACCCACTACCAGCCAGAGCCAGCCAAGGCCTTCCCTTTTCCCGCAGATGGGCTGGGAGCCGAGGGTGCCTTCCAGTGCCTGGAGGAGACCCCATTCCCCCACGAGGGCCCCGAGGTGGGTCGGGGAGGGCTGCAGGGCTTCCCCCGTGCGCCGCCTCCGTACCCCACACACCACTTCTCCCTCAGCAGCGCCAGCCTGGACCAGCTGGACGTGCTGCTGACCTGCAGGCAGTGTGACCGCAACTACAGCAGCCTGGCGGCCTTCCTGGCCCACCGGCAGTTCTGTGGCCTGCTCCTGGCCAGGGCCAAGGATGGCCACCAGCGGTCTCCAGGCCCCCCTGGGCTCCCCTCGCCCCCCGCTGCCCCCAGAGTCCCTGCCGACGCACACGCGGGCTTGCTCAGCCACGCGAAGACCTTCCTGTTAGCTGGGGACGCCCAGGCCGAGGGCAAAGACGACCCCCTGAGGACAGGCTTCCTGCCCAGCCTGGCCGCCACCCCCTTCCCGCTCCCTGCCTCGGACCTGGACATGGAGGATGACGCCAAGCTGGACAGCCTCATCACAGAGGCGCTCAACGGCATGGAGTACCAGTCGGACAACCCGGAGATCGACAGCAGCTTCATCGACGTCTTCGCGGACGAGGAGCCTTCCGGCCCCAGAGGTCCCAGCTCCGGACACCCCCTTAAGAGCAAGGCGGGGGTGACTCCAGAGAGCAAAGCTCCGCCCCCGCTCCCAGCAGCCACGCCGGACCCCCAAACCCCCCGCCCTGGGGACAGGGGCTGCCCAGCCCGAGGCAGGCCCAAAACGCGTTCCCTGGGTCTGGCCCCCACCGAGGCGGATGCGCCCAGCCAGGGCAGGCAGCAGAGGAGGGGGAAGCAGTTGAAGCTGTTCCGGAAGGATCTGGACTCGGGCGGCGCAGCAGAGGGGTCGGGGTCGGGCGGCGGCGGCAGAGCCTCCGGCCTGAGGCCCCGGAGGAACGACGGTCTCGGGGAGCGGCCCCCACCCCGTCCCCGGCGCCCTAGAACGCAGGCCCCCGGGAGCCGCGCAGACCCCGCGCCCCGGGTCCCGAGAGCCGCCGCCCTCCCCGAGGAGACCCGCAGCTCCCGGCGCCGCCGGCTGCCCCCCAGGAAGGACCCCAGGAAGAGGAAGGCTCGGGGCGGCGCCTGGGGCAAGGAGCTCATTCTGAAGATCGTGCAGCAGAAGAACAGGCGCCACCGGCGGCTGGGGCGGCGGGCGGGCAGGTGCGGCTCCCTGGCGGCGGGGAGGCCCCGGCCCGGAGCTGAGGACCGCAGGCTCCGCGAGTACGACTTCGCCTCGGAGTCCGAGGAGGACGAGCAGCCTCCGCCGCGGGGCCCCGGCTTCAGAGGCCGGCGGGGCCGAGGCGAGAAGAGGAAGGAAGTGGAGCTGACCCAGGGTCCCAGAGAGGATGAGCCACAGAAACCCCGGAAGGCGGCGAGGCAGGAAGCCGGCGGGGACGGAGCCCCCGCGAACCCCGAGGAGCCGGGCGGGTCTCGCCCGGGCCCCGGCAGGAGCCCTCAGGCCCGTGGCCCGTCTCGAAGCCTGGAGACGGGAGCGGCCGCCAGGGAGGGAGGCCCCAAGTGTGCTGATCGCCCCTCAGTGGCCCCCAAGGATCCCCTGCAGGTCCCCACCAACACCGAGACCTCAGAGGAAACCCGCCCGTCGCTGGACTTTCCCCAGGAGGCCAAGGAGCCTGAAACTGCCGAAGAGTCAGCCCCGGACAGCACAGAATTCACAGAGGCTTTGCGTTCTCCTCCAGCCGCCTGTGCGGGAGAAATGGGAGCAAGCCCCGGTCTCCTGATACCAGAGCAGCCGCCGCCCAGCAGACATGACACCGGCACCCCCAAGCCGTCGGGAAGCCTCGCCAACACGGCGCCCCACGGAAGCTCGCCAACGCCAGGTGTGGGCAGCCTGCTGGGTGGTCCTGGGGGCACACAGGCCCCAGTCTCCCACAACAGCAAGGACCCCCCTGCCCGCCAGCCTGGAGAATTTCTGGCACCCGTGGCTAACCCCTCAAGTACCGCCTGCCCCAAACCCAGTGTTCTGTCTTCAAAGATCTCCAGTTTTGGCTGTGACCCTGCTGGTTTTAACAGAGACCCCTTGGGGGTTCCAGTTGCCAAAAAGGGGCCTCAGCCCTACAGCAGCCCCCACAGTGAGTTGTTCCTCGGACCCAAAGACCTGGCTGGCTGTTTCCTGGAAGAACTGCACCCCAAGCCCTCAGCCAGGGATGCCCCGCCGGCCAGCAGCTCCTGCCTTTGCCAGGACGGCGAGGATGCCGGTTCCCTCGAGCCACAGCTGCCAAGGAGCCCACCTGGCACCGCTGAGACGGAGCCAGGCAGGGCTGCATCGCCACCGACCTTGGAGTCCTCATCCCTCTTCCCAGACCTGCCGGTGGACAGATTCGACCCACCCCTCTATGGCAGCCTGTCTGCGAACAGGGACTCCGGTCTGCCGTTCGCATGTGCCGACCCTCCCCAGAAGACGGTGCCGTCAGATCCACCGTACCCCTCTTTTTTGCTGCTTGAGGAAGTATCCCCGATGCTGCCTAGCCATTTTCCTGATCTCTCGGGGGGAAAGGTGCTCAGTAAGACGTGTCCCCCTGAACGGACAGTGGTTCCCGGCGCCGCCCCATCTTTGCCTGGGAAGGGGAGTGGATGTAGCGTTGCTCTTATGAGTCACCTGTCCGAGGATGAACTGGAGATCCAGAAATTGGTCACCGAATTAGAAAGTCAGCTGCAAAGGAGCAAAGACACACGTGGGGCCCCGAGAGAGCTTGCAGAAGCTGAGTCGGTGGGCAGGGTGGAGCTCGGCACAGGCACAGAGCCACCCTCCCAACGGCGCACCTGCCAGGCCACCGTGCCCCACGAGGACACGTTCTCGGCAGCTGACCTCACGCGCGTTGGAGAATCCACTGCACATCGGGAGGGTGCGGAATCGGCTGTGGCCACCGTGGAAGCGGTTCAGGGGAGGCCTGGGGGGACGTGGCCCTGCCCAGCCTCCTTCCATCCGGGACATGCAGCCCTTCTCCCCTGTGCCCAGGAAGACCTGGTTTCTGGGGCTCCTTTCAGCCCCAGGGGAGCCAACTTCCATTTTCAGCCAGTGCAGAAAGCCGGAGCCTCCAAGACTGGACTTTGCCAGGCAGAAGGAGACAGCAGGCCCCCCCAAGATGTCTGCCTGCCTGAGCCCAGCAAGCAGCCTGGCCCACAGCTGGATGCCGGGAGTTTAGCAAAGTGCAGCCCCGACCAGGAACTTTCATTTCCTAAGAATAAGGAGGCCGCCAGCTCACAAGAAAGTGAAGACTCCCTGCGGCTGCTTCCCTGTGAACAGAGAGGAGGGTTCCTCCCAGAGCCCGGCACAGCAGACCAGCCCCACCGAGGGGCCCCTGCTCCAGAAGCTTTTGGCAGCCCTGCTGTCCATCTGGCCCCTGACTTGGCATTTCAGGGTGACGGGGCTCCACCTCTGGATGCCACCTGGCCTTTTGGTGCCAGTCCCAGCCATGCTGCCCAGGGACATTCTGCAGGCAGAGCAGGTGGGCACCTCCACCCCACGGCAGGGAGGCCTGGCTTTGAGGGTAATGAGTTTGCACCGGCGGGGGCCTCCTCACTGACTGCCCCCCGGGGCAGGGAGGCTTGGTTGGTCCCTGTGCCAAGTCCCGCCTGTGTATCCAACACCCACCCTAGCAGGAGGTCCCAGGACCCAGCTTTGAGCCCCCCCATACGTCAGCTCCAGCTCCCAGGGCCTGGAGTGGCTAAGAGTAAAGATGGCATCCTGGGCTTGCAGGAGCTGACACCTGCTGCCCAGAGCCCTCCACGAGTGAACCCCTCAGGTCTGGAAGGGGGCACTGTGGAAGGAGGGAAGGTGGCCTGTGGCCCCGCCCAGGGCTCCCCAGGGGGTGTGCAGGTGACAACTCTCCCTGCAGTGGCCGGACATCAGCTGGGGCTGGAGGCAGATGGACATTGGGGCTTGCTTGGCCAAGCCGAGAAAACCCAGGGCCAAGGCACAGCCAACCAGCTTCAGCCAGAGAACGGGGTGAGCCCAGGGGGCACGGACAACCACGCCTCAGTCAATGCCAGTCCCAAAACAGCGCTGACCGGCCCCACCGAGGGTGCAGTCCTGCTAGAGAAATGCAAGGGAAGCAGGGCAGCCATGAGCCTTCAGGAGGAGGCCGAGCCCACCCCAAGCCCCCCGTCCCCTAATAGGGAGTCCCTGGCGCTGGCCTTGACAGCAGCCCACAGCCGAAGTGGATCTGAGGGCCGGACTCCAGAGAGGGCGTCCAGCCCCGGCCTGAACAAGCCACTGCTGGCCACAGGGGATAGCCCAGCACCCTCTGTCGGGGACCTGGCCGCCTGCGCCCCCTCACCCACTTCAGCCGCCCACATGCCCTGCAGCCTTGGGCCCCTGCCCCGTGAAGACCCACTTACCTCGCCTTCCAGGGCCCAAGGTGGGCTGGGGGGGCAGCTGCCAGCATCTCCGTCCTGCAGGGACCCTCCCGGCCCCCAGCAGCTGCTGGCCTGTTCTCCTGCCTGGGCACCTCTGGAAGAGGCAGATGGCGTCCAAGCCACGACAGATACTGGGGCTGAGGATTCCCCGGTGGCTCCCCCGTCTTTGACAACAAGCCCCTGCGATCCCAAGGAAGCCCTGGCTGGTTGCCTTCTCCAGGGGGAGGGCAGCCCCCTGGAAGACCCTTCCTCCTGGCCTCCTGGCTCCGTCAGTGCTGTAACCTGCACTCACAGTGGGGACACCCCCAAAGACAGCACTTTAAGAATTCCAGAGGATTCCAGAAAAGAGAAGCTGTGGGAGTCTCCTGGCCGAGCCACCTCTCCTCCTCTGGCAGGGGCCGTCTCCCCCAGCGTGGCCGTCAGGGCTACTGGCCTGTCCAGCACTCCCACCGGAGATGAGGCACAGGCAGGCAGGGGACTCCCAGGGCCAGACCCCCAGAGCAGGGGAGCCCCGCCCCACACCAACCCTGACAGGATGCCCAGGGGCCACTCCTCGTATTCTCCAAGCAATACTGCCCGCCTCGGCCACAGGGAGGGCCAGGCTGTCACAGCTGTGCCCACTGAGCCTCCCACGCTACAGGGTGCAGGGCCGGACTCCCCCGCCTGCCTGGAAGGTGAGATGGGGACCAGCAGCAAGGAGCCGGAGGACCCAGGGACCCCTGAGACCGGGCGCTCTGGTGCTACCAAGATGCCCAGGGTCACCTGCCCTTCCACAGGACTGGGCTTGGGAAGAACCACAGCCCCAAGCAGCACAGCCAGTGACTTCCAGTCTGACTCCCCCCAAAGCCACAGAAATGCCTCCCACCAGACTCCCCAGGGGGACCCCCTCGGCCCCCAAGACCTCAAACAGAGGTCCCGTGGCTATAAAAAGAAGCCTGCATCTACAGAGAACGGCCAGTGGAAGGGCCAAGCTCCACATGGGCCTGTGACCTGTGAGGTCTGCGCAGCCTCCTTCCGCTCCGGGCCGGGCCTGAGCCGGCACAAGGCCAGGAAGCACCGGCCACACCCGGGAGCCCCCGCGGAGCCGAGCCCAGCGGCCTTGCCTGCTCAGCAGCCTCTAGAGCCCCTAGCCCAAAAGTGCCAGCCGCCCAGGAAGAAAAGCCACAGGGTGTCTGGGAAGGAGAGACCAAATCACTCACGGGGAGACCCCAGCCACGTCACCCAGCCACCGCCTGCCCAGGGCTCAAAGGAGGTTCTCAGAGCACCGGGGTCCCCACACAGCCAGCAGCTGCACCCTCCAAGCCCTACTGAGCATGAGGTAGATGTGAAGACTCCGGCCTCCAAGCCCAGACCAGACCAGGCCAGGGAAGATGAGCTGCATCCCAAACAGGCAGAAAAAAGAGAAGGCCGGAGGTGGCGCCGAGAGCCCACCGTGGACTCTCCTAGCCACTCAGAGGGGAAGTCAAATAAGAAAAGGGGAAAGCTGAGAGGGAGAAGGCTCCGGGAGGAGAGCATTCTTCCAGTCTCTGCTGATGTGATTTCAGATGGGCGCGGCTCCAGACCATCCCCTGCAATGGCCAGTTACGCAGCCTCTCCGAGCCACTGCCTCTCTGTGGAAGGAGGGCCTGAGGCTGACGGGGAGCAGCCGCCTCGCTTGGCCACTCTGGGACCTGGGGTGATGGAGGGTGCAGCGGAGACTGACCAGGAGGCTCTGTGTGCAGGGGAGACTGGGGCCCAGAAGCCACCTGGAGATCGGATGCTGTGTCCAGGGAGGATGGATGGTGCAGCTCTGGGGGAACAGCCAACTGGGCAGAAGGGAGCCTCGGCAAGGGGGTTCTGGGGACCAAGAGAGACCAAGGCGTTGGGTGTGTGCAAAGAGTCTGGGAGCGAGCCTGCGGAGGACAGCAGCAGGGCCCACAGCCGATCAGAGGAAGGTGTCTGGGAGGAGAACACGCCCCCCTTGGGCCCCCTGGGTTTTCCCGAGACTTCCAGCTCTCCGGCGGACAGCACCACCAGCAGCTGCCTCCAGGGCCTCCCGGACAACCCAGACACCCAGGGTGGAGTCCAGGGGCCTGAAGGCCCCACTCCTGATGCCTCTGGCTCCAGTGCCAAGGATCCTCCAAGCTTGTTTGATGATGAGGTCTCTTTCTCCCAGCTCTTCCCTCCAGGCGGTCGCTTGACTAGAAAGAGGAACCCGCATGTCTACGGGAAGCGCTGTGAGAAGCCGGTGCTCCCGCTGCCAACCCAGCCCAGCTTTGAGGAGGGCGGTGACCCCACGCTGGGCCCAGCCCGCCTGCCCACGGACCTCAGCGACTCCAGCTCCCTCTGCCTCTGCCATGAGGACCCGTGGGAGGACGAGGATCCCGCAGGTCTGCCCGAGTCCTTCCTCCTGGATGGGTTCCTCAATAGCAGGGTGCCTGGCATTGACCCCTGGGCCCCCGGCCTCAGCCTGTGGGCCCTGGAGCCCAGCAGGGAAGCTGGTGCAGAGAAGCTGCCCTCCCACTGCCCCGAGGACGATCGGCCGGAGGCCATTCCTGAGCTGCACATGGTCCCAGCGGCTTGGCGAGGCCTGGAGATGCCGGCCCCTGCCGATGACTCCTCCTCTTCTCTCGGAGATGTGAGCCCCGAGCCCCCCAGCCTGGAGAGAGAACGCTGTGACGGTGGGCTTCCCGGGAACACCCACCTGCTGCCGCTCCGTGCCACGGACTTTGAGGTGCTCAGCACCAAGTTTGAGATGCAAGACCTGTGCTTTCTGGGACCCTTTGAAGACCCCGTGGGTCTCCCCGGCCCCAGCTTCTTAGACTTCGAGGGCACGGCGAGCTCACAGGGGCCACAGAGCCGAAGGACAGAGGAGGCTGCAGGGGCAGGGAGGGCCCAAGGCAGAGGCCGGCCGGCCAAGGGCAGGCGGGCCTCCTACAAGTGCAAAGTGTGCTTCCAGCGCTTCCGCAGCCTGGGCGAGCTGGACCTGCACAAGCTGGCCCACACGCCCGCGCCGCCGCCCACCTGCTACATGTGCGTGGAGCGCAGGTTTGGCTCGCGGGAGCTGCTGCGGGGGCACCTGCAGGAGAGGCACGCGCAGAGCAAGGCCGGGCCCTGGGCGTGCGGCATGTGCCTGAAGGAGGTGGCCGACGTCTGGATGTACAACGAGCACCTGCGTGAGCACGCGGTCCGCTTCGCCCGCAGGGGGCAGGCGCGGAGGTCCTTGGGGGACCTGCCCGGAGGCCTGGAGGGCAGCAGCGCTGTCGCCCACCTTCTGAACAGCATCACGGAACCCGCGCCCAAACACCACAGGGGCAAGCGCTCCGCCGGCAAGGCCGCCGGGAGCCCGGGAGACCCGTGGGGGCAAGAGGGAGAAGCCAAGAAAGACAGCCCGGGCGAGAGGGCGAAACCCCGGGCACGCAGCACCCCCAGCAACCCAGACGGGGCCGCGACCCCAGACAGCGCCTCTGCCACCGCCCTGGCTGACGCCGGCAGCCCGGGCCCCCCCAGGACGACCCCCAGCCCGTCCCCCGACCCCTGGGCCGGCGGGGAGCCCCTCCTGCAAGCCACCCCGGTGCACGAGGCCTGCAAGGACCCCTCCCGCGACTGCCACCACTGCGGGAAGCGCTTCCCCAAGCCCTTCAAGCTGCAGCGCCACCTGGCGGTGCACAGCCCGCAGCGCGTCTACCTGTGCCCCCGGTGCCCCCGGGTCTACCCCGAGCACGGGGAGCTGCTGGCACACCTGGGCGGGGCGCACGGGCTGCTGGAGCGGCCGGAGCTGCAGCACACGCCGCTGTATGCCTGCGAGCTCTGCGCCACGGTTATGCGCATCATCAAGAAGTCCTTCGCCTGCAGCTCCTGCAACTACACCTTCGCCAAGAAGGAGCAGTTCGACCGCCACATGAACAAGCACCTCAGGGGGGGGCGGCAGCCCTTCGCGTTCCGCGGCGTGCGGAGGCCGGGAGCGCCGGGACAGAAGGCCCGGGCCCTCGAGGGCACACTGCCCAGCAAACGGCGCAGGGTGGCCATGCCCGGCAGTGCCCCTGGGCCCGGCGAGGACAGGCCTCCTCCCCGGGGAAGCAGCCCCATCCTGAGTGAGGGCTCTCTCCCGGCCCTGCTCCACCTGTGTTCGGAGGTGGCTCCCAGCACCACCAAGGGATGGCCCGAGACCCTAGAGAGGCCTGTAGACCCCGTGACCCACCCGATCAGAGGTTGTGAGCTGCCATCCAACCACCAGGAGTGTCCCCCGCCGTCTCTGTCTCCCTTCCCAGCTGCCTTGGCTGATGGCAGAGGAGACTGCGCGCTGGACGGAGCCCTGGAGAGGCCAGAGAACGAGGCTTCCCCAGGCAGCCCCGGGCCTCTTCTCCAGCAAGCTCTCCCTCTGGGGGCATCTCTGCCGCGGCCGGGAGCCAGAGGCCAAGATGCGGAGGGAAAGAGGGCTCCTCTCGTGTTCTCAGGGAAACGCAGGGCCCCGGGTGCCCGTGGCAGGTGTGCCCCTGACCATTTCCAGGAAGACCACCTACTTCAGAAAGAGAAGGAGGTGTCCTCAAGCCACATGGTGTCTGAGGGGGGGCCCCGAGGCGCCTTCCACAAGGGCAGCGCCACCAAGCCTGCGGGCTGCCAGAGCTCATCAAAGGACAGGTCGGCAGCATCCACCCCCAGCAAAGCACTCAAGTTCCCAGTGCACCCAAGGAAGGCGGTGGGGAGCCTGGCACCCGGGGAGCTGGCCCGTGGCACAGAGAATGGGATGAAGCCCGCCACCCCCAAAGCCAAACCCGGCCCCAGCTCCCAGGGCAGTGGAAGCCCTCGCCCCGGCACCAAGACAGGAGGTGGCAGCCAGCCCCAGCCAGCCAGCGGGCAGCTCCAGAGCGAGACAGCCACCACCCCAGCCAAGCCCAGCTTCCCCAGCCGGAGCCCTGCACCAGAGAGGCTCCCCGCTCGAGCCCAAGCCAAGAGCTGCACCAAGGGGCCAAGGGAAGCTGGTGAGCAGGGGCCCCACGGGAGCCTAGGTCCCAAGGAGAAGGGAGAGAGCAGTACGAAGAGGAAAAAGGGCCAGGTCCCAGGGCCAGCCAGGAGTGAAAGTGTGGGGAGCTTCGGGAGAGCCCCCTCAGCCCCTGACAAGCCCCCCCGGACCCCTCGGAAGCAGGCAACTCCCAGCCGCGTGCTCCCGACCAAGCCCAAGCCCAACAGCCAGAACAAACCCAGGCCGCCACCATCAGAGCAGCGGAAGGCAGAGCCGGGCCACACACAGAGGAAGGACAGACTGGGCAAGGCCTTCCCCCAGGGGAGACCCCTGCTCAGGCCCCCCAAGAGGGGCACAGCTGTCCACGGTGCTGAACCTGCCGAGCCACACACCCACCGGACGGCCGAGGCCCAGAGTGACCTCCTCAGCCAGCTCTTCGGGCAGAGACTAACTGGCTTCAAAATCCCTTTAAAGAAAGATGCTTCCGAGTAATTTCTAGGAGCAAGAGCCTGGGACCGGAGCTGGGCGTTCCTGTCTCGGCCTGCCTCCTTGGCCAGCTCCGGCTCCCTGAGATGGTCCACTCTGTGGCCACTTGACTTCTTGTGCAACTGCTCAGGCCTTGATGTCAGAGCTGAGGTGGTGATGCTTTGAACAGGGCCCAGGTGGGCAGCATTCCCTTTCTTGCTGGAAGGCTGGGGGTGAAAGACGGGGCCACTGCAGCCCTTTTGAGACCACACAGCTGTTTTCTTGGTACCAAGTACTTGAAGAGACAGCAGCCCATCCCCTCAGCCCACACCCCTGCGCCCTGTGGGCACCGACACCACAGAAGCCAATGTTTGGAGATTTGCACAACCTCCCGTTCCCCCACATGGAGAAGGGAAGTAAGTTGAGGCAGCCGTGGGATGGTGGTAGGTTCCCTCTTAGTCTTGCTGCTGTTGCTGGAATTCCAAAGTGACCTTAGAAACCACGTGGGGGAAGGCAGTGCTCACTACTTAGAAGGGTTGCTTCTGAGCCGCCTGGTCCCCCAAGAGCACAACAGGCCTCCTCCCTCTGACCACAGGGTCATGCCTCCTCCCTCTGACCACAGGGTCATGCCAGCCTCCATTTGCTCTGCGGGAGAAAAGCCCATCTCTAGCACACCTTGACCCCAGGAACCGGGTTCCCGTATGGAACTGGGAAGAAACCGCCCCTGTGCCAGCTCCCGCGGGCCCTCCTCGTTCCCTCCCAGCCTCCATGGCCGCCCTCTAGAGCCTCCCTGCTGTACGGAGCTCTGGGCTCCGCCTATTTGCAATGTTACTCTGAAGTTTCTGGTGCTATTTTTGTGTTGTAATGTGAATACAGGCTTCCTTGATTTTTTTTTTTAATGGGGGTATTGGGTGGGACAGACGGGGTCAGGGAGGCCCCACCATGGCTTGTCGAGGGCACGGGCACCTGCATGGCGGCGCTCTCCCTGCCTCCCCTGCCGGGCTGCAAGCCTGAGGTCTGTGCTGCCAGACGGGGATGCTCAGGGCTGGGGCTGCAGAGCCGCTGCCCTGGCCAGGGCACCCTCATGCACCGACCCAACCCAGGCCTGGGACGCACGTGTCCTCTCACAGCGTCGTGCCTGTGAAGGTGGGTCAAAGGGTGAGAGGGCTTCCTTCTCACCCTTCTCTCCATAAGTATCTTGAAGATCCATGGTTTGTTTTGCTCTATTGTTTAGTTTTTACTTGGGTGCAATGTGTACGTCAAAAGTTTTTATTTTGATATTTGAAAGAGACCAAATCAGGCCCAGACCGCCTCTCTGGAAGGTGTTGTAGGCCATTCAAAACGCCTCCGGAGTGTCGCAAACCAAGTGCGGAGGGGCCCTGAGGTTGTACTGTAAACATCATAGTGACTTGTCTTTTCAAATATATTCCCACTATTTTCGCAGAAAACCTCCAGCTGCGTGACGTCTGTCCTCCCGCCGGCCCCCATCCCTGGTCTGCACCTCCCTGAGCCTCAGAACTTGGCTCCCAGGGTGTCTGCGCCAGCTGCCACTCTCGGGCCACCGTGGGCCAAGGGCCCAGCCGGGGCTGCGGGACCTCGTGCAGGACCCAGTGATGCAGCCATGGCTGTGTCCTAAGAACACCCCTTCAGCAGTGGGTGTTCCAGGTTTTCCAGAAAGGGGCAAGCCCACCCCGGCCATCCTCACTGAGGACCTCCCCCGCCCCCAGGAGGAACACACCACCCCTTCAGCAGTGGGGGCTGGCCCAGGTTTTCCAGAAAGGGGCAGGCCCACCCCGGCCATCCTCACTGAGGCCCCCCCTCACCCCCCAGGAGGAACAGACGGGAGGCTGAGGTGCCCTGGCGCCCCTCCCCCACATCAGAAGCAGCCCGGGGGACCCAGGGAGCGATGGGGCTGGGCTGAGGGAGGATAGGCGTGGGGACTGGGCTCTGCCACCCTCGGGCCTCCCCCCAGGCACCCGTCTGGTGTGAGTTTTCCAGCCTTCACATGCCAGGACGCAGCCCTCCCAGGCTGGGGAGCCAGGCCCCCTCACCTACCCAGAGACGCAGCCTTGTCCGCCTTGTCCCCTCCTCTCTCCCACACTCGGGTCCCTGAAGGTGTCCACACGTCCCTGCCTCAAAGCCTGCTCCCTCATGGCCCTTCCAAGCTTCTCCTGAGACTGTCTTCTGGAATGTTCTGTGGAAGTGCCTGCCACTGACCATCAAGGCATCCTCTCATCTTCTTGGCCAATGGACTTGGTCAGCTTTCACCCCTCCCCCAGGTGGGCGCTGGGCCTCCCCTGCTTTCCACTTGTTGCTGGCGGAACTCACACCGTAAGGGCGTCTGCGAAGGGGCCCAGCGTGGGGAGGGCAGCGCCTGTCCTCAAAGCCCTGCTCTCGGGGTGGATGTCGGACACCGTCATGCCAGCTGCAGGGGCTGGGGGCATGGGGAGCTCTAGACCCCAGCAGAACCTGGGCGGGATCTTACAAATGATTCCCAGCGGGGCAGCCACACCTTCCTGCTTGTTAACACACGGAGATCATGAGGCCGTCAGCAGCACTGCCTCAGTCTCCCGCTCTGTTTCCAAAACTTCCTGGCTCCGGGATGGGGTCCTCAGGGAGCAGAGTGGCTCCATTGAGGGAGCCGCAGGGAAGGGGCCAGGGCCGCAGGAAGAGTGGAACCAGGAGACCCTCCCCACCCAGCCTCCTGTGCCCTACAGCGCCCCTCAAAGATCCCAGTGTCCAGGAGACAAGTGACCCTCTCCAGTGAGGGTGGGTCAGAGTAGACCCCTGACTGGGCAGATGAGGAGGCTGCTCAGAGGAGGCCTCCAGCCCTCCCTGCCTCACCAGCCTTGCTTTCCTCCCCTCTTCCACGGGAAGCGGAGCTCCTAAATGAGACACCTTAACCGGGGTCTCACCACTTCCGTCCAAGCACACGGTGCCCCTCTTCCCTGGATAGAGGACAGATTCACCTGCGGCCTGCGGCTGTGGCCCACCCACCCCCACCGCCTCCCCACCCGCCAGGCGCCTGCCTGCAGGGTTCCCTTTGCCAGGAACACTGTTCCCAGGCCCGCACACGGCCCCTTCCCTCCTTTTGGGCCCCTCCCCTCACGCCCGCCGTCCTCTGCCTGGGTGGCTCTCTGCTCGGACACTGGTTTTGGGGTCTTCCCAGCCCTGATGGTGGCAGAGGCCACAAGGCAGCCTGGGCCAGGCCTGCCTGCAGGAGGGGCTGGTGAGTGGGGGTGTGGCCATCTGCCCACCCCCTTTGCTCACATTACCCCCCCACTGTGCAAGGAGCCTGGCTCAGGGAAGCCAGCAGACGCAGCCCCCAGGCGGGGCCTTCTGAACAGGTGCTGGTCTGGCACAGGGACTATACCTGGCGGGTGGCTTCATATCCAGGGAGGAGGCTCCGCAGGAGGCCCGTAGACGGGGGTTGGGGGGAAGGGCATGGAAAGGACCTTGCACCCCGCACAGGGCTCTGAGTTGGTGTTGGGGCAGCGGTGGGTCACGGGGCTGCCTGTCTGGGCTCGGTGTGTGAAAGGGTCCCATGGACTTCATGGGTGGAGACCCTTGAGGTCCCACCAGGTCTGCAGTCTGGGACACCCGCAGTGTGTCTGTTCAGCACAGTGTGTCTCAGGCAGGGCCCCGGCCGGCAGCATCCAGGGCACCCCACTCGGGTCAGCGGCTCTGGGACGGGCTGGGCACTCGCTCCCACCAGCCTCGGGGGCTGACGTTGGAGGGCCGCTGCTCTGAGCCATCTGAGGCCATGCTCAGGGACTGCCAGGAGTGAGCCCTGCCCCTGTCCACTCACCGCTCCTCCTGTGGGGCCTGAAACCACCGTTTGGCTGGAGACCCAGGATGTGGACGGCCCCCGCCTGGCCACCAGGTGGCAGCATTCGCCCAGCCAGGGGGTCCAGCCTCCACCTGGGCAGGGCGGCCGCCTGCAGCCTCCAGAGGCACCGCACCTGCCGACCCCACACCCACTTGACCTGCAAACCACCCACGTGCACACCCGGCACCTCCACACACTAAAGGGGACAGACAGGCGGGAATCCCTCGACTGCACACGTGCACACAGCACAGCCTCACCCCTGCGGACACCTGGGCATTCAGACGCATGCCCACAGGCACACACGCATGCACGCACGCACGCACACACGCCTACTCGGCCCCCGGGGTGCACTCAGGTGCCTGCCAGTCGCTCACACAGCCACAGGAGAGAGTGCTGCGGAGTCCCTGCAGGGTTCCCTGAAGGACAGGTGTTTGAGCTGGGAGCAGAGGAGCACTGGGCGTGAGCTGTGCAGGCCCTGTGGGGACCCCTGCAGAGGGAGTGGACACTGAGGCCCGGCCCTGTGCACAGCCAGGGTCACTGTCCACACCAGCCCTCCCCCTGGGCACAGTCAGGGTCACCGTCCACACCAACCCTCCCCCTGGGCACAGTCAGGGTCACCGTCCACACCAACCATCCCCCTGGGCACAGTCAGGGTCACCGTCTACACCAACCCTCCCCCTGGGCACAGTCAGGGTCACCGTCTACACCAACCCTCCCCCTGGGCACAGTCAGGGTCACCGTCCACACCAACTCTCCCAACCTGGGGACTCTGTCTCTCCCACCCAGGATTCTGAGGCCCAGTTTGCCCCAAGACTGCAGAGTCCCTCTGTGGCCAGAACCCCCAATGGGCTGCCCTGAAGCAGCAGGGGGAGGCAGGGAGGCTATGAGTATGCAGAGAGCTCCCATAGACAGCGGCGTTATTTCCCATCATCCACGTCTAGATTCCAAGGCCGCTGGGGAAGTGGGGTAGGAGAGAAGTGGGTGCCCTGGGCCAGGCTGAGGAGACAGAGGGGGCAGGCAGCCGTGGAGGAGACGCAGGCAGGGGAGCACATGCCAGGTGCCCTTGGGTCTCAGCCTGTGGGGCGAGGAAGCAGAGGGAGGGTAGGAGGGTGCCAGTGGTGAGTGGCAGGCCTGGCTTCATCCCCACACCCCACCGCACAGAGAGGAGGTATGCAGGGCAGGGTCAGGGGTTCCGCGGGATGGGGGCACACCCTCCTACCCTCCTCAGGGAACAGTTTACCGGGACGGTTTACTGGGAAACTCATTATTGAAAGCAGGCTCTCCTACACGCTCCTACACCTTGAAGCATCTGCTCTCCTGAGAAGATGTGTGGATGGCCAGGTTCACGCAGTGGGGAGAGGGGGATGGAGAGGGCCGGCCCCGGGGAAGGGGCTGTGTCCCAGTGACTTTGGGGCGGCTAATGTGGGGATTCCTTGAAACACCCCAGAGGTGATGGGACTTGGAGGCCCTGGAGCCCATGGGGAGCTCAGTCCTGCCCGTGTCCTCTGTCCACGTGCCACGTATGGGCCACAGAGATGCAGCTGAAGTTGGGGGCTCCAGCCCCAGTGTCTCCCCCTCCCAGCGCAAGGACAACAAGCAGGTCACGCCAGGTTCCAGCTGGGAAGCAGCGGGAGGCAGTTCCCAATTCTGGGTGGATCGCAGCCCCAGGACAGCCACGCTGAGGCCCAGGGGTGTCTGTCTTTCCAGGCCTGCCCTGGCCTGGGTCCCAAGCCCACGGCCCCTTTCCCCAATGCAGTGTCTGTCTCACTGACCAGCCGCGTGGCTGTGAGGAGAGGAGGCAGAGCTGGTCCTCCCCAAGGCCCGGGGCATGGCAGGGAGGTGAACACACTGCCCCTTGGCCTGCACTGCCCGAGAGAACCCCAGGCCTGCTTCTGGGCCCAAGGAGAGGGCAGATGTGTTCTGCCAGCACCAGGAGGTACCCAGGAGCAGCAGAGCACTGAGCTGGGGGCCAGAGGCCTCAGGCTGGTCACCAGCAACCCCCGACCGGGCCTCAGTTCTTCCATCTGTTAAATGGACGAAGTGACCAGCAACATCCTTTCCAGCCCTGGCTCCCAGCAGCTCCCTCTGAGAGCTCAATTCCAGGCAAGGAGCCGCGGTTCCCTGCGCCCGGCTGGATTTCACACTGCAGGCTCAGTTTCCCCTGTCTGTAAAACGGGCTCCATGAGACCTCCCGGGACTGTGGTGAGAAGGAGACGGCGTTTGTGAACTGCTGGCCTCACGCCAGGCAGTGGCGCTCTCTCTGTGAGGAGAGACGCACACGCTGCGGCTGGCGCCTTCCACACTGACCTGGGCCCCTGCGGCGAGGCTTGCGGAGTCAAAGTCATGCGGTGCTTCCTCGCCCCCCAGGGCCTGGCGCGGCTGGGGCCCTGCCCCTCTCCGACTCCGTCTCCCACCCTCTGTCTCGGTCATCTCTGGCTGCATGAAAAGCCACCCCGGCACTCAGTGGCTCGGAACAACAATCGCGTCTTTTGCTCACAAATCTACCATTTGGGCAGGGCTGGGTGGGCACAGCTCGTCTGCTGCCCGAGGCACCTGCTGGGGCTGGCGTCTCCGAGTGAGCTTCCACCCAACATGGTGATTGAGTTCCAACATCGAGGGTCCCGAAAGACGAGACCCAGACGCCGCCGGCCTCTCGAGGGCTGGGCTGGGAGCCGAAGTGGCGTGGCTTCCCGCACATCCTTCCGGCCAAGCAGTCACGGAGCCAAAATCCAAGACGGGGCCTGGGTCTCCCTGCCCGCACGGAGGTGTGTCACAGATCCGGGGGCCATGTTTTAAAACCATCACCGTTGCCCTCTGGCCACAAATTATTTGTATTCCACCCAGATGCAGGGCACACTCACCCCTCCAAAAGTCTCCCCAAAAGTCTCACCGTGTCTCAGCGTCAGGCTCAGGCCCGGGGCCCTGACATTTAGATAGGGCCAGGTGTGGCTGAGGCCATCGAGTCATTCCTCCGGTGAAGTATGCCCGTGCGTCGGGGTGCAGGGCACGGGGTGTAGGACAAATGCTACCAATGCCCCTGTCGGGAACTGGGAGGAGGGTGGCACATGTCCGTCACTGCCACAGGCGGTTCCGAAGCCCGGGCCCTGCCCCGTACAGTGACTGTGCTGTTAGCCCGGCCACCTGGGGCCTGGCTCTGCACTGGCGTGTCCTCTCCTCGAGGCGGCTGAGTCTGCCGTTCGGGGACCTCCCTCGCTCCCCTGCCTGGTGTCCTCTCCTCGAGGCGGCCGAGTCTGCCGTTCAGGGACCTCCCTCGCTCCCCTGCCTGGTGAAGGTCATGGGGTCCCGGGCCTCTTCACCCTCTGTGTTGTCTCCGCCTCCTTCCATCTCATCTCATGGTGCATCCACCAGAGCAAGGCCCCTTCGACCTTCATGGACAGACCCTTCTCCACTCTGCCAGCCGTGGCTGCTGTGTGGCCGAGCTCTTCCGATTCTGGAGGCCGATGTCCAGATGCAGCAACAGGGTCTTCCTGGGGCCAGACACGCAGTCTTGCAGCCACACCTTGGACCAGCTCCTCACTCTGAGGCCAGGGCTTCCTCCGAGCATCTTTCTCAGCGAGAGAGACTGGAAACGCGTGGCAGTTTTCTTTCCAGCCTGGCATATCCACACTCTCGCATATGGCTCCTAAGTTCTGCTTGAAAACCAAACAGGTCTTCCTGCAGCATCGCCTGGGACCAACCACACAGGCCACAGCCGCTTTCCATGTCCTGCCCGGGCCGTCCTCGCCATCGCGCACAGGTTTCCTGGCTCCTCATCGTGCCTCGGGTCCTGTGCCGAGAGCTTCCCCGGCGGTGCCAGAGGTGCAGCCACTGCGTCCCGCAGCTGTGCGCAGCCCCTGCCTCCGCTCACCCACGTTCGTCTGCACCATCTACGCCCGTGTCACAAACAGCCCCCAAGCTCGTGGCTGAAAACAGGACTGACGACGGACCAAGTTTCCACAGGTCGGCTGAGCGGACTGTCTTCTGGCCTCACCTGGGCTCATTCTGGCAGCTGCCACCCACCAGCAGGTCAGCAGGGGCAGGGCTGCACACCCCCCACCTCCAGGCAGTCTTTCATCCTCAAGGCCCCAGGTCAGGCGTCTTCAGGAAGCCGTGCATACACCTGCTCCGTGAGCCTCTGCTTGCCTCCGATTTGCTGGCGCTCCACTGACCGAAGTAGGTCACAGGGCCATGAGGTCAAGCCCAAGGTGGACAGAGATGGGGGAACTGAGCTGCAGTCCACAGCCTGCCTTGGCCACGTGCTGGCTCCCTCCTCCCGAAACCCTCCCCAAGTGTTACGGGGTCTCCCCTAGACACCTGGTCAGATGGCAACCCCCGCCCCACCTGATTTATAGCACATGGAAGCCCCCCGTGTCGTCTGCTGTCCACTCACTGCTGTTGGCCACCACCTCCGCCTGGCACAGTCCATCACACACAGTGACGACTTGTGTGTGTTCACTGCCTAATCTCAGTACCTGGGTTGGGAGCTCAAGACATATTTATGGATGGAAAGAAGGAAGGGAGGCCGGGTGCAGTGGTTCACGCCTATAATCCCAGCACTTTGGGAGGTGAGCGGATCACCTAAGGTCAGTAGTTCAAGACCAGCCTGGCCAACATGGTGAAACCCTGTCTCTACTAAAGATACAAAAATTAGCCGGGCATGGTGGCAGGTGCCTGTAATCCCAGCTACTTGGGAGGCTGAGGCAGGTAGAATTACTTAAACCCGGGAGGTGGAGGTTGCAATGAGCGGAGATTGCACCATTGCACTCCATTGCACTCCAGCCTGGGGGACAGAGTGAGACTCCTGTCTCAAAAAAAAAAAAGAGAGAAGAAGGAAGGGAGGGAAGAGGGGAAGAGGAGGAGGGAAGGAAGGAAGGAAAGGAGGGAGAGGAGAGAGGAAGGAAGGGAGTCCTATCTGTGATGTACATGACCCCCACTATCAGAGATTAAGAAATGTCCAGATAAGATTTCCTGTCTGCACTGGTATCACCTTGCCCCGCCGGATAAATGGGACAGACAGGCAGTTGCGTGAAAAGGTCACTCCCGGCTGATATCCAAGGACAGTCTCCAGGCAAGAGCCTGGCCATTGGCTCTTGGAGGGCAAAGCTTGTGAGACCCACAGGAGAGGGGCTTATCCAGCGTGCTCCCAGGCCAAGCCCGCTTTCTGCTGTCCCCGGATGTCTGATAGATCAGATGGGTCCCGGCTGAGGGTGGGACTGCCTGAGCCCCGTCTCCAAAGCCAGAGCCAGCCCCAGTGACAACAGGGCCACAGCAGCAGCAGCCCCTGCCCAGGGTGGCCCAGGCAGCATCCCAGAGCCAGCCAGACCACCCCCCATGGCGAGTGGCCTCCCGATTCCTAACTTAATTTATTTTGACATCTCCGCTGCCGCCTGACCTCCTTATGGAGTCATGTGGTATTTAAAACTCATTATCCCCCCCATTGAAACAGGAAGTTAATTAAACCCTTCACAGAGCCAGCTTTGACAAATGTCAGAATGGGCCCCTGGCACGGCTGCCCGGCGGCGCCAAGGCCTGGGGATGACTGGCAGTGGGGGAAGTGAGGCCCTGCCCGGGCGGGGACCACGGGAGAGGTCCTGGGGTCCCTTCCCCTCACTCAGCCACCCCTGTGCGTTTCAGAGCATGCGCGTCCCCGAGAGAGTCCTGCCCTGCGCTTCCCTGCTTTGCTGCTTCAGGCGAGTGACTTCCCCTCTCTGAACCTCTGTTTACAAATCTGGCAAATGGGAATTCTGACAGCTCCTTCTGCAGAGAGCTGCTGTGAGCAGAGTGTGCCGACATATGCAAATGTGCAGCCTGGCTCGGAAGGGCCCTCCGCAGTGTCTGCTGTGGCTGCTGCTGTAGGAGGGCAGCGCTGACTGCGGAAGAGGAGACAGCTGGGCCTGCCCTGCACTCTGGGACAGAGAGACCTGAGCCTGCCTGGGGCACTCAGTGGATTCCCTCAGGAGGGGTGGGCAGACCAGGCCAGGCAACGGAGGGAAGGGTGCACCCAGCAGCCCAATAGCTTGTGCCAAGGGGGACCGCTGGACCCACATACAGGGAGGCTCCAGGATGAAGGAAGGGCAGAGCCTGAGGCTACGACACATGGCTCTTAGGAGGCCCCGCTGGCTTCACCCTTCCATCAGGGACCAGCCAGGGTGGGGGAGAGTGGGCAAGATGAGGCTGATGAAGGTTTGGAGCAGGGTGGGAGGGGCCTCTCAGAGCCATAAGGAAGTGAAGTCACAGATCCTGGTGACAGGCCAGCTGTGGGGAGTGGTGGGAAGCAGACAGAGGAGTTGGGTGCAGCCTGGTTCCGAGGCCCTCACGTGGCCTGACCTCCAGGTGCACCAGCCCTGCAGCCACTGCGGTCCCTGGTCCACCCACCCCGGCCTCCAGCTTCTGCCCCTGCACCCTCTCCGCCAGAAATGCCCTTCTCTCTCCCATCACTCTTTTTTGATCATCCTCTTCATCCTCATCCTTCAAGGTCCAGCTTAAGTTCCTAGAACATTCTGTGGCTCCTTGAGTCACAGCTCAACAGTCGGCCTGGCACATAGGTGGTGCCACAATTAGCCCCTCACCCATCCACAGCTGCTGCCCAGCCCCGGGTGGCCTTCCTGAGCTCTCCCCGGGAGACTGCCGAAGAGGAGACAGGTGGGCCTGCCCTGCACGCTGGGGCAGCTCGGCACTGGCCCGTCAGAGGAGCCAGGTCCATGGCCGGTAGCCCACAGGTAGGAGGGAAAGTGGCAGAGCCAAGACTCGAACCCAGTTTTCCCAACGTCCCATTCAGGGTGAAGAACATGCGCTCTGGAGTGAGAGTTCCTGGGCTCCCTCCCAGCTCCAGCACTTCCAAGACGTAGGACCCCTGAAAAGCAACTGGTCCGCTCCAAGCCTCAGTTTCTGCATCTGTAATATGGTGGTAACTTGAGCCCCCACCCCAGCCAGTTGTGCAAAGGTGGCACGGACCTGGCACAGCCTGGAAGCACAAAGTCAGTGCTGTGCTGGTGATGCTGACACAGGTCCCGGAAAGGGGAGAGGAGGCTGGGGAGCTGGGAGAGGAGGCCATCTCAGAGTGCCTCCTCCCTTACCTCCAAATGTACAGGGTCGGCAACGCACAGGAGAACCTCCCCTGAAACCGACCCAGCATCAGGGGCAGGGCTGAGGCAGAGTAGAAGCATAGTAAGGCATTTGCCCCATCACACCCCTCTACTCCTAATAGAAGGCTGGAATTCCATGTCCACTGGCCCAGCCCACCCCTGCACACCCCCACTTCTCAAACCCCAAAAATGTCTTCTTTGGGCTGAGGTTGTTTTTGGAGGGGAGGCAGTCTCCAGGCCACTGCCAGACAGCACTTCCTATGTGTTCCAGGCCCTGCTCTCCCTGGGAGCCAGCAGGGGAGAACCCAGTGCAGCTCCTGAATGCAATTCCAACTTCCCCACCAGTGACTTTGGATGTGAATCTCAACACACCTCGAGAACATGCAGGGGCAGATGGAAACTGGGGTTCACAATGGGCAGCAGGTGGGGGGTGGAGGTCCTAGGTGGGCTCAGCCTGGACAGCCTCAGCAACCCCACGCCCTGTTCCTCTCCCACCTGATCAGGGACTCCTGGAAAGCCCCACTTGGATGTCACCTTCTCCAGAAAGCCTTCTCTGATTTCCCCAGGCAGAGATGGCCGCTCCTGCTCTGGGCTCCCCCAGACCATCCTCTAGACAGCATGCCTTGTGTCTCTTCCTCAGTGTATGGTTATCGTCATGACCACCCTGAGGGTTTAATGGTGTGTGCAAGGTCCTGCAGCTTTACCACTCGACATCAGCAGGCAGCCTCCCCTCTTGGCTGCGGTTTTCTCATCTGTAATAATGCCTTCCTCCGGGCAGGTAGAGGGACAGAGTGTAGAAGGAATGTGCTACAAAAGCAGCCCTGGCAGGGTTAGGGGACCTGTGACCGGTGCAGGGGCACAGGGCCCGAGCTGGGAAGGGCACCACACCGGGCTCAACATCCTGCCCTTGATGCCCTGGGGTTTTGGGGTTTGGGGGTTTTGATCAAGGGGGCTCCACATTTTCATATTTTCATTTTGCATGGGGCCTTGCAAGTGATGGAGGCAGGGCAGCAGGCTGTGGTCTGGACCTGCCGCCTGCCCCCTTCGCTGGCTTCCCTGGGCATGTCCCTCCATGTTTTCATCTATATATGGGCTCATAGAAATAAATCAGATCAGGCAAAGCAGCAGCCAAAATGATCCCCATCGTCTCCTCCTGCAGCCTAGACAGACATCAATCATGGATGATCATGGCTGTCTCCTGTTGACCCTCGGAATCCACCTCAACACAGATCTCCGCCCGTTCCAGCAGCGCCAGCCTGGGTGCCACTTGCTGTGCGTGGAGCTTCAGACCCAGCCCAGGTGCCAGCCCATGGCCACCTCCTCCAGGAACTCCCCTAACTCACAGGTCCACATACTCTAAAGTGGACTTCTTTGGGGAAGGAGGCGAGGCCTGGTGGGAAACCCAGACAGGTAGGTGCTCCATCCAGTTGACAAGCACTGGGTGGGGGCGGGAGGGTGGGGGGGAGGTCCTAGGTTGAGTGAACCAATCAGACATGGGCCCCACCCCCTCCAGAGAGCAGCTGTGGGAAGGCTGTGCCCACTGGACCCTGGCAGAGAGCAGGAAGGGCTGGAGGACCCGTATGCCCCTGGGCAGCTCTCTTGGCCTCCTGGTCTCAGTGTTCCTGTCTGTCCATGGCAGTGGGGAGGGACGGCGCATATCCAGTGTTGTACCCCTGCCTCTCCTACCCACCCGCCACTCTCCTGTACCAGGCTCTGAGGGTAAGCCCCCACTTCTCCCCTTCCTTGGAGCCAGGGAATAGGTCACAGAAGTTGGCACGAGATGGGGTCTTAGGAGCTCCCAGCAGGCTGGCGGGTGGTGTGACAGTCCTGCTGTGCGATGATCTCATCATCAGGTGGGAGGGGTCCTTCCTGTCTGCCCCTGGGCCCACTGACGCCCGTTTCTTATGAGTACGGGGGATGGGGGAGCAGGTAGCAAGTGTAGACCGAGAACATTAAAAGGAGATGATACAACTCAGCTGGGAGTGGGGGACAGCCCCCCAATGCGTGACCTTGAGCAAGTCCCCGAGCCTCCGTGAAGTGGGGCTCTTGAACACACCCCAGAGGGCAACAGTTCTCCATTTCCAGGCCTGAGCTGACAGCACCGCGCCCACAAACCTCGCTGACCTCTGACTGCTCCGAGAGGGGGCTGTGGCCCGGGCGCTGTGGGCAACTCCTTCGTGGGTCTCCTGCGGGGCGCCCTGGAGAGGCTCGGTGAGGAAAGAGGCCCCAAGTGGCAACGCCCAGGGCTGCCGGCTCCCGCGCCCCCTCCTCGATTTCCAGCCTGGTCTGAGCTCACAGGGGAAGACCCGAGATCCTGCTCTCAGTTGGCGGACCCCACCGCAGTCTGGGACGGAAGCCCCCTCCCTGGCCCGAATCCGCTCCACACCCCAAGTCTGGCCCAAGAGAAACGTGGGCGTCAAGGCCTCGGGCTTCCTGAGCCGGTTGTCACTGCCCCCACCGCGCACGTGGAGCGTGCGGCAGAGCCCAGGGGTCTAGGGAGGGACCAAGGGCTGGGGGCGGAGTTACAGTGCGGGGGCGGAGCCTCGGCGTCTCAGGACCCAACCAGGTCGGGTCAGGTTTGGAGGCGGAGCTGGCGCCGAGAGGCGGGGCGCAGGATGCGGTGCCGCGGGGCAGCAGAACAGAACCGAATAGGTCTCAGACTCCCAGCGCGGCCTGGGGACATGACCTCCGGGCCAAAGAGGAGTGGGGGAGGCTAGAGGTCTCCCCGGGGCGCGGGCGGGGCCGAACCAGGAAGGGGCGGGGCATCGAGCGGGGCGGGGACAGTGCCTTGAAGGCCCAGACGGACAGGGGCGGGGCCGCAGCGCTGGGGTCGGAGCCAGCGCCGTAAAGAGCGAGGCGGGCGGGGGCGCGGTCGCGGCTCTGGGGGCGGAGCCAGAGCAACGAAGAGCCGGGCTGGCGGGGGCGTGGCCGCGGCGCTGGGGGCGGAGCCGGAGAGGTGCAGGGCCCGGCAGGAGGCACGGGGCGGGGCCGGAGCGCCGGGGGCGGGGCGGGAGGTGCGGCGGCCGACGACGCTCAGGCCCGGCCCCGCCCCGTGCCTCCAGCCCGCCAGGAGCGCCCTCGCAGTGGCCGCCTGCTCCGCCGCTCGCCGCCCGCGGGTTCCATTGAGAAAAGCCGAGCGGCCGCGGCGGCGGCGGCGAGTGCGCGGGAGCGGAGGAGCCGGCACCCGCCCGTCGGGCAGTCCGCGCGCCCGCAACGCAGGACCGTGGCCTCTCGGGCCTCCGCGGCAGCTCCAGCGGCTCCGGGGCTGGGCGCGCGGGCTGGGGGCGCGGGCCGGGGCGGCCGCGGAGACCGGGGGCCGGGGGCATGAGCGGCCCCGCGGCCCCGCCGCGCCCCCGCCGCCCGCCGCCGCCCGCCCGGGGCTAGAGGCGGCCGCCGGGAGGGCGCGCGGCGCCGGAGACATGTCCAGGCGGAAACAGAGCAACCCCCGGCAGATCAAGCGTGAGTCAAACTTTGCCCGCGGTCCCCTCCGCGCGCCCGACCCCCGCCGGAGCCCAGCCGCCAGCGCCGCCCCCGCCCGTCCCCGCTCTGCCCTGGGCGCCGGCGACCTTCACCCCGCGCCGCGCCCCCCGCGCTGTGCCAAGCGCGCCGTAATCTAATCTCCGCCGGCGGCCTGGGCCCCCGCGTCTCGGCTTGGGCACCGGGGGGTTCAGCCCAGGAGGGGGCCGCCCGGAGGCCGGGAGGAGGGTGTTTGGGGGCGCGGCCCGGGCAGCTCGGCCCCTCGCGGCCTGCCCCTCCCCCGCATCTGCGAGATGGTGCGGCGATAGGGCGGCCCCGATCTGGGCTCAGATAAAGTTTAAAATATTACATTCTGCAAGTCCCGTCCTGATAAGATCGTTCTGTCGGGACGGGCTGAAATTGTGATCTTATCTCGCGCGGTTGACTCTCCCAGGCTTTGTATCTAGAAGCGAAGAGAGAGACCTGGGAGGCAGAGGGGACACCCGGGGCCGCGGAGATGCCTGGCCAAGTGGCAGGCACCGGCCCGCGCCCACCCCCACCGGTGCCGTCGCAGAGCCGCAGGACAGGGGAGGGGGTAGCGCGCAGCTGCCGCAGCCTAGGCACTTGGCTCCAGCCCCCCAGACACCCCCACCCCGTGCCCTAGCGCTGAAGTCCTGAACCCAGGCCCCGCCAGCCTGGTGACACCTCCTGGACCCTGCAAGTGTCCCAGCCAAGGCGGCATGGGCAACAAATGGTGCCCTCGGATGCCCGCGGGCACCCCCTGGCATCCCAATGGGCTGCTCTGAGTCAGAGAAGGGCCTCCCAGGACGCAGCCCCGGGCCGGGGTCGCCCCTGCACGCCACTAAGTTTCTCGCTGGTCCGGCTCCCTGCCCGGTCAGAGGCTGCTGCCCCGCCGCCACATTGCCAGTGCCCCCGCGATGAGAACTAAGCTGTCGGGGCCACTGTCTGGCCTGGGCCTCTGGGCTGTGCCAGGAGGGAGCAAGAGCACAGGAAGCTACCCTCCCCACCCTATGCCAATAATAACTTTGCGCCTCACAGTTAGGGCCCAGACGCAGGTCTTCCTCCCCGGGGCGCCTCCCCGGAGCCTGACGGGCAGGTCGTCTGAGCCCTGCCAGGAGGCCACGACGGAAACCCGCCCGCTGCCCAGCCGTAGGCGCCCGGGCACTACCTCCTTTGTCCACACGACCACTGCCACCAGGACCCCTTGTGCGGGGCCTGTGGGAGCTTCCCTACTCAGGAGGTCTCCCGAGGCGGGGGTCACAGGCATGAACCGGTTCCCGTAACCCAACTCCCTCAGCGCAAACGGGACCTGTTTTCCGAAAGTCGCCTTCTATCGTGTCAACTCAAGTATTAAAAGCCACCCACAGGTCCCGATCCGCGCTTGTGCTCTGGTTTCTTTTTCCTTCCTTCCCTGAGCGCCTATGTTCGGTTCTGGGGTGTGTGTGTGTGTGTGTGTGTGTGTGTGTGTGTGTGTGTGGTGTTTCACTGTGATGAGAAATGCAGATAGCTCGGACAGGGAGATCGCAGGTTGGAAACCGATCTCCAGCGCTGATAAGGCCGCCAGCGCCAGCGAGAGCCCGTAGCCCAGCCCAGCGGGGCGGGCAGAGCGCGCGCACTTTGGGAACTGGGACCGCGGCGGGTGCACGGTGAGCCACCGCGGCCCATCCTCGTTGCGGCCCGGGACCGGGGCAGAGAAAGGGCCCGGACGAGGAAGGCAGGGCCGCGGACCCTCCCTGTCGCTCGCGGCCCGGGGCGCCTCCTCCCCATGGCAGATCTCAGCACGTTAAGATGCGAAGGCTGATTGTCACCAAGCGGCGGCGCCCGCCCGCCCGCCCTCTTGCCAGCGCCTGTGCCTGCCCGCTGCCCTGGCCTCACCTGCGGCCGGGCCGCGAGTGCAGAGCGGAGGGGGCCGAGCGCTTCGGGCCGCCCACCCCCCACCCGCGCCCCCATCAAAGCCCTGGCGCAGCTGCCCGCGCCTCTGTGCGCCTTTTGTTCCGTGCGGAGATAGATGTGCCGCGCTGATAAGGCGCGCAACCGATGGTGGCTGAGATAGGCGCTTCCATTTATTAACTTCAAACGTGGGAGCGGGGGCAGGGCGAGGCGGGAGCGCGGCCTTGGCCGGCCAGATGGCGGAGGCGATAGGCCGGGCTGCCGACGGGGAGCGCGGGGCCGGGGCAGCTCGGGACCCCCGGCGCCCCCAGCCCGCTGGGTTTTCCTCCCGCCCGAGTCGATGTGAGCTCCGATAAGAGCCTGGCCGGTCGGCCCGATGGCGATCGCCAAGAGCGATAAGAGGCCTTATCTTTGGCCACCAGGCCCGGCCGGGTTGGAGAACAGCGCGGGGGCGCCGCGACTGGGGCGAGTGGGGGCTTGGAACGGCCCGGGTTGGGGCCGGGGAGCCGGCGTCCCTGCGCTGGTCTGTCTGGGGGAGTTTTCTCCCCAAACACACTTAATTGCCAAGAAGTTGATCCTCCCCTGTGGCCGGTGGTACAGTCCGTCAAAATGAAAGAAAACTGGCTTTGCCCCGGCCAGGAGGGGGAAGGGGGAGGACACCCCGCCCCGAGTCCTCGTAGATGGTGCGAGACCGCTAGAGGTGGGTTTGTCACCTCCAGAGGGAGAGAGGGTGTTTTCCCCTTGAATCATGCTGGTGTTGCTGGTAGTTCCTAGCAAGAACCAAGTGTACACTGCTTGGAGTTTTCTTGAAAAAAAAAAAATCAAGGTGGTTTCCATGGCCCAGACTGCTTTGGGGGAGGCCAGTGTACCCTGGTGTGGAGGCGCTGCAGACCTGCCTGGGCTGAGCACTGTTTGCTGAGCACTACTGCATACAGGCCCTGGGTCCCAGTGGCAAACGAGAGGGGCAGAGGGGGCAGCCAAGGGGAGCAGGGGGCACGTCAGGTGGTCAGGGACACTTCTTGGAAGGGGGTGACCTTTGGCACAGTAGGGCTGGCCTCAGTTTTCCACTGCTGTCGGGGGAGCAAGGGCTGAGAGGCGCCTGGGGCTGGGGGGCCAGCCTGTGCCAGCAGGTGCGAGTGAGGTCGGGAGTGATGGAGTTGGTCAGGTCCTTGGTCTCCCACTCTGAAAAATGGAATCAGGAATAGGTCCCCAGGGCTGTGGGAGTCCCCAGGTCAGGCTGGAGATATTGAGGGTCCACCGAGGCACTTTGCAGTGGAAGGGCCCATGGATCCCACAGGCCAGATAGAACCCTAGGCCATCTGGGTAGGGCCTTCCGGAAGGAGCCGGGGAGGGAGGGTCCCTGAGCCCCTCCTATTCCAGCCCAGGCAGCTGCTGCAGCTCAGAACAAGGTGTTTTTCACACACTCTCAGAGTTTGATTAAACAAATTATTGGTAACCACAGGATGACTAATTCACTCCAAGCTTCAAAGTCACCCACCTGCTCTCCCCAGCAGCCCAACGCCCACCCGTGGGGCTGGCAGTGCCATCTGGCAAGGGCCATTTCCAGTTCCAGAGAGGGCTGGGTTGGGCCCAGAGGGAGATGGGGTGGTTTCTGTGATGTGTTATGAACATGAGTGGGATGTCAGCACAGAGCCATCCACACTGGCCTTCCATGCGTGGGAGGCACCCGGGTGTTGAGGCTGTCAGAGGCCACCTTACCATGCTCATGACCCAGAGTGGTGGCAGAGCATCCAGGAAAGAAGGGGCTTTGGCAGCCTGGCTGACCCTGGTGCTGAACCACAGGGGACAAGTTACTGTGCTTTCCACAGCTCTCAGTTTCCCCCTGTTGGAAACATGGATATGATAGTGTCTGCCATCCAGGGGCTGCAGGTCCTGCTCTCAGCTTACCTGGTCCTTGGCCCAGTTGCCTCGTCCCCAGTCACCATCCTGAGGGGAACGGTGCCTGCAGCCTGCTTGATGCTTAGGCTGCGAAGCCATCATTGTCATCTCAGAGTCCTGATCCCAGCCACGTTTTTCTCTCTTTCTCTCTCTTTTTTTTTTCCTTAGTTAAAATTTTTTTACAAAATAGACATGGAGTCTCACTACGTTGCCCAGGCTGGTCTTGAACTCCTGGGCACAAGCTATACTCCCAGCTCAGCCTCCCAAAGCACTGGGGTTCCAGACACGAGGCACCGCACCTGCCCTCAAGCCACATTTAGCAGAGGGAATTAGAGATCGGGAGGTACTCTCAAGGCCCCCCACCCCTAAACCTGGACTCCAGCAGGGTCTGGCGGACCCCGGAGTCCACGCCGTCACCCAGCTCTGGGCCGATTGTGGTTTACCCCCTTTCCTGGGCCTTAGGGAAGGCAGACAGCTCATGATCATTTGATGGTAAGAATAATATTCATAACAGCCAATGCTTAAGAGCCCTCTCTGTGCCAGGCTGTGTATTAACTTAAAGCAGGTCCTCTTCTGATCACTATTTTACATCTGGGGAAACTGAAGCACAGAGAAGTTTCTCGCCCAAGCAAGTGATGGAGCTAGAGTTGGAACCCAGGCGGCCGGGCCTGCGCTCCTTAAGGGTGTGTCCGTGAGCACCGCGCTGCCTTCTCTCCATCCTCCGGCTTCTGTCTGCCCTGCCACCCTGAGCCTCTCTCAGCCTCAGTCTCCACATCTGTGAAATGGGCCTTTGGGACCAGAGGCCCTCTGAGGTCTTTCCCCAGATGGCCTCCTTCCTAAGACATGACTGCAAGGGGGAGGGGGTCCCCTGGGAGGCTCATCCGGGCCTTCCTTGGGCCTGGGACTGCCGTCAGCCCCGCCAGCCCCTCCCTGGAGGTCACCAGGAACCCAGTGTGGCATCCAGCACCACTGGGGATTTAAATGGGTCAGTTGGAGAAGAAAGGAGGAGGGAATGTGATGCCATTAATTGTGCCCCTTATCTCCTGTTTCTATGCCAACCAGACGTTCCTGGGCTTGACGGGCTTGTGAATAATACTCCCGCTGGCCTATCTGCCATCGACAGCCTCCTCCTGGAGGCAGCTGTTGCCTGGCCGATTGGTATCACCAACCCCATGGACCCGGCCCGGCCACACTCGGGGCCCTGGTGGGGCTCCTGCCCACCTGGCCACCATACCCGTGGGTATTCCTGGAGGTGCCCAGTGGCTCCTGACCCCATTTCACAGAGGGGGAAACTGAGGCTACAGCCACAGGTCTGCTCTCCAGACCTCGTCTGCCACCCTACACTCAGGCAGGAGTGGCCCAGACTGAAGGGAAGGGGGTTCCAGAACCTGCAAAGGGGTCATCTGCGCCCTGCCTGGTGAGTCCCGCCACTCTGGATGCGCTGTCCTTGCTTGTGTCATTAGGAGGCAGATGACCCCATGGGTGAGGGATCAGCCACCTGCAAGCTGCAGGCAGCGCATGTGGCCTTATGGACCAGGGGAGAGCCGGCGCCCGTCAGGGCTGAGCCCCTCGTTAGGGCCTGTGTGCAAGTCGAGACTTGGGTGGCTCCTCTGTGGCTCCTTTTGGCCCCTGGAATTTGCCTGTGTGCAGGCGGCCCCCATGCAGCTCCTTCAGAGGCCCTGTCCACACCTGCCTGATGGCCTTGCCAGCCCATCCTGTCACCCACTCCCCGCTCAGGCCCACAAGCTCTCTGAGAGCAGGACTGGGTCAGTCCCGTCCCCACAGAGTGGGCCTCCCGGAACTCTGTCAGATAAATGACCAGAGGGACGCTCAGCTCAAAATAGACATGGTCTGCTCACACCACAGCTCTGCCACTTACTGGCCGTGGAACTATGGGCAAGGCCTACCCATGTGAGCCTCCGTTTTCCCATCTGCAAAGTGAGCGTAATGATAGTACCTGCCCCCTGAGCACTGTTGTAAGAATGGAAGGAAAATACCTGTTATCCGAGACAGCTGCTACTAACCCTCTCCCCCTCCTACCCTTCTCCTTCCTCCCCTTCCTCCTCCTTCTCTTCATTCCCCCCTCCTCTTCTTCCTCCTCCCCCTCCTCCTCTTTCTCCTCCCCCTCCTCTCCCTCCTCCCCAGCAGCCTAACGCCCACCCATGGGGCTGGCAGTGCCCTCTGGCAAGGGCCTTCCTCCTCCCCCTCCTCCCCTTCCCCCTTCCCCTCTTCCCCTTCCTCCTCCCCCTCTTCCTCCTCCTCCCCTTCCTCCTCCCTCTCCCCCTCCCCCTTCCCCTCCTCCTCCCCCTCTTCCTCCCCCTCTTCCCCTTCATGGTCAATCACTTGGGTGAGATCTGTGGTTTCCAGCTTATCTGAGATGGAGCAATCCCTCTTCCCAAGCTGTCTCCCAGGACAGCCCAGCATGTGAAACACACAGGGGCCCTGCCTTGGAAGGGCCCCTCAACCCTGCTGCTCACATAGCTCACTGCGCTGGCCCCAGGTTCCAGGTCAGGGCAGCCCCTGACACCCACCCTCTAGCTGGCTGGCCCTTCCCTCCAGCGCATCCCGACTCCCCAGGCTGTGTGGCCTTGGCATACTCTTGCCCTCTTGGGCTGGGGCTTCCCTTTGGCGAAGGCAGCGAGGAGGGGCTGAGATGATGCTCCTGCCTGTGCCTGTCCACCTCCCCACCCGGCTCTGGGAGGGTCTGGACCAAGCCAAGCCAGAGGGGTTTTGGGTCCAGGCAGCCAAGCGAGAGGCCCAGGGTTTATCGAGGGTCCCCAGCCTACTGTTGGCAGGGCCCGGAGAGCAGTGGGCTGCTCTCAGCCTGGGAAGGTGGGTCAGGAGGAGTGGGGTTCTTCACAGGAAGGCACACTGGCAGTTCCTGGGGAGCTGCCTGCCATCTTTCTGGGCCCAGGCAGTGTCATGGTGGCGGCCCTCCCTGCCTCGGTTGGTTCAATGGGCATACCCATTTTTCAGATGAGGATGAAAAGGTCCTAAGGGGCCAGGACTCAAGTCCTGCCCTGGTGCGAGGAAGAAACAGGGGAGATGGTCTGGTCCTGCCCTCTGCCCAACACCAGCCTTCATGTTTAGCACGTGGCACTGACTTAAGGACCCCAGAGTGAGGATGGAGGGTGTGGCTCTCAGCCAGGTGGCCTCAGCCAATGCCCACCTTAGAGACTCCGCTTTAGAGTGGGAATAACAGGGTCCCTCCTATCCGAGCTGTGTTGGGTAGTCTAACAGGGCTGGTATACAGTAGGTGCTTAAATAGCAGCTGTTTGGAGCAGACCCCTGGTCCCGCGTCAGGAAGAGGACCTGACTTATTCATGCCGGGTGACATGGTGCTCCTACTCCCGTGGGCCTCGGCCTCCCAGCTGTTCATGGGGCCACTGGGCAGGCTAAGGACTGAGGGATGGGAGGCCTGGTGAGGACCGAGGGGCGGGGCGGGAGGCCTGGTGATGACCGAGGGGCGGGGCGGGAGGCCTGGTGAGGACCGAGGGGAGGGGCGGGAGGCCTGGTGAGGACCGAGGGGTGGGGCGGGAGGCCTGGTGAGGACCGAGGGGCGGGAGGCCCTGGTGAGGACCCAGGGGCAGAAGGTCTGGTGAGGACCAAGGGGCAGGAGGCCCTGGTGAGGACCCAGGGATGGGGCGGGAGACCTGGTGAGGACCGAGGGGCGGGAGACCTGGTGAGGACCGAGGGGCGGGGCGGGAGGCCTGGTGAGGACCCAGGGGCGGGAGGCCTGGTGAGGACCCAGGGGTGGGGCGGGAGGCCCTGGTGAGGACCGACGGGTGCGAGGCCTGGTGAGGACCAGGATGCTTGCTGGGGAGTCCCCAGGTTCCCACCCCATCCCCACCGCAGGGGCTTTGCCCCGCCACCTGGGCTGCACCCTCAGGGCTCCGGGTGGTTGCCGGCCTTCAGCTCTGGAGAGGGAGGTGACCAGTCTGGGGACCGCTTCGGACAACAGCGCAACCTCACGTCCTGGCCTGGCCTTGCTGTGACCCTTTGGCCAGTGGCTGTATCTGGGGCCTCTGTTTCTCTCTTGAAGGAGGAGCTTGATGAGAACACCTCCTTCCCGGCTGTTGTGTGGGGTGCAGGCTGGGAAGGGCTGTCCTAGGGACACGTCTGTGAGGGACTTTGCTGCCTCTGGAGCTGCCGGTTGCATTATTGATATTTTGCCAAAAGCCCTGAGGGTTGGACGTTAAGCAGAGTCCCGCTGGCCCTCCCCTCCTTCAGGCGTTAGGTTTTGAAGGGAGGAGGGACTCTGCCTGAGTGTGCCACGCCCTGGACTGGGCTGGCCTCACACCCCAGCCCCGGCTGTCCTCTTCTTGCCCGGAGATCTGACCCACTGCTAAGATCATCGTTGGCACTGGCCAACCCATTTTACAGGAGAGAAACGGAGGCCCTGGAGGCGTGACATGTGTGAGGTTATGTGACGTGGGAGCTGGGGCCGTGGACCCTGGGGGTGGGCCCAGGTTTCTCTGGGCACTGCCCACTCAGCACCCCCAGGCCACCAGCCCTACTGCATCGGCCGGCGGCCTCCCCATCTCCTCCTCCCTCCCCAGCTGCCTTGTGTTTTGGGGGAAGGCAGTGGTCCTGCTGAGGCAGGAATGTGGTGGCTGATCTTGGGCAGAGCCGCGTGAGCAGATAAGCAGGCCCCTCCCCTCAGCCTCCTGTGCCTCCGTCTGCTTCCCCAGCTTCCCCTGGGCTGCTGGCTGTGGTCTTGGGAGCCTCAGCTTCCCCGGCTGTGAAATGGGTGTTGGGGGCTGGTGGGCAGCTTCCGAGAGCTCAGGCCCTGACTCCCCTGGTTCCCTCAGTTCCCCACCTGGAGCTGAAGTGAGCCCGGCGTGCTGAGGGCTCCTGTCTGCTAAGTGCCTTACGGGCATCCCCGTTCTGCCCTTCTCCAGACACCACTTAGCTTTGGGTTCTCCACCCATTTCGCACGTGAGAAAATCGGGGGTCAGAGAGGGTGGGTGGCTGCGCTAGAGTCTCACAGCACACAGTGGTGCTCTGGCTGTGGAGGCAGCGGCAGGGCAGGGTGACCCTGCTGTGCCTAGGACCTGCATGGCTGCCTGTGCCTAGGACCTCCTGGACTGTCAGGGGTGTGGCTTCCTGAGAAGGAGAGGGCAGCCACCGCGGGCTTCCGGGTTGTTCCGGGAGCTTCCCTGTGGGCCGCCATGGTTGGAATCCTGGAGTGGAGAATCCTAGACCCTCTGTCATTATAGGGAGGTTACCTTGCTTCTCCAAGCCTCAGTCTCCATCTCTGCAAAGTGGGGGTATCGTAAGGCACCAGGCTGGGCTCCAGGGTTGCCCGGTCTTCGTGCAAGTCACTCAGCCACCCTGAGCCTCAGTTTCCCCACTATAAAATGGAGCAGTGATGCTCACCTCACGGGGCTGTGAGGAGCGATGCCACCCAACACGGGAGGTGCAGCCCGGGCCAGGGCCCCCTGTGGTCTGTAACAAAATCCACACAAACAGGGCAGGGGCCCCCCTCCCCTCCCCAGGTTGCTGACGTCCCTCAGGTGTCTCTGTCACGGCTGGCCTTGCGTGGGCCCACTCCTTCCCACTTCCTTCTGGGCACCTGCACCCATCACCGCCTCCTGCCCCAACTTCCCTTTTTTCCATCAAGCTCCCACTTCCCAAGTCAGACCCAGGGAGCAGGAGCGGAGGAGGCCCCAGGGCCAGGTGGTCGTGGCTCCTTCCCGAAGTGATGCATGAGGAAAGACCTGCTGGGTAGTCCTCCGGGGACAGGGGACAGGGCCTCACGGTTGATGGCGCATCTATCCTGGACATCCTCAGCCCCCAGTGAGGGACCAGGTGCCTGCAGCTGCCCCCTCAGCCTCTCTTGGGGTTCCTCTGGCAGCAGGCGCCCAGACCCTCGTGATGGGAGGGGAAGCCAAGACTCAGAGCCATCAGTGGCCACAGGGCCCTCCCCCGGATGTGACCCCAGGACCTAAGCCGCTCTCCACACTCAGCCCCCAGGTTCACCGGTGTCACAGCACCTACTGGGCATTTACTAGGCCCCTGCCTCGCACTAGGCCACCGTGCCCAGGATTTGATAGACGTGGCCTCACGTCCTTCTCCCGGCAGCCTTTGAAGGAGGCCCAGTGTGCAGATGGGGAAACTGACGCTTAGAGAGTTTCAAGGTCAGCCCCAGCCCCGGAGCTTGAGCTCCTAGATCTGGGCGGGGAAACCACCCGGCAAATATTTTGAGGAGGGAACGAGAGGAGGGCAGCAGTGGTGGTTTTCATAGGAGACCTTTCCCTGCTCCCGCTGGGCCAGGGGACGCCCGTCTTCAGGCTGAGGAAACTGAGGCCTTCCTGTGTCTCTAGGCAGATCCAGCTCTGGCCTCAAAACTGTGTCCTCTGGCTGTGTGACCCTGAGCAAGTCCCTTCCCTGCTCTGGGCCAAGGTGGCCACTGCAGGGCCTTAGAAATGTAGGAAAGAGATCAGAGCCACGGCTAGACCTGGCACACGTAGGGCAGGGCCAGCCCTGGGCACTTCCAGGAAGTCCCAGACCATGGGATGGGGCTCCAGCCAGCCAGGAGCCCTTGATCGAGGTGTTTGTTCTATACCCCGTGGTCCATCGGTCAATCCTTGGGGGCTGGAAGGAATGGATTGGAGGCTCCTTCTTCCCAGTGGACAGAGGTGCTCTGTTTAGGGCCTGGGTGCCGCGTCTCAAGGAAGGGCCCTGAGGAGAGGTGAGCAGCCCCTCAAAATTTAAGGGTGCACTGAGCACACCTGGGCCCGAGGGGCCGAGGCATGTGAGCCGTGCCTAAGGTTGAGACCCACAGGGGCAGGGCCCCCAGGTGCCCCCAGGCTGCCTGTTTATGACTGATAGTTCCCGACTCCAGGCCTGGGCCCTGGATATGCTCCCAGAGGGGACGGGACACCCTGCAAGTCCCAAGGCAGGAGGACGGGGTGTTTGCACCTCAGTCCTGCTGCTGTCCCCAACACCACCTACCGTCTTTCCACTTCGTGGGCCTGGAACAGCTCAGGAAGGCTTGGGACTACCCCAGCCTTCTTGGGACCTTGAGGCAGTCAGCCTCAGTTTCCCCCATTGCTCATAGGCCCACACCCAGCTCCACCAAAACCAAACATTTTCCCAGAAAGCAGAGAGACCCCCTACCCCCGCCATGGCAATGGTCGGTGGGCACCCAGGCCCTCTGGGGCCCTGGCTCAAGCCGATCATTCCCATACCCTTCCAGCTCTACAGGCTGCGGCCTGGTCCGCCCTGCACTGTCTCCTGGTCCGGGCCTCTGGCGGGCACAGGTTTCAGCTCCTGCGATAACTGGGAA
The DNA here is from genome assembly GCF_000001405.40 of Homo sapiens. Lineage (NCBI taxonomy): Eukaryota > Metazoa > Chordata > Mammalia > Primates > Hominidae > Homo > Homo sapiens. The sequence continues at coordinate 88,464,777 of NC_000016.10, forward strand.
AGTTGAACTGGCCCCATTACTGCGCCAAGATGGTGAGTGAGATACAGCCTTGATAATGGAGGAGATACCAGCTTCTCGGTGGCCAATAGCCCAGCCTCTCCACCCATTAACATTCCCCACCAGCGATCCGCTGCCTATCTCGTCCATTTCCACTCCTCCCGAAGATAAGAATGGAAATTCTGACTTCATAGCTCACTGATTAAAGTGTCTGGATTTCTTGATAATACATAGATAAATTATGTTTTTGAAAAAGAAGGTAGGGAGGAGGGTGAGGAGGATGGGGGCCTGGGGTGGGTGGGAGCCCTTGGCCGTTTCTCCCAGCCTCTTTTGGCCCCTGGGCCAGACCATGAACCACAGAGCATCCGGCCTACACCGCAGCGGCCTCTGCACAGACCCCGTGTCCGGAGGTGCAGAGTTAGCTCACAGCAGGGCCCGGGCTGGGGAGACACAGGCAGGGCGCAGCGTCTGCTCAGAAGACAAACAGCAGAAACATGTCATAATGCTGGAAACAGGCTGGTGCTGGGAGCTAGTAACCGTGGCCCACAGGCCTGCGGGGAAGCCCTCTGTCGGGGAAGTGCCCCTCCCAGCAGCCTGGTGGTGGGCAAAGGGTGGAGGAAAAGCCAGAAGTCTGGGCCTGGCTGGCTGCGCCTGTCTTGGGCCATGTCTCTGTGCCTCAGTTTCCCCACCTGTCAAATGAGTGGGAGCACGGGGCCCTCCTCACAGCCTTGACAGCAATGCAATGCCCCAGGGTGGGCATTTCGCCTGTGTGGATCCCTGGTGTCCCCCTGGTGCCTAGAACAGTGCCCGGTTATACAGTAGGTACTTAATAAATGTGGAGGGCCCAGGCAGAGTCCCATTGGCCAGCTGGGGAGGGGGAGGGGCTTGCCTGCATTGAGAAACCCTGTGTGCTCCCCGGCTTGGCTCCCACCCTGTCCCCAGCCATCCCTGGCCCTGCTGCTGCACCTGACAGCTGCGCCCAGATGGGACTCAGGTGCCATCGCGGCGTCTGTCTGGATAAAGCCGCCTCCTTCAGCTGATCCGAGATCCGGCGCTGATGGAGCGATTAGCGGCGATTAGAGCCCGGCGTGCGGCTAATCCTCCTGCTGAGGGACAGGTGAAGCAGCCATAGGGGTGGAGGAGGGACAGGTGAAGCAGCCATGGGGTGGAGGGTGCCAAGGGGCCCGCCGTGCACGGGGGAAACCAAGGCCACGCAGCTACGATGTCTCCTTGAGGCAGTGGCCCGGCCGCTCCCTCGCTGGCAGAAAGGCTTCCTGTGGAGCCGCCTGGGCTCCCAGTGGGTGCAGGCCAGCTTGCCATTTCCCCCTTCCTGGATTTTATATTTTGAGTGACTCTTGAGAAATGAGATCCTCTGGGAACCCAAAGGCAGGATCCCTGGGGCGGTGTGGATGGTGACATTTCTGGGTGGTTCTGGGACCCCCAGTTGTAGTGATCCTGATGGCGGCCGTGGTTAGACAACAGCTCCGTTACCCAGCCCCGGCAGTTCTGGCATGGAGTACTCTGCAGCCCTGGGAGGGGCGCCTATGACCTCATTCTCCTCAGAGAACTGAAGGCTCAGCGAGGTTGAGTAACTCACCCAAGATCACACAGCATGAAGAGAACAGAAGGGACCCTGGCTTCTGGCTTAGAGTCTAGCCGAGGTCAGAGTCTCCATCCTGGCTGGAGGTTCTGGGGTGTTTGCAGTGGGGGGCAGCCCACGAGCCTCCCAGGGGGCTCACCCGTACCTTTCAGGGAGAAAGGCCAAGCACAGAAAGGGCAGGGGACGGCTGAGGGCCGCACAGCCCATCCTGGCAGTGGGAGGGGATGGGCGGAGGCTGGCCTGCCTCTATTCTTGTTTCTTGGGTTCATTTCATCTGTCCCCAGAAAATAAGCTCCTTTGGTGAGAAAGTTGGTTTCTTTCTAACTTTTGGGTTTGGTTTTGTTTCAATATTCTAAAAGGAAGTCAGCTATTTCCAGTGCAGTGGGGTGTGTATGTGGGGGAGGGGGGTAAATGTCAGCTCCAGTGACCAGCGTTTAAATCCTGCCCCCTGGCCGGCAGCCTCTCAGTTTCCTCACTTGTATCATGGGCATGATCACAGTTCCAGCCTCCTTGGCCTTTGAGGAATTAGGGCAGAAGTGGGTAAAGCATCTGGGGCCCTTGTGCGGCAGGGCTCAGTGAACCCCAAAACGGCGGTGGTATTAATGGGGGGACACGAGCCGGGGCGAGGGTCCCTGGGGTGGGGCCACCTCTCCAAAGCCCTCTCTGCCCGCAGCCCACCCTCCCTGAATCCTACTGGCATTCTTCCTGCACGGTTTTCCGCCAACGGCTACAGTGTGCCGATGACCTCAGTGATGTCACCTAGGGCCTCGTCCCATCACACAGCGGCCAGAGTGGCTCCAGAACATTTGTCCCTGTGATCCAAGAGTCTACCCCTTGTCAGTCCCCCATAGTTGCCACAGTCACCCAGACCAGGAGCCGCAGCAAACAAGCAGGGGGTACAGCATCTGTCCCCATGGCCCTGGTTCTCACACACATCCCAGAGTCTCAGGTCTCAGTTTCCTCATCTGTCAAATAGGGCCGACACCGCTAAGCCTGCCCTGCAGGCCATGGCCAACCCCCCTGAGGTCTCCCCACCCCTCCCAGCGGTGCCCACCCAGGGCTTCTCGAGGAAGGAGCTCAGCACCCGCCCCAGTGACACTTCACTTCTCTGGGCTTTGCTGCCTTTTCCTATAAAATGGGGTGCCAGTCGCCCTCTCAGAGTCCTTTCAAGGAGCTGATGGTGTAGACCGCGAGACCTGCCTTGCAGGGCACATGCGCAGCTGCTCCTGTCATGCTGGGACCTCCGGACCCCGGGCCTCGCAGCTGCCTTGGATCCCCTCCCTCCTCCAGTCACGGGCTCTGGGCTGGCTGCTGGGCGTGTTGGGCACAGCGGGCCCTAAGCTGACCCGTGCCCTTTGTGGCTGGGACCTGAGATGGGGAGGCCCCCACCCCCTAGTTCCATGGCTTTGGGAGGTGGGGGTGGGGTGTTTTCTACTCTACCACCCTACAACGAAAAAGAAGAAAAGAGAACTTGATAAAAAAGGGCGATGCGTGCTGTGCGGTGGAGGAGGTGCTATCGCCGTTATCTATCTGCTTGCTCGAGCTGAGCGGCCCCCCTTCCCCTTATCTCACCCCACCCTAATGCCAGGAACAAAAGTGAGAACACACTCTCAACCCGCACACCCGCGAGCCCCCCACCGCCCCTCACACACCCGCGAGCCCACCGCCCCTCACGCCCCCGCGAGCCCACCGCCCCGACCCACCCGCGAGCCCACCGGCCGCTGACGCACCTGCGAGCCCACCGCCCCTCACGCACCCGCGAGCCCACTGCCCCTGACCCACCCGCGAGCCCACAGGCCCTGACGCACCCGCGAGCCCACCGCCCCTCAAGCACCCGCGAGCCCACCGCCCCTCAAGCACCCGCGAGCCCACCGTCCCGACGCACCCGCGAGCCCACTGCCTGCGGCGCACAGAGCCACCAGATCTAGAGGGAGAGCTGAGCACTCGGGGTGCTCTGAAAGTCATCATCATCATCATTTTGCAAAGAAAGCCCCCAAATAGCCCTCCCTGAAACAAGGCAGCCAAAAATAAGAAGTCGCTCTCAACAGGCCCCCACAGGAGAAAAGAGGCCGGCCTTGGAGAGGGGTTGGGACTTGGGGCCAGGTCCCAGCTGTGCCGGCCTCTTGGCTGTACGACCTTGGACCAGTATCTTTCCCACTCAGAGTCATCCCTGAATGGATGTCAGGGAGCCTTCGAGGAAAGGGGAGAGCCTGCACTGTAACTGAAGCCCCCCACCAGCCCCATGCAGCTTTCTGACCCTAGACTTGGGGCTGGGACCAGTCACCCAGAATCTGATACCCCCAGGGCCCCGCCCCCCAGAGCCCCACCCCCATGGCCAGGGCACCACTGTCCTAACCAGCCTGTTGGCAGCCAATGGAAATGGGGTATGCAAATGAGCAGGGGTGAGGCCCAGGGATTGGCTGAGCTGCTGTGTGGGGGCAGGGCCTCCTCCAGGGGCTGCCCTTGACCTGGGGGAGTAGTTCCCATCCTGGACCCTGCCCCAGGACGGGAGACCTCTGCCACCACCACCACCGGCTCTGGAAGGGCCCGCCTTTTAGGGGCCTCGCTGTCTGGGCACAGGCGGATGGACAGGCTGGCCTCTGGATGACCTGCCAACCGTCAGAGCCCAGACCCACGTGGCCTCAGTTGGGGACCAGGACCCAGGAGTTCCCGAGAGGAGTGCAGCCAGCAGCCACTCCCAGATGGGAACAGCGAGTTTCACAACCCGGCAGGGACGGCCCTGGGGCCAGCCAGCCTCCCACCCCCATGTCTGGGCCCACTCCAGACCCTCCTGCAGGCTGCCCCCCACCGCTCCACCCTCTCCCCGCGCTGACTTCCATCCGGAACCTCATTCTGCCAAGCTTCTGAAGTGCCGGCCGGGCCAGGGACGTGGCACCATCTTAATGAATGACAGTCCCAACCCCTTTGCCCACCCTCAGCCTCCCCATCTGTAAAACCGGAAGGCGGTCTAGTAGGTCTGCCTCCCAGGATGGTTTCTGGGCTCTTCAGCAAGCCCCTTGCCGGCCTGGGCCTCAGTTTCCCCTTCCACACCATGAGGCTGAGGTGGCAGGTTCTCTGGGGGTCCTCCTGTCTGTGGCTGTGGCATAGCCTGGAAACCTGGGGTCTTCCAGATTTCCCATTGTCAGAAATTCATGTGCCAGGAGACCATGTCTACAGGGGGCTTAGGACACCTTAGGGGGCATGCACCTGTGTTCTGCATCCACCCACACTGCACAGTGGGTCTTGCTGGCAAGACCAGGATGAGGCAGGCTCCGCCGGCCTGAGACCTGGCTGGAGGCCCTGTCAGCTCCCACGGCACCTGAAAATCAGCCACAGGTGTGGGTGTTTGTCAAAAATGTGTAAGTGGAAAATAGTGGCGGGGCGAGGAGAGAAAGAGTCTGGGCTGAGATCTAAGGAGAGGAAGTAGGGAGGGGCCGTCCGACCAGAACCAGACATCACCTTGGCCAGGGCCCCACCCCCTAACGTGGGGTGCAGTGCCTCTCACGTGGTGAGGGTCAGAGGTGCGTGCCCAGCCCAGAGGATCTCCCCACGCAGCCCTCCCAGTCTGCAGAGGGGTCTCCACACATGCAGGCAGCTCTGTCCTCTCCCAGGACAGCTTGGGGCATACAGTAGGTGCTCCATAAATACTCCCCAGCTGATTTCTGGATCTGCTCCCTGTGCCTGGCTGTGTCCCCAGAGGCAAAGCAAGCAGAAGGAAAAAGGAAACGGAGAAAAAGCCAGGGCCTCCAGAGCCAGCATTGTCCTGGGCAAAGGCCCCTCCCGTGTAGGAGCATCGCCTGTGGAGAGCCACGGTCCTTGTCCCTGTGCTGGGGCTGTGACTCACTCCTGCGGGGTCCTTGCTGTCAGGGCCACCCCACCTGTCCTGGGGACAGGGCTGCTGGACGGGTTGGGGCGGGCAGCCTCTGGATGCCCACGGGTGTCCCCTGTACTCTCCAAACCTGTACTGAGTGCCTGCTGTGTGCTGGGCATGGTCCAGGGACCCCAGGTGACCTCATGGAACCCCAGCCTAACGAGGGAGAGTGAACACAGGGGTCTGACGTGCTCTGTGGCAGAACCACTGGGGAGGCTGTTGTTGGGGGACTGGTGGTGTGGAGGGCCGGGTGGTGACACTCAGTGACAGGTGAGGATGTGGCACGGTGTGGAGGGCCGGGTGGTGACGCTGAGTGACAGGTGAGGATGTGGCACGGTGTGGAGGGCCGGGTGGTGACGCTGAGTGACAGGTGAGGATGTGGCACGGTGTGGAGGGCCGGGTGGTGACGCTGAGTGACAGGTGAGGATGTGGCACGGTGTGGAGGGCCGGGTGGTGACGCTGAGTGACAGGTGAGGATGTGGCACGGTGTGGAGGGCCGGGTGGTGACGCTGAGTGACACGTGAGGATGTGGCACGGTGTGGAGGGCCGGGTGGTGACGCTGAGTGACAGGTGAGGATGTGGCACGGTGTGGAGGGCCGGGTGGTGACGCTGAGTGACAGGTGAGGATGTGGCATAGGGAAACACATCCTCGCCGAGCGCACAGTGGGAGCTCCGAGCAGGGGATGAGGTCGTCCAGGAAGGGGCGGGAGACGCAGCGTGACGCACTGACCCAGGGCCCAGCTCAGATGCCAGTACCTCACCCGGTGGGGTCCAGCCTCCGCGACAGGCATTCCCTTCCCCGTGTGCCCTTGCCAACTACATACTGGGCTGCCCAGAGGCTGCCTTCTGAAGGAGCGAGGGGGCCGGGAGGAGGAAAGCCCAGCTCCCCTGCAGCCATGATAGATAGACCAGACTTTTCCTCTCCACTTACTCCGCCCTGACCGCGATGGGCACTGAGAATTCAGACAAGAGCCGGACTCCCTGAGCTCCCAACCAGCTGACCCTCCAGGGCTGCAGCCATGTGTGACCTCCACCCTCGCGAAGGCCAGCGGCCGCAGGGTCTGGCTTGGGCTATAGCATCTAGGCTCTGAGATGACTGTGTCCGTGGCGGCTCCCGCTCACAGTTCAGGACCCCGAGATGACCGTGCCCACAGTGGCTCCCACGCATAGTGGGGGGGCCAAGACCCCAAGATGACCATGGCTGCGGTGGCTCCTGCTCACAGTGGGGGATGCCAGGACCCCGAGACGACCATGCCCACAGTGGCTCCCACGCATAGTGGAGGGGCCAAGACCCCAAGATGACCATGGCTGCGGTGGCTCCTGCTCACAGTGGGGGACGCCAGGACCCCGAGATGATCGTGGCTGTAGCGGCTCCCACTCACAGAGGTGGGGTCAGGGCCCCAAGATGACCGTGGCCGCGGTGGCTCCCACACACAGTGGAGGGGTCAGGGCTCCCGGCTCTAAAGCCACATGGCCTGGGCATGAATTCCTGCCCACCACTTACTCACACTGGGATCTGCCACAGACACCTGAGCCTGTGACTAAGACTAAGGCTGTGTGTCCATCTCTGTGAAATCGGGGCGAGGCCCCCGCGGGCTGGGAGGGCTCTGGGCCTCCGGCTGGCTGTGCACCATGTTCCACTGGGTTATTCCTGAGGGGACCTGCAGGTCCGCAAGAGCCTTGGGTGGGCCGGGGCAGGGGCCGTGTGGTCTGCAGGGAGTGGAGCCAGAAGCCTGGGCCTCCCCGGTAGGAGCCCGGCAGGGCCAAACCCTGATGGGCAGCGGAAGTCTGTTGGGGCCACTCTCAGGACAGGTCACCTCAGCTGGGCTCCCACCACCCATGGCCGCCGGTAACCCCACCCCATCTGTGGACCCAGTTCGTGGAGGGGGCGCAGGGCTGAACCCCAGCGAGCCCCAGCCTCAGTGTCCACACCCACAAGTGGCTGGAGGCACGGTGGTGGGCAGGGCAGGTGCCCACAGGGTGGGGCACACAGGCAGGGATGTGCCAGCTCTGCGCCTCGGTCCCAGGAGAAAGGGAAGAGGCACCAGAGCGCCTGCTGCCACCACAGCACAGAGAGGGTGGCATTTCCTGCTTTTTTGTTTGAATTTTCTTTTTTTTTTTTTTTTTTGAGACTGAGTCTCGCTGTGTCGCCAGGCTGGAGTACAGTGGTGTGATCTGGGCCCACTGCAACATCTGCCTCCCGGATTCAAGATATTCTCCTGCCTCAGCCTCCTGAGTAGCTGGGACTATAGGCGCCTGCCACCACGCCCAGCTAATTTTTGTATTTTTAGTAGAGACGGGGTTTCACCCTGTTGGCCAGGATGGCCTCCATCTCCTGACCTCGTGATCTGCCCGCCTCAGCCTCCCAAAGTGCTGGGATTACAAGCGTGAGCCACTGCGCCCGGCCTGAATTTTCTATTTTTTATTGTGGTAAAGTGTACATCACATTTACCATATTAACCCTTTCCCGTGTACAGCTCAGGACACAAGTGCATTCGGTGCTGGGAACCCAGCAGCAGTGGGTCCCCATAACTCCACGCCCTCCCGGCACAGGCTCTCCCTGATGGTGGCTCCCACCCTTGCCCCAGCCCCACTCCAGCATCCTAGGCTCCGCCTCTGTGGGTTGGAGGCTGATGTGTTAACTCCTGGTTTCAGGCGGGGCAGCAGGCCCAGGGCAGGCCTGCATCACAGAGCTCAGAGCTCTAGCGCCCCACAAGCTTCCAGGACGCCGCAGCCCTGGACCCCACCAGGACGAGGGGCCAGCTGGGCAGGAGGTCTGGGCGCAGGCCCTGCGGCGCTGCCGTCCCCCGTGGGACCGGGCAGCCTCCGTTTCTGCAGCTGTGCGGTGGGAGCAGTTGCTTTGCTGCCTGAGACCCTGGAACGAGGAAAAGGCTGAACTGAGCCAGAGGGCGTGACTTCTTCCTTTCTGAAAGGCATCTGAGGGTCTGGACACTAGGGTCCCCAGGTCTGGGGTGAATCCTGCTCCTGGCCCCCGGGAATCTCCGGGATGGCCCACTTGGAAGAGGATGGCAGGAACCACCCACCCTTGGGCTGTGGTTGGATGCTGTGAATGAAAGCCTGGAGTCTCCTGGGCTTGTGAGCTCACCCACCGACCCTCAGGCCTCAGCCCAGCTGTACAGCCACTGATGAGGGGCCCCTCTCACCATGGCCTTGAGGGCGGGGTGAGGTGAACCCACAGGCCTGTCCTCGAGGGCCGCAGGGCGGGAGGAGGGTCGGCTGCTAGGGAGGGCCATGACGGCCCCGCTGCCCCGGGGTCTGGGTGCTGCGCCCCACTTCTCCCATGGCCGGGCCCATCCTGGGGGACCCCTGCTCCCTTCCAGGGAGCCAGCTGCCTCCACCCATCTGACGCAGGCTGCGCGGCGATGGCTCCGTGAGCCGCGGCCCCCGCCCCATCTATCAGCCCTTATCACCCATCTGGGGAGGGGGGTCGCTCCCCAGCCCAGATTCTCGGGGCCGTGCTGGGACCTCTCCTCCTCCCTGGGCCTCCGGCGGGCTTGCAGCCGCGTGCGTGGCCTCAGCCACCCTGCCACACATATGGCCTGACCCCATCCTCACCTTCACCCTGTGCGGTGGTCCTTGCCCGCCACGGCCCCACGCGGCCTCGCCACCCCCACCCACATCCCATCCCTGGGCACCCCCTCGGCTCTTCCGCAAGGGGTTTAGTAATCGGTTCTCCGGAGTGAAGCAATCTCATGTAATCTATCAGTGGCTATCAGGCCCATCGGAGGGCCGGGAGTGGCCGGGCCCAGAGATGGCGCCAACCTTCAGCGTCGATAAAGTTTCCGAGTTCAGCGGTGATGAATGTTGAGTAAGCGCAGGCCGCACCGATAGGATGTGGACTTGGCAGGCGGCGGCTCCGGCTGAAACCAATCTCTCCCCTATCAGCCGGGCTGGGCTTTCTCAGGCCCCGGCTCTTTCTTCCCTCCTCCTCCGCCTCCCTTTCTCTCTGCCTTGCCCCGCCCGGGCCACTGCCCCTGGGGACACGGGTGGGGGACCAGCCCACTGGCCCTGGCTCCAGAGAAGGGGCAGGCTCAGGGCAGGGGGAGGATCCAAGGGAGCCCGAAGAGGTGGCCAGAGCTGGGGGGCTGCCTGGAGGTGGTGGCAGATGCAGCAGCTGCCCGGCCAGGGTTCCCCCAGCAGCCCAGGGACCCTACCACAGTCTGACAGATTTTGGCATTCTGCTCGGTGTCTGATGGTGGCTTCTCACGGTGCCCAGAATAAAACCCCAGCTCCCTCCAAAGCCTCCAGCCCCCTGCCTCCCCGCCACCCGCCTCCTCCCATCCCTGGGCCGTGCAGGGCTCCGTCCCACTTCGGGGGGCGGGGGGCTCTGTCTTCAGCGCTCTCTGCCCGGAGCTCTTCTCAGTCACAGGTAAAGGTTAGCCTCTGAGAAGCCCTGGTGACCACCCTGTCTGAAGCCAGCCCCCACGCCAGCCCGCTCTTCTCCATCCTGAACACTGTCCGAGCCTCCGCGGCATCCTCCATTCCCACACATAGGATGTTCATTTGCTCCGCTCTTAACGCCCCTGCTGCAGAACCCCCAGGGCTGTCGGGAACCCGCATCTGGGGCCTCTCTGCCTCCTGCAGAGCCTCCCAGCCTCTGTTCACAGCAGCTCTTCGAGACTGATGAGTCCATACTCGTTGGCCAGATGTGTAAACCAGGACCTGGGCAGCCCCTATGCCCAGAGCCAGTCGCCAGCTAGATTCCACTTGGCCCTGAATGGCAGCTGACCTGAGGCCCGTGCTGGGACCATGCAGGGACAGGTCTGGCTGCTCTCTGCCTCAGTTTCCCTACAGGCCTGTGCTTGATCCTGGCAGAGCTTCATAAACTGTGAAGGGCTGTGCATTCGTGTTGATGGGGATCTGGTCAGAGGGAGCCACAGCTCCGGGAGGAGCCATGCCCGATGCCAGCCCTGCACCAGAGCAGGCGAGGCAGGTGGACGCTCCCGTGGGGTGTCGAGGGTGCCCTGGCTTCAGCCATGCAGTGGGCACCTGGCAGGGCCCAGGCCCTGGGGGGCCATCAGAGGGGAGGGTGGGCACACACAGGGACCATGGTGAGGGCAGGAGCGCACGCGATGGGAGGGAAGGTGTGGGACCGGGAAGGGCCTCGCTGAGCTGTGATCCTCCTATGACGTGGAGCCAGGAGGAGAAACTGAGGCCAGCAAGGGGAGAGACCAGACCTCGGGCCTGGAAGCTGCACAGACCTGTGTCCCAATCCCACCCAAGTAACCCTGAGCAGGGGCAGGGGTCCGGGGGGGGGAGCACAGCCAAGAAAAAGGGAGGAGGAGGAGGGGAGAGCGAGCTGAGGCCTGAGAAAGCCCAGGTCCTCTCTCCTGACTGTGAGGACCCCAAGGACAACGCCGGGTACAGGGCAGGGCTCGGGAAAAGGGTGCAGGCAGGCTGCTGGGTCAGCACACCTGGATCTGTGCTATCTGTGTGGCCACCCCGAGGCTCGCTGGCCACTGCCCACTGTCTGCTGCCTACCACTGTTAGTTCCTCTGCTTAGGGAGGGGCTGGGCTCAGAGGAGCCCCAGCATTGCCTGCAGCCGATGCTGCCTGGGACGCACGCGTGCAGGAGGACCTGGGCCTACCCTCGGCCCCCTGGACGGCTGCTCAGCCTGGACACCATTCGGCCAGAGGCTGGGCGTGGCTGTGGGCCCAGGGCAGTTAAGCCCACCAGGTCCACCCCTCGGTTACTGGGTCAGCCACAGGAAGAAGTGGTGGGGCTGAGGGGGTGTGGGTGCAGAACCCCCTCCCAATGCTGGTGCCCCATGACCCTGAGTCTCATCCCTCTCCTCGTGGTGCCCCCACACCCACCCAGGCCTCAGACCCCACAGGGGCAGGTAGCAGGGCACCTTGCCATGGGCACCTTCGGCCAACCAGGTGGGACTCAGCCTGGCTCACCCACCCCAGGGTGAGCAGGCTGAGACCCGAAGGCCCCTCGCGGGAACCAACCAAGCCTCCATCCCTCTGCACAGCCTCCCTGCTGGGGGAGCCCAGGATGACCTAGCCACACCCCCCTCCAAGCCAGCCACACCCCACCAGCCTGTTTCCAGGCCCTGACCCTTCCCGTGTCCATCAGCATTTGCTGGGTACCTACTGTGTGCCGGGCACCGTTCCAGATGCTGGGGGTGCGGCCGTGAGCATACGTGAAGGGAGGGAGAGAGGGCCGCCAAGTGGCAGGGCGGCCATCGTGGGAACTGGGGAGGGCTGAGGGAGGGAGGGGAGAGGGCCGAGCAGGTGCCTGCTGGAAGTTCTGGCAGAGAGGGCAGCCAGGGCAGGGCCATTTTCGGAAACCAGGTGGGAGCTGGGTAGGGGTTTGGCTTTTGCTCCGAGATCCCCGGGGGCCCATGGGAGGCATTTCAGCAGAGGAGGTGAGGGGTTGGGGGCTGCTTAGTGAACATGACCACAAGGCCAAGTGTGGCTGGGGAGGCAGGGAGACAGTTCTTCACACAGCAAGTGTGTTGTGGAATCCAGGCTGTTGGCACCGAGGGAGGGACTCGACTTGAACATACATACGATGGGGGCCAACCTGAGCCAGGGAGGGCTTCCCAGAGGGGCAGGGAAAGGCAGGGAATTTGAGGGCCCGAGATGGTCAGAAGCTAAGCCGGTGGCCTGAGGGCTTCCCACTTCTGGCCCGGGACCGCTTTTGGCTGCAAGACCCTGGCCCCCCAAGGGCAGTGCTTACGCTAGACACACAGTGTGATAGCGATGGAGAGAAGATTTGGACGTGCGCACGCCCGTGCGCCGGGTCCCTTCTCCACACCATCGCAGACCGGGGCCACGCAGACCTTCCCCGCAGCCCTGAAAGTGAGTTCTGGTCTCTGCCAGCCCGGCTTCCCTGCCTTCCATGAGGAAATTGGAACATGGACATAGAGGGAACCACAGGAGAGGAGAGGAGGGAGAGAAGCGGGCACAGTTCACATGAGTGCCGGGAAGGGACAGCTGAGCAGCCACGTGGGCTGGGCGTGTGGGCTTTGGCCTGTGAGGGCCCCGGGTCAGCGGAGAAGGGCACGGGGAAGGTGGCTGATGCTAGAAAGAGTAAGATTTTCAGTGACTCCTTTCAGACTCTTGAAGAGAAGCAAGCACAGATTTGGGTCACCGCGGTGTGTTTCTTTGCCTGAGACTGGGCCAGGTGGGGCCCTGGATTTTATTTGGGCTGCGTGTTACCACCATACCCATTTCCAGCAAACTTTCCTGCCTTTAAAAGCCAAACATGGCTGGGTGCAGTGGCTCATGCCTGCAATCCCAACACTTTGGGAGGCTGAGGTAGAAGGATTGCTTCAGTCCAGCATGGTGGCATGAACCTGTGGTCCCAGCTACTCAGGAGGCTTAGGCCGGAGGATCGCTTGAGTCTAGGGGTTTGAGGATACAGTGAACCGTGATTGCACAGGCACACTCCAGCCAGGGCAACAAAGCAAGACCCCGTCTCAAAAAAGAAAAGAAAAGAAAAGCAAAACCAAGAGAATGCTTATGGGGATGCAGTTGGTTGTATGTGAATTCCATCTCAATTGAATATTTATAAGGCTCTCACTGGGAGTGAGTCAGGGCTCAGGGCCCCTGCACAGCAGCCACCTACTTGAGCCTGGGGACATTCAGTTCAGCAGCAGCTCCCCAGGCTTGGCCTGGAGGGCGTGTTGGGCTCTGAGGCTGCTTCAGTGGGCTTGGCCCTCCTGGAGCCCACAGCCTGAGGCCGACCTCGGAGGGGAGAACAGGGAGAACAGACCTGGGGGTGGGTGGGTCTGGGACTCAGAAGAGGCACGAGCTCCCCATGGCAGGGTGTGTGGGAGCTCTGTCTGTCTGCCTCTTGGTGGAGCCGCTCAACCGCCATGTCTCCCCTGCCCCAGGCCCGCTGGCACAGTTGAGGGGCAGGACCGATGGGGGAGGGTGTCTGGGCCCAGAAGGCACAGCCCGGGTGGTGGGCTCAGGCCACGTCCCCAGCCTGCCACGACTCTCTGGGACCCTGGAGGTTCAGCCACGTGCTCCTGCGCTGGTTAGGGCTCTGCTCTAGTAAGCCGCACCCTCACCGGCATCCGCTTTTGTGGTTGCCCTGGCTGACAGCAAGTGCTGATCCCGAACTGAGGAGCTGCGGGTGGGCCAGGGGTGGGGCTGCTGCAGGGCACTCTTCCCGCCTGGGCCTCTCATAGCCCCCGAGGGCCTCTTCATTCTTCATCTCCATCAGCGTCTGCGTCTACACAGCCGTTCCTGTGTTCTTTCTTTAGCACCTGGTGCCGGCATCCCTGTAAGGGGTCGCTGTCACGGTTGCCCGTCCTGCCTCCCGCAGGGCTCACTGAGCTGCTGTTGCGGGCCCACAGAGGCACACATGCCCCCTCCCAGTCCAGCCGGTGAACCAGTGTGACCTACAAATAAACGAGGCTCCGGCAGAGCTGGGGTGCTGGAAGGGAGGCCTGGACCATGGGGGACGGACCTAGGCTGGGGGAAAAAGCCTCCGCCAGAGGGATGAGGAGGCCTCAACTGCACATAGAGGCGAGGGTTCCCGTAGAGGGGGCAGGGGGTGCTGAGGCCCCAAGGCAAGGGCGGCAGGGGAAGGAGTTGGGGGCCAACCTGAGGACCCATGGGTTTAAGAAGCCAGGTGACAAATGCTACTCGAGGGAAACGGGGGTGGAGACTTCCCCGGGGGCCTGGACCCCACATGGCAGTGGTGGCTCCGGGCCACACCGGGGTGATGGGTTGGACGTGAAGGAGGCTCGAGGCTCCGAGGGCGTGTGCCGAGCCTGGGCTCCCCAGTGGGTAGGTGGGTAGGCACAGAAGGCGCCGTCTGCTCCGGGCTCTCCCAGGCTCTGCGCCCACTCCCTCAGCTGCCCTAGTGCCTGGAAGTCAGTCTGGCTGCTTGATGGATTGCGCGTGAGGTACTGGCCACTTGGTCCTGAGGGTGTGGGCGGTGAGTCCCGAGTCCCAACCGCGGGGCCGGGCTCCCCACGCAGGTGGTGCTGGGCTGGTGTCGCCAGCAGACCCCACTTTGATGGCGGGGCTGGGCTGCTGCTACCACTGCTCTCTGTGCTTCGGTTTCCCTGCTTGGCGAGATTCACGGGATGAGAGATGCTCCTAGCTGGGCCAGGGGGTGTGGACAGCATCAGCCACTCACCAGGGACCTGGGAGGGCGCCGCTTGGCTGGAGGTCATGCTGTAGACTCAACTCGGGTCAGCCTGGGGGACCCAGGCCCTCTGCAATGGCTCACCACGGCCCCCAGACCCAGCCTGGGCCCCAGTCACCTTGCGCTCCCATAGCGTGGCCTCAACAGAGCGAGCGGGGCCGTCCCCGTCTCCTCTCTGTCCCCACCGTGGCCCAAGCTGCCCGCTGCCCAGCTGGTGGGAAAGTCTGAATCTGTTGCTATTTTCTGTCTGTTATCAGGGCCTTATCTGGCCGCTGTGTGCCGCCAGAGGCCAGGTTCTCCCTCCTGGCAATGCTGTGACCCCCCCCCACCCACCTGCTACCCAGGGCCAGCAAGACCAGGAGGCCAGCCCTGGGGGTCTTTCTCTTCTGCCTCCCCAGCCCCACCCCTCTCCCATCTCCCCATCCCATCCTCTGCCCCGACCTGTGCCCCTCTCCGCTCCCCTCCCCGTCCCTCCCTCCCCCCCGCTGCCACCCCCGCAGTACTTCCTCCCCCAGCCCTGGCCTTCACCCACTCACACCCCCCGCCGAAGGAGGAAGATGGGGCACGTCCCTGCAGAGTAGAAACAGTGACAGCAGCTGTGGTGACAACCTCACATCTGCGCCCAGCGCCCACTGCCAACACCTGGCTGAGTCCTAACGCCAGCCTTTGGCAAGACAGTTTGATCCGCTGAAACCAGGCTCAGGGAGAAGCCGCCTGCCCTGTGCCAGCCTCAGCTCCTGCTGTTCCTTTCTCCTGGAGCGCTTTTCCCTGGACCCGGTGCTGGCAGCCTCCTCCTCTCCCCATCCAGATTGCCACCCACTTGCTACTTCCTCCAGGAAGCCTTCCTGGATGGCACCTCTGACTCTTTCCTGTGGTGCTCACACTGGCATCTTCCACTTTTTGGGGGATGGGGCTGGTCACTGCAGGATCTCTGGCACCTCGTGAGGGTGGGGCACGCCAAGGGCTCAGGAAGGGGAAAGGAGCCAGCGAAAGCGAAGGAGGAAGAAGTGAGTGTGTGAGGGGACGGGTGAGTGAGGGAGCGGATGAAAGAGTGAAGGAAAGAGCCGTGGTGCTGGTGGGGGAGGAGCGGGGCCGTGTGGCTGCCAGTGGTCACCCGCCCCACCAGCTGCTCACATGGGGCCTGGGCAGGCACCTGCACCTCCACTTCCTCCCCTCTAGACCAAGAATGAGAGAACTCCCAAGAGAGGCCAGCATAGGCGCCTGTGTCCCCTGCAGGCACCCACTGGGGACTTAGGCTCATCTCAAACACTGAGCCGGAGCAGGGTGCTCCCTGGGCCAGGGCCCTGGTTTTCAGAAGGCTTGCCCAAGGTCACAGAGCCAGGGGCACCGCAGGGGCCTCCCCAGGGGCCTCAGACTCCTCATCCACAGCCCCCATCTGCGCCCCACCTGGCATGTCCACCCTGGGGCCCACAGTCTGGGGGATGCCCCCCTCTCCTCAGCGACTGGCTCCAGCTTTCCGCAAGACAGTCGTTCAAAGGAGCCCCCCAGCGCCTCGCCATCAAAGCCGGGAGGGGCCACCTTAATCGTCGGTGTGGGGACTTGGAAGGGAGCTGGGATCATCCCGCTGCACAGAGCCAGCTCCATAATTCAGTTTTAAAGCATGAAAAAAGGGAGTTGATGAAATTCCGCTATCAGCGCCAAGCCAATATGCAAAATATCTCACCCCCAATCAAATAGCTATTATGTTTTCATTTCCATTTCGGCGTCCGGCTTAATGAGCAGGAGACGGATGGGCGCACGGGTGTCTGCTGGCTGTGATAACCAAGGGGCTCCGGGCACCACAGGGGCTGAGCCCAGTGCTGCCCTGGCCGCCAATGACCACAGCCATAGCCCGTGGACACCTCCAGGCAGGTGCAGCCTTGGCCACTGACCTCTGCCAGGCCAGGCAATGGGGCTGACATCACCCTCACTGCAGGTGGTCCCAGGGCGAGGGAGGCGTGGGGTCCGTGTCTGGCTCGGGGAAGGGCTACGTGCTGGGTGCAGGTCTGAAACCCAGCCCCAAGTTCCTGTCCCACCACCCCCACCCCCACCACCGCTGCCTCCTCGCCGGGGGCCGTGGACAGGGCAGCTCGCAAGTCGGCCTTGCTGGGCCTTGGTTTACTCACCTGTAAAGTGGGAATGACCTGGCTTCCCACTGTGGGTATTGGGATGTGGTTGGCGAGTGGGATTTCCACGATGGCTGCCCCCAAGGTCCTGCTTACGCTACTCCACTCCACCCTGCCACAGCCGTCACCGAGTCCCCGTACTGTCCTCATACCCCCTCCTCCATGCACCCTGTCCCCCTGCACTTTCCTGACCGCCCCTACCTGCTGAGGTCTGTGTGGGCTGCCACCCTCTACACCCCAGGTTCCCCATCTGAAATGAAATTGGAAGACCATCTCGCTGGACTACGTGGGTGGGGGCGGTTAAGGGTGGGCATTTGTAAAGTGCTGAGCACCGCCCGTCCAGTCTTAACCATTCACACCCTTGCCCATTTCTCAAAACCTGTGCTAGCCACAGTTCATGTTCACTGAGCACCTGCCCTGTGTTGAGCTCTGAGGACGCGGGCAGGCTGCACGTTTCATCTCCTGAAGTGGGAGCTGCTGTGGCTTCCATCTGTAGACCGGGAAACTGAGCACAGAGAGTGGAGTGACTTGCTCGAGGTCACACAGCAAGGACGCAGCAGCTGTCAGCCTGCCTGGCCGTGGGTTGGCCTGCTCCAGCTGTTGGCATCACTGGGCAGAGAGAGGGTCCCCAGAGAGGCTAGGGGGGTTCTTTGCTAGCCCCGGGCATGGGGAGAAAGCAGCAGAGAGCAGCTGTGGCTCACAGATGCCCCCAGCCACTGGGGGCCCAAGTGCTCTGTCGCCCACCTGGAGAGTCCCCACGGACCCCAGGTGGGCCACAGACGAGACCGGTGCTGACTTAGGGGCTCGGTGGGGACCAGGCAGCTGCTCTCAGACACCGAGGCAGGCCCAGGGCAGCATCCACCTCGACACATCCTATTTGTGGGCTGACAGTTGTCTCCTGCATTATCAGAGCCGTTTTAATTGTGCTGGAACTGAAATTAGCCTGGCAGCCTCTTTCTCCACGCTCATCACCACGGCTTTGTGTGGAGCAGGAGCCTTTGTTCTTGTGTAAATAGGAGAACCCATCACCATCCCAGCACCTCCCTGGGTGTCTGAGGCCCACCTGGGTGGGGTATGGAGAGCCAGCCCACCTTCCTGAGGCTGCAGCAGGTATGCACAGGGCTGTGTCTCCTGTGGGCCCCAGCCCCAGTGCTCTGGTCCCCGAAGTCCCTGAAGGCAGGTGGCCTCCAGCCCATTTGCCAGAGCAGGTCACTGAGGCCCTGATGCCCTACAGCTGCTCAGCAGGAGGAAGCACAGCTCCTGGGCAGCCCCTCCCAGCTCCATGCCAGCCACAGAAAGCCCGGGCCTCTAGAAGGGGGAGGAGCCGGGCTGAGCTGATCGTTCCGCGTGCTCCCGCCAAGTCGGGGATGGCCGAGCACCTCCTGACCTTCTGGATGGCACTGCCTGCTCAGGGCCGACCCCAGAGGTGGGGAGGGGAGGCCTCGGTGGCTGCTTTTCTGCCCTGGCGTGTGCTGAGGGAGGGCACTCGGGTTGGGCCTCCTGTCCCAGGGGCAGGAGTTGAACCGGTCAGGGGTGGCCCAGCCTGCCCTGGAGCCTGCCCGTGTGGGCGCTTTAATGGGAGGCTGTGAGCCCTCGCCTGGGGCTGGCTCCTGTGTGGTCTGAGCCCAGCCCCCTCCTATAATTACAGCTCTGAGGTGCTCTGAGGAGGCCGGGACTCATGGGTCCCAGCTAGAGCCCCAAAGGCTGCAGCTAGGAGAGTCCAGCCTGCCCCTCCTGTCCAGGACCCCCCATGGCTCCCCGGTGGCACCTGCCCCTCCTGTCCAGGACCCCCCATGGCTCCCCGGTGGCCCCAGGATGAGGGTCCCCTCCTCCCCGTGGCCTCTGAGGTCAGCACGGCCAGGACCCTGCCTGCCCTCAGCCTTGACTGCCAGCACACCCTGGCCCCCGACCTCCCCTTCCTCCACCACCTCTGGCCCCGCCCCAGGGCCTTTGCACATATGGCCCCCTCTGCCAGAGCTGTCTTCTCAGGGGCTGGTCTCACAACAACCACTGTTCCCTCCGAGATCTACCGGCGGCAGCCCCTCCCATCCCCGTGTTTTTCTGTCTTTCTCTCATGGCCCCTTCCCTCACTGCACTTCCAGAACTTGCCATTGTTTTCGGCCGGGGCCCATCTGTTGTTCTCTGACTGTCCCCACAGTGGCCCGGACACCCAGGGCAGTGTTCAGCGATCTGGTGCACCCCTGCATCCTGGAACGGCACCTGGCACCTAGCCCTCGGGTGTCAGCAGAAGGCAGAAAAGGCATCTGCCCCTCCAGGAGCAGTTTGGTTTGACGGCATCAGCCAGCCACAGCCTGCTCATGATCAGAGAGGGGGCTGGAGTCCAAACGCGCAGAAAATCCACCTTCCCGCCTCCCTGCTGCATGGAACGGCGGGGTCAGCCTTGGACATCAGCCTGAAACTCAGTCACAGCATTTCTCCTTCTCTCGCATCTTCGGGGGTCTCTGACATGAGCCTCTGAACCTGGCGTTGGACGCTGGCGGGTGGCACGTTTCTTACTGGCTGGGCAGGTGTTTCGGGCGTTAGCAGGCTCCACCTCCGACCAGCCCATCTCCCTCCCATCTTCTGCCTTTCCCTGGAGAAACAAAGCAAAGCAGGGATCATGAGGGGCTGTGAAGGAGGACAGTGGGGATTCGGAGAGAAGCTCTTGAAGCTGGGCACATGTGGGCGCTTCGGTGTGTTTTTCTGGGGAGGAGGCACCAGGTTTCATCAGATTCCCAGAGGGGCCATGAGGCAAGACAAGCCAGGAACCACCTAGCCAGAGGCGCAAACCCCGAACAGTTCTCCATCCGTGCGGCTTGCTTGCCTCCAGGGATGGGGCGCTCAGCCCTCAGGAGGTGGTTGTTCCAGCCTGCAACGCTCAGGCCTTCCCTCTGGTGTCTTCTGTTCTGCCCCACCCCCACTCTGCCCCATCAGCTCCCCTGACACGTGAACTCAGACACGCGGTTTCCAGACTTTTCTTATTCATTATTCTGCTGTGACCATGGGGCTTGGCGGCCGCAGGACCTGGGGTCTGGGCTCAGGAGGGCCACGGCCCCTCCCACTCCTGAGTGTGTCGGGAGGCTCTGCCCCCATCGTGCTTCACACAGGACAGTAGAAGGCTGGGCGGGTCAGGCCTTGTGGAGTATGGGTGCAGAGGGGGCAGTCGCAGCACGCAGGCTGAGTCAGGGCCTGGGGACCTGGGGAGCAGTCAAACAGGATATGGAAGGGCACCTCTGTCCTCTGTTCACACTGGACACCATCACCCATCACCAGCCCCGCCGGCGGATGTCAGCACACACACCTGCACTCAGCGCCACTCCACAGCCACTGTGGGGTCCGGAGCAGCTGCCCCCGCACTTGGGCCGCGTGGCCTTGTCTCAGTCTGCCTTGTCACCTGTCAGGTGGACTCCTGGAGTTCCCCCACCCCGATGTGTGAGTCTCTGAGGGACCCAGGCCCTGAGGCACTCCACCCCCAGGTGCTGCAGACACCTGTGCCCTGCTTGGTTTGTTCGCTCGACAAGTCTGTGAGCGCCTCCTTTGTGCTGGGTGAGGGTGTCACCCCAGGGAGTTCCCAGACCGAGGGAATGAGTGTGAGGGAAGTGCACGGGGACTGGGCCCCTGGGCGGGGCACTGGCAGGTGATGCCAGGCGGAGGCCGTGGCGACGGCGACCCTCAGGGCCTGGATGGACGCTGGGCCTACAGTACAGGGAGGGCCCACTCGCAGCTCCAGGGCTGCCAGAGCAGGTGGGGGCCTGTCCCCTGGTGCTGGGGGGAGCAGGTGGGAAAGAGACACGGGGTCCGCGGCCCTTCTCTGGCAAGAGTGGAATCCGTGGGCGTGGTGGAGGCCAAGGGTCACGGCAGGTAAGGGTGGGCGGAGGCGACCCTGCAGCTTTGGAAATGTTGCAGAGGGTGGGGGTTCGTCAAGAATCATCAGGTCTTTTTTTTTTTTTTTTGAAACAGAGGTCTCACTCTGTCACCCAGGCTGGAGTGCAGCGGTGCAATCGCGGCTCACTGCAGCCTCCAACTCCCAGTCTCAAGCGATCCTCCCACCTCAGCCCTCCTAGTAGCTGGGACTACAGGTGTGCGCCACCACACCCAGCTAATTTTTGTATTTTTTATAGAGACAGGGTCTTGCCATGTTGCCCAGGCTGCTCTCAAACTCCTGGACTCAAGCAATCCTCCCACCTCAGCCTCCCAAACTGCTGGGATCACAGGTGTGAGCCACCATGCCCAAATGTCAAGTCTTGAGGAACCCAGAGGGAGCCCCCAGCTAACAGCCACCTGTCCTTTGACCTCAGGGTGAGGGATGACCCTCACCCCCACCCATTGCCATTTCCGCCTGGGCACCGGGGCTGTACCTATGCCAGGAGGGGTCAGGAGGCAGGAGCTGTCCCCCCAGAGCTCCTCCCGAACCCCCATCGTCTTGTGTCCACAGGTTCCCTCGGAGACATGGAGGCCAGAGAGGAGGTGCAGTTGGTGGGTGCCAGCCACATGGAGCAAAAGGCCACGGCACCTGAAGCCCCGAGCCCTCCCAGCGCAGGTGAGTCAGACTGAGCCCTCTCACCGCGCCTCCAGCCGGGGCCTCCATTGCTTACCCGTACCATGCCCTCAGAGCTCAGTGGTGTCTGAGAGGTGTGGGCCAACTATATGCAGGAGTCCAGGACAGGCGTCTTCCAGCCAGAGGCCTGTTGCCCGGAGGCCCTCGGTGGGGCTGGGGGGTCTCCAGGAAAGGGGAGATGTGCACACCTGCTGCATGTGCAGCCTGAAATCCAGCCCTCATACAAATGAGCAGACCAAGGCCCAGATGGGGCAGGTCTGGCCCTGGGTTGGATGGGAATCCATGCCCCTCCCAGCCTCAGTAGACCCTCTGTGAAGTGGGGACCATGAGGCCCCCTCCCTGGGGCTTGTTGAGCTGTGATCCCTGCTGGCATGCTGCTTGGGCTGAGTGCACAGTGGGTGCTGGGTGCAAGTGGGTGCTGGGTGCACAGTGGATGACCGCTGGGTGCAAGTGGGTGCTGGGTGCACAGTGGGTGCTAGGTGCACAGTGGATGGGTGCTGGGTACACAGTGGGTGCTAGGTGCACCATGGGCGCTGGGTGCACAGCAGATGGGTGCTGGGTGCACAGTGGGTACTAGGTGCACAGTGGATCGGTCCTGGGTGCACAGTGGGTGCTAGGTACACAGTGGGTGCTGGGTGCAAGTGGGTACTGGGGGCACAGTGGATGCTGGGTGCACAGCGGATGGGTGCTGGGTGCACAGTGGATACTGGGTGCAAGTGGGTGCTGGGTGCACAGTGGATGCTGGGTGCACAGCAGATGGGTGCTGGGTGCACAGTGGATGCTGGGTGCAAGTGGGTGCTGGGTGCACAGTGGTGTCTCCTGCTAAGACACCACACCCCATTCACAGACCAGAGAAGTTTGGTGACTTGCCAGGGTCACTCAGCTCGCAAGTGCCCTAGTGGGGGTCCCACCCAGGTCTGGGTTTAGCCTGATTTCCTCCACCCTCACAGGCACCTCCACATTCCCTGGGCCCTCCTGGTGGCCAATTCCATGGGGCAGGGCATTTCCCAAGCCGGAAGGAGGGCCTGCCCTCCCAGGAGACAGTTAACCTGCCATAAGGAGGCCTGCTGGAGCCAGCTGTACCCCAGACACATCCAGAGACCCTGGGAGAAGGGGCCTCCCTGGGACAGAGGTGCCAGGAGAGGTCAGCATGCTCACCCCCATTTTCCAAGGTCCGAGAGAGACAGCAGCAGGTTGTGGGGTGGGCTCCACCCAGCTCCCCCACACTCCACTTGCAGCCCCAGGCACCAATCTCATACCTACCCCATGCCATGAAACCCTTTGCACACAGACTGTGAATTACCCCCACTCCAACGTGGAGGGGATGTGGCCATACCCGGACCATTTGGGAGGATGCTAGGTGGGTGACATGAGCTGGGGTGGAGGAGAGATGGATGCGTGGGGCTGCCCCTGACGGGCGGAAGAATGCCAGGAGGCAGTGACAGCAGGTCCAAAGGCTCCAAGGCCAACGGGGGTGGGGGAGAGGTTTCAGAGGGGTCTGCAGCCGAGGGGCTGGGGTGGAGATCCCAGGCAGACCTTGGTCCCTGGCTTGGGAGCGGGATTTCTCAGTGGGGACCCCCACCCCAGCATTTCCCAGTCTGAGTGTCAGGGTCCCCGCTGGGTGGGCCGCGGCCCCAAGAGCCCAGCAGGCCTCACCCCCATCTGCACATGCCCAGCCTGCTGCGCCTGGGCCCCTTTTTCTGGCAGGCAGCAGGCCCTGGGGTCACCAGAGCCAGTGGGACTTGACCCCAGGGCTGGGGCCGCCATCTCCCCTAGCTCACCCAGGGACATCCCAGCCCCAGGACGGCCAGGCCAGGTGCAGGCGTCCAGCCCAGCCTCTGGTGAGGCCTGGGACCCGCTGGCTGCCACTCCTCCCTGTCCTTGCCGCCGTCCCCGTCGGCACACGCTGCTCGTGGTACAGCCAGAGCTCTCCCTGGCCAGTCCCGGGGCCGGGCTCTTAACCCTCGCGGAGCCTCCGTTACTGCACATGTGAGCTGGGTGCGAGTCCCTTGGTGGCTGGGGGGAGAGAGCACGTGTAGCACATGTGGACTCCGAGGCCCTTGGCTGTCACCGCCGCCAGCCTTAGTGCCGCACGCAGGTGCCGCCGGCAAGCTGCAGGGCGCCCTGATGGAGGGGCCGCAGCAAAGGGCAGGTGGAGGTGGACTTTGACCCGGGCCGGCTTCCCGGGGAGCCAGGCTCCTTATCTGATCTAGGAGCCAGGGCCGCATGGGGGCGGGGGTGGGGCCCGGGAAGGAGCTGGAAAAAACAGCCAGGGCTGCACCTGGCACCGCCCGTAGTGATAGCGTGGCGATGGGCGCGATAACACAGCAGCGCAGGAGCTGTCTGCCGCTTGGCGGGTCCAGCGAGGCTCCCTCGCGGTGGCTGGAGCTCAGATGCCAGCCACTTTGATTTATAGCCAAAAATAATAGGACTTTTATACTGTGTGATTGACTTATTTGATGTTAATCGCAGCCCTTATCGCGGGTATTAATAATCTGTAGACACGTGACGTCATGGGGTGGGGGGGCTTTATGGGATCGCATCGATCGGGGCCGAGGTGGTTATCAGGCCAGCTGGGAAGGCAAACATGCCCTTTGGGCTGGAATCGGTGCAGGGCCTGGTGGAGGGGCCCCCAGCTGCCAGCAGAGGGGACCAGGGAGCTGGCGACGGCGCATGTGCCTGCTGGCCGGGACAGGCCAGTTGGCCATCCTGTACCCTGATTATCAACAGCAGCTGGAATAACAATTATCTTTGAAGCAATTAATGAGGGGAGAGGGGTTTTAAAAGAGCAAGAGGAAAACTTGGATGTCTGTCCCACCCCAGTGAGAGCGCACCAGGAGATGGGGGTGGCTCTGGGCCCGAGCTCCCCAACCCGGCGCCCAGCGCCTCAGCATCCTTCCCAGCTACAGGGAGGGGCAGCTCAGTGCCCGGCACTCAGCAGGGATGTGACGGTGTTTTCCTCTCTGCAGATGTTAACTCACCCCCACCGCTGCCGCCCCCCACATCCCCAGGAGGCCCCAAGGAGCTGGAAGGACAGGAACCAGAACCCAGGCCCACGGAGGAAGAGCCGGGCAGTCCCTGGAGCGGGCCAGGTAACCACGCGGGTGGTGGGGGCAGCAGCATCGCCTCCCGGGCAGCCTGGCCCGGCCCCTGGGAGCAGGGCGACGTGGGTGCTGGGGCAGGTGTGCAGGTTGCTGGAGACCCACCAGGCCCAGGCCTGTGCCTAGTCCAAAGCTCAGCCAACCCGTGCAGCTGGTGGTATCACTGGAGCTTGGCACCCTCGCGCCAATCCCGGGCCTCACGTGGTGTACAAGGAAGCGCTGGGGGGTTCCCTGGATCAGAGCCTGGTCTGGGCCGCGGAAGAGGATCCAGAGTGGTGGCTGGTAAAGAATCCTCAGAGGCAGGAAAGGCAGGGAGGTGGGAACAGGAGGCTGCGTCTGAGCTGCCCGGGCCCGTGGCCTTCCCAGCTGGGCCGGGATTCAGAGCTGTGCTGAGGTGCCCAGGCAGGCGGTCAGGCCTGAAGGGCAGGAGAGGGCCCCACCCCACTCCAGAGCGGCTGCAGCCTATGGGGACGGAGTCCCATCCACATACCCCGCGGGGCCTGGGCCACAGGGTGTGTCCTAGAGGGTGGTTTGGTGACTCTGCTCCGTGATTTGCAGCTGGAGTTCTGACCCCAGAAGTCCCATGAACGTGTTCTCCCTGTGGCCCCTTCGGGGACTGTGAATTCCATTCATTTATGAACGCAGGAAATACTGGCAGTCAGGTTGTTTCTGTCGTTCCTAATAAATCCCACAGCCCAAGGAACCGCAGTAGCGTCTGGGGTGGAATCCCAGGGCTGCCTGGCCAAGGCCGTCATGGGAGCTGGTGGGTGAGGGAGGGAGGGGGCCCAGCAGAGGCGGGGTGGGGGTCGCAAGGTCCCCCGTGGAGGAGGGACAGCGTGGGGAGGGGCAGGTGCTCGAGCCAGATGCATGTACAGATGCAGCAAGTATTTATTATTTTTTTTTTTTTTTGAGATGGAGTCTCACTCTGTCGCCCAGGCTGGAGTGCAATGGCGCGATCTCGGCTCACTGCAAGCTCCGCCTCCCAGGTTCACGCCATTCTCCTGCCTCAGCCTCCCGAGTAGCTGGGACTACAGGTGCCTGCCACCATGCCCGGCTAATTTTTCTATTTTGAGGAGAGACGGGGTTTCACCGTGTTAGCCAGGATGGTCTCGATCTCCTGACCTCGTGATCCGCCCGCCTCGGCCTCCCAAAGTGCTGGGATTACAGGCGTGAGCCACCACGCCCGGCAGCAAGCATTTATTGAGTGCCTGCTGTGTGCCAGGCATATAGCCGGGAGCAGATGGCCGATGCAGAGCGCGCAAGCGGCCGTAATGACACCAGCAGGGCCCCGTCTGTGGAGAGAAGATGCATGGTGAGGCGCTCGCCGTGCTGGGGAGCGGGAAAGGCTTCGCTGAGGCAGAGGGACCACATTCCTTCCCAGGGGCCAAGATGGAAAGGGGTCAGCGAGGTCCCAGCAGCAAGGGGAGAGTGCACGATGGGTCCATGTGCCCGCCGGTGCAAGTAGGCAGCCGCTTGTTTAACGCTGCCCCTTCCCACAACAGGGCAGCCGGGGCCACAGAGAGAGGGGTGGGCCTGGGCAGCCGCAGCCAGGAGGATGACCCGGCCCCATGGGGAAGCTGAGTTACACCTGCATGGGCTGTGGGGCTGCCCAAGGCAATGCTGGGGCCTCATGGCCACCGGTCCTCACGGGCTCCCCCTGCTGTCCCCCAGGAAGGGGGACCGGGCATCCAGCACAGCAGATGATGTGACTTGCCCACCTGGGACCCACAGATGGTGGGGGTTCCAGGCGCCATGGTAGAAACTTGCTGGCTGCGTCCCTTCTCCTCAGGGACACCAGGTGGGGAGCAGGCCCAGGACACACCTGTCGGGGGTCAGACAGGCGCTGGTGCCTTCGGGGCTCTCGGTCAGGCGCTGGTGCCTTCGGGGGTCTCGGTCAGGCGCTGGTGCCTTCGCGGGTCCCAGTCAGGCGCTGGTGCCTTCGGGGGTCCCAGTCAGGTGCTGGTGCCTCAGGCCTTCGCTGCGGAGTCAGCATGACAGGGAGGCCTTTTCACTTGCAGGGCAGCACTGTGGGGTCGGGAGGGGCCGCCCTGACTGCCTCAGTGTCCCCTGCTGTAGAATAGGGTAGCGGGTAGCAGGGAGGGCGCCCACAGGCCCCCCTCGGGCCCGCAGAGCTCCCACACTCTATCAGTGGAGACCACCCACGCAGTGGCAGGGACCATTGTGTACCTGTGGGACCCAGTTGGCCACTGGGCAAACAGGGTGCTGGGCAGTCCTCACACCAGCCCCAAGAGGGGCCGAGATGGTGACCCAAGTCTCTGGAGGAGGAGACCCAGCCCGGGGATGCAGGACGCATCCACCGTCATGCGGCTGGGAGGTGGTGGAGCTGGGTTTAGGCCTGGAGTTCATAGACACTGGTTTGATCGCCACCCCAAGGGTCCCTGTCCATCCCTGCGGTGTTGAGAGGGGTTAGATCATCCTCCTGTTCTCCAGACGGAGAAGGCCCTGGGGGATGGAGCCTGGCGCCGGGAAGGGCCGGGCCCCTGAGGCCGGCCGTGGTTTGGGGCTGGGGCACACCCCCGAGCTTCCTGTGCTGTGTGCATCCTCAGGACCAGGCGGTGCCCTATCGGCTCCCGCAGATATGAATTTCTGTGCAGTGGGCGGTGATGGGCTGATACGCGGCCGCTGGCCAACCGCTGCAGTGGCTACGGCCTATCAGACCCACACAGGCTGAGCTATCACCCGCGGGGAAGCCAAGGAGGCTCTGTGGGCTGTTATCTCTCGGGGCGGCCCGTGCGTCGATGGCCAGCAGGGTCAGTGGCCCCAAGGGCAGTGCCCAGCCAGGTGACCGGTCCAGTGGCCAGGGCACAATAGGGGATCAGCCACATTTGCCCTGCTCCTCCTGAGCATCTCTGCCTTCTGTCTCCAGACCCTCTCTCTGATGCTCCATCTTGTGTGAGCCCCTCTCTCTCTCCCCATCCCTCCTCGCCTTCTCCCTCTCTCCCTTCCTCTCTCCCTCTCTCTTTGCCGTTCTCCTTCTCTCTTCCTCCCTCCCTGCCTCTCTTTCTCTCTCTCTCTCTCTGTCTCTCTCCATGCCTCTCTCCCTCACCCGTCTCTGCCCCTTTCTCTCCCAATTTCTGTTTTATGGTCTCTGGCCCACAGCTGCTCCCCACCCCACCCAATCCCAAGGGTGGGAAACAGTGCAGGCCCCAGCCCTTCTGAACCTGCCCCAGCCCCTCTGAACCTGGCCTGGGGCCCTGTTCTTGAGGCGGCCTGGGAGGTGCCGTCCTCCTTTCCTATCTGGGGTGGAGGGAGCACCAGCTCGGACCAAGGGGCACTCTGCACCTTGTGGCTTTGGGGAGGTGACTGGGCCCTGAGTCTGTTTCCCATCTGTCCTGCATGTGGATGGGACCCGGTCACGCTGCAGAGCCCAGAGCCCAGGGCCCTCATCTGCTGGCTGGACCCGGACTCACAGGTATCCTGGGAAACCCCCCAACCCCGACCCCGGTTAGACCCATTTCCCAGGGAAAGCGACTGGGACTTGTGGACATCCAGAAGGTGGACGGTGTTAGCCCGGCGGAGAGGCCCGGCCTTGGTGCCTCTCCCAACAGCTCCACCATGGGTCCAGCCAGGCTGCCCTGTCCCTGGTGGTCCCAGACTCCCTGGAGGCACTCATGTAACATCAGGCAGAGAGGAGGCCTCCCAGCCCCTCTCCTTCTCCCAAGGGACACCCAAGAGGCCCCCAACACCCGCTGCACACATAAGTGAGTTCCTGGGCACACAAGGACTTTGTAAGCACCGGAGAGCTGTCCCGGGGAGCAGAGACCTGTCCCAGGGTGTGGGGAGCTGTCCCAGGGAGCAGAGAGCTGTCCCAGGGTGTGGGGAGCTGTCCCGGGGTATGGAGAGCTGTCCCGGGGTATGGAGAGCTATCCCGGGGTGCGGAGAGCTGTCCCGGGGTGCGGGGAGCTGTCCCGGGGTGCGGGGAGCTGTCCCGGGGTGGGGGGAGCTGTCCCGGGGTGGGGAGAGCTGTCCCGGGGTGAGGAGAGCTGTCCCGGAGTGAGGAGAGCTGTCCCAGGGTGCGGGGAGCTGTCCCGGGGTGGGGAGAGCTGTCCCACGGTGAGGAGAGCTGTCCTGGGGTGCGGGGAGCTGTCCCGGAGTGAGGAGAGCTGTTCCGGGGTGGAGAAAGCTGTCCTGGGGTGTGGGAAATTGTCCCGGGGTGGGGAGACCTGTCCCGGGGTGGGGAGAGCTGTCCCGGGGTGGGGAGAGCTGTCCCAGGGTGCAGGAAGCTGTCCCGGGGTGCGGGGAGCTGTCCCGGGGTACGGAGAGCTGTCCCGGGCTGCGGGGAGCTGTCCCGGGGTGGGGAGAGCTGTCCCGGGGTGGGGAGAGCTGTCCCAGGGTGCGGGGAGCTGTCCCGGGGTGGGGAGAGCTGTCCCGGGGTGGGGAGAGCTGTCCCGGGGTGTGGTGAGCTGTCCCGGGGTAGGGAGAGCTGTCCCGGGGTACAGAGAGCTGTCCCGGGGTGCGGTGAGCTGTCCCGGGGTGCGGGGAGCTGTCCCGGGTTGCGGAGAGCTGTCCTGGCATGCACATGGCCATTGTCTTGACTTCCCATGATCTCCTGGCCCTGTTACTGCCCCCACCCCAGCCCCTTCCTGGCCCTACCTGATACCTGGTGGTCCCAGAGCCCTAAAAAGGATCAGGGAGGCACTCAGTGGGTGCTGGTTTTTGTTTTCAAAAGTTCTGAGCTCTGTCTGCTGCGAGCGGCTTTGCTCTCGAGCGCCACGGCTTCAAAGGAGGGCACCTTGAGCTGTTCTGAGACGGGAGCACAGGCCCTATAGTCCAGCCTCGCTGAGTGACAGCAGGCAGGCCGCCTGACCCCTCCAGGCCTCAGTTTCCGCATCTGTAAAATGGACATAAGGAAAGCCACAGCCGCAGGAAGCCTCCACGAGGAGGGGGACTGCGGAGTGTGTAGCGCAGAGTGTGGCTGGAGTCACTTCCCAGACCTCGGCTGCAGGCCTTGAGCTTGTCGGCTGCCCCGGGGCGGCCTGGGTTATCTCGGATTGGGGGGTGCGGGCAGGTTCTACGGGGAGAAGCCGCCATCTGCAACCTGGAACTCCCCTTTCCGCGGCCAAGAGGCGGCCGAGCAGGGGCCGGGAGCAGCCACCTTGCGCTCCCCCGTCGGTGGCAGTCACCATGGCCTCATGGCAGGAGGAGCTCACCCCCCAAACCCCGTTACCCTCTCAGCACCAGGGAGGCTTCCAGGTGGAAGCCGGAAGGGATCCACCAGTGGGGTTGTTGCAGTGCGGCCCCGCTGTCCAAAGCAGGACGCCCGGCCGGGGTGAGAGGCCGCGGGCAGAGCCTCCCGTCACAGGGACCAATCACAACACACCAAACCCCGCCGTCACCACCCACAGCAAACCCAGGAAGCGAGGGGGAAACAGGGAGGGGGCTGATTCCAGGAGGGGGTGTCCGCGGGCCTCCAGGGTGAGTCGGGGCCCTGCAGTAGGGAGCAGAGGGTGCAGTAGAGGGCGCAGCCCTGCACGGGCAGGAGGCCGCAGGGCCTGAGTGGGGGGCGAGGCGGGCGTGGACAGGCAGGAGTGCGGCCCGGTCACTGGGCCTGTGGCCTTGGACTCCAGTGAGGCAGCAGGAGGAGCCGGCAGGAGGAGAGAAGGGCTGGGGTCTGAGCGTGATCCCAGAAGTGGCCACAGAGAAGGGACCTCGGGTGGAGGCCACCAGGGCCTGGACTCCCTCCTCCTCCCTGGAGCCACCAGCCCGGATGCGAAGGGAAGGATGGGCGGCAGGAGGCGGAGAGCTCCTATTTTATCTTTGAAATGACCTTGTTTGCCGGAGGGGCGGCTGCTTAAGATTCTGCTATGCAAATGGCTAAGCCATAATCTATAATCCCTGCACGCGCTCGGGAGCAGCTCGGCCGTGGCTCATCCTGCAGGCCCGTCCCATCGTGGGATGTGGGGCTGAGTCCTGGGCATCCCACTCCTGCCTCGGAAAATGGAGGCGCTCAGACGTGCCAGCCCCACTAGGACTTGGAGGGGTGGAGCCGGGGTCCCATTCGACTCCCTGGGGTCCTGGGCTGGCCCATTTCACGGGCCCTGTGTGGTCGTCTGCCCAGAGAGTAATCGTGTAGGCTGGGCCACAAGGAAACAGGTGCAGGAAAAGGCCGAAGAGCGTGGGGGCTGGACCCTGGAGTGTGGAATCCCCTCCCCTGGAACAGGCCTCCGCCACCTCCCTCTGTGAGGCTGGGCAGAACTGAGGGGAACTGGGCTCAGAGGAAAGCTTCTCGCCCAGGGCTACCTGGGGCACCGAGGAGGCCTCACTTGTCCGTCCTTCCTCTGGCCCCCTACCTGCCCACCTGTGCCAGTGCAGAGGAGGTGCCTGGTCTGCTGGGTGGGCAGAGAGCGAGTCTCCCCCAGCTCTGCCTGTGTCTGTCTGGGAGGCAGCGTGGTGCAGGCACCGAGGGTGGGAAGGATGGCCTGAGACCTGACGCTAAGGGCAGGACCGTGCCAAGGGTGCCATGCTAGGCGGGGAGTGAGGAGGCGGCCTCAGAGGCCCACAGGACTTGCCCACCACTCTGTGTGTGTGAAGTAACATGAGGGAAGCCGGGGCTCTATGGCCCCGGATGGAAGGTGAGTGGCCAGGAGCCCACTTGGGGGCCAGGGTGGTGGGGTTCCCTTCACCAGGAGGCGTCTCGGGGCCTAGAGCTTTTTCCTGGTAACCAAATGTATGAAACAAAATGCAACTGGGCCATGGGGAGGGGGGCATGCTAAGGCAAGAGGAGCACAGGGGTCCGCCTGTGAGGTGGGAGCTGGGGTGGTCCAGGGCAAAGCGTGGCCGCATTGCCCACAGGCTCCGGGGCAGGCTCCCAGCAGTGACTCCTGCGGCTCTCACCTGAGCCTGGGCTCCATGTGGCCCCACGGCCATCCTTGGGCAGGGCAGGACACTCCATCCCAGAGTCCTCTGGAGCCGAAGGAGGAGGCTTCCAGAGGGCACCTGGCAGTGGCATCCACTGCCCTTGGGTGTCAGGGAGAATTTTCCTGGTGGGCTCAGCACACATCCCCTGCCTGGCCTCCTGGAAGGGTTTTCCATGAGGAGGGACCAGCCTGGGCAGAGGTGAGAGGCCCAGGATGTGACAGCGGCGGGGCTGGCTTTATCCTGAGAGCACAGGGCTGGGGGTTCCAGGCTGGAGCCTGGCCTTGGAGACAGGCTGGATAGGAGAGGGAGGGCAGAGTGGGGCTGGGTTGGTGCTTGGGGACCTGACCCAGGTGCACCACTGAGGCTCAGCCCTGGCCTGTGCAGTTCCCGGGCAAGCAATCCTCATGAAGCCCAGACCCCGCCCCACCCCCACTGACTCCAGGGGCAAAGTGGGGCCTGGGAAGCTGGGCCTTTGGTGGAGGAGAGGCCTGGGGTACCCTGCGGCTGAGATTGAACAGGGGGGCTCCCCTGGACCCTGAAGCCCCCACCTGGGGGCTTCAGGCTGTGGAACAAAAGTCCCCACCTGCCCTGGCCCAGGGTGGGCCACAGGGGAGAGAAAGCAACAGAGAGGGGGCTTGGGGTGGGGACGGGGACCCTCACCCACACACTGCTGGGCATCAGAGCACACCAGCACTGGTCATGTACACGGGGCTTGAGGAGATCGCCTCTCACTGGGCGTTTCCTGTGAGGGGGGCTCTCGACTCCTGGTATACAGGGTCTCTCACGTCTGGCAGCCAGTCCTGCAGGGGAGGTCTGAGTTGGATCCCACTCTACAGTTAGGGAAACGGGGGCTCAGCAAGGTGAGGTGGCTTCGCCACAGCGGTCCAACCCTGAGTGGACATGGGGCTGGGACTTGGGCAGCGCTGCCTGTGGGTGGGGGGCTGCCAGGCCTGCCCCTGCCCAGGAGCCGCACACACCTGCTCCTGGCTCGCTCCACCCGTAAGTGCCTCAGGACCTGGAGCTCTCCCAGGACCACTATGGACAAGGTGAATTCCAGCTGATCACACAAGTCGTGACTTTTCCATCCCCACTCCATCCTGGGCTCTGATGGCAGAGATGGGAAGGCTGGCCATGTCCCCAGGGCACTGCTGGCCAGTAGAAGGGATGCCCGAGTGTCAGGCTGGGTGTGAGAGATGGGAGGGGCGGCAGGTGGACGGCCCCAGCCCCAGCCCCAGCCCCAGCCCCATTCCAAGGTGTGACAGACACAGTAGAGTGGGGTCGGGTGTGCACAAGGAGCTGGCTCAGGGCCTGAGTTTCAAGTGGTCAGTGGTGGCTGGAACATCAGGGCCCGGGCGGGGATGGGGTTCAGAGGGGTCAGGGTGGGGCTCAGGGCCTGGGCGGGGATGGGGTTCAGAGGGGTCAGGGTGGGGCTCAGGGCCCGGGCGGGGATGGGGTTCAGAGGGGTCAGGGTGGGGCTCAGGGCCCGGGCGGGGATGGGGTTCAGCGGGGTCAGGGCGGGGGCTCAGTGCCAGGGACTGCAAGGAGCTGCCTCGGTTTTCTTGGCTGTAAAATGGGTACCCTGAAGGGTTTTGTGGGGGGTGTTCGTGCCGTGAGCGATCCGGTCCAGCATCCCGGCGCTGGGAGCCGGCAGCTGCTGTGAGGCGGGAGGAGGGCTCTGTCCACTATTTCCTGCCTGAGGCCCACGAAGGGTCCCCCGCCCCAGGGTCCCGACAGGGCCCGCCCGAGGCTGGGAATCCTCACCCGAGTGTGTGAGGGCGTCGGGCTGGTTATCTGGGCCGAGCTCCATCTGACTAATCTCGCCGGCGGAGCGTCTACGCAAACCTCAAGGCCTGCTATCGGGTGGAGGCTGAGGCGGGGGCCCGGCCTGATGGACAGCAGGGAGATGGGCCGATAGGCGACTGGCTCCCTCCCCACCCGGTGTGCGTGGGTGGGAAATCATTCCAGCTATTCTGCCTTATCAGCGGCCCTGTGCTGCCCCCGATAGCACTATTAGTCTTAGATTAACGGCGGAGGAGGGGGCCCTGGCGGATGGCAGGGGTCAGCCTGGGGTCAGCTCCAGAGACCAGACCCAGTGCTGGGTCAGGAGCCACCTCCTCTGGCTGTCCTGGGGAACACGGACCCACCTGGGGGGTCCCCAGAGGGAGCCTCAGACCCCGCCCCACTTCACAGCTGGGCAGAGGGGGCCCTGGGGAGCCCGAGACAGAACCCGAGGAGGGGCTGTGTGTCTCGCAGCCACGCCCCTTCCCCGGAGGTTTGCTGAGCACTTTGGGGCCAGGCGCATATCAGGTGCTGGATAGACAGGGATGGGCCTGCCCTGGACGTGTATGGTGGAGGGACACGGGCCCTGGAACCAGAAAGAACATGGGTGTCCTGCCCGGGAGCAGTTAAGAGAAGGAGGTGGCATGTTCATTCAACCAGCGTGTGTATGAGGGACGTGCTCAGGCCAGCATAGCCCAGGCCCTCCGGGATCTGCTCCTTGGTGAGGGAGACACCCCAAATCATGACGAGGTAGGAACCCCACATGTCCGAGGGGCAGGCAGAGCCGGCCTCGCTGAGCCGACGTTTGAGTTCCAAATGAACGAGGGGCGTCTGGAAACGGTGTCCCAGGCCGAGGGCGCAGTCCCGGAGCCGGGGGCACCCCTCTAATCTGGAGTGATCGCAGGGGTGAGGCAGCAGTCAGCTCAGAGCCTGAGGCCCCATCACATTGGGCCTGCGGCTGCAGAGGGTGGTTATCTTGGAAACTGAGTTCAGAGGTCGCAGGCTCTGGCTGGCCTGACCCTGGGTCGTTGGCGTGGACACCTTGGCTGCCCCTGGCCCTGAGCCTTCCCATGACACCCTTCCCTCCCCTCTCCCAAGCACTGGCCCCAGGCCTGGGTGGGGGCTGCACCCGGGTCCTGCCTGCACCACCAGACCCCAGGCCTGCCTCTCCACGCAAGGCCCTGTGGGCGGAGCCCCTGGACAGGGTTGAGCTTGGGGCCAGAGCCATCTGCAGCCCCCGAGGCCGGCTCCCCTTCCTTCATCCCCAGCTCCCCAACGGCCCCCGTGGCTCCCCCATGACCAGGCTGCCGGCACCCTGGGGCCTGGCTGACCTCCCGCACCCACCCCAGCCCTGGCCATACAGAAGCCGCCTCCTGAACCTGGCCCTGACTTCAGCCTCCACCCCGGGAAAGTCACCTGGGCCTCGAAGTCCCGAAATCGCAGGCAGAGCCGGCACTCACTCACTCCCTTGTACTTCCATTTATTGAGCACAAGCTATGTGCCAGCCCTGTGATAGACAGGGGGATGCAGCGTGAGGAAAACAGACCTCCTCCAGAGCAGCCGCGGAGGAGAAGAGAGCAGTCGTGGGGGCCGCGCAGCGGGTGGGAGACGCAGGCCAGGGCAGAGGAAGCCGGGTACAGAGGCCTGGGGTGGGGCCGGCCCAGCTGACTTTGGGAGCAGCGAAGGGGCCAGGGGGCAGGCAGGACCGCGCACGTGGACAGGGCGGAGCCTGGTGCCTAGCAGGCTGGACACGGAGCAGGTCTGCGTGCAGTGTGGGGGACCCCACCTGGGTGGCCCCTGAATCCCGCTGGCTGGGTGGAGGACGGCTCAGGGGCAGACAGAGGGAGATCTGAGAAAGGGCTTGGCTGAAGTGGGCAGTGTCCCCATTCACAGATGGGAAACTGAGGCCAGGAGAGGTGAGGTAGCCACCCCACCCCCATGCTGGGGAGGGGCCGAGTGGGCACAGAGCCCACAGGCCTGCCTCCCAGGGAAGGGCCCAGGCCCACCCATCCAGCCTCTCCGGGTCCAGCCCCCAAGTCCCGTGGGCTCCCCGGCCCCTCCTCGGCCCCATGCCAGCAGAGGGTGAGCGGACAGTGGATGCCCCATGAGGAGCGCAGCCGGAGCCCTGGGTCTCCAGCCATCCTGGTGGTTGGGGGGCGGGGGCCGGGCCTGGCTGCCTGCCGTGCTGCCCTCTGGCCTCACCACCTTCCGGGAGAGGCTATCTGTGGCCAGGGCAGCCTATCTCGGCCGCAGGCGCTAATCAAGCTGGCTTCCTCCTCCGCCCTCCCACCCGGCTTCCTGCCCCGGCCATCCCCCACCACCAGCCCCCACCCAGGCCCCGCCGTTGCCCTACCGGCCCCTCCCAGACATCTCGGGGGCAGGCCCACCAGAGTCACCTGGGCGAGCCCCTGGAGCCCCGGCTACTGCCCAGAAGCTTCCCTCCTTGCCCCTCCTGGGCCTGCCGCATGGCCGGGGACACAGCCAGCTCCCCCCATGAGCTGGTGGCCTCGTCAGGAAGACGGCCACAGGGCGCTCTTGGGAGGACCCTTGGGACAGTGGGCAGGCGCTGGGCAAGCCACAAGCGTGTCGCTGGCAGCTGCTGCCCCAGCTGCCCTTGTTCCCACCACTACACCCGTGTCACCACCAGCGTGGGCACCGTGACTGTCACTAGCACAGAAACAGCGCTATTAGAGAGTGCTGCTGCTGGCCTGGCCGCTGTCACCTTGCTGGTGCTGTCGCTGTCACTCTGGGTCATTCTGTCACCTTGCTAGGACTGTTGCTGCCAGCAGTGCTGTTGCCGTTACTGGCACCAACCCTCCCGCTGGCACAACGGCAGACTCAGCTTCCAGGTGTCACCTCTCTCACCGCAGACCTGGGGCCTGTTGTGCCCTGTTCTGGGCTCAGGGTCCTCATCTGTGAGACGTGGACAGGACAGTTCAGGCTCCCTGGGGCTGCTGGGGCAGGGCAGGGCCCACAGTTTCTCTTTCCCAGCAAGTCTGCGTGGTCAGCTCGGATCTTGGCCACCCTGGGCTGAGCCAGGTCCTGGGCACAGTGCTGGGTCCCTAGACGGCACCTCGGTGTCCTCACCTGACCGACAGGTACAGCGGGCCCTCCCTGTGGGGGTGCAGCCTTGGCTGGGGATATGTCAGGGTCTCTAAGGCTGGCCCCTCCCCACACTGGCCTGACTTCTCCACCTCCTCCTGCCCAGGAGGGAAACTGAGACACCACTGCTGGTGATGGAGGTAGCGGTCATGGATGCGGGGGCCCTCCCGCAGGTGCTGGTGATGATGGAGATAGCAGACATGGATGCGGGGGCCATCCCGCAGGTGCTGGTGATGATGGAGATAGCAGACATGGGTGCGGGGGCCCTCCCGCAGGTGCTGGTGATGATGGAGATAGCGGGTGTGGGTGCATGGGCTCTCCCGCAGGTACTGGTGATGATGGAGATAGTGGGCCTGGGTGCGGGGGCCCTCCCGCAGGTGCTGGTGATGATGGAGATAGCAGACATGGGTGCGGGGCCCTCCCGCAGGTGCTGGTGATGATGGAGATAGCAGACATGGGTGCGGGGCCCTCCCGCAGGTGCTGGTGATGATGGAGATAGCAGACATGGATGCGGGGGCCATCCCGCAGGTGCTGGTGATGATAGAGATAGCAGACATGGGTGCGTGGGCCCTCCCGCAGGTGCTGGTGATGATAGAGATAGCAGACATGGGTGCGTGGGCCATCCCGCAGGTGCTGGTGATGATGGAGATAGCGGGTGTGGGTGCATGGGCTCTCCCGCAGGTACTGGTGATGATGGAGATAGTGGGCCTGGGTGCGTGGGCCATCGCGCAGGTGCTGGTGATGATAGAGATAGCGGGTGTGGGTGCAGGGCCTCTCCCGCAGGTGCTCTTGATGATGGAGGTAACGGGTGTGGGTGCCGGGCCCTCCCGCTGGTGCTGATGATAATGGAGATAGCGGGCATGGGTGCAGGGCCCTGCCGCTGGTGCTGGTGATGGAGGTAGTGGGCGTGGGTGCAGGGCCCTCCTGCCACTGCTGTTTGCCATGGGATCAACCCCAGCCCGCGAGGGGGCTCCTGGGCCGATGAGCAAACTGAGGCCCAGTGAGTTCACGTGGTTCATCCGAGGTGGAGACCAGGCCGGTGAGCCCTGACCTCCTGACCCCAGCCCTGCAAACGCCCCAACCCATGGTTTAACACTCCTAGTAGCTCCTCCACCCCCGACGCGGCTCCACCCGCCCCCCCCCATTTATTTATTTATTTATTTATTTATTTATTTATTTATTTATTTATCTCTCCTCCTTCTCTGCGTGTAACTTTTTATTTCCTCACTGCGCTTTTCCATTACAGCGGCCGTGGACGCAGCTGATAAGATCGGTCCCCGGAGATGGGACAAAGGGGCCGCCATCGGCTCGAGGGCTGGTCATATCCTGCCCGAAAGGGCCGAGCAGGGCCTGAGATGCGGCAAGATGCTATCTCGGGTTTATTGCGTCTCGTGAGGGTGCCTCCCACCCCGGCCCCCCGCCCTCTCCCGCCCTGCCCAGGGGCCCGGGCGCCGGGCACTCAGGACCCACCTCTGCCCCATAGGCCTGACGCCTCTGTGCTTGCCCCTCCATGTCCCCCAACCCCGTCCCTGTGCCCTGTGGGCCGCCCGGGGCCATGGACAGGGTCTTTGGCCCCAGGTTCCCATCTGGATCCACCCTGGAGTCACTGTAGGTCTTGGGCTTGTCCCCAGCCTCCCAGAGCCCCACTGTCCCTTCCCGTCCAGTGCTGCTGGAGGCAGTGGCCTTGGTGACCCCCCCTAGCCGAGGGTCCCCACCTCGCAGGTCGGAGCCACCCGGTCCGGGCTGCCCCAGCGCCAGCAGCTGCTGCTTCCCTTGACTCAGCAGTTGGCTCCTGGGAATTTATCCCAGAAAAATCATCCCGGCATGGGCGGGCTCAGGTCAGCATGTCAAAGATGGCAAGCCATTTATTTTTTTAAATTTTTGCTGTCTTGCCACGTTTCTTCCAGAGAAGGATGTTCTAAGGGCAGCAGAGGCCACGTGGATGCCCGTTTGTGGGTCTCTGCACACACGGTGGCCGGACGGCAGATCCGGGGCTGCCCTCAGAGCGCTCGCCACCCCCACCCGCCTTTAGCTGTCGTTCCTCCAACCCCACCAGCCATGAAGGCCCCTCAGGGCTGGAAGGCTGTGTGCGGTCTCTTCGGCAGGTGGGAGGTGGCAGGGGCGCTGCTCCGCGGGGCAGGGTGGGTGGATGAGCACGGCGCCCCTGGGACAGGAACCCCCACTGTAGCACAGTGCTTGATTCAGGGGCCAGTGGGGACCCCCGTGGGTCCTGAGCAGCGGCACAGGGGAGGGAGCTGTGTCTGGGGGGCCACGGTTCCTGAGTGGAGGGATCTGTGTCTGGGGAGGGGCCCACGGTTCCTGAGTGGAGGGATCTGTGTCTGGGGGGCCCACGGTTCCTGAGTGGAGGGATCTGTGTCTGGGGAGGGGCCCACGGTTCCTGAGTGGAGGGATCTGTGTCTGGGGGGCCCACGGTTCCTGAGTGGAGGGATCTGTGTCTGGGGGGCCACGGTTCCTGAGTGCAGGGATCTGTGTCTGGGGGGCCCACGGTTCCGGAGTGGAGGGATCTGTGTCTGGGGGGCCCACGGTTCCTGAGTGGAGGGATCTGTGTCTGGGGAGGGGCCGGCCTGTTCTGCCTCCAGGGCTCCTCCTGCTTCCTGGTCTTTCCCACCCTCTGCCTGGCCTGCATCTGACTCACAGCCAGCTGCCTCTCTGTGGAGCCAGGTCCTCTCTGACCTCGGTCTTCTCATCTGTGTTGGGGTGATCGGTGCCATGGCAGCACCCTCTGTGGCTTCCCATAAAATCACACGTGACTTTTAGAAGAGGAGACACATTCACAGTTCACGGAAGCACCTTCTGCCTCCGGGACTCACATGGGGCTGGGCTCACCCCGGGGCACAGGCCCTGTACCCCAGTTAGCGCCTCGGGCTGCCAGGCAGATCTTGGGCTCCCGAGGCCTCAGTCTCCCCCTGGTTAGCACCTCCTCTGTGGAGGTGACGAGCCTGAAGGGTCAGTGAGGGCTCAGGGCAGCAGCCTTTTCTGGAAGGGACTTTTCCATTCTTGGGGGTAGCAGTGTCCTGACACTCTCGGTGGGTACCAGCGTCCTCACCAGCACCTGCCTGGGTGTCCATGGCTGCCCTCAGTGGGGGTGGGTGCCTGCCAGGCTGGGTAGATGGTCTCGCCCAGGGCTGAGGCAGTACCCTGGGCCCTCACTCACCCTCTCCCATTTATGAAGCACAGACAGAGTCCCCAGGGGGCAAATGAACAGGCTGAGCAGGGACCTGGTAGGAAGAAAGGGCCCTCAGCGGCATCCAGACCCTGGAAAAACGGGGCAGAGGCCAGGGCGCCCAGGCCGATAGGACACAGATAAGGTAAAGAAAATATGTTCTGTGCAAACAGCTTATCTGACATCCTGTTTTCAGCCACCAATAGGACAAGGCAAGGCTGGGGAGAGCCAGGGACCCCCACCCCAGTTCTCAGGCCTCAGGGTCCCCAAAGACCAGACTACTAGGACCTGGAGGCAAATCAGCTCCCTCTCCCCACTTCCCAGGCGGGAAGACCAAGGCCCAGGACCCAGGGTGTTTAGCCTTCCAGAAGCCCAGAGAGGCCGCCAATCTCCCAGCTTGGAGGTGACATGAGGCTGTGGCTTTCAGACTCCTCAGCCCTGGCGAGGTGCCGCAGAGTGGCAGAGACACCGCCCAGGGTGCATGGAGAAAGAGCACCTCGCTGGGCCCCGTGCACAGACCCCTTAAGGGTACATGGAGGGACATGGCCCCCCTGTGTACCGTGGCGCTCTGCCTGCCAGTCCAGCTGCCCCAGACGGGGCCAAGGTAGTGGTGTCTGAGACCACAGTCCCCAGAGAGCACCATGGAAGGGGTTCAGACAGGCAAGACCTGGCTCCGAGCTGTCCTCAAGGCCTCTGAAAGGGCAGTTCTGGGCCTGAGCACTGCCCCACTGCCCCTGTGGGGCCAGGGCCTTGCCCTTTCCCTTAGAGACACCCCCTCCCCAGGACAGGCCACTGGGCCTGCAGGTGCGAGGGCCCCCAGGTCCCTGCAGGAGAGCTGGGCCCCACCCTGCCCTCCTTGCTATTCCCAGGCGGTCCCAGCTCTGCCATTAGCTGGGGCCAGGGTTCAGCCCGATAAAGATGGGCTGTTGTTCTGTGTCAAAAAATCAATAATTGCAGCGATGTTCCAGGCGATAGGAAGACAAGTTCACAGGCACCAGCTGGCGGGTGGGCGGGGCGAGGCTGGGGGCTGCAGCACCTGGGGCCGGCCCTTCCTGCCTCTCCCTCGCCCGGTGGCTGACGCAGCTGCTCTACAGTGGACGCCAGGCCCAGGCTTGGCCAAGCCAAGCCATGGCCCCTGAGCCTGCTGCTCCTTACTGCCCGTTTGTGGAAGGGCAGCCCAGAGCCAGCTAGGGCCTCGGCGAGGAGGCCAGTCCCTCCCCAGGGTCCTCTGGCTGGGTCTTCTCCCAGGCGGTGGTGCCCTCCTCCTCCAAACACAGGCACTCAGGTCCACGGTGTCCCAGTGCCTTGGGGACACAGCCGTTCAACAGCCGGCCCTGAGGGGCTGACAGTCCAGCAGGAAGACAGAGTTAATGAAATCAAGACCTCTGCCCCCTGGTGCCCTCAGGAGGTGGTGAGCACTCTGGGGACCTGGGAGGCAGGGAGGAGGTGGGAGGGGCCGGCATCGCCCTCCGCACGACGGCTTCCTGGGGTCCTGGCACGGTGCCATGTGGGCTGGCCCTGAGGCATCACCATACCTGGCATCTACCATTCCCTGGAGCCAGCACCCCCTGCCGTCAGCTCCCGGGAACGCAGCCCATGCCGCCTGTCTGCTGACCCCACCCAGGCCCCCTGCGATGTGGGTCCTGAGCACATCTTGGCAAGGAGACCACCGTGCTGGTGGGCGGGTGCTTGGAGGATGGGCACATAGGGCACGAGGCCCACCTCTAGCAGAGAGAGAGCCTCGGCAGGTGCAGCCGCCGGCAGGGCCCCCCCATGGGGCTTTCCAACCACGTGCTCACCCCAAGGACAGGCACCCCCCGCACCCCCAGCCCCCCACAGCCATCCACAGTGAGTGCAGGGTCTGAGGGTCTCAGGAAGGCAGGTTCTGTGGTTCGAAGCCCTTTGTTAACCTCTGGCCTGGGGTGAGAAGAAAACCCTCATCCAGGAGGCCTGGGGCTCTAGGCCAACCCCACCCTGGGCTCTCCACTGGCCTCCAGGGTGCTCTGAGGTTTGTGGCCCAGCAGAGGCCAGGCATCATGGCCAGGAGGCCAACAGGGGCCATGCCAGGCAGAAGGCAGAGGAGACCAGGGCAGGAGGTGGGGAGACCAGGGGCAGGGGCAGGGAGACCAGGGTAGGGTTGGGGGGCACCAGGGTCAGGGGGCAGGGAGACCAGGGCAGGGGTGGGGGGGCACCAGGGCAGGGGGACCAGGGTAGAGGAGCTGGAACCCTCCCAGGAGGTGATGGGCCTGGGGTCTTCTAGGGCAGGGCGCTGGGGGGCCTTAGGCAGGCCCCTCCTTTGTTTCCCCTCAGTGAAATAGACTCAGGTCTTGTGCTGGGGCTTAACTGCAATGCTGGGCACACAATAACACAGAATAATCCAGAAAGGACTGAATGGGGGCGGGCGGGCAGGGCAGGTTGTGCACTGAGTGTGCGTCCGCAGAGTGGTGGCCATCACTGGGTGTGCACGGGGCACAGCTCTGAGGAGCAGAGCCATTTCCCCAGTGTGGCCAGAGGGCCCAGACGTATGTGACATCTGGTTTTTCAACAGCAAAGCTGATCCATTTCTCTACCCATCCTGGGTGTGCAGCTCCCAGGCTCCTCTGCGCCTCTCCCAGACCCAGCCCTCCTGCAAGGACCTGGACCCTCTGAGGGGCGCTGGGGGGACCCAGGAGGAGGCAGGGTGGGAGCCCTCATCAGGCCCCCAGAAGCCAGGCTAATCTGCAGAGCCCTCGAGTGGCTTTGTCTCCAAGCTCTGGTGCATCCATGGCTCCCGTCACCCGCGTCTCATCCGCCTGCGGCTCCGTCTCCCTTCTCGCTAGCGCATGTCACGTTGTTCCTTCCATCTCGGCTGTCCCGAGTGCCACAGCCGGGGCCACTGCTGCGAGTGAGGGCTACGGTCCTGCTGGCCTTTCCAGGTGGCCTTCTGCCTGCTCCGCTCGGCGACTCCTATCTGTGAACGGGGAAGGGGCTTCACGGAGGGCCCACTACCCAAGGGGTGGGATTCACTGCAAGTGGGGGTATGGCCTGGGCTGCAGACATGGGTTTGCGATCAGAGGACCTGGGCTCGACTCTCCCATGCCACTTGCTGGCTGTGTAACCTCCGACGTGGCCCCCAGCTTCTCAGGCCTTGCTTTTCACAGACGAGAGCAGGAGAAACGGTCCCCATCATCCCCCGAGCTCTTGGCCTCACCCCCTCAGCACCATGTCCCCGCCTCCAGAGCTCAGAGATGGGAAGCTGAGGTCTGCCCAGAGGTGCCATGGCCATCAGTGACCCAGCCAGGGCTGGAGTCAAGCCTGGGTCCCTTTATGTTTCTTGACTTGGCATTCAGGTGTGGCTTGATCCAGGGAACACACTGACTGACTAGTGCCCCATGGCTCTGGTCTCCTGGTCCTAGACCTGGGCTGCCTGGGTGTGTCAGCCTTCTCCATGCCCTGGCAGGTTGGCTGGACGGGGTATGACTCAGAGGACGGTGCTCAGCCACTGTCCATAGCCTGGGTTGGGTCTTGTGGATTCTACAGGCCTGAGAACACCAGCCCCCATGGGAGATGCCATCCAGCTCCGGCAGATGTGGGCCTCGGGGAGAAGTGGCAGCCCTGAGGGGCCCGCATGGCTGTGGGAAAGGCCCCCTGCAGAGAGCCAGCTGCCCAGTGTACCCTGACCTCACCCATGCACCCAGGCATTCGGATGCTCACAAGGGACCCTTGTGAGGCCCCTCTGCAGATGGGCCCAGCCCCACAGCCCTCCTGGGAGGATACCCTTCCCCAGGCCATCCTGGGCTCCACTCGGGGGCCTCCAGCAGCCACTCCCTCCTCTGGGCCTTGGTTGCCCCATCTGTAAACAGGAACCTAAAAAGGGGATCACAGGAAGGGGCCCAGTGGGTCGAGGATGTGTGAAGAAGTTGCTGGTGGGCCGGGCACGGTGGCTCACACCTGTAATCCCAGCACTTGGGGAGGCTGAGGTGGGCAGATCATTTGAGGTCAGGAGTTCAAGACACGCCTGGCCAACATGGCGAAACCCCTTCTTTACTAAAAATACAAAAATTAACCGGGTGCGGTGGCGCGCACCTGTACTCCCAGCTACTCAGGAGGCTGAGATGGGAGAATCGCTTGAACCCGGGAGGCGGAGGCTGCAGTGAGCCGAGATTGCACCGCTGCACTCCAGGCTGGGTGACAGTGCAAGATTCTGTCTCAAAAAAAAAGAAAGAAAAGAAGTTGTTGGACCCCCAGCCTCGTCCCCCATGCATTTCTCACCAGGCTTGGGTTTGTTCCCAGCCAGATCTTGGGAGGATCACATGTGAAGGAGGCCATGACATCCACACAGGACCACCCTTTCTACTGCCCAAGAGGCTTCCGTGGCTGCAGAGCAGGCCACAGAGTCCAACCACAGGCCTTGGGCTCCACGTGGGTTCCCCTGGTCTCTCCTGGGCACAGGCCCATCCCGACGCTCACTCTGAACCTCTCCCAGATGTGGCCTTCGGTGCCTGCCGTGGGCCCTGGTTGGTGAATCCTGGGAACCAGGGCTCTGCCTCCCGTAGGTGGCTGCAGCACACAGAGCCAGGGCCTGCTACTGAGGCTGCAGAGGGGACACAGAGTTTGCGCGGAGGTCACGGGGTGGGGGAGGAGCTACTTAGCCTCCCCCCTCCCCTTCTGTCGCCTCTCTCTGTCCTGGGGCCTCAGCTGCCACCCAGATTACGGGCTTTTCCCCCCAGGAGGGTCTGACTTTGGAGCCGGTGACCTTGGGCAGGTCACCTCACCCCCTGTTAAATGGGCTCCAGGTCCTCAGGGGCCCCGCGGGGTTTGCCTGCGTGGGAACCAAGCACAGGTGATCAGCAAGCGAATCCGCACGCGGCGCGTCATCGTGGACAGAGGGGCCGGCTTGCCCCGCCCCACGCAGCTGACCCCTGGCCACCCCGGTCTGCCTCCCGTGTGACCCTGGGGAGCCGCTCGCCCCTCTGGCCT
Organism: Homo sapiens; assembly: GCF_000001405.40. Lineage (NCBI taxonomy): Eukaryota > Metazoa > Chordata > Mammalia > Primates > Hominidae > Homo > Homo sapiens. Next base: position 88,509,066 of record NC_000016.10, read on the forward strand.
CGGTTTCTGTGTCTGTACAGGATGTGTTGGAAGCTGGTGTTCTCGGGGCCCACGTGGTCTGTGCACCAGCCTCACCGCCAGTCCGCTGACCCACAGAGGCTTCCAGAACCCCGTCAGCCTGGGGTTTTTCCTTCCCTCCCCCTCACTCCTTTTTCTTTCCTTTTTTGTGACTTTTATCAAAAGCAAACAGCATGATCCCTGAGACAGGGCCGCTCCCAACAAAGCTGGACCCAGCTGGCCTATGGGAGCCACAGGGCGGGGCCGGGCGGAGCGATGGGGCCGATTAGATAAGTGGGTGCTGGGGTGACCCCACGGTGGGCACCAACCACAGAGCCCACCATCTGGGGTGGCTGGACTTTGCACTCCCGAGACTACCAGCCATTAGGCACACAGGGAGGCTGGCCCCTGGAAGGCGGGAAGGCCAGCTGTGTGCAGGAGGGGCCCCGGTTCCCGGACGTCCGCAGACTCACAGGGTGACGCCTTCACCTGCCTCCTCAAGTCAGAGCTGTGAGCCAGCCTGCCAGGGCCAGGGCTCAGGTGGAGAAACAGGCCTGGGGAGGCGGGCGGCTGAGCAGAGTGGGTTCAGGAGCAGGTGGAGAAACAGGCCCAGGGAGGCGGGCGACTGAGCAGAGTGGGTTCAGGAGGCAGAAGACCCTGGGTGTAGCCTTGGATCCTCTGTCAGAGAGCAGCTTCAGGGTCTGGTCTCGGGAGCAACTGCCCTCCCTGCTATGTGACCCCCAGCTGCTTGCTGGAGTCTCTGGGCCTGTGGGATGGGAGCAGACGCTCCTCTACCGGCTTGCTGCCACACGCGCGTCACGGAGGGGGCCACGGTTCCTGCGCTGGGCACTGTTGGCCACGTTGTTGAGGGAGGCGACAGGGGCCTCTGGGGCCTCGGGGGCAGAGCCAGAGCCCAGGGGTGAAGGCCAAGTCCCAGGGGGCAGCCCTGGGCTGGGCCCCAGGCCTTAGGATGCCCACCTGGTGCAGCTTCTCAGCCCATCTGGGCAGCTAGGAGAGAGAGAATAGTGCTGGCTGCACCGGCAGACACACCCCCTAACCTCACGGCACGAGCCCGAGGGAACGTCATGCTGGCACCCCCTTCTCCATATGGGTAAACTGAGGCTCAGAGCACACACAACCGCTGGCAAGCTGGGCAGAGGCAGGACTTGGCCCCAGGCCTGTGGATTCCAAACCCCAGCTCTCCCTCCCCAGGCACCCCCAAAAGGCCCTGGACCCTGGCCAGACCCACCGGGCTCCCCTCAGCCAGGTTCCCCACTCTGTGGGGTTGGCTCAGCCAGCAGCGCCAAGCTCTGCCTGGTCCTCGGTCCCCCACTGCTTCCATCCCCATGGGGTGTAATCGGAGGGCTTTAAGACCCATGTGGACCTTTCAATCATATAAATATGCAATGGCTGGAACTTCTCATTTGGTTCCTCGCAGATGCCTGGGGGTGAAATTGAATCCCAGCACAGCGTGTTTGTTCTGGAAATGGCGTGTGCAGTCTTGTTTGCCTGAATAAATTAGTCCTTGTCCCAGTGCTGTGCCTGTAGTGGCGGCCCCATTCCCCTGGCTGGGCTCACCCATGCGGCCTAGGTCCCGCCCCCTCCTCAGGAGACCCGTCTAGAGATGGGGAAACTGAGGTCAGAGCAGGAAGAGTCAGCCACGGGGCCACCAGCCGCTGCCTCCCACCTCAGCTCAGAAGAGCCCTGGGGCTCTGGTTCAAACCCACCCACCCACTGCCTACCCTTGGGCCAGTTGCTTAACCTCTCGGATCTGTCTCCCCCATGTACGTTGGGAGGAGTAACTTGAGCACAGCTGGAAAGAATCCTCACAAGTCCTGCTGGGCCTGGCTGAGGCTCGGTCCGTGGGGCAGGTACTCAGTTGGGTCCGTGGGGCGGGCACTCATGTTGGGTTCGTGGGTTTTTGGGAGCCACAGCTAGCGTCCCCATTCTTCAGCTGCAGAGACAACCTGGCCGGAGCTGGCATCTCTGCTGGGCTCACCCAGTTGTTCTGGAGCTGGGGAAGAGGAGGCAGAAAGACCAGTCACAGGAGGCTGGCAGGGAAGGACACCACCCCCTGGAAGCCCACCCTGACAGGCCCGCCCTCAGAGCTGTCGGTGCCGGTGGGGGTGTCTGGCCACTGCCTGTGTTTTCTGGGAGCCCCAAGGCCAAGGCTGTGGCATGCCTGTTGCTGCCCCAGGTGCCCCACAGGGTTTTGTGGCGGGACAAGCACTGAGCTCACGGTGGGTTCTGGTCCCACCTCCAGCCACAGCTCCCAGTGTGGCTTGGGCACTCCTCAGCCTCGCCGGGCCCCAGGCTTCCTGGTGGTGGGGTTGGGTGCTGACCATCTCCATGGGTGCCACTGTCTGGATCCCCCAGCCATTTCAGAGGCCATTTAAAAAAACAACTGCCTGTGTCTTCCTGCCCATTCCCACCCAGCTCAGCATCCCCCGGCCCTAGGCTCCAGGCCCCTCACCCTCACTCACGGACACTTCCATCCATTCTCAGCCTTGAGCCAAGTCCTCAGGAGGCACCCCATCTGCCAGGAGTAGGAGGCCTCACCCACCCCCACTTTCCAATGCGATTTTACTTCCGGTTGGGAGAGGGTCTCTGCAGGAACAGGGCTGGAAATAGGTTATGTGAGCAGAAGAGCGTTGAGAACCACCACGGCCTCTATGTTCAGTTGCACAGGTCGAATGCTGCACAAGGGCACCTGGGGTGAGCTGGGGCTAAGATCAGCCATGCTCCCCTTACCAATCCAGGCACCTGCATCCACCCCCAAGAGGCACCTTTCCCGTGCACAGCCCCTTGGAGACGCATCCTGAACCCTGGTCCAGGGAGATGGGTTGTCATGGTGACCATTGCCCTGGTCCCCAGCCCCACACCCCTCCGATCCCTGGACTCCTTGGAGGCCCCTCGCCCAGCCCCCGGCCATCCCTGAGTGGTGGGTTCTGCCCCTGGGCGAGTGGAACGGCCACCTTTATCAGAGCCAGCCCTCTCTGGCAGTGTGTGATACCCATACCCAGAAGGGGCGGCCGCCACGGGAAATGCCAGCCACGCTCTTATCTGGGAGGCTTGGCCGGCTGGCCCTGGAGCTCCGATTAGGGAGCAGGACCGTTTGCCTGTGGGTGCCTCGTGGGCCGGGTAGGGTGGGCACCAGTTCTGCCCTCCCACTTCCCCATGAGGGCAGGGGACAAGTGAGAGCCCAGGGCTGCCAGGACAGGGACCTCAGCACCCTTGAGGTGTGATACGCGGCAGGTGTGGACGCTGCAGGCCCAAGCTCCTCCTACCCCTGGAAAGGTGGGCACCAGCCCCAGGTGCACAGCAGTGTCTCAGGAACAGCAGGGACTCTGGTCAGGAATGTTCTGGAACCCGAGGGGAAGGCATGCCACCCCTTCCCTCTCTGAAAGGAAGTCGCAGCCACTCCTGGGTCCAGACGTGCCCTCAGGGGCTTCTCGGACAAGGGGTCCTCTTGGCCCCCCACCCCGCCCTGCCCCCCAGGCCCCAGCAGGAGAGCAGAGGCCTGCATGCAGGGCCCACCCCACGAAGCTCCAAGCGTTTCTGACAGTCCGGATGGGATTCCACATGCTTCCCTGTGGCCCCAGCCCTGACTCGGGGGTGACACACAGGCTCACTTGATGGTGGCACTGAGGACCCGCCGGAGGCCAGACAGAGGGACAGATGAGCACACACCAGGAGCTCCCATCGGGGGAGTCTCTTCTCTCCCGTGCCCACCCCCGAGGCCTGGCCAGGTGGGCCAGAGTCGCAGGTACAGCCAGGACATGAGGGGCCGGGCCCCCCACCACTGTCACACGCAGGGGTGCCCCTGGAGCCAGGCCTCTGGGTTTGGACCCCGGTGCCCCACTGCTAGCCTGCTAGCCGCAGAGCCTCCAGGGGCCTCGATGTCCTTGTCTGTGCAGGGGGATGACCGTCACAGGAATGGGTGTTCCCGGTCCCCCATAGGGCCGCGGGGTGCTAGCTGGCCCGTGTGACTGTGATGCTGGGACCCCGCTCACACTGGTCACCCTCTTGGTGCCAAGCCCTGCAGGGGCAGGGGAGGGGGCGGCCTAGTGGTCAGAGCCCTGGGCTGGGACCCAGGCATTCTGGGTGGGCTGGCAGCCCTGAAGCTGAGACGGCAGAACCGCTCCTGCTGCCCCCAGTCCGCTCTTCCCTTCCTGGGGGCTGATAAAGGGGCGCGGGCCTCCTCGGCCTCTCGGTCCTGGTTCGCTGCCATCTTATCTGCCCTGGGGAAGACAAAGACCCAGTTAAAACGTTTTAGCAGGGCCTCCCGGCGTATTTACATGTTATCTCTGCCATTAGGCAAGCAGCTATCTGATCATCAGGCCCATTAAGACCACAGCCTGCCCAATCGGGGCTCCAGGAAGTGGGGCCGCCACAGCACTGCGGCCAGGGGACCAGGCCAGGCCACGTGAGGCCTCTGTGGGCCCAGGCAGCCCTGGCCACAGGAGAGGTAGAGGTGGCCCGGCCTTCCTGGGCAGAGGGTGTGTGGCCTGGGAGGAGCCACGTCCCTGTTGTCCACCAAGGAGGCTGAGGCTCCAGGAGGCAGGTGAGGGCCAGGTGTGGCCAGGTGTGTGTGTGTCCTCGGCTGGGTGCTAAGTTAGCGTGACCTGGGGCTTCAGGCAGCAGAGTGTGTCCTTGCACAGCCCGGAGGCTCCAAGTCCCAAGTCCAAGTGTCGGCAGCACCAGGCTCCTTCCAGAGGCTCCCTCCTGCCACTCTCAGCTTCTGGGGGCTTCAGGCGACCCTCATGGCTGCCTCCCATCTCCACCTCCATCTTCCCATGGTCTTTTCTGTCTCCTTTTCTGTGTCTCTTAGAAAGATACTTGTCATTGGTTTTAGGGCCCACCTGATAATCCCATTGATCTCAAGAGCCTTAATCTAATTGCATTTGCAAAGACCCTTTTTCCAAATATCAGCACGTTCATAGACTGCAGGCTGATGTATCTTTTGGGGGCCCCCAGTCAGCCATGACATAAACTCAGGCCAGCGTTGCACTGTGCGGCCGGGCTCTGTGGGCCTGTCCCACCCGCAGCCCTTGCTCTGGAGAACGACCATCGCAGGGCTCACAGCTCGCTCAAACCCAGCCACAGGCATCCTCCTGGCTGCGTCCCTACACCCCACAGTGCCCTAGAGATCTTGCTGCAGGGCTGCCCAGGCCCCTGGGACCCAGCACCTGCCCGGCCCCTGCCATTCACCCCAGGCCCCCAGGACTGCCACCCTCCACTGCCCCTTGGGCCAACCCTAGCGGGAGGTGGGCTGGACAGGCCCCAGACCGGGCACGCCTCATGCCTGCGATGTCTCTCTGCAGACGAGCTGGAGCCGGTGGTGCAGGATGGGCAGAGGCGCATACGGGCCCGACTCAGCCTCGCCACGGGCCTGTCCTGGGGCCCGTTCCATGGGAGTGTCCAGACCAGAGCCTCATCCCCCAGGCAGGCGGAGCCGGTAAGAAGCCCCCATCCCCGCCCCTGCCCGCCCACCCCAATGCAGGGCAACATGGACCCAGGGGACAGGCCCAGCTTAGATGCCAGCTCCGGGGCTCTGGCCACTTGAAGATGTGGGCCTGAGATATTGGGACCTGGAGGATAGGGAGGGATTCGCTGCCTTGGGGCCCAGGGAGGGCTTCCTGTAGGAGGTGATATGGGGCCTTTGGTGCCCCAGGGAGGACTTCCTGGAGGAGGGGTTCTTTAAGCAGGACCTTGACAGATGACTGGGCATTGAAGCAGAGGAGAAGAGCATTCAAGGGGAGGGAGGAACAAACCAATGGCCCAGGCCTTGGGGTACTGGGACGGTGGGGATGCTACAGCAGAGAGCGAGAGGGTAGTTCTGTGTCTGTCCCCGCGGACTCTTCTGACGACAGGCACGGCCGTCAGGCCCATGGTCTCCATGGCCTCGGCACGTGTGCTCATCTCCTTGGTGACAGCCCCTGCCTGGCAGAGCCTTCCAAGGCAGCCCCTTGCTGCTAGACACAAAGGCCTGTGTCGTTTGTCTTGGATGTACTTCTGGGGCTACCTCCAACTTATGACAAGTCAGTTCGGTTTCCTCCGAAGAGGGTATAATGGTTTCTTTTAAACCACGTCTCAGCTAAGAAAGGGCACTGGTATATAGAAACCTGTAAGTACGTGTGGGGCTGCATCATGGGCGGCATAGGGTCTGGGGCCTCCTGGGCCATTCACACAGCCTTTTGCAGCTGAGCGGGCAGACGCATGTCCCAGGCCGCTCAGGGAGTCACTGGGAAGCTGGCCCAGGACAGAGGGCGTCCCCCTTTGCCAGGCCCTGGAGTCTCCTGCCTTTATGCCATTTCCTTGCTGTGCATCCCCAGGCAGGCCCCTGCCCACTGTGAGCCTCCACTTCCTCAGCCTTTGGGACCTTGGGTGAGACACAGGGGCGCCTAAAGCTTCCTTTTACGTCTGAGCCTGCAGACCCTGAGAGGGGGCGTGGGCAGGGCTGCAAGCTTATCTGTGGTGCAGGGAAGCCCAGGGCACCCCTGTCTGCCAGGGCAGCTGGGCGGGTCACGTGAGATGGTCAGGAGTGGTGCTTGACACAGGGCATGGCTCAGTGGGCACTGCGGCCAGCAGCCCTGCAGGAGGGGTGGCTGCCTGGCCCCGTGGCCTGGAGCAGGGAGGTGGAAGAACGGCAGCGGAAGCTCAGTGGTGGTCAGTTTTCTCCATGGAAGGAGCCACATTTCAGCTCCACCACAGGAAGGAAGCCATGGTGTTTAGAGCTGGTTCTGTGGGGCGTGAGCTCCCCATCACTGTACGCGTGTGAGCGGCAGTTGATCCTTCTGGGGTGCTGGGATGTGGGGATCTTGGCAGGCATTTATGGTTGCCAGGAGGAATGAGTGGATGGGCTAGGAGCTCCGTGGCTCTCATCTCTGAACTCTCAAAGTGTCAAGAAAACCCATAGGTAGAGACCAAGGGCAAAGACCGTAGGGGCTGAGATTGGAGGGCTCTGTGAGTTCCAGACACACCACACGCCCATCCTCACTTCCTCCTCCCCGCACCCTACGAGGAGGGTCCTGCCACTCCATTTTACAGATGAGAAAACTGAGGCTCCAAGATGTTAAGTCAATTGCCCAAATACCCAGGATCAAACAGCAGAGGGAGAAATAGAACCCACATCTGCCTATCCCCGGAGACCCTCGCAAGCTCCTTAATGGTAGGGCTGAGGGGCTGGCACCGGCCCAGGAGTCATCCCCACGGGCTGCCCTTTGCCCTAGCTGCAGTCACCCCTCCCTGTCCGCCTGCCTCCGCATTTAGTCCTGCTCTGGCCTAGGGCACAGGCCATCCTGGGGATACGGGCACGGGGTTAGAAACGCTCCCAAGTGGGGAGATAACGTCTGGGGGCACAAGGGGAGCCAAGGCCAGAGGAGCCGCTGGGGCTCTGTGGGGAGCCCGGGGAGGAAGGAGCCCCCGCTCCACTCTTCCCTCCTCTGCTTTATCTCCTGCAGAATTAAATCCTTGATTAACCCTTATCTCCCCAGCGAGGCGCTATCTCCGCCTTGGCGCCGAGTGTCCAGACACACCGTACAAGATGATTGATTTCTTCAAGATATGCACGCCTTTCCGATACTTCATTTATTGTCTAAATATTTTTGCGTCTCAGCGGGCCCCTGTCGCTCTTGGCTGATAGGTCCCAGTTCTCTCCCCGACCCCTCCCTGAGGAGGACGTTGCCTCCTGCCCGGATCGCCCCAGCTGCTGCCAGTTTTTCTTCTCTCTTTGTAGAAGGAGAAGGGGGAGGGGTGCAGATGCGATGCTGTGACCCTCCCCGCTGGCCTCCACAGGCCTGGGGCTTGCTCACAGGCCGGGATGAACAGGGACAGGGTGGCTTCCCCCTCGGTTCCCCACCTCTGGACATGGGGGGCGGGCACCCACAGAGGAAAATGAGTGCACAAGTCCCCAGCCGAGTCAGGAGCGTGGACTCTGGCACCGACTTGCCGTGTGACCTGGGGCAGGTCGCTTCCCTGATGCAGCAACAGCTCCCACCCCTGCCACGCCAGGGGTTGGAGGAAAGGGGCCTGAGGGGCCCAGCCAGCTTCAGAATTTATAGTCAGATACAGAAGAAACACTCGTGGTGGATGGGTAGGTGGACGGATGGATGGGTAGATGGATGGATGGATGGATGGATGGATGGATGGATGGATGGATGGATGGGTGGGTGGGTGGGTGGATGGATGGATGGATGGATGGATGTGTGGTTGGAGGGCTGGGTGGATGAGTGGGTGGATGGACAGATGGATGAGTGGGTCGGTGGGTGGGTAGGTGGGTGGATGGATGGGTGGGTGGATAATGGGTGGATGATGGGTGGATGGGTGGATGCATGGGTAGATGGATGGGTGGATGGTTGTGTGAGTAGATGGGTAGATGGACAGATGTGTAGGTAAATGGATGGATGGCTGGGTGGATGGATGGATGGATGGATGGATGGATGGATGGATGGATGGTTGGATAGGTGGGTGGATGGATGAGTGGGTGAGTGGGTGAAGGAGGGGTGGATAGACTAATGGATGGATAAATGAGTGGGTGAATGGATGGACAGGTGGATGGATAGGTGGGTAGATGGATGGTGGATAAGTGGATGGATGGGAGGATAACCAGGTGGATGGATGGATAGATGTATGGGTGGATGGATGAGTGGGTGGGTGGATAGATGGATGGATGAATGAATGGGTGGGTGGCTGAAAGGGTGGGTGGGTAGATGGATGGATGAATGAATGGGTGGGTGGCTGAAAGGGTGGGTGGGTAGATGGATGGATGGATGGATGAGTGGGTGAGTGGGTAAAGGAGGGGTGGATAGATGGATGAGTGGATAGATGAATGGATGGATAGGTGGATGGATAAATGAGTGGGTGAGGCCAGGCGCAGTGGCTCATGCCTGTAATCCCAGCACTTTGGGAGGCCGAGGTGGGCGGATCATGAAGTCAGGAGATCGAGACCATCCTGGCTAACATGGTGAAACCCCGTCTCTATTAAAAAAAAATTAGCCGGGCATGGTGGCGGGCGCCTGTAGCCCCAGCTACTCGGGAGGCTGAGGCAGGAGAATGGTGTGAACCCGGGAGGCGGAGCTTGCGGTAAGCCAAGGTGGCACCACTGCACTCCAGCCTAGGCGACAGAGCGAGACTCCGTCTCAAAAAAAAAAAAAATGAGTGGGTGAATGCGTAGATAGGTGGATGGGTGGGTGAGTAGATGGATGGTGGATAAGTGGATGGATGGGAGGATAACCAGGTGGATGGATGGATAGATGTATGGGTGGATGGATGAGTGGGTGGGTGGATAGATGGATGGATGAATGAATGGGTAGGTGGCTGACAGGGTGGGTAGGTGCGTGGATGGATGGATGGATGATGGGTGGATGGGTGGATGCATGGATAGATGGATGGTGGGTGGATGGGTGGGTAGATGGGTAGATGGACAGATGTGTAGGTAGATGGATTGACAGCTGGGTGGATGGATAGATGGATGAGTGGATGGATGGATGGATGGAAGGATGGATAGTGGGTAGATGGACGGATGGTTGGGTAGGTAGCTGGTGGATAAGTGGATGGATGGGAGGATAACCAGGTGGATGGATGGATAGATATATGGGTGGATGGATGAGTGGGTGGGTGGATGGATGGGTGGATTGATGGACGGATGGATGGATGGATGGATGGCTGAGAGGGTGGATGGATGGATGGATGGATGGATGGATGGATGGATGATGGGTGGATGGGTGGATGCATGGGTGGGTGGATGGGAGGGTAGATGGGTAGATGGACAGATGTGTAGGTAGATGGATTGACGGTTGGGTGGATGGATAGATGGATGAGTGGAGGGATGGATGGATGGAAGGATGGATAGTGGGTAGATGGATGGATGGTTGGGTAGCTAGCTGGTGGATAAGTGGATGGATGGGAGGATAACCAGGTGGATGGATGGATAGACGTATGGGTGGATGGATGAGTGGGTGGGTGGATGGATGGGTGGATGGATAGATGGATGGATGGATGGATGGATGGATGGATGGATGGATGGCTGAGAGTGTGGGTGGATGGGTGGATGGATGGATGGATGGGTGGATGGATGGATGGATGGATGATGGGTGGATGCATGGGTGGGTGGATGGGTGGGTGGATGGGAGGGTAAATGGGTAGATGGACAGATGTGTAGGTAGATGGATTGATGGCTGGGTGGATGGATAGATGGATGAGTGGAGGGATGGATGGATGGATGGATGGATGGGTGGGTGAGTGGGTGAAGGAGTGGATAGATGGATGAGTGGATAGATGAATGGATGAGTGGATGGATGAATGGATGGATAGATGGATAGGTGGATGGATAAGTGAGTGGGTGAATGGGTGGATAGATGGATGGATGGATGGATAGATGCATGGTGGATGGATAACCAGGTGGATGGATGGATAGACATATGGGTGGATGGATGAGTGGGTGGGTAGATAGATGAATGGATGAATGAGTGGGTGGGTGGCTGAAAGGATGGATGGATGGATGGATGGATGAATGGGAGGGTGGGTGGATGGATGGATGGATGGGAGAGTGGGTGGATGCATGATTAGGTGGGTGAGTGGATGATGGATAGGTGGATGGATGGATGGGTGGATGGATGGGAGGGTGGGTGGGTGGATGGACAGATGGATGGGAGGGTGGGTGGATGATGGATAGGTGGATGAATAGATGGACAGATGGATGGTGGGTGGATGGATGGATAGGAGGGTGGGTGGGTGGATGATGGACAGGTGGATGAATGGATGGACAGATAGATGGTGGGTAGATGGATGTGTGGATGGGTGGGTAGATGGGTAGATGGAGAGATGTGTAGGTAGATGGATTGACGGCTGGGTAGATGGATAGATGGATGAGTGGATGGATGGATGAATGGATGGATGGATGGATGGATAGTGGGTAGGTGGATGGATGGGTGGGTAGATAGCTGGTGGATAAGTGGATGGATGGGAGGATAACCAGGTGGATGTATGCATGAATACATGTATGGGTGGATGGATGAGTGGGTGGGTGGATAGATGGATGGATGAATGAATGGGTGGGTGGCTGAGAAGGTGGATGGATGGATGACGGGTGAATGGGTGGATGCATGGGTAGATGGGTGGGTGGATGGGTGGGTAGATGGGTAGATGGACAGATGAGTAGGTAGATGGATTGACGGCTGGGTGGATGGATAGATGGATGAGTGGATGGATGGATGGATAGATAGGTAGGTGGATGGATGCGTGGGTGAGTGGGTGAAGGAGGGGTGGATAGATGGATGAGTGGATAGATGAATAGATGGGTGGATGGATGAGTGGATGGATAGATGGATAGGTGGATGGATAAATGAGTGGGTGAATGGGTGGATAGATGGATGGATAGGTGGGTAGATGGATGGTGGATGGATGGACAGATGTATGGGTGGATGGATGAGTGGGTGGGTAGGTGGATAGATGAATGGATGAATGAATGGGTGGGTGGCTGAAAGGATGGATGGATGGATGGATGGATGGATGGATGGATGGATGGGAGGGTGAGTGGGTGGATGGATGATTAGGTGGGTGGGTGGATGGTGGATAGATGGATGGGTGGATGGATGGGAGGGTGGGTGGATGGGTGGATGGATGGATTATTAGGTGGATGGGTGGGTGGATGGAGGGATGGGTGGGTAGATGGATGGATGGATGGGAGGGTGGGTGGATGGATGGATGATTGGGTGGATGGATGGATGAATAGATGGATGGGTGGGTGGATGGATGGATGGATGGATGGGAGGGAGGGAGGGAGTGTGGGTGGGTGGATGGATGGACGGATGGATGGGAGGGAGGGAGGGAGTGTGGGTGGATGGATGGATGGATGATTCGGTGGGTGGGTGGATGATTAGGTGGGTGGGTGGATGATGGACAGGTGGGTGGATGGATGGATGGATGGGAGGGTGGGTGGGTGGATGGATGATTATGTAGGTGGGTAGATGATGGACAGGTGGATGGATGGATGGGAGGGTGGGTGGGTGGATGGATGATTAGGTGGGTGGGTGGATGATGGACAGGTGGATGGATGCATGGATGGATGGATGGATGAATATATGGCCTGAGGCCAACCTCAGTGTTCCCTCCCCCATGCCGTTCCCTCCTCTGTGCTGTTTCCCACTGCCACTCCATGCTGTTTCCCCCGCCTCCATGCTGTTCCCTCCTCCGTGCTGTGAAAACTAAAGGGAGAGTGGCCTGACTCAGCTCCCCAAGCCCAGCCTTCCCCTCCTATGAGATCAGGTTCTGCCATGGTGATGACCCCTGACGCCAGGCTCTGGGGCTCCCTGCATGGTTTCAGAGGACTGCTCAGACCCTGTGGTGCCTCCAGGGGTCCCAGCCCCATCCCCAGGTGAGAAAGCCTCAGGCCATCGTGGGTCAGGGACCCCCCGCTAAGGTATCCTGAGCACCAACACCATGTTCCCTCCCCCGTGCTGTTCCCCCAACCCGTGCTGTTCCCTCCCTCATGCTGTTCCCTCTCCCCTGTGCTGTTCCCCCAACCCATGCTGTTCCTTCCCTCATGCTGTTCCCCCAACCCGTGCTATTCCCTCCCCCGTGCTGTTCCCTCCCCTGTGCTGTTCCCCCAACCCGTGCTGTTCCCTCCCTCATGCTGTTCCCTCTCCCCTGTGCTGTTCCCCCTCCCCTGTGCTGTTCCCACACCCTGTGCTGTTCCCTCCCCTGTGCTGTTCCCACACCCTGTGCTGTTCCCTCCCCTGTGCTGTTCCCTCCCCTGTGCTGTTCCCTCCCCTATGCTGTTCCCTCTCCATGCTGTTCCCTCCTCTCTGTTTCCTCCCCCGTGCTGTTCCTTGGCCCCCTCGTATCCACACCCTCCCCTCCTCACCCTCCAGGTCTCGGCCAACATCCTGGCACAGCCACCCCCACTCCCCGTCTCAGCCTGTCCCGTGTCTCTGTCGCTGCCCCTCCAGGTGCCTACCTGCTATTTCTGGGCGGCTCCACACTCCAGGACTCACGGGAGATGCAGTTCTGTTCACTGTGTTCCCCACACCTGGCAACAGCTGGTGCACAAGGCCTGCCTGCCGGATAAGGGAGTGAGTGAGTGTGTGACCCAGTGGATGAAGTGGCAGCAGCAAGGCGGCAGGGGTCTCACGGACCTGGCTTGTAGTCGTGCAGGCCTCAGGCCCTCACCTGGGAAGTGTACTCCTTGCATGGTCGAGGGAGACAGAGGCACTGAGGGACCAGCTGGTGCCTCTGTTAAGGTGATGGGGAGGTGGAGGACTTCTCAGGGTGGGCTGGAGGAAAGACGGGCTGGGGCCTCAGCAGCCTCAGCCTCAGCCTCAGCTCCCACCCTCCCGTGAACCTGCTGCTGGCCCACTACCCCGCAGTGTCCTGGGGATGACCAAGCAGCCCCACGGGGCTTCTGCAGGACCGGCCGTTTGGCTCCATGGGCCGGGCCACCCCAGCAGCCCTGCAAGCTGCTTCAGAGCTTCACAGCGAGGTTTGGGAACGGCCTCAGATAAAGTTGTCACAGCGGATGCTGCACAGATAGGGTTTCCGATGGCTATCGGTGCCACCGCAGAATCAAGACACTGACCTCTTTGTTGGGGGAAACAAGGAACATTCTCAGGTCCGCCCGGGGAATTTAAAGTGGCCACTGCTGGTGGGGCCGGCCAGGGCCCAGAGGAGGGACAGGGCAACCCCAAGGGGCGGCAAACAGGGTGGGCTCTAGCGTCCTCCGTGGACCCTGGACACACCTGCCTGACCAGGCTGGGTGCCGAGCCTGTGGCACCCTGGGAGGGAAGATGGCCGCAGCACCCACATCTCTGAGAGTCTTGGCAGAAGGGCCTGGTTTGGAAGTTAAAAATAGGCCCCCTCCCAAGGCCAGGCGCGGTGGTTCACGCCTGTAATCCCAGCACTTTGGGAGGCCAAGGCGGGCAGATCACCTGAGGTCAGCAGTTCAAGACCAGTCTGCCCAACATAGTGAAACCCCGTCCCTACTTAAACTACAAAAATTAGCTGGGTGTGGTGGTGCTTGCCTGTAATCCCAGCTACTCGGGAGGCTGAGGCAGGAGAATTGCTTGAACCCCGGAGGTGGAGGTTGCAGTGAGCCGAGATCATGCCATCGCACTCCAGGCTGGGGGACAAGAGTGAGACTTCATCTCAAAAAAAAAAAAAAAATAGGCCCCCTTCCCCCTTGCTCCCCAGTGCCCACAGGCAGAGCAGGGTCAGGAAGGGCCTGCAGCACCAGAGAAAGGGCTTCTGTTCCAGGCTGATCAGAGGTGGGGAAACAAGAAGAGACAGAAAAAAATCAACAGGCAGACCCGTGCCCGGCCAGCCCCTCCGCAAGGGAAGCAGAAGCTGAAATTGGCTTCCTGCCCCAGCGTCTCCTGGCCGCGGCCCCAGCAGTGGCTCCCAGGATGGGCGGGTGGCCCCGGGCTGGCTTCAGGGGTCCGGCCACTTGGCACCGGGCAAGACCCTGGTTCAGGGCTGGCCGTGTCCATGCCACCTCCAGGCTGGGGACCCTGGTGGCCCCAGGCGAGGCTGTGCTCACCTGTCCCCTGAGAGGTGTCAGGGTGGCCCCTGCATCCTCAGCAGCCAGGGCAGACTGGCAGGGAGGCCCTCACCCCTTCCCAGCCTGTGGTCGCAGAAGTAGGAGCGGCAGGCCCCTCTGAGAGTGTTTGGCAGTGGGGGCCGTGGCAGGGTGGCCGGAGCTGCTTATCTTGCACCCCTAGGTCTCCTACCTGTTCCCTCCCGGGTCGGGGGCGGGTGCCGGATGGGAGCCTCACCCTCCTTCCCCCTGCCCCTCCCCACCCGCACAGCCAGGCCAGGCGCCCCGTCGCGCCCCACATACGCGGGGTGCACTCGGCGGGGCCGGGCGGGAACATGGCGCCTGCCCTCCACTCGGGACCGCCACAGAAAAATCGGGGGTGCGTGCAGCGTCAGCACAGTTGCGGCGCGTGTTTTTATCATGCTGGGAACACGCTGCTCCTGGGAGTGATAAGCATTAAACCGGCCGGCAGGCTGTCAGTCTCAGTTTGAGGGTTTAGAAATATTGGGACGAATAATTAGATTTCATATCGTTACCGCAGCACCCATCGGAGGATCAAGCAGATTAATTTTTTTCACCCTCCTCTGCTCATTAATATTCATTAGAGGCTCAGGAAGGCCAGGGTGGGGAGGGCCAGGCCCCAGCAGCCTCGCCGAGCGCTGCCCGCCTGGCTCGGGAGCAGCCGGGACACAGTAGCCGCCGGTCACCCACCTTTGTGCCAGGAATGTGCCTGCCCATTGCCCCTGGGGTTTACCCCCCAGCCTGCCCCAGCAGAAGCCCCCATCGGAGCCGGCAGAGCCCCACAGCTGGCGTGCAGTTCCTGAGCCCTGCTCTGCGGCCCTGGGAATCACGGGGGTGTCCTTTAAAAGGGGGGCACCCACCCGATGCCAGCCTGCACAAAGCACCTTTCTCGGGGCAGCCACTCACCACAGTGGACACTCAGCATGTGCTGCCCCGGACATGCCCTGTGGACGGCACCCCATGCCCACTTTGTCCTGCCAGGTCAACCCAAAAGCAACAGCCAGGGCTGGAGCTAATATGCATCCTGTGCTGGGAACCTGCCAGGCAGGCAAAAAGCTTCACACAGATCATGGCCTCCCAACATACCGGGAGGAAACTGAGTCAAAGGAGATAGGACTGACCCCCCTGAGACTGCCCCAAAGGCTAATGGTGGGCTTCGGGTGGGTCCAGAGTGAGCAGGGGCTCGGCCGCCCCTCTGTCCCCCCAACAGCCATGTGGGGAGAGGGCAGAGCCCCGTCTGCAGAGGAGAACCTGAGCCAGGGGTTGGGGTGGCTGCTGGGGACGGCTTCACACTGGGACTGCAGGGTTGCACCCACCCCAGCCAGGGCACCCACCCCACTGGCCAGCTTAGCTCTGCTCACCCGTTCTGTGGCTGAGCCGTGTGGTAGCAGGCAGGTGACGTGGAAGCCACCTGCTCTGCTGGCCAGCCCGCCTGAACCTTGCCTGAGTAGTCACTGAACGTCCCAGCCCAAAGGCTGTATCTTGCTAGATTCCTGAGTGCCCTGCGGATGGGCCAAGAGGCAGGGGTGGCCCAGAGGGGTCCCTGCATACGGGTCTGGTCGTGCCCTGCCCAAGGTCGCAGCAGGGAGGCCGAGCCTGGCTGGGACCCCACTGCCCACCTCTGCGGCCCACAGGGTCCCACGCGTGCTGGCAAAGTCCAGGAAAGCTCATGGGCTGGCACCTAGTGGGGAGGTACCCCAGACCCACAGGGGACATCCCTGCACTGTCACCAGCCCGACCCCTTGTACCATGGCAGGGTTGGGCTGACTGCCATCCTCACCACAGGGCTGCACAAACCTGTCCCGGGCCAGCGGCAGCATTTGTAGGTGACACTGGCTTTTCAGGCAAAGGTCATGGTGCAGGAAGTTTCTGATTAAAAGGCATTCATTTGTATAGAACAAAAAGTGTGTTTACAGGAAGTGCTGGAGCACGCGTGTATGCTGTGCCTCCAGATTGGACACCCAGGTGGCTAAGCTTGGGGACCACCAGTGCAGTGAGCAGCACAGGGCTGAGGGTCAGGGCACTGAGGCTGAGTCAGCCTTGCAGGAGGGACCGAGGCCTGAGGGGCAGCGGCGGTCACCCCTTCCTCCGTCACCATTTTCTCCCCTTGATGTCTGACCAGTGTTGGGCACCACAGAGCGAGGCCATGGACTGCCCGCCCCACCTCGCCCTGTCCCAGCCCCCGACTGCACTGGGATGGGGCCCCTCGCATTTCCTCTGCCATTCAGCTGGGGGCCGGGGTGCAATGGATGCAGGAAACGAGGCGGCCTCCACGGGCTCGGCCCAGAGTGTTTTCCTTCCAGACTTAGCCTGAGCCACCGCCGACAGCATGGCATGGCCCGAGGCACTGGCATGAGCTCTGTCCCTCCCCTTCCCAGGCCTCAGTTTCCTCACCCATGAGATGGAGAGGAGGGTACTGCCTGCTTTCCAGGGTGACAGTGAGGCCAGGGGGGCCAGGGCCGATCCAACACAGTGCTGGTGTCTCAGGCCCACAGGAAGGGGCCTGACCAGCCTCAGGGTGGGGACAGACCTGCTGAGTCCACCAGGTGCTCCCCAGCGTCCGCCGTGTGCCGGCCCCGGGAGCGAGCGGGAACGCAGGTGGCCCTGCCACGCCCTGTGGCAGGGAGGGGAGCCATGCTGTCAGGAGGACACTGAGGCCCGAGGGTTGCTAGGGAAGTGCCGTATCTTCTGGGCTAATCTCGGCCCCAGCCCACAGAGGTCATTCTGGAGGCATCTAGGGCCTGTGTGGAAGGAGCCTCTACCAGGTCCAGCCCCTGTGGGAACAGCGGTTTCACACCCAGCACTCTGGGGGCAAGGGTGGGCGAGCAGTGGGGAGAACACAGATACGCAGACCCGGGTGTGAGTTCAGGCTCTGCTGCTCCCTGGCTGTGTGACCTGGAGCATGTTGCTCGACCTCTTTGGGCCTCAGTCTCCACAAGAACCCTGCGCCCAACCCTGGAAGGTACTACTCCCTGCCAAGCCTCCCAGCCCCAGCACGGTGTTAGCCCCACCGGTCAACTATGGCACAGATGGCCCATGCCACACCTCTGCCAGCTCTTGGGCCAATGACTGTCCACAGCTTGGCCTACCAGCCAAGCCGGGAGGCAGATCCGTGTCACAGATGCCCCACATACTCACGGGAACCCCCAGGCAGGCTGCTGACGGACCCCTCCCCACGTGTTCCTACCCTCCCCCCCCAGAGCCCAGCCCTGACCCTGCTGCTGGTGGACGAGGCCTGCTGGCTGAGGACGCTGCCCCAGGCCCTGACTGAGGCCGAGGCCAACACAGAGATCCACAGGAAGGGTCAGTATGACGCGGCACCTCCGTCCCAAGCCTTCCGGAAGGTGGGGGTCACTTGGCTCCCCCTGGGCTGAGCCCTTAAAGGGAAACCAGCCTGCTAGGGCAGGGGATGGGGCACAGGGAGCTGCTGGCCCCGGGCGCTGCAGCATGAGGCAGACACTCTACTGGGACCAGTCAGCCCAGACCATGAGTCCCTGTATGAGGGTCCCGACTGGCAGGCTGAGCCAGGACAGGTGTCCGTGGCGGGGGGGTGGGGGAGGATTCTGCCCCTCTGGGGGACACCGTGATCCCCGTATCTCCTCCCTGCCTTGGCTGCACCTCTGGGAACCCACCAAGGGCAGCAGCAGGGACCCCGACACCAGACTGGCTGGCAGGTGCCACTGGACCATCCTCCATGTCGTCAGGCTGGCTCCAGGAACGGTCAAGGTGGCCGTCCAGGAAGTCGAGGGGCCTTGCCGTGCTGCTGCTACTGAGGGTGGCACGTCTGGGTGGCCTGCACCTCCGAGCACCCGGGGATGAAGCGGGAGGCCCTCTGGGCTTAGGCAGGTCCACTGGCCAGTGGAGTCCCTGGCCCCAGTGCAGGGTGGGGACAGGCTGTGGTGCGCGTGAGCGGGCCGGCTCAGGCCTGAGGGCGGCACCGCAGGGGACACACAGCCCGGGCGCCCCAGGTGAACAAGCCGGCCCCGCGCAGCCTGGGCTTTGTGGGCTGAGGCTGCCCCCTGCGGGTGGCTGCAGGAAGAGCCGCCCTTGGACGGTTTCCTGGAGAGCCGGGTCCACTCTAGGGCCCCACCTCTGGCTGCCGTCCCTGAGTGGCCACCCAGGGTCTCCCCTAGTTACTCCACCACCCGCCCTCCACGTCATCCCTTTCCTGGGAGACTTCCTCGGGGCCCTCCCACTAGGATGGGCCCAGAGCAAGGAGGCCTGGAGGCAGGCAGGCTGTGAGCACTCACAGGGGACCACCCAGCCTTGCCCCCCAGGCAGGATGGCCCTGGCAGCCAGCCAGCCATGGCTGTGAACCCGGGTGGCCGCTCTCCTGACCCCATCCTCTGCCCCTTGTTTAAGACGGGACAGGGAAGTGGGGCACAAAGTCCTAGGTTTGGACACCTGTCTCCCTCCAGATGACGCACTCTGGTGCAGGGTCACCAAGCCGGTGCCTGCGGGGGGACTCCTGAGCGTGCTCCTCACGGCCGAGCCCCACAGCACCCCCGGCCACCCTGTGAAGAAGGAGCCAGCAGAGCCCACGTGCCCGGCCCCTGCACACGACCTCCAGCTCCTGCCCCAGCAGGCCGGGATGGCCTCCATCCTTGCCACCGCAGTGATCAACAGTAAGTGCTGGGCTCTCCGCACCCAGGGCGGCTGCTCCACCAAGGAGGAGCAGGCAGGGCAGGAGAGGGTGGGAGCTGAGGGTGGGAAGCTCGGGGGCTGCAGGCTGCCGACAGAGTGAGAGGTAAGGCAGGGAAGGAGGTGACGTGGGTGGTCCCAAGTGCAGAACACATAGGGACAGGAGGGTCCCCAGAGCCCAGGGCCACCACAGGGAAAGCCCCTGCCAGCAGGCAAGCGGGCTTAGGCACAGACTCGGCTCTGCCCCGCACACCACACTAGAAGCCAGTGCTTTCCCTGGGGGCAGACGCGGGGGCGGCCCTGACTGTGGGCCAGAGCAGGACCCTCACCTCGGCCCTCCTGGCGTCTGGGGCCAGGTCACTCCACAGTGGAGGTGTCCCTGGACACCACGGGGGGTGAGCGGCAGCCCTGGCCCCGGCCCACTAGGTGCTGCCACCACCTCCACCTCCAAGTTGTGACAACCAAGACATCTGTTGGTTGGGTTTTTGTTGTTTTTTTTTCGAGACAAGGTCTCACTCTGTTACCCAGGATGGTCATAAAGTCCTAGTCTCAAGCCATCCTGCCTCAGCCTCCTAAGTAGCTGGGACTTCAGGCACACGCCACCAAAATCTCTCTACACATGGCCGTATGTCCCTGGGGACAGAGCCGCCCCTGGGGACAACTGAAGTGGACAGATGCCACTCTTGCAGTGGCTCTCTCGGAAACTCTGAGGGTGGCTGCGGGAATCATGAGTCACTCACCCCCGGCCGGGTACAGGAGCCATACCTGTGATCCCAGCACCGTGGGAGGCCGAGGCAGGAGGACCGTTTGAGCCCAGGAGTTCAAGGCCAGACTGGGCAACACAGAAGATCC
Source organism: Homo sapiens (assembly GCF_000001405.40). Classification (NCBI taxonomy): domain Eukaryota; kingdom Metazoa; phylum Chordata; class Mammalia; order Primates; family Hominidae; genus Homo; species Homo sapiens. The sequence goes on from NC_000016.10 coordinate 88,529,107, forward strand.
CATATCTGCCAAAACTTTGAAAAATGAGCCGAGGGTGATGGTGCGCCCCGTGCACCTCTGTGGCCAAGGACAGCGCGTGGCCATCGTGGACAGGCACGAGTCACGCAGGGAACACGCAGCAAGTCTGGCTCCGGCCAGCGGCTGGGGCTTCCCAGGGGAACAGGGACGGCACCGGATGGCGTTTGGAGGGGGACGGTAAGACTCAGGTTTAGCTTTGGTGACCACAGAGTCACAAAACTGGAAGAAAAGCGACCTTTGTGAGCAAGTCGGATGTGAAGACGGCTTGAAGTAGGTGGAGGCAGCCAGTGGTTAGGGGCAAAGAGACCTGCAGGGCCAAGTGTGCAGCCACTGGGGGGATGTCAGCCCGTATGAGAGTCAGGGGAGCAGACCCCCACTCTTTGAGTGTCCTGACATCAAGACACCTGCTACATGCAAAAGAGAAGCCACAGAGTCCACTGAGGGACAAGGATGGGGCTCAGAGAGCCCTGGGGCCTGTGGACCCTGGAGTCAGGGGACAGGGGACATCTCCCAAGGTACGGAGAGTGAGCTGAGATAGGTTAGAGGGGGTCCTGGAGGGCGGCAGGTGGTCTGGCACATCCAGGCTGTGGCGAGACCAACAGCAGAGAAATGACTACTGGTCCTGACAGTGCAGAGGTCGCCATGACCCTGACCGAGGCCGCTCCAGGGAGGGTCAGAGAGGAGGCCTGCACAGGGGCCAGCTGGCCAGAGGGGGATGGGCTTGTGTGCCTGGTAGCCAGGACATAATAGCCCATGTTATGTGCTGGTGGGAATAGCTGGTGACACTGGAGAGAACGGGCCGAGCGGCCAGGTCCACACCTAAGCCCAGGTTGGGGGCAGGGGCTGGGCAAGCCACTGCCCCAGGGAGCCAGGAGGTCAGAAGAGAACACGGGCCGCAGGTGACTGAAAGGAGCCGGGAGCAAAGGGGGTCCCCATCTGCCTTCTCCTCTTCCCTGAAGAAGGCACGGAGGGGATGGGAGGCCATTGCACCCCTCCACCAGGATGGAGAGGGGGTGCCCCCGTAGTGTCTCGGGGTGCCCGGGAGACCCAACTCCAGGGGAACACCCCGCTGATAACGCCAGTAAGACAGTGGGGACAGCAGGCTGGTGAGGGTCCCGTCCTCCAGCAGGGTCCTTGCCCACACAGCCTGCGGAGACCACCTCCCAGTCCCTGAGGGGCAGCTGCGGGTGCCCCAGGCTCAGCCTCTGCCTCGGTTTCCCCCTCGCGGGTCTGACATGCCTCATCCCCAGGCAGCAGTGTCCTGGGAACGCTGCTTCGGAAGGACACCACCGTGAGCCACACATCTTGTTGACATACCTGAGTCCTGCCCTAGCACTTCTGCGGCTGCCAGGGCACGGCCGACGCTTGTCTGCTGCTCTGGAAGAGCCGCAGGAACCAATTCCAGGGTCAGATCCAGTTTCATTCTTGAGCCTCCGGCACTCTGGGCCCATCTCGCCTGTGAAGCGGGATGCAGAGGCACCTGCCTGGAGGCCCCTCCGCAGGCCACCAGATTTGGCCTGTGGTCACCAGCAGGCGGGCAGCCTTTCTAAACTGCATGGCCACGGCCCCTCTCCCCACACCCCTGCAGCAAGAGTCCCCCACAATGACCTTGGAGACGCAGAAACAAACCCACCCAGTGGCCTCCCAGGTCTGGGACCCAGCTCAAGGCCTCAGCTGAGAGAGGACAGAGCTGCCTGCAGCCCCCAAGTAAAAGGAACTTGAGAAACAGAAATCAACAGCACAGGAGGGAGATGTGAGCCAGAAAAGTCGTTAGAACAGCGAGGTGGAGGAGGAAGAGCCACCTCACCCAGGCACTGAAATTCCTCCCAAGAGGCAGAGGTGGCGAGCAGGCCGCAGAGGGGAGGGCGCGGGGGTAGGGGCCACCCCTGCGTGATAACTGCAGACTCAGGATCAACATCGGAGAAGCCGGGTGAGAAACCAGCACTAACCTGCAGAGGCAGAAACCAGATATCACATCAGTCTCTAAGTGGAACGGGCTTGAAAGCCAGATAAGGAATCCCAGGGCCCCTGGGTTCCACACGGAGGCCAAGGCCAAGCTGAACAGGTCCTTCCCTTCCCTGTCTTCAGCCAAGGGGCCATGGGCAGATGGGGCAGGGCTCTGGGGCAGAGAACATTCCTTAAACTGCTATAAAGACAAACCGAGAACACGCTAGAGAAGTCCTCCCCTGCTGGCAAAACCACCGTAAGCAGAGTGCAAGCCCCCAAAACTCTCAACAGTTATAAGCAGCCCATTTGGGGTCAGTGTGGTAAATTCGACAAATCTGACCAGCCAGGTGGTCACTGACATGGAGCCGCCCAGGTGTGTGGGCGCATGGGGGCTTCCTAACTTGTGCACTCCTGGTCTCATGCCCACATCCCTAGAACTGCAGTCAGCAGCCATCGTGTGCCTGAGTGCCCAGGGACTGTGTGCGTGGGTTTTCTTTGCAGCCTGGCACTCCCACGCACCTGCACGCACATCTGTACACACACGTTTCCTCTTCCACGGCCTCCCGGGTCCACACGGTCACCCCAGTATGTCATGGATGCTAGCCTCACCTGGCGGTGTCCACTTCTTCCTTCTGCCCCCATGAGGCCAAAGCATCTCCTTATGGGGCTCACCATTGGAAGGGGACCCATAGGGGTTCACTCAGACCCCACTCCCCACGGGTCCCAGGGCTCCTGGGATCTACGGAAGGGAGTGGGGCTGTCACAGGACCATCCAGGAGGCTTACAGTTACAGGAAGGGGTCAAAGCCTCAGCTCCTGGGGTGGGGAGGACGGTGGGGTCCGTCACGGCCAGGCCCTGCCTCCGCCCACAGCCTTGCCCTGGCTGGCAGGCTGGCCTTCAGCCTGACCCCGCCTGCTTCCCACCCCACAGAAGACGTCTTCCCCTGCAAGGACTGTGGCATCTGGTACCGCAGCGAGCGCAACCTGCAGGCGCACCTGCTCTACTACTGCGCCAGCCGCCAGGGCACCGGCTCCCCGGCCGCAGCCGCCACAGACGAGAAGCCCAAAGAGACCTACCCCAACGAGCGCGTCTGCCCCTTCCCCCAGTGCCGCAAGAGCTGCCCCAGCGCCAGCTCCCTGGAGATCCACATGCGCAGCCACAGCGGTGAGCCCCCACCCCGGACGCGGGTCCTCAGGATGCCGGCTGCTTCCCCACCCAGTCCCGCAGGCCGCCCGGGAAAACCCACATGCAAGCACACACGGTGCCACCATTCACCTGCGCGGTCTCCGGCACACCCAGGGCCCCCGCAGGGGCCCAGAGCAGGCAGGCCGGACTGTGGGCTATCTGGGTAGTCAGCTGAGGGCTGGGCCCACTGCTGTCCCGAGAGACAAAAGGCGGAGGAGGAGGAGGAGGGGTTTAAAGACCCTTCAGCACAGGGTCCCCCGGCACAGATCACGGCCCTGGGCCCAGTCGCCTTCCTCATCCCTGGAGTCCCAAGGTTAAGCTGGCCCGGGCACCGCTCTTACGCGCCCTGTGTTCCAGGAGAGCGGCCCTTCGTGTGCCTGATCTGCCTGTCGGCCTTCACCACCAAGGCCAACTGCGAGCGGCACCTCAAGGTGCACACGGACACGCTGAGCGGTAGGCACCGCAGGGGCCGGGGGGTGTGTGGGTCCCGCCTCCCCGCCCTGGGCCTTGACCACCTCGCCATGGCCCACAGGTGTCTGCCACAGCTGTGGCTTCATCTCCACCACAAGGGACATCCTCTACAGCCACTTGGTCACCAACCACATGGTCTGCCAGCCTGGCTCCAAGGGTGAGATCTACTCGCCAGGGGCCGGACACCCAGCAACCAAGCTGCCCCCAGGTGAGCAGCCCTGTGGGGGCCACCCCTGCCCCTTAGGCCCCCTGAGCAGTGGGAAGGGAGTGGGCTTGTCGCCCAAGACAGGTGGGGGTCCGTTTCAGCCTTCGCTCTAAACCACTCCCGCCCACCCCTCCCCTTCCGGAGCTCGCCCTCCAGCTCTGACCGGCCAGGTCCTGCCCCAGGCCTGAGGTGCCACCCCTGCGATCTCTCTGCAGACAGTCTGGGCAGCTTCCAGCAGCAGCACACGGCCCTGCAAGGCCCCCTGGCCTCCGCGGACCTGGGCCTGGCGCCCACCCCATCGCCAGGACTGGACAGAAAGGCCCTGGCCGAGGCCACCAACGGAGAGGCCAGAGCGGAGCCTCTGGCCCAGAATGGAGGCAGCAGCGAGCCCCCGGCGGCCCCCAGGAGCATCAAGGTGGAGGCGGTGGAGGAGCCGGAGGCGGCCCCCATCCTGGGCCCCGGAGAGCCTGGGCCCCAGGCCCCGTCGCGGACGCCGTCGCCGCGCAGCCCCGCCCCGGCCAGGGTCAAGGCCGAGCTGTCCAGCCCCACGCCGGGCTCCAGCCCGGTGCCCGGCGAGCTGGGCCTGGCCGGGGCCCTGTTCCTTCCGCAGTACGTGTTCGGGCCCGACGCGGCGCCCCCCGCCTCGGAGATCCTGGCCAAGATGTCCGAGCTGGTGCACAGCCGGCTGCAGCAGGGCGCGGGCGCGGGCGCCGGCGGCGCGCAGACCGGGCTCTTCCCCGGGGCCCCCAAGGGCGCTACGTGCTTCGAGTGCGAGATCACCTTCAGCAACGTCAACAACTACTACGTGCACAAGCGCCTCTACTGTTCAGGCCGCCGTGCGCCCGAGGACGCGCCTGCCGCGCGCAGGCCCAAGGCGCCCCCCGGCCCGGCCCGCGCGCCCCCCGGCCAGCCCGCCGAACCCGACGCGCCGCGCTCGTCCCCGGGCCCCGGAGCGCGCGAGGAGGGGGCTGGGGGCGCGGCCACGCCCGAGGACGGCGCGGGCGGCCGGGGCAGCGAGGGCAGCCAGAGCCCGGGTAGCTCCGTGGACGACGCGGAGGACGACCCCAGCCGCACGCTGTGCGAGGCCTGCAACATCCGCTTCAGCCGCCACGAGACCTACACCGTGCACAAGCGGTACTACTGCGCCTCGCGCCACGACCCGCCGCCGCGCCGACCGGCCGCGCCCCCGGGACCCCCTGGGCCGGCCGCGCCCCCGGCCCCCTCTCCCGCCGCGCCTGTGCGCACGCGCAGACGCCGCAAGCTCTACGAGCTGCACGCGGCCGGCGCCCCGCCCCCCCCGCCGCCCGGCCACGCCCCCGCGCCCGAGTCGCCGCGGCCCGGAAGCGGAAGCGGAAGCGGCCCCGGCCTCGCCCCTGCGCGCTCGCCCGGCCCCGCGGCCGACGGCCCCATCGACCTGAGCAAGAAGCCGCGGCGCCCGCTCCCCGGAGCCCCGGCACCGGCGCTGGCCGACTACCACGAGTGCACGGCCTGCCGCGTGAGCTTCCACAGCCTCGAGGCCTACCTGGCGCACAAGAAGTACTCGTGCCCCGCTGCGCCACCGCCCGGCGCGCTCGGCCTGCCCGCCGCCGCCTGCCCCTACTGCCCCCCGAACGGCCCGGTGCGCGGGGACCTGCTGGAGCATTTCCGCCTGGCGCACGGCCTGCTGCTCGGCGCGCCCCTGGCCGGCCCGGGGGTCGAGGCCCGGACGCCGGCCGACCGCGGCCCCTCGCCCGCTCCCGCCCCCGCCGCCTCCCCGCAGCCCGGGTCCCGTGGCCCCCGGGACGGCCTCGGCCCGGAGCCCCAGGAGCCGCCGCCCGGCCCGCCCCCGTCCCCGGCCGCCGCGCCCGAGGCCGTGCCGCCCCCGCCGGCGCCCCCCTCCTACTCGGACAAGGGCGTCCAGACTCCCAGCAAGGGCACGCCGGCGCCGCTGCCCAACGGCAACCACCGGTACTGCCGTCTTTGCAACATCAAGTTCAGCAGCCTGTCCACCTTCATCGCCCACAAGAAGTATTACTGCTCCTCGCACGCCGCCGAGCACGTGAAGTGAGCGCCCACACTACAGCCGCAGACGCTTTGCACGCCCCGCTGCGATGCGGGGAGGGGGCCGCCCCCAGGCCGCACGGACTGCCGCTCCTGGGAACCCCGCCACGCACAGGCCTCGGCGGAGGGGGCCGCAGGGGGCAGCGCCCGCCTGGACCCTTGGCACTTAATAAAGAAGTTCAGTTTGATGAGCATGGTGGTGGGCCAGCCTAGTTCTCTGAGCCAGCAGGCACACGCAGCCAGTGTCACATCCAGCCCTGCTGTGTACACAGGCCACTGCGGCCCGGAGTGGCTGGGCCCCTGCCGGAGTTACACCACTGGGTGCTAAGAGCTAGACCGAGCGTCAGGTCGGAGGCCACAGCACACACTGAACCACTGCAGGGCCAGCCGCTCTGGGCCTACCCCACCCCAGCCCTGTCCATACCCCCCTAGGGAGAGCAGCCTCCACACTGCTGACCCTCTCCACGGTCTACTTGGCCGCCAGACACGGAAGAGAGGGGCACTGACCTGGCTGGCCATCCCCCAACCCTGCATGGTCCTGGGGGTCCGATGTCCCCCATCCAGTCACAGACCACCAGGGATGGCAGGGGTGGGGGCGCCCTGGGGAGGATGAAGCCCTGTGGTGGCCAAGGCTGGGGGAAGAACAGGCGAGTAGGTGGACAGGAGAGGGAGACCGAGGCCGAAGCATTCCCTGGCCTCGAGGGGGTCCTGATGCTCACTGGTGGGTGCATCTCTCCCTCAGAGCCAGGGCTGAGGACAACCGTGTGGTGGAGTCACCTGTGGTGGCTGAGTCGGTGCAAGGGTCAGGGCACCCCCACCCCCCGTCTTCCCTGCCCTGCTGGGCTGTATGGGCCGGCCACACTGAGGGAGTACTTGGCTGACCGCGTTCAGCCACGGTGTCACCGTGCCGTTTGCAGCTGGGTGGCTGTGGGCAGCCTCCAGCGTGCTTTCTCACTGGAGAACAAAAACACTCTTCTATTCCCAACGTCACTTTATTTTTTTATTTTTGGGTCTCACTCTCTTGCCCAGGCTGGAGTCCCTGGGATACTCACGGCTCATTGCAGCCTTGACCTCGTGAGCTCAAGTGATCTTCCCACCTCAGTTTCCTCAGTAGCTGGGGCTACAGGTGTACACCACCATGCCCAGCTAGTTTTTGTGTTTTTTGTAGAAATGGTGTCTCCCTATGTTGCCCAGGCTGGGCAACCCTATATTTTTTAGAGCTAAGGTCTTGTTCGGTTCCCCAGGCTGAAGTTCAGTGGCACGATCATAAGTCACTGCAGCCTCAAACTCCTGAGCTGAAACCATCTTCCTGCCTCAGCCTCCCAAGTAGCTGGGACTACAGGCTTGACCCACCACACCTGGCTAACTTTTAAAACATTTTTATAGAGACAGGGTCTTCCTGTGTTGCCCAAGATGGTCTCAAACTCCTGACCTCCAGTGCTCCTGCAGCCTCAGCCTCCCAGAACATTAGGATGACAGGCGCGAGCTACCATTCCCAGCCCATTTCCAACTCTACTTGAACTAGCTGCATTTTTTTCAGCTTTGCCCAGCAGCCCTGGTGAGTGCAGGCAAAGAAGGCAGCGGCCTCTTGCCTCAGAAGCCCGAGGCACTTCCCAGCCAGTCCAGGGCTCGCTCTCCTGCCCGCAGCTCGTGGGCCTGGGTCTGCAGCGCTTTCAGTGGTCTCTGATGTCTTTGTCCACCTGCCCACTAGGGTCTGGCCAGATGGGGCCCGTAGCCAAGGCCAATGGACAGACATGGCTTCCACCCCCTCCCAGGGACCTGAGCTCCAGGGAAGGCAAGCAGCCTTTTCCTCACAGACACCCCTTCTGTTGAAGACCAGGTGATAGCGGGGACGGGAGGCACGGACCCCTCAAGTCTGCTCATCATTTGCATTGTTGTGCATGAATTTGCGTGGAGGGTTCAGGAGGCTCTGCCCCCAAGTCCTCCCCAGGTGCGGGCGCAGGGTACAAGATGTTCTAAAAAATAGAAACCTGGTGGGGGGTTGTCACTGTGTGTACATTTAAAAGTAAACTGTTTAAAGGTGTCTAGAAACTACGAATACAGTCTCTGGTGAGTGACAGGTGCTCAAAGGGGGTAAAAAACACAACTCCAGTGTCCTCACCCCCTTTGAGCCCCACCCCAAACCTGACCAAGCGAGGCCCTGGAATGCAAGACGCAGAGGAGAATCTGGAAGACAGCCCAGCAGTGCCGCACAAACCCGCCATGCACCCAGACGTGCCTCAGTGTCCACACCTGTGCCGCAGGAGTGGGAGTTCGGGCCTGGCAACCCTTCCTGGGGGCTCATCTCAGAGGCAGCAAGGACCCTGTGACCGGGACCCAGACCTGAAGTCACCCCAGAGGGCCCCGCCACGGCCCGGACTCGAAGCTTAGGGCAGCACACTGAGCCTCACGAAGGGCCCTGCGCCTGTCCTGGCTTGCATAACCCCCTACTGTCCCCACCATGCAGGGCTGGGTACCGCTGCCATCGCCCGTCCCAGGTCATTGGCGTGTGGCCAGAGCCCGTCCCCATCGCACCCAGGACTCGCCTCGGGCACGCGTCTTCTGCACAGACCCTGGGGCCCCCACACCTGGCAGACGCCATCAGTCACCCCTACTCCCTCAAGCCATCACCCCAGTCTCCCCCCACCAGACCACCGCCTGGGCCTCCACCCTGTGCCTCCCCTGTAGCCGCTGACTCGGTGGTGGCCCAGGCCTTCTCCCGCCTCTCCCCAGGAAGCTGCCTGCCCTGCTCACAGACACCCCCTCGGCCCCCCAGCTGGTTCTCTGCTGAGCCAGGTTCAAGGCTCTGAGTCTGCCCTGGTCTCCCCTTGAAGTTCTCCCTCCACACTCCTGGGGTGGGCTCATGGTCTTCTCTCCACTAATTCTGTAGTCTAGCCACGCCTCCCCTGAGCCCCAGACCTGCAGACCTACAGCCCCTGTGTCCTTCCAGGCCCTTGATGTACCATGAGTGACTGTAACCCCACGCACCTGTAACTTCTGCCCACACCTGTGCAGGTGTTCCCCTCCCCCAAGCCCACCTGTCTCCCCACACCAGTGCAAGCACCCCCCTGGCTCACTGTCTCCTCCCCTCACCTGCACAGGCATCACCCCGAGCCCACCTGTCTCCCCACCAGCCCACCTGTCTCCTCCCCTCACCTGCATAGGCATCCTCAGTGGCCCCCTGCCCCTCAAGCTGGAGAGCATCAGCCTTGCCTATTCACCCTTCATTGTCAAAGCAATGCTTGATTTGTCCAAATCCCACCGCTTCCCAAACCCATCCACCATCGCCGACTCCCAGACCTGGGACTTCACCCTTGAGTCTCTCTGAACAGCCGCTTCCAAATCTCGAGGGTCCACTCCTCACACAGCTGCCACCGCTCCCCTCTCCCAGGCTCACCCTGCTCTGAGGCCCGTCCCCGCCCCCAGGTGCCTGTGCTTCGCGTAAAACCCCTTCTGTTACTGGCCCCATCCTTCAGAGGTCAGAAGTCCCCCTTCTCTGCCTCAGCACAGAGGAGAGGAGCCTCCCGTTGGCGGCCTGTCCCGACGGCAGCCCCTGGCCCTGCTAAGCCCACCACCCGCTGGGCTCCATGCTGCAGCTGGTTGCTCCAGGCAGTGCCTCCTGATGCCCTCTCTACTCCTCCGAGGCTGTCCTTGTCATCCAGCTCTCAGCTTAGGTGCCCCCTCAGACCTGTCCCTGGCTCACTTCCCGCGTAGGAACGGTCACTCTGCACCTCTGTCCCCAGCTCGCTCCCGTGTAGGAATGGTCACTCTGCACCTCTGTCCCCAGCTCACTCCCACGTAGGAACGGTCACTCTGCATCTCTGTCCTCTTGCCCGTCGCCTACTGGCCTGTCTCCTTTGAAAGCTGGGGCTGCGCCTGCTTGACCTCTGCCTCCCAGGCACCCACAAGTGGCCGACACAGAGGAGGGGTCTGCATCTGTTGAAGTCACAGGGGTGTGTGTGGACCACAGCCAGCCCCTCCCCATGCCCAGCAGTCAGTCCAACTGTCACAGCCCACTTTCCAGCCACACTGTCCACTCATGGCACACGGCCACCGTCACAGCCCACTCTCCAATCACACTGTCCACTGAGTCCCATGTGTGACCTGAGCTTCTTGGATCTCGGACCGCTGCATTCCAAGCTGCTCTCTCCCCACTCCTCCCCCCTCCCCACTCCCCCCAGCTTTGCCTGTGAAACTCCTTCTCTCCTCAAGACTGGCTTAAAAGGTCCCCCTCAGGGCCACCCAGCCAGGCTGTACCCGTCCCCTGCCCTGCACAGGATGGGCCTCCCGCCTCCACCCTCCTTCTTCCAGGAGGGCACCTGCTCCCTTCTACCTGAGCTGCATACAGCTCAAAGCCCCTTGCAGGCTGGCAACTCCCAGGCAGGGTCAGCCCAGCCTGCCGGGAGTCCCTCACGCTACTTGGGACACAACGTCCACGAGATGATGCAGGGCAGCCTCGCCCTCCTGAGGCCCCTTCCTCTGCCAGGCACAGGGTCTGTCCTCTCAGCCACACCATGGGCTGAGTGCCCTGACTGTGCACGAGGGCCCCAAGGTTCCATCGGGACACACCTCCTGCCCAGGCACCTGGCGGGCACAGCTGGGCCAGGACACATCCCTCTGCTGGCTTCCAGCACTCGGTTCTCGACCACCAGCCGTACTGCTGGGCACTGGCTCCCAGCCACGCCCTGGCTTACAGAAAGCTCAGGCCTAGCAGAAGCCCACCCCAGCCTGCCTGAGGAAGGGTGGGAGTGGAGAGGGCCCCCACTGCCGGCCCTGTCTCCCACACCAGGACACCAACATGCAGAGCAGGACATCACCTGTGGCTGGGGGGCTGCGTGAGCTGGCAACCGTCGGATGGGTCTGCTCTGAAAACCGGTCCCCACCTGTCCCCCGCAAGCCGACCCCTCGGGAGAGCCCAGCTTTGGAGTCTCAGGCAGAGCCTCAGGACGCCAGGAGGCAGCAAAGCCGTTGCACTCTGGCCTGCCCTGTATCTGCCGGGGCCTTGCAGAGGGGGAGGGAGGAAGATTGGGAGGAGGCAGCCTCACCCCCTCAACACCCAACCCCCTCCTCCTTGGAGGTGCCAGGGAGAGGTGAAGAGAAGAGCAAACCATGCAGCTGTGGACAGAACTCGCCTCGGGACCTCGGGCTGGGAGTGTCTCAGAGGTGAGCCAGGCAGGGGCAGGGAGGGTCGGGAGCTCCGGGCAGAGGTTAGGGTTAGGGCGGGACGCATGGAGGAGGGAGGCGCAGAGCAGGAGGTCTCGCAGCTTTTCGGAAGCGCATCCATTTCCACAGCGAGGGAAGGAGCAGGGGAGGTGACTGGCCACCCGGGAGGAGCTTGGCCACCAGACAGCCAGGTGGCCTGGACCTGGCGAGAGTGGCGAACCCGGCAGAATCCCAACCTCACAGGGCTGTTCCAGGCTGCTTCCAACACGACCCTGGAGGCACATCCTCTGATGCTGTCCTTGGGCAGGGAGCAGGGGGCTCCCAGGCACGGTGACTTGCCCAGGGTCACAGGAGTGACCACCAAGATGCAAGGGAAATACACAGCCTGAGCCCTGCCTTGCACACGGCGGCCCTCGCACCAGCACGGCCTCCCCATCTGGCACCCTCAGAGCCCCTCTGTCCCCTCAGAGCCCCAGGCCTCCCCAGCACTGCCCACAGACCTGCAGCAGCTTCTGTCTGGCTGCTTCCCTCCCTGCCGGCCAGGGCCTGGGAATCTGCATTTAACCAGCTCCCAGCAGTTTGCTCTCTGGCACGTGTGAGACCTGCACTCACAGCAGGTGCCCAGACCGTGGGCGCCGACCTCACTAGCTCACCAGCAGGAGCACACACAGCCCTGCTCACCAGGCCTTCGTCAGCTGAGGCAGGGGCGGGGCAGGGAGAGAGCTGGACCCAGATCTCTGCCCAAGGGCCGTGTCCTGCCCTGCGCGGAGTGCACACTTGGCCCTCCCCTTCTCTGACACTCCTGGTGAACAGGGTGGCGAGGGCAGTAGCCCCACCCTCGAACGCAGGGCATGGGCTGAGGCTGAAGGAATGCCTAGGAGAGTGTGGCGTGTGCAGGTGGGGGGCGGAAAGGGGCAGGGAAGGGTGAAGAGGACCTTGGTGTCCTGGCTAATCCGAGTCCTCCGTGTTGAACCCCAAACCCCAAGCAGCCGGGAGAAGCTGGAGCAGGCCTGGCACACACCCTAACTCCAGTCTGAAATTCTGGGCCCCTCCTGCACAGCCCAGATCCCCCCAGGAGGCCGCTGATGGCTCAAAGAAGGTCTCATATGCTCTCATGGGCGTATGCCACCAGCCTGAGGCAGAGACCCAAGGCCCACACGCCCGGCTATTGCCGTGAGCCGGCAGCACGTGGCCTTGATTCTCTTCCCGATGCAGGACAGGTGGGCCACGCAATTGAGGCTTAGCCAGGAAAGAATTCAAGGGCAGGCCAGGGTGTTAGACGGCAGCAGTCTGTTATTGAACAATTTTACTCCTTGCAGAGCAAGGCTAACTCCCTGGCAGTGCATCCAGAGTCCACAGTGCTCTTGGCAACTGTATTTATAACCACTTAAACCCCTCTTCAATTACATGCAAATTAAAGGGTGGGTTAATGCAAATTGAGGAGCAGGTTACTTAGGACTTTCTTTTTGTTTGTTTTGTTTTGAGACAGAGTCTTCCTCTGTCTCCCAGGCTGGAGTGCAGTGGCATGATCTTGGCTCACTGCAACCTCCATCTCCCGGGTTCAAGTGATTCTCCTGCCTCAGCCTCCCAAGTAGCTGGGATTACAGAAGCCTGCCACCACGCCCGGCTAATTTTTGTATGTTAAGTAGAGACAGGTTTTCACCATATTGGTCAGGCTGGTCTCGAATTCCTGACCTCAGGTGATCACCTGCCTCAGCCTCCCACAGTGCTGGGATTACAGGCACGAGCCACCGCGCCCGGCTGTTACTTAGGACTTTCTAGGCAAGGGGCAATAACTTCCCCAGCATTGCCACGTAAAGCAGGTTACGTCCAGGCTGTTGCCATGGTGTTTGTAAACTGTCATGGGGCTGGTGGGACTGTGTTATGCCAGAGAACAATGAGGCAGCTAGGGATCGCCTTCCTCGCCATCTGCTGGTTCCTGCTGCTTTCCTTACTTTATCCTTTCTGGACCAGATCACGTTTTGGTCAGCAAGGTTGTGACCAGAAATGTCCTGCTGGTTTCCTACCTCAGAACAGCTCAGAGGCTGCATGTGGGTGGCCCGCCCTTGGCTCTAATAGGGTCTCTGGCTATGGAAAGCAGGCTTGGGCCTCTCAAGAGGCTGGGGGCCGTCCTTATGGGCTGTGCTCTCATGTCCCCTGCAATGCATCTCCCCCACCAGCCTGCCTGGCCTGGGCACATTGATTGTTGGGCAACTGTCACTGTGGCTGCTGTCACCTCCCCCGAGGTTCTCCCCATTAACCAGCTGGCTGCACTCCTCGTTAGACCCTGCCAACTGGGGCCTCCGAAGGGGCACAGAGCCAGCAAGTTTGTCCCTCCTGCCATCTGCTGGGAAGGGCCAGAGAGCTGGCCCCTCCTTCCTTCCACAATCAAACATGGAGGTGGCAAGGAAGTCTCCAGAGCCTGGGCTTGAAGTTTCGAGTCCTGGCTTGGGATCCAGTGTCTGCACATCCCACAGGAAGGCCGGAGACAGGGAGGAGCCTGGTGGGAAGACATTGTCAGGGAGGGCGAATTATAAATGAAGAGATGCGGCTGGCACCAATCAGATGGGCGGTGCGGGAATGGGAAGCACCAGGTGCCAGCAGCAGGTGGATAGGCAGCTCCAGTGCACCTGGCGGGCAGGTGCAGCCCCCTCAAATGCCGCCTGGCCATGGATGGTGGAGATTGCTGGGTCACAAGCCATCCCAGCACAACCTCCTGGCGTTGCGTTCTTTCTTCCTTAATAGCATCCTGTAAATGTTCATTAATGAGGGCCTGACTGGGCAAAACTATGCTACTGTTTTCTCTGAAAAGCTTTTATTGTGCCATAATTCTTGAACGAGAAGTTGGCTGGACACTCCATCCAGCTTGACAGTTCACTTTTCTCATTCTTTGAAGATGTGCTAGGCCTGGCATGGTGGCTCACGGCTATAATCCCAGCACCTTGGGAAGCCAAGCCGAGTAGATCACCTGAGGTCGGGAGTTCGAGACCAGCCTGACCAACATGGATAAACCCCTGTCTCTACCAAAAATACAAAAAATTAGCCAGGCGTGATGGCACATGCTTGTAATCCCAGCTACTCAGGAGGCTGAGGCAGAAGAATCACTTCAGCCCGGGAGGCAGAGGTTGCAGTGAGCCGAGATGGTGCCATTGCACTCCAGCCTGGGCAACAAGAGTGAAACTCTGTCTCAAAAAAAAAAAACAAAGGAAAAGATGTGCTTCCACTTTTCTCTGACTCTCATTGTTGATGAAGAGTAGTCAGCTGTATTTCTTTATCATCACCTCTTTCAGGATCGGTTCACCGTTAACAGCCTGCAATTGTATACAGTTCACTAAGTGTGCATCCTCGTTGGCATTCCTACATCCGAGAATTCTTACCTTTCAACATTTTTGAAAAATCCCCAGCCATTTTGTTTTTGAATGTTGCCTTTCCCCATTCCCTCTGCTCTCCTTTCTGGAACTCTGATTAGATTTATATTAGATTCTCTTCTCTACTCTGTACTTCTTAGCTTCTCTTTCAGATTTTCTATCTCCTTATCTCTCTGCACTCCTAATGGGTCATTTCTTCTGATCTACTTTCTGGTCAATAAATTCCCTCTTTACCAGTGTGTTATCTGTTGCTTAATCTGCGGTGAATATTTTTTATGGCATTTTTCATTTCTAAAGTTGAAAACGCACATTCTGATGATGGTGGTGATGGTGACAATAGTGTGTGATAATGATGATGATAGTGACGATCATGGTAATGATGAAAATAATCAGTACAACTATCAAAGATTGGCCAGGCACGGTGGCTCACACCTATAATCCCAGCACTCTGGGAGGCCGGGTGTGGTGGCTCACACCTGTAATCCCAGCACTTTGGGAGGCCAAGGCAGACAGATCACAAGGTCAGGAGTTCGAGACCAGCCTGGCCAATACGTGAAACTCCGTCTCTACTAAAAATACAAAAATCAGTCAGGCATGGTGGCTGGCGCCTGTAGTACCAGCTGCTCGGGAGGCTGAGGTAGGAGAGTCACTTGAACCTGGGAGGCAGAGGTTGCAATGAGCCAAGAAGCCAAGATCGCACCACTGCACTCCAGCCTGGACGCCAGAGCAAGACTCCGTCTCAAAAAAAAAAAAAAAAAGAAAAAAAAAAGCACTACCAAAGATCATCATTGTTGGCTGCACTTGTGGTTTCAGGCAGGTAGCCTTGGCGAGTTTGTTCATACCTCATGATCATTGGAGCTGAGATTTGCAAACTGCTCAGTGCAGCCCTGACTCCCTGTGAGTCAAAAGCCACTTCTCACCTCACCAGGAGCTGTGGTGTTTGTTGGGTGTCAATGTACGACTTTAGTTGTTGTTGTTTTAAAGTTCTACTGTGTGTTTTTTTAAAGGACCAGTGAAATTTGAAAATAGCCAAGGAAAAGAAAACTGGTTCCCACAATCACAGACACCACCATGGAACACACCAAGGCAATTTCTTCATTATAAAAATTTTATTATGAAGAGACAGGGGCCGGACGGGGTGGCTCACGCCTGTAATCCCAGTACTTTGGGAGGCCAAGATGGGTGGATCAAGAGGTCAGGAGATTGAGACCATCCTGGCTAACACGGTGAAACACCATCTCTACTAAAAAAATACAAAAAATTAGCCAGGCGTGGTGGTGGGCGCCTGTAGTCCCAGCTATTCGGGAGGCTGAGGCAGGAGAATGGCGTGAACCCGGGAAGCGGAGATTGTGGTGAGCGGAGATCGCGCCACTGACTCCAGCCTGGGTGACAGAGCGAGACTCTGTCTCAAAAATAAATAAATAAATAGATAAAATAAGAGACAGGGTCTCACTATATTGCCCAGGCTGGTCTGTGAACCGCTGTGCTCGATTGGTCCTCCTGCCTCAGCCTCCCAAAGTGCTTGGATCACAGGCATGAGTCGCCGCACCTGGCCAACACGGGGGCAGTTTTTGATGCAATGTCTGCAGTGGCTGGAGGGAGCTGGGCTCCTGCTCACATCATGCTTTGTGCTTCGGTTGCTCCCACTTCAGGGCTGCACTCACCCTCCCTCAGCAAACCTCAGACTTGGAAGAGGCTACCATGAGGGTGTGTGGCTTGGTTTAGACCTTGTTGACAAAGAAGTCAGTTAATCCCAAGTTCAGTAACTAATAAACATCAGCACATGGTAACACACAGTCTAACTACTAGTTTTTTTGTTTTTTTTTGTTTTTGGGTTTTTTTTTGAGACGGAGTCTTGCTCTGTCGCCCAGGCTGGAGTGCAGTGGCTCCATCTTGGCTCACTGCAACCTCCGCCTCCCAGGTTCAAGCGATTCTCCAGCCTCAGCCTCCTGAGTAGCTGGGATTATGGGCCTGGGCCACCACGTCTGGCTCTGTGAGTCAGCACAGGGAATCTTACCATGGACGCTGCCGGGAGATGCAGGGCCACTCAGGTGTGCACGTACACTGGATTCAAATACAGGCAGCAGACATAGACAACGATGCCGGGAGAGGGGCGGCTGGCAGAAGAATGGCCCCAAAGATGCCTGTGTTTTCATCCCCAGGGGGAGCCTGTGAAGGCGCAGCCTCATGCAGCAGAGGGGAGTTAAGGCTGCAGGGGAAGTTGAGGTTGCTCATCAGCTGACCCAAGATACAGAGATTACCCTGGATCATCCTGGTGGGCACAGCATAATCACAAAGTTCTTATCAGTGGAAGAGGGGTCAGGAAGAATACCAGAGAGGTGGGATGGGAGGACTCAATGGGCTTTGAAGATGGGGGGGGTGCCATGAGCCAAGGAACGGGGAGGCTTCCAGAATAAGCAGCTGGTTCTCCTCAGGAGCTCCCAGCTGGGGCCAGCCCTGCTCACGCCTGGACCTCAGCCAGTGAGACCCGCTTCAGTGAGCCCCACTGGCTCCTGAAGGCTGCTGCACCTGACTCAGGATAGCTGGGACTTGGAGTAGGGTGGGACACAGGGCACAGAGGGCCGGCCAGGGCTGCAAAAAGATCCCGGTGGCACCTCATGAGCTGGGGACAGGGGTCCTGTGCCCGACCATCTTGCGTCTCTTTTTGTTTCTACCTTTGCAATAATAATAATACAAGTAAAGTCAGATAGAAGTTCAGGAAGCATGCACATGGGATGCTCCAGTCTCCAGCCAGCACGAGGAAATCATCACTCTCCAATCAAAGGCAGAGGGCGAACAATGGCGCCATCACGGTGCACTGCAGCCTCAACCTCCTGAGCTCAAGGGGTCCTCCCACCTCAGCCTCCTAGGTGCTGAGGACCACAGGCGTGCAGCACCATTCCCAGCTATTTTTTTTTACTTTTTGTAGAGATGGCATCTCACTATGTTGCCCAGTCTGGTATCCACCTCCTTACTTAAGCAATCTTCCTTCCTCAGCCTCTCAAAGTGCTGGGATTACAGGCATAAGCCACCGCACCCAGGCCCGAGGTTGAGCTTTTGAGTGGCTGTCACCCTACTTTCCACAACAGTCACACCGATTGCTGTTCCCATCAGCAGTGCATGCCAGGCCTCCACATCCCACCAACACATGCTGCAGCACTGTCTGACTTCAGCATCTGAATGCATGAGAAGCGGAGTCTCACTGGGGCTGTAATCTGCATTCTCCAGTGACCGGCAGTGCCACGCAGCATCCCCCTGCTCACTGGCCACTGTATGTCTATGGAGAAACATCTGTCCAGACCCATCGCCCATCTCTGCACCTTTCTGCTCATTTCTAAGGTGAGAAAACAGAGGGTGGACAAGGTGAGGGAAGAGAGGGTGGAGAAGGCGAGGGGACAGAGGGTGGGGAAGGTGAGGGGACAGAGGGTGGAGAAGGTGAGGGGACAGAGGGTGGAGAAGGTGAGGGGACAGAGGGTGGGGAAGGTGAGGGGACAGAGGGTGGAGAAGGTGAGGGGACAGAGGGTGGGGAAGGTGAGGGGACAGAGGGTGGAGAAGGTGAGGGGACAGAGGGTGGAGAAGGTGAGGGGACAGAGGGTGGGGAAGGCGAGGGGACAGAGGGTGGGGAAGGCGAGGGGACAGAGGGTGGGGAAGGCGAGGGGACAGAGGGTGGGGAAGGCGAGGGGACAGAGGGTGGGGAAGGCGAGGGGACAGAGGGTGGGGAAGGCGAGGGGACAGAGGGTGGGGAAGGCGAGGGGACAGAGGGTGGGGAAGGCGAGGGGACAGAGGGTGGGGAAGGCGAGGGGACAGAGGGTGGGGAAGGCGAGGAGAGGGTGGGGAAGGCGAGGGGACAGAGGGTGGGGAAGGCGAGGGGACAGAGGGTGGGGAAGGCGAGGGGACAGAGGGTGGGGAAGGTGACCGGACAGAGGGTGGGGAAGGTGCGGGGACAGAGGGTGGGGAAGGTGCGGGGACAGAGGGTGGGGAAGGTGAGGAGACAGAGGGTGGGGAAGGTGCGGGGACAGAGGGTGGGGAAGGTGACTGGACAGAGGGTGGGGAAGGTGACGGGACAGAGGGTGGGGAAGGCGAGGGGACAGAGGGTGGGGAAGGTGACCGGACAGAGGGTGGGGAAGGCGAGGGGACAGAGGGTGGGGAAGGCGAGGGGACAGAGGGTGGGGAAGGCGAGGGGACAGAGGGTGGGGAAGGCGAGGGGACAGAGGGTGGGGAAGGCGAGGGGACAGAGGGTGGGGAAGGCGAGGGGACAGAGGGTGGGGAAGGCGAGGGGACAGAGGGTGGGGAAGGCGACGGGACAGAGGGTGGGGAAGGCGACGGGACAGAGGGTGGGGAAGGTGAGGGGACAGAGGGTGGGGAAGGTGAGGGAACAGAGGGTGACAACCATCCAAGTGTGAAACTCATGGGTATGTGCTTGGGCTGCAGACACCCTGGCCTCACCCCACCTTGGCCCTTTTGATCCATGAGACTGCACAGTTCCCCTCCTGGACCCTTGGTTCCCCCCACACCCAGGAGGCATAGAACAGGCAGGACATCCTGTGGCCAGAAAGATGATCGGGGGTCTCCAGGGCACGGAGCCCCCACCCACACACTACAGTAGGGATTGACAGCAGCCTGACCGCCACTGCCCTTTCCCCTGTAAGGTGGGGTTCCCAGTGGATGGCCAGAGGGTCCCACCCCAGTGGCTCCAATCCCCACCCTCCACGTCAGCACCAGCCAGGTGGTCACCGTCAATGACCCTGTCACCCTCCCGGGGGAAGGGGCTTCCAGGCCCACAGCCCTGGCAGGTTCATGTGGGGCACTGGCCCTCTTCCTGCCCCACCCACCAGCCCTGTGGTCTGGGCGCCTGGCTCACACCTCCCTTCCTCCCACACGCACCAGCCACAGGCTCCAGGGTCTCAGAGGAACTCCTGGGACATCCCTTTATCTGGCACCAAAGCCCGGGGCAGGGCCTGCATGTTGACCGACTGCCTTCTCTGCTCTGGCTGGGCTGAATAGCTGGGCCCAGCTCCCTCCCGGGGACTCTTCCCCCAGCCAGGGTTCACCTGAAGGCACCAGTGAGGCAGCGCCACCCCGAACAGGGGTCCCCAGACTTTGGAAAAATCACAAACCAGAAAACTGTCGACAATCACTTCCGGGTTAGCATAGGACTCTAACCTTATGTTTTTTCCAGATACTGACATTAATTTTTTTAACTATTGCTCAATAGTCTCAATATCTCATAAAAGCACCTTTTAGCACCAAATACAGTAGGATAGCACAATCTCTGCACAAAAAGCCTTTTACACGAAAGTATTATTTTTTTTAATAGAGACGAGTTCTCCCTATGTTGCCCAAGCTGCTCTCAAACTCCTGGGCTCAAGCGATCCACCTGCCTTGGCCTCCCGAAGTGCTGGGATTACAGGCGTGAGCCACCGCGCCCGGCCCACATGAATGATTTATTCCACTTGGCGCTCCTTTTCCTCGTTTCACTGTACATCGATGAAGACATTGGCACCAACGCACAGGTCCATGGATCAGAGTTGAGGAAAGTCTGTTCCAATCTTAACCCTTTTGGTGCTGGCTTTGTTTTACTGAAGACGAAACAGAGGGTCCAAGTGGTTACATCCCGAGCGCCGGCAGTGGCTGCACGAGGCAGGACTGCCTCCAGCTCTAACTGTACTGCACCTGCACCCACCAGCCAGGGTCCGCCGCTTTCAGCCGGAATCCATAGACAATTCACACGGCAAAGAGAGGAGACCAAGCTTGGGTTTCAAAATGAGCTGAAATATCAAAGCAGAATAAAGTCACTTCTTTAAACGTGGGGCCATTTCAGAGTTAATTTCACAAAAGGAGACATCGTGTTGCTTCAAACTGCTGTGCAAACATCAGAGTGACTCGTTATCTAAGTCTCAGTCAGAAACACTGGCAGTCACTTCTGATCTGCGTTAGATTGTAAGTCATTTGTTCTCCTCTAAATAGCAACAAGAGGCCGGGCATGGTGGTTCATGCCTGTAATCCCAACACTTTGGGAGGCCGAGGCAGGTGGATCACAAGGTCAAGAGATCAAGACCATGCTGGCCAACATGGTGAAGCCCTGTCTCTACTAAAAATACAAAAATTAGCCGGGTGTGGTGATGCGCACCCATAATACCAGCTACACGGGAAGCTGAGGCAGAAGAATCACTTAAACCTGGGAGGCAGAGGTTGCAGTGAACCGAGATCACGCCACTGCACTCCAGCCTGGGGACAGAGCGAAACTCCATCTCAAAAAAAAAAGAAAAAAAGAAAAGAAACTCTGAAGTCAGTCTGAAGCCTGGGAGGGACAAAGGTGTTTTGCAGGTTCCTGCAGCTCAGGCACCCAGCGGGGGCTCACTTGAGAGGGTTAAGAGGGTGAGTGCCTGGGAGGAGCCTTCAATCAAAACTTAGCTGTAGCTGAGTCCAACTGTGTGGTACCTCCCCAGCACAGCCCTCTGACCTGGGAACAGGCCCAGAGAACACAGAGGGAGTGAAGGTTGGTTATCTCCCCCTGAGGTCTGCGCTCCTACCCCTGGCTCCTGATCCGAGCCCTTGCTGTCAGAGAAGACAGGAACCTCACACTTCCTGAACACGCGCAATGCCCCTACCAAAACACGGGAGCTGCAGGCGGGCCTTTGGTCTTCTTCTGCTCCGTGCCCATTGCCATCTTCCAGAAGACACACATCATGCCTGTTCTCTCCTTCCACGCCAGGCCAGGGGAGAGGGTGGCCCCCACCCCAACCCCAACTCTGCTCCAACCGAAGGAGCCTCCTCCTGTGTGCACCCCCGTCCCCAGCACGGCGCAGCTCTACCACCAAACAGACAAAGCACAGCCAGCTCTGATTGACCCAGGGAGGCCGGGGACCTTGCCCTCTGGAGCAGCCCACATGGCCCACGGATGGCGCAGTGGCCCCCACACAGAAGGCTGCCCTTGGGCTCCTTTCCGGAGCGGCATGGCCCGGAGGAAGTGGCCAGGTAGCAAGGCCAGGCTACAGTGAGGCTGGCGGAAAGAAGAGGAAATGGGCGTGGACACCATCTGCCGGACTCAGAGCCCTGGGGACTCAGGCAGTCTGACAGCAACCTTGGCCCATGAAAACACGGAGCCTAAGGGGCTCCCGGGAGAGGACAGTCCAGGCTCCGAGCCCAGCTCAGATGAGAGGCTGCCCGGATAATGACCTTCAGAGGGCTCTGCTCATCATTACATGAAATTATGCAAATGAGACTTTATGTATTTATTTAAGAGTCTCTGTTGCCCAGGTTGGAGTGCAGTGGTGTGATCTGGGCTCATTGCAATCTCCACCTCCCAGGTTCAAGTAATTCTCATGCCTCAGCCTCCCAAGTAGATGGGATTACAGGCGTGAGCCACCGTGCCTGGCCAAGACTCTTTTAAAATGCGAATTCAGGCCAGGCGAGGTGGCTCAGGCCTGTAACCCCAGCACTTTGGGAGGCCGAGGCAGGTGGATCACCTGAGGTCAGGAGTTCAAGACCAGCCTGGCCAACAGGGTGAAACCCCGTCTCTACTAAAAATACAAAAATTAGCTGGGTGTGGTGGTGTGGGCCTATAATCCCAGCTACTTGGGAGGCTGAGGCAGGAGAATTGCTTGGACCCAGGAGGTGGAGGTTGCCGTGAGCTGAGATCACGCCACTGCACTCCAGCTTAGGCAACAGAGCGAGACTCCGTCTCAAAAAACAAAAAACAACAACAAAAAAAAACCCACCCCATTAGCAGCCGCCTGCCTCTCCCCCTCCCCAGCCCAGACACCCCCAGTCCTTACCCCTGCTGTGGCTTTGCCTGTTGTGTGCATTCTGGAGACACAGAGGCACACGCATGTAGCCTCTCGTGACCGGCATCTTTCACTCTGCAGAAGGGTCTCAAGGTTCGTCCCAATGTAGCCTGTGTCAGCGTTCCACTCCTTTTTATGGCTGAAGAATTTTCCAGGCACAGATGGACCCCATTTCGTTTTTCCATTCACTCATCAATGAGCACCTGGTCTTGTCACATTTTTATTTTTCATTTACTTATTTATTTACTTTTTGAGACAGGGCCTCACCCTGTCACCCTGGAGTGAGGGTGGAGTGCAGTGGTGTGATCTCAGCTCACTACCACCTCAAATTCCTGGGCCCAAGTCATCCTCCCGCCTCAGCCTCCCGAGTACTTGGGACTACAGGTGTGCACCACCACACCCGGCTAATTGCTCTGTCGCCCAGGCTGGAGTGCAGTGGTGCAATCTCGGCTAACTGCAACTTCCGCCTCCTGGGTTCAAGCGATTCTCCTGCCTCAGCCTCCTGAGTAGCTGGGATTACAGGCGTGCACCACCATACGTGGGTAATTTTTGTTTTTGTTTTTGTTTTAGTAGAGATGTGTTTTCACTATGTTGGTCAGGCTGGTCTTGGACTTCTAACCTCAAGCAATCCACCTGCCTTAGCCTCCCAAATTGCTGGGATTATAGGCATGAGCCACCACACCAGGCCTGATTTTTTTTATTTATATTTTTTGCAGAGATGGGGGCCTCACTGTGTGCCCAGGCTGGTCTTGGACTGGCTTCAGGCAATACTCCCACCTCAGCCTCCCAAAGTGCTGTGTTTACAGGTGTGAGCCATTGCCCAGCCTCATCACATTTTTTAATGTGCTCATTGGCTGCCGACAGGTGCCAGCTCTGGACTGGGTTTGGTAGAACTGAACCCCGGGCTCAAGCCCAGCTCCTTCCGCTCCTGGCTGAGCTCCTCCTTCTCAGGGCTTCATGTCATTGTTCCTGAAATGAAGGCTGAAAAAGCCCTCTGCCTCCCACAGGGACACAACCTTGTCCAGGGGCTCCACCGCTGGGAAGCCTGGCCTCGCTGATCCTCCGGGTCTGTCTTCCCCGGCAACACACTTGTCCCTGGTCACGCCTGCCTGCCACAGGCTCTGTGGCTCCCAGCCCCACACTCCTGAGCCCTCTGGAAGACACACTGCCCCACACATGACCTTCCACACCCACTGGGCCCACAGGGCCCTGCTCCTCCTGACGCATGCCTCCAGCTGTGGGCTGTTCCAAGTGGCGGGAATGCCCTTCCCGTACTCCTCCATGTCCAAATCCTTCTCGGCACGGAGGGGCTGGGGCAATCTTCCTCTGAAACCCCCTCATTTAGAGGCTGTTTTAGGTTGAGCCGTGTCCCTAGCCCCAGGACCTGTGGATGTGGAACCAGGGTCTTTGCAGAGGTAATGAAGGTAAGATGAAGGGTCACAGCTCTGGGCTGCTGCGGCTTATGTCCTGATAAGGAGAAGGAGACAGAGACACAGAGGAGGGGCTGTATGAAAACGGACAGCGAGAAAGCCACCAGCCAGGAGCTGGAGAGGCAGGAAGGGGCCTCCCTGAGCCCTGCAGGGAGGGCAGCCCTGAGACCTCTTGGTTTCAGATTTGTGGCCTCCAGAGCTTTGAGAGAGTAAATTTCTGTTGTTTTAAGCCTCCCACCTCCCGGCTGGTGGTCACGTGTGACGGGGCAAAAACCGAGCCCCGGACCTCACAGGGGTAGAAACCGAGCCCCAGGCCTCAAGGCTTTGCACCTGGGTTCTTGCTATTTAAGTGCACGCTGCACCTCTGACAGCAGCGGGGAGGCTCCTCCAAGACACAGCTGCGTGGCGGCTCTTTCTCCCACGACACAGCATGGCCAGAGGCCCACAGGACGCCACAGAGGTGGTGCCAGCCGGGCTCCCTGGGCTTTTCATAGACCTGGCATCACAGGTGCCACTAAGAGGAAACATTTTGCCAAGTCCTTCAGATAGTGCTCCCAAGAGCCACGGTCGTTCTACTTTATTTTTCTCAAAGCCACGGTTTCAGGTGAGAGAAGAGTTTTCTCTGTCTCCCTCAAACCTGCCATGAAAAGTGAGTTAATCTGCCAGGCGCGGTGGCTCACGCCTGTAATCCCAGCACTTTGGGAGGTTGAGGCAGGCGGATCACAAGGTCAGGAGATTGAGACCATCCTGGCTAACACAGTGAAACCCCATCTCTACTAAAAATACAAAAAATTAGCCGGGCGCAGTGGCGGGCGTCTGTAGTCCCAGCTACTCGGGAGGCTGAGACAGGAGAATGGCATGAACCCGGAAGGCGGAGCTTGCAGTGAACTGAGATGGCACCATGCACTCCAGCCTGGGTGACAGAGCAAGACTCCATCCCCCCAAAAAAAAAAAAGGAAAAGTGAGTTAATTTCACACTCAGGAGGGACAGCATTGGTCATTTAATAAAGCTGCAGAAGCTTGCCTAACTTCAGTGCAGTAACCAAAATTAACGAGTTTATACACTTTCCATTAAAAGACACTTCGTGTGAATGTAGAGGGGAATGCGTGCCGAGTGGAGATCCACTGCTGTTTTGTGGGATCTGGGGAGGAAGGAGTCAGCCCCGGTGGGTTCCTGCAGGGCTGCCGTCTGCAAGCTCCAGCCAGGGCGGGACGCACGCAGTGCAGAGCTGGGACGGACGCCCGCAGTGCAGAGCTGGGACGGATGCGCAGCTGAAATTCCGGCACTGCCACCTCCTCTCTCTCTGACTTGAGCCTGGGGTAGGGGGATCTTCAGTGAGGTCTGGAAAAAAATGACAGAGATGTTATTGCTTCTGTGAAAACCCCAGTGTGCCTGGGGACATCGGCCCAGGCTCATCACTGGGTCACCGCCGGAGGAAGGCCTCCGCGTTTGCTGGTGGCCTCATCACAAGTATAAAATGTTTACAGCCCCAGCTAGCAGAGAGGTGGGAGCCTGGGCAGGTCACCAGGAAGCCCCGGTCAGGCTGGGGTGCTGGTCTCTGGACGAGGGTCCTGTGGCTGCTGGAACAAAAAACCCCAGAGTTAGTGGCTTGAAACCACACAGCTTCATCCTCTCACAGTTCTGCAGGCCAGAAGCTAACGCAGGTTTCTCAGGGCTAAAACTGAGGTGTGGGCAGGGCTGCTTCCTCCTGGAAGGGCTCCGGGGAGAATCCGTTCCTCGCCTTTCCCAGCTTCCAGAGGCTGCCTGCGTTCCTTGGCTCTCAGCCCCTCCTCCATCTTCAGAGCCAGCAGGGCAGCCTCTCCTCTCCTCTCTGACCTGCTGCCCGCCTCTTACGAGGACCTTTGTGGTTCAGGGGGACCCGCCCGGATAATCCAGGGTCATCTCCCCTCTCTTGATCCTTAACTCAGTCATATCTGCAAAGTCCCTTTTGCCAGTGGGGTCCCAAGGGAAGAGCAAGGGTCAGGTCTGGAGCACTCAGGAGGAGAGACTCGAACCTGGAGGTTATGGGCGAGTTCACACCAGGCCCCTGCCCTTGCCTTGTATCTCAGGGACCCAGTCTCTGTCCCAGCCCTCCTCCCTACTCCTTCCGCTGGTCCCGCCTCAGCCAGGCCCCTGGGAGCATTCGAGTCCTCATCTGAAGACCCGCAGCAGCAACCTCGGCCCCACCCCCAGCCCAGCTGGGCCTCCCTGACACAGCCTTCCCGCCTCCTCTCTTGAGCAGGGATGGGCAGTGGGCAGCTGGGAGGCAGGGAGACAGGGACAAAGGACTCCCCTTCCAGGGCTGGTCCAAGCCCCTCCATGCTGGCGCCAAAGGCCTGGTTGGCTTTGAGGGAGGCCCTGCAGCTCCCAGCCTCCCCGCTCCCTCCCACAGCTGCCAACCCTCCACCAGGGAACCCTTGTCTGAGCCAGGGGCCACCGCCCTTCCCCACGGCCCCATTCCTCCAGCCTTGCAAGGCGCCAAGCAAGGGGCATCTCTCTCCCTCGGGCCTCATCCTGCACGCCTGACCTTTCCCATCCCAGGTGTTATCATAACCTTTTAGCAGAATTTTGCCTTAATTCTCAGCATTTTTGGCTTTCTTTTTTTTTTTTTTTTGATAGAGTTTCACTCTTGTCACCCAGGCTGCAGTGCAGTGAGGCGATCTCGGCTCACTCCAACCTCCGCCTCCAGGGTTCAAGCGATCCTCCTGCCTCAGTCTCCCAAGTAGCTGGGATTACAGGCGCATACCACCACACTCAGCTAATTTTTTGTTTTAAGTAGAGACAGGGTTTCGCCATGTTGGCCAGGCTGGTCTTGAACTCTTGACCTCAAGTGATCTGCCTGCCTCAGCCTCCCAAAGTGCTGGGATTACAGGCATGAGCCATTGCACCCGGCCCCCATCCCAGTGTGTTACCATAAACTTTTAGCAGAATTTCCGCTTAATTCCCAGCATTTTCAGCTCCAAGTCTTAACACTTCCCCTCTGTCTTAATGTGGCTCCAGTGGCCCTTCGTCTCTCCCCTGCCCCTTCCATGCCTCCCGCCCCATCCCCACCCCCTCTGCCCACCCCCTGGCTCCTCTCCACCCCCAGCCCCTCCACAGCTCTTTGTCTCCACCTCTAAGACTGGGGCTCCTGGAAGCCACTGGTCCTCATCTTATTATCATCCTGGTCTCCACGGAGCCCAGGACGGAGACTCACACAGCTCAGTGGAGCGTCGCCAAGCTCGGAGGGCACGCAGCACCCTAGCAGCACCTGCAATGGCACCTGTGCTCTCTCTCGGGAGGAGATGATGGCCCCAGCTCAGGGCCCAGAATTCGCGCCTGACTGTGCCCCCTTCCGGACCTAAGGACCGCCCTCTGCTGTGCTGGGACTGCCTATGTCTAGACAGAGCGGGGCTCACTCCCCGACCCAAAGGGTTCCCCAGAGTGTGGCCCCATCTCCAAGGCCCTGCTGCCCCCACTGAAAACCCGCCCAGCCCATGGTGAGCACCGCAGAATTCACAAGGCGCTTCCTGCAGACACTTTCTCCCAAGCGGGCCATGCCTTCATTGCTACTCAGATCTCCCTAAAGCCACTGATGTGGTTTGGCTCTGTGTCCCCATCCAGATCTCATGTCGAATTGTCATTCCCAAGGTTAGGGGAGGGGCCTGGTGGGAGGTGACTGGATCACGGGGGTGGATTTCCCCCTCACTATTCTCAGATAGTGAGTTCTCACGAGATCTGATGGTTTTAAACTATGCGGCACTTCCCCCGCCCCCCACTTTCTCTCTCTCTCTCCTGCCGCCATGTGAGGACGTGCCTGCTTCCCCTTCACCTTCCACCATGATTGTGAGTTTCCTGAGGACTCCCAGCCATGCTTCCTACACAGCCTGTGGAACTGTGAGCCAATTAAACCTCTTTCTTCATAAATGACCCAGTCTCCAGTAGTTCTTTAGAGCAGTGTGAGCCTGGACTCACACAGTCACCCATTTCCGGGACCTTTACCACCAGGCCAGGCAGCCACCAGTCACTTTACACACAGCATCTCGTTTCCTAGCACCTGGGCGAAAGTGCTGTTTTCAGCTCTACTTACAGGCAAGGATGGAAAACCCAGAGGGTTCAGCCAGCCTCACCTGCTCGGGAGGGCACAGCTGGGCCGCCTGTACTGCCTTAGAAGGAGAAAAAGAGAAATGGAAACAGGCTCCACGCTGGGGGCCACTATTCTTACCTCACCATAACCTCACAAGGACTGAGCACACCACGGGGGCTCAGAAACCAGGGTCCCCGCTCAGAAACTGGTCCCCTCACTCACACGTGATGTGGCCACTGAAAATGGCTGGGTGCCCTGGCCGGGCGTGGTGGCTCAAGCCTGTAATCCCAGCACTTTGGGAGGCCGAGGCGGGCAGATCACAAGGTCAGGAGATCGAAACCATCCTGGCTAACACAGTGAAACCCTGTCTCCACTAAAAATACAAAAAATTAGCTGGGCGTGGTGGCAGGCGCCTGTAGTCCCAGCTACTTGGGAGGCTGAGGTAGGAGAATGGCGTGAACCCGGGAGGCGGAGCTTGCAGTGAGCCGAGATCACACCACTGCACTCCAGCCTGGGTCACAGGCAAGACTCCGTCTCAAAAAAAAAAAAGACATCCATGTCCCTAACCCTAACCCTGTGAACGTGACTGTATGTGGAAGAATGGAAGAAAGGTCTTTGCAGACATGATTGAGTTAAAGATGGAGAGAAAGAAGGCATCTGGACAGACCCGACGTGATCATGAGTTCTCCTGAGAGGGAGGCAGAGGGAGATTGGACACAGATGGAAGAGGAGAGGCGTGGGACCACAGAGGCAGAGCAGGAGCTATGCAGCCTCAAGGCACGGGAGCCACGGATGCCTGAGGCCTGGGAACCTGGAAGAGGCCGTGGGGAGCCTTCCCTGCAGCCTGCAGCCCTGCCCGTGCCTCGAGTTCCACTTCATGACTCTGCTATCAGACATCTGGCCTACGGAACTGTGAGGCGATATGTTTCTGAGTGTTTTTGTTGTCACTATTGTTGTCGTTTGAGACAGTGGTGCAATCACGGCTCACTGTAGCCTCGACCTCCTGGGCTGAAGCAAGCCTCCCACCTCAGCCTCCAGAGTAGCTGGAACTACAGGCGTGCACCATCTTTTTTTAGAGATGGGGGTATCACTATGCTGCCCAGCCAGGACTTGAACTCCTGGCTTCAAGCAATCCTCCCGCTTCAGCCTCCCAAGTGCTGGGATTGCAGGTGTAGCCACTGTGCCCAGCCAGCTTCTGTGGCTTTAAGCCGCCCATTGGTGTCACTTGTTACAGCAGACCCAGGACAAGCCACTCAGCTGAATGAGTTTAGAGTCTGATTTTACCCTTTCTGGGCCAGGAATGCCCTGCGGGGCAGGCGGCTGCAGCTGAGCCTTCTAGACCTCTCTCTACTGAAAATACATAAAAGGCGGAGGTTCAAGTGAGCAGAGATCGTGCCACTGCACTCCAGCTCTCCATCTCAAAAAAAAAAAAGAAAAGAAAAACCAAAGTAGCCATTGAGTAAAAAGGGAAATGACAAAAGAGTCTCGCTCTGTCGCCCAGGCTGGAGTGCAGTGGCGCGATCTCAGCTCACTGCAACCTCTGCCTCCTGGGTTCAAGCGTTCATCCTGCCGCAGCCTCCCCAGCAGATGGGATTAGGAGTTAAAGATGTGCGGTGAGTCCCGCGTCCCCCCATGCTCCGGGGGTGTGAGTCGCGCATCCCCCCGTCGGGGGGTGAGTCGCCCGTCCCCCCGTGCTCCGGGGGGGTGAGTCCCGCGTCCCCCCGTGCTCCGGGGGGGTGAGTCCCGCGTCCCCCCGTGCTCCGGGGGGGTGAGTCCCGCGTCCCCCGGTGCTCCGGGGGGGTGAGTCCCGCGTTCCCCCCGTGCTCTGGGGGTGTGAGTCCTGCGTCCTCCCGTTCCCTGGGGGTGTGAGTCAGGCATCCTCCCGTTCCCTGGTGGTGTGAGTCCCGCATCCTCCCGTTCCCTGGGGGTGTGAGTCCCGCATCCCCCCATGCTCCAGGGGTGTGAGTCCCATGTCCCCCTGTACTCTGGGGGTGTGAGTCCTGCATCCTCCCATTCTCTGGGGGTGTGAGTCCCGCGTCTCCCATGGACCAGCGCTGTAAGTCCCATGCCCTCCTGTGCTATGGTGGTGTGAGTCCCGTGTCCTCCCATTCTCTGGGGGTGTGAGTCCCCTGTCTTCCCGTTCTCTGGGAGTGTGAGTCCCATGCCCTCCCGTGCTCCGGTGCTGTGAGTCCCGCGTCCCCTCAAGCTCCGGAGCTGTGAGTCCCGTGCCCTCCTGTGCCTGGTCGTGCAATGTTGAGTTCGGCACTGAAACTCTCTGAGCTTCATTTTTTACCATCAGCACCCTGCTTCCCAGCGCCTTTGGGAGGAGCAAAGGAGAAAGTCGGGCCCAAGGCCCCAGCAAGAGGCCAGCCCTTGACAGCTGTTAGCTGGACTTTGCTTCCGTCCTGAAACAATACAACTTCTGAACCACACGGAGCGCTGTTGGCCAGAAACTCAGAATCGGATGGGTCCCCATATCTGTGTTTTAAAAGTCACTCCAGACTTCTCCAGGGCACAGCCCTGTGCTTCCGGGGCCTGCAGGCTGGGGGGAGGGGAGGAGAGGTGGGCTGCTGGGGACACTCACAGGCACCTTGACTCCCCTGGGCCCCCTGGTGTTCCCTGCCCTTTTTTTTTTTTTTTTTTTTTTTTTGGAGACGGAGTCTCGCTCTGTCGCCCAGGCTGGAGTGCAGTGGCACTATCTGGGCTCACTGCAAGCTCCGCCTCCTGGGTTCACGCCATTCTCCTGCCTCAGCCTCCTGAGTAGCTGGGACTACAGGCGCCCACCACCACGCCTGGCTAATTTTTTGTATTTTTAGTAGACACGGGTTTTCACCATGTTAGCCCGGATGGTCTCAATCTCCTGACCTCGTGATCCACCCACCTCGGCCTCCGAAAGTGCTGGGATTACAGGCATGAGCCACCATGCCCGGCTCCCTGCCTTTTCTTTCTTTCTTTCCCCTTCCTGTCTTTTTTTTATTGAGTGAAATTCACATAACATAAAATTAACCATTCTGGGCTGGGTGCTGTGGCTCATGCCTTGTAATCCCAGCACTTTGGGAGGCCAAAGTGGGCAGATCACCTGAGGTCAGAAGTTCGAGATCAGCCTGGCCAACCTGGTGAAACCCGATCTCTACTAAAAATACGAAAAATTAACCTGGCATGGTGGCAGGCGCATGTAATTCCAGCTACTCAGGAGGCTGAGGCATGAGAATCACTTCAACTGGGAGGCAGAGGTTGCCGTGAGCCGAGGTCCCACCACTGCACTCCAGGTTCGGCCACACAGTGAGTCTCCATCTCAAAAAAAAAAAGAAGAAGAAGGAGAAGAAAAAGAATTTTTCAGCATCCCAGAGGCCCCTGGCCTCCCAGCCACTGTCCCTCCCTTCCTGGAGGCCAGCCACCATTGTGATGAAGAGAACCCCGTCTCTCCCTCAACATGCACCCCAAAACACCATCCTCTATGTTGCCTGTTTGTGATCCACACAGAATTCCACAGAATTGAGCCTGGCCACTTCTGCTCAATGTGATTGAGAGAGGCTTCCTTGCTGCGCATAACTGCAATTCGCCTGTCTCCACTGCCGCGGAAGGGCCCGGCGACGGGATAGACCATGATTCGCCCGTCTCCACGGCCACGGAAGGGCCCGGCGATGAGATAGACTGCAATACATTTTCCCATGAAGCTGTTGATCGGCTCCTGGGCTGTTTCTGGTTTGGAGGGTGTCATGAATGAGGCTGGCATGAGCACATGAGTTCTGGCTGAGTAGTATTTTCAGCAGCTTGGCCAAAAGGTATGACTTTTCAGGACCTGGCTGAAGGAGGGACTCCAGAGAAAAGGGCTGATGGGCGGGAAAGCGCTGGCAGAGGGGATGGCCAAGCCACAGCTGGCAGGCTATGGTTCCCAGAGCCCCAATCAACACACCTCAGCTCCCAACTGGGGCTACCTGGAACGACAGGAAAGGCTGACTCCATGAGCTGTCATGGCGTGGAAGACCCAGTTGTGCCCAATGGACGCAAGCTCCCTCCATTTCTGGCCATCCCCTGCTGATTCCCTCCCACCCCCACCTCCAGCCCGACCCCGCCTTCTCCACCAGGTGCCCTCCCATGAATTCAGCTCCATGGACAGCTCCCAGGCTGCTGTCCTCCATGTGGTGCTGAAATCACCCCAACAGAGAAGCCAAGACATGGAGAAGCTAAGGAAGAAAATGGAATGAAATGGCATGGGATGGAGCTACAGAGCCATCAGTCCTGAACCCGCCACCACGTAGAAGTGGAGGCAGGGGTCCAGAGAGGGAAGTCTTTTGCCTAAAGGGGTCATGAAGTGCTCGGTGGTAATAAATGGAATCGTCTACGACGACCGAGATTTACAGAACCCTGTCTGCATGCCAGGCACCACGCTGAGTGTTCGTATGTGGACCGCCACCGTCAACCCACACGGCAAGCTCAAGAGTAGGGCCCTACGATTGTACCTGCTCAACAGAGGAGAAGCCTCATCGGTGAGCAGCAGAGCTGGGCCTGGAACCTGTGTCTTCAGCCCTACCCCGGGCCTTTCCTCCCCTTGCCCTTGGTCTCAGTGGGTCCACTGTTTCTCTAGAACCAGAAAATGACAGTCACAGCAG
This sequence comes from Homo sapiens, assembly GCF_000001405.40. NCBI lineage: Eukaryota > Metazoa > Chordata > Mammalia > Primates > Hominidae > Homo > Homo sapiens. The sequence goes on from NC_000016.10 coordinate 88,561,401, forward strand.
CGTTGACGTCACCCCCAGTATATGAGTCAGGGTTCTCTAGAGGGACAGCACTAATAGGACAGATGTATACATGGAGGGGAGTTTACTGGGAGTATTGACTCACATGATCACCAGGTGAAGTCCCACAATAGGCCGTCTGCAAGCTGAGGAGCCAGGAAGCCAGTCCGAGTCCCAAATTCCAGGCGGTGAAATGGCAGCTGAACTGACATTCATTCATTCATTCATTCATCAATCAATCATTCATTCACCCCCACCAGCCTGCAGAGGTCCTACGGTGCCAGGCCCTGGGGCTGCAGAAACAACAGAAAAGCCCCCAGCCTCAAGCTCAGCTGCGCCGGGAATCCTTTCCCCGGCCTCCTTGGGGTGTCTGAGACCTCGTCAAAGAGTTGGGGGCCCATGGACATCTCGAGGGAAAGGCAGGGGGCCAGATGGGGTCAGAGCCAGCATCCCTCCAGAGGCTGGGACAGGGACTGGAGTGGACTCACTGTGTCTGTGGTGGGGGCCATGATGGAAGTGGGGGTCCCACACAGAACAGACAGGGCTTCCTGCAGGTTTCACCTGCAGTCCAGGGCCTGGGACCACCCCCACCCCCCCATCCCCCATCCCCCACCCCCCCACCCCCCCACCCCTCTATCACCCTTCACCCCCCCATCCCCCCTTCCCCCCGGGAACAGCGGCTGGGCGGAGTGGGAGTGCCCTCTGGTGGCTCTTTGAGGAAATAGCAAGGGCTATCCTTCGTAAAATGCTTTCAGACAGAACCGCTGGTATGGCACTCGGCCTCCCGCTGAAGACATGGATACAGGCTGGACACACACGCTTCGCTGTGTGATACACGCATGTAACGGGGCCTGTGGGGAGTAACCAGCGCTGGTGGGGCCCGGGGCTATATCCCTTGAGCGAACATAAACAAGAAAGTGAGCCCACGTTCAGCCTGGTTTTCCTTGTGGGGCATCTTCCCACATTGGCGTGGAGGTCCAAAAACAGAAAGCACAGCCTTGCCGAGCTGAGAAACAGGGATTAGAGTTTGAGGCTCCAAACCTGCTGGGGCCTGAGGGAACTTGGAGAAAGAGCCCAAAGCCCTGAGTGCAAATCCCCTTCAGGCCGTGGCCGCCCCCTAAGCTGAATATGCCCCCAAGAAACTCCAAGAAACCCAACAGAAAAGGCTCCCGGGAGGATGGAGAGCTGAGCAGGGGTGTTGGCAGCTGCGACGGGCTGGAGACCAAGCCCTGTGGGGGGCGGGGGCTGGTGACCATCACAGGCTTTCCCTTGGGAGCACAGAAGTTCCACTCCCTGGGAACAAGGGCTGTAACCCCCAAAGCCAGTCTGGACAGGGCTAACCTGGGCGCGATGGCTCATGCCTGTAATCGCAGAGCAAAAAAAAAGAATAAGAAAAGTTACAAGGTGTCTTAGTCTGTTACCTGTTGCTATAGCTTAAGAGTGGGTAATTTATAGAGAAGAGAGGTTTGTTTCTTACAGTTCTGAAGGCTGGAGGTCCAAGAGCATGGCGCTGGGCAAGAGCACGCCAGCCCAAGTCTCTCTTTCTCTTCTTTTCTTTCAAGATGGAGTCTCGCTTTGTCACCCAGGCTGGAGTGCAGTGGCACCATCTTGGGTCACTGCAACCTCTGCCTCCTGTCTCAGCCTCTCAAGTAGCTGGGATTATAGGCACCTGCCACCACGCCCGGCTAATTTTTGTATTTTTAGTACAGACGGGGTTTTGTCATATTGGCCAGGCTGGTCTCCAACTCCTGACCTCGTGCTCCGCCCACCTCAGCCTCCCAAAGTGCTGGGATTACAGGCGTGGGCCACCGCGCCCGGCCCGTTTCTTTTGTTATGAGGCCACTAGTCCCATCATGGGGGCCCACTCTGATGACCTTATCCAATCCTAATTACCTCCAAAAGCATATAATTGTGGAGATTAAGTTCCCAACACATAAAGTCTAGGAGAAACATTCAAACCATAGCACAAGGCATGCTCTTAGAAGGGACCAGAAGCCGGGAGTGCATGCCTGTATTCCCAGGGACGAGGGAGGCTGAGGTGGGAGGATCACTTGAGCTCAGGGGGTTGAGGCTGCAGTGAGCCCTGTTCATGCCACTGCACTCCAGCTTGGGCAACAGAGTCAGACCTTGTCTCAAAAAAGAATAAAATAAAAATAAAAAAAGAAGAAGGGACCAGATCACCAGACATGGTGCTGATGCCCATAATCCCAGCACTTTAGGAGGCCAAGGTGGGAAAATCATTTGAGCGCAGGAGTTTGAGACCAGCTTGGGTAACACACTGGGAACCCATCTCTACAAAAAACGAAAACAATAGCTGGGCATGGTGGTGCACACCTGTACTCCCAGCTGCTCTGAGGGCCGAGGTGGGAGGAGCGCTTGAGCCCAAGAGTTTGAGGCTGCAGTGAACCATGATTGTACCACTGCACTCCAGCCTGGGCAACACATGCAAAACCCCGTCTCAAAAATGTGGGAAGGGCAGGGCACGACAGCTCACACCTGTAATCCCAGCACACTGGGAGGCCAAGTCAGGTGGATCACCTGAGGTTGGGAGTTTGAGACCAACCTGGCCAACATGATGAAACCCTGTCTTTACTAAAAATACAAAAATTAGCCAGGCATGGTGGCACATGCCGGTAGTCTCAGCTACTCGGGAGGCTGAGACAGGAGAATCACTTGAACCCGGGAGGCGGAGGTTGCAGTGAGCCAAGATCGTGCCGCTACGCTACACTCCAGCCTGGGGGATGAGTAAGACTCTGTCTCCAAAAAAAAAAGAGGCAGGGACTAGATCACTGAAAACCAAGAGAAAAAGCACTTAATAGCGACGACAGAATCAGAGGTGGTTCAGATATAGGAGGCCTTCAAAATGATAACATGCTACTTTCTTCATGTTGCTCCCCTGCTCAAAAGCCTGCATTGCTTCCCCTTGTTCTTCAATGGGGCAGTCACTACTTTCTTTGCAAGCGGCTTTGCACAATGCCAAGAAAAGAGCTGAGAACGCTGGGTTTCAGTGTGGGCTCTGGCTAAGCCAGGGGTGGTCTTGGACAAGTGATCTCTGGGCCTCGGCCTCCTTCTCTGCACATAAGGCAACTGGAAGAAGTTCCTGCCTCCAACTCTTCTCTCCTAGCAGGTGCTCTAAGGGCTGAGTCATTGTCACAGGGCTCTGCTAGCGAGGTGGGCCTGTGTGGATGCACACTTTGTGAAAACTCATCAAACTGCACACTTACAAGTGTGCATTTTGGGCTGGGCGTTGTGGCTCACACCTATAATCCCAGCACTTTGGGAGGCCGAGGCAGGCGGATCACGAGGTCAGGCCAATATGGTGAAACCTCGTCTCTATTAAAAAATACAAAAATTAGCCAGGCGTGGTGGCGCACCCCTGTAGTCCCAGCTACTCAGGAGGCTGAGGCAGGAGAATCGATGGAACCCAGGAGGCAGAAGTTGCAGTGAGCCGAGATTGCGCCACTGCACTCCAGCCTGGGCAACAGTGCAAGACTCCGTCTCAAAAAAAAAAAAAAAAGTGTTCATTTTGGCAAACCCCAACTCAATAAAGTTGGGGTTTTTTTGTTGTTTTTTGTTGTCGTTTTGAGACAGAGTTTTGCTATTGTCGCCCAGGCTGGAGGGCAGTGGCGCAATCTTGGATCACTGCAACCTCTACCTTTTGGGTTCAAGTGATTCCCCTGCCTCAGCCTCCCGAGTAGCTACGATTGCAGGTGCCCGCCACCACACCCGGCTAATTTTTGTATTTTTAGTAGAGACAAGGTTTCACCATGTTGACTAGGCTGGTCTCGAACACCTGACCTCAGGTTATCTACCTGCCTCGGCCTCCCAAAGTGCTGGGATTACAGGCATGAGCCACCACACCTGGCCTAAAGTTGATTTTTAAAACTAGCTTCCTGCCTCTTCCCTCCCAGTTTCCACCCCCAATTGGCAACAAGTTTTAACTCTTTTCATGGTCTCTTCCGGCATTTTCCCGATCTCCAGTAATATTCATACCAATGTTTCTTGACTTTTTCTTAATAAGGGCACTAGTCACACTCCCAGCAGCAGAGTACGTGATTCTAGTTGCTCCACATTCTTGTGAAAAAAAAAATATGAAATTAATTTTTTAGACCAGTTTTAGGTTTAAAGAAAAATGAGAGGCCAGGCACAGTGGCTCACGCCTGTAATCCCAGCACTTTGGGAGGCTGAGGCGGGTGGATCACGAGGTCAGGAGATCGAGACCATCCTGGCTAACATGGTGAAACCCCGTCTCCACTAAAAAATACACAAAAATTAGCCAGGCGTGGTGATGGGCGCCTGTAGTCCTAGCTACTCGGGAGGCTGAGGAGAATGGCGTGAACCTGGGAGGTGGAGCTTGCAGTGAGCCGAGATTGCGCTACTGCACTCCAGGGTGGGCAACAGAGTGAGACTCCATCTCAAAAAAAAAAAAGAAAAATGAGCAGAGTTCCCCTGTACCCCCAGCACCCCTGCCCATCTCCCCTCTTATTAACACCCTGCACTGGTGCAGAACATTTATTACAATTGAGATAGGAGGCAGGACTTGACTCCAGAGGCAGGGCTTGGAGCTGGGACCAAACAGGACTGGCTAAAACAGGGCAGGGCAGAAGCAGCTTTTTATAAGACACACCAGACTGGGCGCAGTGGCTCATGCCTGTAATCCCAGCACTTTGGGAGCCCAGGCAGGCAGATCACCAGAGGTCAGGAGTTTGAGACCAGCCTGGCCAACATGGTGAAACCCTGTCTCTACTAAAAATACAAAAATTAGCCAGGCATGATGTCCCATGCCTGCAGCCCCAGCTACTCAGGAGATTGAAGCAGAAGAATTGCTTGAGCCCAGGAGACAGAGGTTGTGGTGAGCCGAGATCAGGCCACTGCACTCTAATGTGGGTGACAGAGGGAGACTCCGTCTCAGGAAAAGAAAAAAAAGACACACCCACCAGTGTTCTGTGTCAGTTTACCATCGCCATGGCAACACTCCCACCCCTTTCCATGGCAATGACTCAGTGACCCAGAAGTGACTACTCCTTCCCCAGAAATTTCTGCATAAACTGCCCCTTAATCTGCATGTAATTAAAAGTGGGTATAATGGGTCTGCAGAAGTGCGTTGAGCTGCTGCTCTCTGCCTTCTGGGCAGCCCAGCTCTGCAGGAGCCGTCACGGACCTGCCACACTGCCTCTTCAATCAAGTTGTTCTCTTCTACCTCCGGCTTGTCCTTGAATTCTTTCTTGGGCAAAGCCAAGAACGCTGGCAGGCTAAGCTCCACTTTGGGCCTCACCTGCCCTGCATCACAACCAACCAGCCCGTATCGGGACACGATCATTGACTTAAGTCCACAGTTTACATTACAGTTCACTCTTGGCGTTGTGCGTTATGTGGGTTTTGGCAAATACGTAACGTCCCATAGCTGCCATTATGGGACATTACATATTTGTACTTCTTCATACAGAAGAGTTTTGCCACCCCAGAAATGAGGCTTAAAAGTCATTTACCCACTTCCTGCTCTGGAAGAGGAGGGTCTGTGCTCTCACCGCCTGGCACGCCGTGTTCCATCCAGCCTCTGCTCTCTGAATGGTTTTTAGGCTAAATAAAATGTTTACTAAATATTTTTAAGCACTAATAACAATAACGGCCTTATGCAGTGGCTCACACCTGTAATCCCAGCACTTTGGAAGGCCAAGGTGGGAGGATCGCTTGAGGCCCAGAGTTTGAGACCAGCCTGGGCAACAGAGTGAGACCCCCACCTCTACAAGACCCCCACCTCTACGAAATGAACAAATAAACAAACATGATGGACTCCAGCTTAAAAACAGAACATCCCAACCAGGTCACGCTACTGACTATCAGCCCCCACCGCAGGCTCCGTGGCACTGCCTCCTGGTCACTGCTCCTGGGGCCCCCATCACCGCAGATTCGGCTGCCTGTAATGAGTCGCAGCAACACGAGCCGAAGCATTTGTGTCTGGTTTCTTCTGCGCAACATCCTGCCTCTGAGATCCATGTTGCTTGTAGGGGTAGCGTGTCCTTTTCGTTCCTGTACGATATTCCATTGCATGGGGGTTACACCCCAGCTGGTTCATCGTTCTGTCACTGAAGCACCTTGGGGTTCCTTCTAGTCCGGAGTGTAACGAGTCATGCTGGGGTGAACGATCTTGGATGTGCCTTTTGCTGGACGTAGCAGCTCATCTCTTCCGGGAAGTCACAGAGGAGTAGCACGGCCCAGGTGCCGCCGCACGAAGGCTGCGGTTCCGTGAGCGCCGTCGCAGGCTTCTGGAGCGGGGCCACCATTTTCACTCGAGCACAGGCCGCAGGCTCTGGGTGCCCCACACCCTCAGCAAAACCGCTCATGATTTCAATTTGATAGAAACGTGGACCGGGCGCAGTGGCTCACGCCTGTAATCCCAACACTTTGGGAGGCCGAGGCGGGAGGATCACGAGGTCAGAAGATCGAGACCGTCCTGGCTAACACGGTGAAACCCCGTCTCCACTAAAAATACAAAAAAATTAGCCGGGCGTGGTGGCGGGCGCCTGTAGTCCCAGCTACTCGGGAGGCTGAGGCAGGAGAATCGCTTGAACCCAGGGGGCGGAGGTGGCAGGGAGCCGAGATGGCGCTACTGCACTCCAGCCTGGGCGACAGAGTGAGACTCTGTCTCAAAAAAAAAAAAAAAGAAAGAAAGAAAGAAAAGAAATGTGCCCACCCTGTCTGCTTCTGCACTTGCCTTTGTCATGCAACCTCACAGATGGTCTTCACCCGTTTATTTATATCTGTGTATACACACTGGAGGTTCATGCGTTAGCATTTTTAACAACCGCGATGTTGCAAATGTTGTACCAGATTACTATTACAACAGTACAATCATCTGCTCATCAACATCTGGGTGGTTTTCTGGTTTTTTCCTTTGTTCTTTTTTTTTCTTGAGACGGAGTCTCGCTCTGTTGCCCAGGCTGGAGTGCAGTGGCATGATCTGGGCTCACTGCAAACTCCGCCTCCCGGGTTCATGCCATTCTCCTGCCTCAGCCTCCCGAGTAGCTGGGACTACAGGCGCCCGCCACCACGCCCGGCTAATTTTTTGTATTTTTAGTAGAGACGGGGTTTCACTGTGTTAGCCAGCATGGTCTCGATCTCCTGACCTCGCGATCTGCCCGCCTCGACCTCCCAAAGTGCTGGGATTACAGGCATGAGCCACCGTGCCCGGCTCCTTTGTTCTTTTAGTTATGACTACTAACAGACCTGCTATGTCCTTGTTCATGTCTCATGCCCACGGGCAGATGACACCCCAGTCCGGTGGCCCACCTGTACCACTGGGCATCAGAATCCCCTGAGAGCTCTTCATGGACCACAGGGCCCTGGGACCTCACTCCCAGTCACTGGTGCGGCCACTCTGGGGCAGAGCCCAGGAAGGCACATTGCTAACAACCCCTAGTGATACTGAGGCTGCTTGCCCGGGTCCCACTTGGAGAACCCTGTCGAGGGTGGCACTGCTGGTCACAGGGCACTTCTTTTAACTAACATTGTTTTCCAAAGAGGCTGTGACCAACAGAGTTTACTGTTCATGAAACTCAGATCGCAGACAGGCACGTGTCTGTCACAGCCGGTGCCGGCCGCTCCTTTCCATGGACAGTAACGTCCATGCAGGCTTATGTTCATCAGCTGAGAAAAGGGCACTTGCTGGGTGGGACCTTGTCTTATCGACACATAGAGTCTGCAGAAGGTGCCAACTGGTGTCGCAGGGCTGCTCCTGACACGACCCAAAATCACCAGGGTTGAATTCACATTCCTCTTACGTAACCATAACAAGTTGCTGGGACTACAGGCACGCACCACGGTGCCCTGTTAATTTTTTTGTAGAGACAGGGGTCTTGCTTTGTTGCCCAGGCTGGTCTCAAACTCCTGGAGGAGGTGGTCCTCCCACCTTGGACTCCCAAAGTGCTAGGATTACAGGTGTGAGCCACAGTGCCAGGCCTGTGGTACCTCTTCCAAGGACACTAATCCTATCAGATCAGGACCCCACCCTTATAATCTCATTTAACCTTAATTACTTCTCTAAAGGCCCTTTCTGCAAACACAGTCACATTGGGGATTAAGGCTTCACATACAAATGTTAGGGGGACAGAACTCGGTCCATAGCATGGAGTCGCACAGGTTTTGTCCTTTTGCGATTGGCTTGCTTTACTTAGTATGTTTCCAAGGTTCACCCATGTTGTGGCATGGGTCTGAACTTCACTCTTCTTGATGACTGACTCACACTCCACTGCATGGACAGCCAGCATTTTGTCTGTTCCTCAGTTTGTGGACATCTCGCCCCCTTGTTTCCACCTTGGGGATATGGAGGAAGATGGGATGAGCGAAGCCCTGTGATCCCCAGGACCAGCCACGTCGTTGGCAAGGGTCAGCGCAGGATGAAACCGCCGGCCCCTGGTCTCCGGCCGGGCCCTCCGTCTCTAGAGCAGCTCGCACCGCTGCAGCCCCTGGACGCCCCGGGCTGTGGACGCGCCCGTGGGACACCGCGCTGAGCAGGACACGCGACAGGTCCCCTCACTGGCGCTGCTCGCGTTGAACCGCGCGGGGAGCCAGGCAGCCCACGGGAAAGGTAAGAATTGTTAGGCTTTTAATCTAAAGTCGATACCTCAAAAAATAATTCCGGAGGTAAGCATTTAATATCAACATTCAATAAAGCAGGAAGTATCAGCCCGACGAAGACCGCCTTAAGTTTTCCACTTTGATGAACTCGATCATCCCCGGGGATGAAGAACCCGCCGGCCCAGCCGGAGCCCCGTCACGTGACCCGGCGGCCGCGGGGAGCTCTGTGCGCAGGCGCGGATCCGCACGCCCGCCGCCTGAGAAGCGAACTCCCCGTGGCGCCTGCGCTGTAGCGGGGGTTCGGCTGGCTCGCGCGGGTCCGGGCGCGCGCTGCGGGGGCGGAACCGCGCGGAGGCCGGAAGGAAGCTGGAGGGGGCGGGGCGAGGGAGGGAAGCCCGCCGGCCGTAGGACTACCGTCGCGGCCTGATGACGTCGCACAATGGCCGGCCCCCGCGGGTAGTGGAGCCCGTTTGTTCCGCCCGTGTCGAGCCTGGAGCCAGAACCTGTGAAGAGCGGAAGGGCCAAGGGACGTCTTCTCCACGCCGCTCCGACTCCAGGGGAGCCGTGGCCTCCTCTCCGCCCTAGCGCTGAGGTTAGCTGGGGCCGGGAGGGCGGCGGGAGGCCGGGCCGGCGGCGGCGGGAGGAGGAGGCCGCCGAGGCGGCGGCGGCGGCCGCGGGAGGGAGGCCCGGGAGCCCGGCGCGCCTCCGGCCGTGCGGACCCACCGGCCGAAGCGTGGCCCTCGGGCCCAGGGAAGGGGACCTTGAGACAGGCACCACCCCGAGTTCCGTCCGTAAGCCGGCCCCGCGGTCCTGGGGCGCCCTGGGCGCCCGAGCTCCTCGCGCGCTGCCTCCGCGCCCCGCGGCAGAGTTTATTTTCCTGAAGCTGTCATTTCTCTTCCGGGCCACTCGCGTGGCACATGTGTGCCGCCGGCTAAGGGGCGGTGAGAGGCGCCCAGATTCACCTCCAGAGTAGGTCATCCCGGGCTGCTGCTGGGCTCTTCGGAGAACTTTGAGCTCTTTATGAACCTCCTGGAACTTGCTCCGCAGCTTCAAAGTGTGCACAGGTTGGGCGCAGTGATTGCCCCAAGACGCGCGCCGGTCTCTTAGGAGTATGTAACTTCCTTGCCCCTTGGATTAGGAGATCAGAGGTGCTGGGTCCTTTATATAGACCAACTGCAGCTATAATGCTGGAAGAACTGAAACTTAACAGCCTTACTCCTGCCAAACATTTTTCCTGAATACTTTATGACAACTGAGTTTGCCGGGTAGAGTGGCCGTTTTAAATGAGCTTTGTTCGAACAACGCTAACTCATTTGCAAGAGTAGGTCATTCTTCAGACCCATTTGGGAAAATGGAAGAAGAGAGTGTTTGGCATCTGAAGTACCGTTTGGGGTGTAGCAAGGTGCTCATCATGTCTCCTGTTAGACTCACCTCCAGCCTGTTGTCTGTAGAGTAGTCCTTTCCCGTTCAGTAGTTGGGATTATCCGGGTGAGGTTTGACCTCGGCTGAATCCCGCTTCCCAGCTTTGGGAGGAGAGTCTTTTCCTGATAATTTTACTATCTAAGGGCAGTATGGAGCCCAGCCAGCCCTGGAACCAGTCAAATGTGTCCCAAAGCCGGAAACTCCTCTCCCGTTGTAGGTGGGACATGCTGAAATATTGTAAGAAAGCTTTGTGGAGTCACTCCAGAAAGCAAACAGGTAAGTTAACCTATGGCCTACATCGTGTTTACAGAGATTTGTATTTTGTCACAGCTACAGAGCATCTCAAGGTGAGTACCTCTTTATCAAGGAGTTTAGTGGTCACGCTTGGTCACTTTGCACGTGGGGTCTGTCACCAACCTTGATAACGTTCATTTAGATATTTTAAGTCCATGAGGTTATGAGTCAGAATTTTAACCAGATGTACCAGAACTTAGGCATTCAAATAGGTACTGCTCTGTTGAAAGTAATTGTCCCAAAATGTGCTTGTATTTCATCGGTGCTTCTTTGCCAGAATCTCTTTAGAACTCCTGTTGTGGTAGTAAAAATGTAGTCATATGGGAAAATCAGTCTTATTCAATAGTCACCCTCCAGGTTTGACCAAAAGTTTACTTACGTGGTTGGTAGCTCACCTTATCAGGTGAGACTCTGACTTGCAGCACTTTATCAAAGTGACTAGCTTGAGAGGAGGAAGATTTGCCACCACTAAGAATACCAGAAGACTTCTTTAGGCTTGGAAGGTCATTCGCAATGAGAAGGTCCCCAAACGCTCTGCATTTCAGCAGTGCCGTTGGAGTCTGTGCATCCTCCCAGAGGGGCTGCTCGGAAGGGAGGTAGCACCTGCTCTTTATTATTACTATTATTTTTTGAGACGGAGTCTCACTCTGTTGCCCAGGCTGGAGTGCAGTGGCAGGATCTCGGCTCACCGCAACCTCCTCCTCCTGGGCACTTATTTTAAATTCCTTTCTGGTAGGCAACAGGTAGTTCCTCAATTAACGAGTTTTTTGTCATGTATTCAACAAATATCTATCAAGTATCATCTGCCAAATGCAGAAAGCAACGGAGACGGGACGATGGGCACTTGTTATTTCATTCCTTAGGCAAGTTCACCCATCTGGTGGATCAGAGGACTAAGGATTTAGTTCTAAATTGTGCTGAAAATCTTCAGTTATAGATAGTGTAAGAAGACCAAACTGAGCACAAATTGCAAACGTGGGTATCAGTTGAGACTCTTCTACTGACACCCCTGTCTACACTTCTCATTTCATTGTCTACACTTAAGAGGCCACGTTTCCCTTCGTAGCACCTTATTACTATTTTTTGAAACGGAGTCTCACTCTGCTACCCAGGCTGGAGTGCAGTGGCATGATCTCGGCTCACTGCAACCTCCTCCTCCTGGGTTCAAGTGATTCTCCTGCCTCAGCCTCCTGAGTAGCTGGGACTACAGGCACGTGCCACCATGCCCAGCTAATTTTTGTATTTTTAGTAGAGACAGGGGTTTCACTGTGTTGGCCAAGGTGATCTCGAACTCCCAACCTCGTGATCCTCCCGCTTCAGCCTCCCAAAGTGCTGGGATTACAGGCATGAGCCACCACACCCAGCCAATTGTGTGATTTTTAAAACTAGTTTGAGGAGACATTTAGTTTTGCATAAAAGTTGGTTTATTTAAGAGATCACTTTGTTTCCAAGGTTGACATTAAACTATAAAACATGAGAATCAGAATTTGTCATATTTCAGGTCTGGGTTCAGCTTGGGGCATCCTACTGGGCACCAGGCGCTCCGCTTAGGCAGCTGGGGAGATGTGAACTACCTGCCCTTCTATGAGGAAGATGTTTATACATTGTAATAAAAAGTGTACGAAGATAGTATAGGGTGTTACTAATGTCGATAGCTAGGCAAGAGAGAGAATTGCCAGTTTGCCACCGGTGACTTACTGCCACAACCCCACGCAGACTCCCAGTCTTGAACAGTCAGTGCGTAGAGGCCTTAGCAGCCTTGGTGCTTTTCATCCTTGCTTTTGTTGCCTTGGGCTGCAGAAATGCTCTGTGCATCAAGCGCCCCTGTGATACTGTTTGGGGATCAGCTCCTTGACTTTCCCATTTTCAGCAGTGTATACCAGTTTAGGACTACCTTTAATAAAAAGACGAGGGTCTTACCATGTTATCTAGGCTGGACTCGAACTCTTGGGCTCGAGTGATTCTCCCACCTCAACCACACAAGTAGCCGGGATTCCAGGTACATGCCACCACTCCTGGCTTAGGACTGACTTTTTAATAATTCCTCCCAGTAGTCCTGTCTCTGGATAGTAACCGAATAGTGTACTTAGAAAACCAAAAAGTGAATCATTTTCAGAACTGTCTGCTTTTAAGTGACTTGGAATGGATTGGTTGGTTTGTAAATCTATGTTATTGCTAACCATTTAGGTTTTTTTTTTTGAGACGGAGTTTTGCTCTTTTTGCCCATGCTGGAGAGCAATGACACAATCTTGGCTCACTGCAACCTCCGCCCCCCCGAGTTCAAGCAATTCTCCTGCCTCAGCCTCCCGAGCAGCTGGGATTACAGATGCCCACCACCATGCCCAGCTAATGTTTTGTATATTTAGTAGAGACAAGGTTTCACCATTTTGACCGGGCTTGTCCTGAACTCCTGACCTCAGGTGATCCACCCGCGTCAGTCTTCCAAAGTGCTGGGATTACAGGCGTGAGCCACCACCCTTGGCCCATTTAGTTTTTATAAAGTGATGAATTTTAAATGATTTGAATTTTCTTTTGAGACGGAGTCTCGCTTAGCCACCACCTAGGCTGGAGTGCAGTGGTGTGATCTCGGCTCACTGCAACCACTGTCTCCCAGGTTCAAGCGATTCTCTCGTCTCAGCCTCCCAAGTAGCTTGGATAACAGGCACCTGCTATCATGCCCAGCTAATTTTTGTATTTTAGTAGAGACCGGGTTTCACCATGTTGGCCAGGCTGGTCTTGAACTCCTGACTTCGGATGATCCACCTGCCTTGGCCTCCCAAAGTGCTAGGATTACAGACGCGAGCCACCACGCCTGGCCAGATTTGGGTTTTTTTGGCTTTTTTGTTTTTTGTTTGAGTCAGGGTCTCACTCTGTCACCCAGGCTGAACTGCAGCCTCAACCTCCTAGGATCAGGTGATCCTCCTATCTCAGCCTCCCAAGTAGCTGGGACGACAGGTGCCCTACCACACCCAGCTAATTTTTTTTTTTTTTTTTTTTTTTTTTGGTAGAGATGGGGTTTTGCTATGTTGCCCAAGCTGGTCTAGAACTCCTGGACTCAAGTGATCCGCCCACCTCAGCCTCCCAAAGTGCTGGGATTACAGGCATGAACCACCGCACCTGACCAATTTGTTCTAATGTATCTTTTTTTTTTTTTTTTGAGACGGAGTCTCGCTCTGTCGCCCAGGCTGGAGTGCAATGGCGCGATCTCGGCTCACTCCAAGCCCCGCCCCCTGGGTTCACGCCATTCTCCTGCCTCAGCCTCCCGAGTAGCTGGGAACACAGGCACCCGCCACCACACCCGACTAATTTTTTGTATATTTAGTAGAGACGGGGTTTCACCGTGTTAGCCAGGATGGTCTCGATCTCCTGACCTCGTGATCCACCCGCCTCGGCCTCCCAAAGTGCTGGGATTACAGGCGTGAGCCACCGTGCCCGGCCTCTAATGTGTACTTAATCTTAATGATTTCCATTAACAGCAAAAAAAAAAAATGTTTAACTGTAGGTTGATACCAATTCTTGATACTGTGCATCTTTAAACAGGTTGTATTAAAAGTATAAATTTAAAAGATGAATATTTTTATCTTTAGTGTGTATGGTTATTTGAGATACAAGACATATAAATGTGTATGTGTATGACTTGCTGCGTCCGTAGTTATCTTGAGATGAATAATCTGTTTCCAGACCTTGCCGAGATGCCGAGCAGTGTGACCGTGACATACGTTATTTTAACAGCCTCACAGACTGAACAGTCAAGTGACCGCTGACCTGGCACTGTCCCTGCTGCTCCACACTCACTTGGTGGTGACTAGCTGCCCTGGTAGTGGTGGTGTGGCAAGTGTTTGCCAGGCAGGTGTTGCCGTTCTACACCTTCCTACCCGTCTTAACACCGTCCACTTTTAAAGCATGGGTAGCAGTGTACTTTCTATGAGTTTTTGAGGAGGGAAACTCGAAAATATTAACTTTATAATTTAATCTGGATTAGTAAAAATAGGAATGAAGTCTGAAGTGACCCCGTCTTTTTTTGTTTTTTGAGTTTTTTTTGGAGATTGGTCTCACTCTGTTGCCCAGGCTGAAGCACATTGATGCAGTCTTGGCTTACTGCAGCCTCCACCTCCTGGGCTTAAGCGATCCTCCTGCGTCAGACTCCCAAGTAGCTGGGAATATAGGCACGCACCACCACACTCTGTGACTTAGTTTTTGTTTGTTTGTTTGTTTTTGTTTTTGTTTTGAGACGGAGTCTCACTCTGTCGCCCAGGCTGGAGTGCGGTGGCGCGATCTCAGCTCACTGCAAGCTCTACCTCCTGGGTTCACGCCTTTCTCCTGCCTCAGCCTCCTGAATAGCTGGGACTACAGGCGCCTGCCACCACGTGCAGCTAAGTTTTTGTATTTTTCATAGAGACGGGGTTTCACCGTGTTAGCCAGGATGGTCTCGATCTCCTGACCTCATGATCCACCTGCCTCGGGCCTCCCAAAGTGCTGGGATTACAGGTGTGAGCCACCGCGCCTGGCCTGAATTTTAGTATTTTTTTTTTACAGAGACAGGGTCTCACCATGTTGCCCAGGCTGGTCTCGAACTGCTGGGCTCAAATGATCCTCCCGTTGCAACCTCCCAAAGTGCTGAGATTGTAGATGCGAGCCACCGTACCTGGCCAGCCTCGTCTTTTACATACGCGCGGTACTTAAGTGTGTCAAGTTTCCTGCCAGAGTTCTTTTCGACAGCAGCTACCTGTATGGGAAGAGGGGTTCTCAACTTAGGAGTGTGAGTTGCTGAGCGGGTGAACACAGCCCTCTCGACACCTGCTGGAGGGGCCAGTGAACACGCAGGCAGGGCTCTGAGCCTGCATTGCTAAAGGGCAGCCAAGGGATTCTCGGAGGCCCTCAGAGGCTGGCCTTCGAGAAGTGTGTTCAGTAACAGAAAAGGCTCCAGACTTGGACACTGCCGAAGGCTGGCCCAGGTTCCTGCTTCAGGATGACTCCAGAAAAATGGTGAGATCTGGGCCTGCAGTTTTGCTTCCTCGTTCCATGATACAGTTTATCTTTAATTTCAAAAGTAAATACTCCTCTAAGAATTCACACAGCTGTCCTTTGCGATCCGTATCGTTACTCACTTTCTGTTAACTCGTGTGGGCTGCCCTTGAGCGGGGAAGGGCTAGGCCAGGCTGCGTCTCCTTCTGCCACATCTCATTTTGCCAGATTGCCAAAAACGGGAGGCACTTAACACCCAGCTTAGCTGAGCAGTCTAGCCTTGTGGAGTGGAGTTATGGCCTGTCTTTCTCTGCAGAGTGGAGTGTGGGATTTGGGGCAGGGCCGTGTGGGACCAAGCAGGATGGAAGTCCTGCTGCTTCAGGCCAGGAAAGTAGGGACAAGGTTTGTTTTCCATTTTGCTAAAGGCTGTCAATCTGTATTCTCTCTTTTGCAGAACCGTGGGTACCGATGGATGTGGCCGAGAGCCCTGAACGGGATCCTCACTCTCCAGAGGATGAAGAGCAGCCACAGGGACTCTCGGACGATGACATTCTGAGGGACAGCGGGTCCGATCAGGATTTGGACGGGGCGGGGGTGAGGGCTTCTGATCTGGAGGATGAGGAAAGTGCAGCCAGGGGGCCGAGCCAGGAGGAGGAAGATAATCACTCCGACGAGGAGGACCGGGCAAGTGAGCCTAAATCCCAAGACCAGGACTCAGAGGTGAATGAGCTGAGCCGGGGCCCGACCAGCTCCCCCTGCGAGGAGGAGGGGGACGAAGGGGAGGAAGACCGGACAAGCGACCTTAGGGATGAGGCCTCCTCAGTCACCAGGGAGCTGGATGAGCATGAGCTAGACTACGATGAGGAGGTTCCTGAGGAGCCAGCTCCCGCCGTCCAGGAGGACGAGGCTGAGAAAGCGGGGGCTGAGGATGATGAGGAGAAAGGCGAAGGCACTCCCAGGGAGGAGGGGAAGGCTGGTGTTCAGAGTGTGGGAGAAAAGGAATCCCTGGAGGCTGCCAAGGAGAAAAAGAAAGAGGACGATGATGGAGAAATCGATGATGGGGAAATAGACGTGAGTATGATGGAGCAGAGCGTCGCGGGGCATCCTGCCCAGCAGCCTGACATAGACTGGTGCTGGAAAGGAGGGACTCTGTGTGGGACTGACTTAGTGATTTGTTACTAGGGATGGTGCAGGAGAATGAGAGGCTTGTTTTGGGTTCAGTCCCATAGTGATTGGAGAGAAAGAGCCAGAAATCGAGAATGAGCAGAGGCAGCTCCAGAAGCTGCCAGCAGGGTTTCCGTGGCCCTCGGCCGGCCAGCTGGTGGGATTGTTTGGGTTGTAGTGAAAGGTCCAGCGCCCAGTGTTTTTAGGTTCTAGGAATGAAGGGTTAATGTCTGTCCTTGTCTTTGCCGTCTTCAAGTGATACTCAAGTTAACACTCAACCAGAAACCACGTGGGTTTCCACTCTTGTCAGGTTTTTGGACTGAAAAGAATGAGGAAATTTTCCATCTGGTTTTGGATGTTTTAGGCATTTTTATGCTGGTCCTAGAGCCTGACCTCTGGAGAGGGCACCAGCTGGGCCAGGCCTCTTTGGACATATCCCTGAAAAGACTGTGGTGGGCACCTCAACTTCTGACAAAGCCAGCACACTTTTTTGTACATTAAATTAATGTGGCCTTCAGGTTGAGGGGAAGGTAGTACTATCTATGATCCTAGGTATGGGTAGGTGGGGTTTTCTTAGCAGTTGATGCCGTTGGAAAAACTATGAGTGTTTCGGGAGAAACACCCCAAAGTCCTCCTGAGTGATACTTGCCGGAGCTATTGAACTCAAAGGAGGTGAGCAAGGGACAGAGCAGTTGAACTGAACTGGGTTTTTGTTGTTTTTTTTTTGAAAGATCCTGGGGAAGGGGATTGTGCTTATGGGGAGTCATTGCGGTGAAGAGTGTCTGCCGAGAGTATCTCTCTGATGTCATGCTCTGGGTTGAGGCAGGTAAAGGCTGCCAGTTAGATGTGTAACCGCCGGTTTGCCTTGAATGCCATGCTCCTTTTTTTTGAGAGAGAGAGTCTACCCTGTAACCCAGGCTGGAGTGCAGTGGCGCCATCTCAGCTCACTACAGCCTCTACCCCCAGGTTCAGGCAATTATCCTGCCTCAGCCTCCTGAGTAGCTGGGATTACAGGCGCCCGCCACCACTGGCTAATTTTTGTATTTTTCGTAGAGATGAGGTGTCGCCCTGTTGGCCAGGCTTGTTTCAAACTCCTGACCTCAGGTGATCCGGCCGTCTCAGCCTCCCACAGTGCTGGGATCACAGGCGTGAGGCACCACGCCCGGCGGGTGCCATGCTTCTCCAGTAGCATGCTGGCGTGCGTGCTCTCAATGCACGTTTGGATATGACTTTCCGGCCATCGCTGCTCTCTGTGGCACTGCTCAGTAATTTATAGGGTTTGAAGTATTGCTCATGTGACTTTACGGGACGTGTG
This sequence comes from Homo sapiens, assembly GCF_000001405.40. Classification (NCBI taxonomy): domain Eukaryota; kingdom Metazoa; phylum Chordata; class Mammalia; order Primates; family Hominidae; genus Homo; species Homo sapiens. The sequence goes on from NC_000016.10 coordinate 88,579,135, forward strand.
TGCACCTGCAAGCTGAGAATTTTAGATGTTTCATCTTTCCGCAGCGAAGTGTAGGAAGTGGTCTCCTCAGCTAGTGCTTTTTGCAAGAGGAGACCTACCCCAGGGCTGGCAGAGGGAAAGGAGAGACGGTGAGATTCAGGTTCATCAGCTGGGGGAGCTGGTTGGGTTGAGGATGCCCATGAGACTGAGTTTTTGTGTCCTGGGGGTAACAGCCCTGTCTGCACCACCACTGGGAGTGCAGCAGGTCCTGCACCCAGGGCTCTGGCGTGCTCTAGTTCCTCTTAAGAGGACTGGCTGCAGACCCTCAAGTCTTGGGGGAGATTCATCAGACGGATCAAGGGTCCCCATAGTGGTCCTGAAAGGCCATGTCTGTGGAGCATACTGTGAGTTCTCAGTGCCGCACCATGGGCGCGGGCGGTGCGGTAGATGGGTCCAGCTGCTCTGGAGAATGGCCCTGGCTGCCAAGGGCCTGGACATGCTGGTTTCCCCTAGACACAGCACATGGAAGAAAAACCCCATTTGCCATTTTTGCCTACCTAGACCTTGCCTGCCCTGCCTGGCACCGTCTTGTGAGGGGACCCACAGTTGAAAACGGAGTGCTGCTGTGGAAACCCCAGCACAGCTCCCTTGGCAAACGGGGAGGCAGGTTTCTTCCACCGCACAGACTGCCTCCAGCGCCCCACATCCCCCATAGGTCTGTGCTCCTGGACACCAGCACAGGTGGACCTTGCTGTGCCACATGCTGAGTGTGACTGGGCAGGGCGGAGCAGAGCCCGCTCCTGCTGTGGGGGCAGCAGGCCTTTAACCAAGGTGGGCAGTGCTGTGAATGGTGGGTTCAGCCTCTACAAGAGCACATTTGACTTCAGGCCCCTGGGTTGCTTGCCCCAGGAGCCCCCGTGGTCTCCTCTTGTTCCCACGCCCAGCAGCGTTTCAGGCTCCTCCATCCTTTATGTGTCAACCTCAGCATTTGCGTAGGCTGTTTCTCTGTTGCCTCTGCCTCTCTGTCGTGACACAGGTTCATCTGTGTGTGTGTGTGTGTGTGTGTGTGTGTGTGTGTGTGTGTGTGTGTGTGTGTATATGTATATGTCTCTGCCTGCTGCTTCCCCTATTCCCAAGAACATGTTTCCTAAGACTGGGGGCTACCTGGCTGGTTCCCCTATCTCCCTGGGGCCTGGCACATAGTGGGCAGCCAGTCAGTAGAGGAATCCTACTTGCCCGGGGCACATTGAAGGTGAGAACCTTTGTAATGTGAAGTGGCAGTGAGTGGAAGGTCCACGCTCAAGAGCCAGTCACAGATGGAAGGGAGTTCACGTGAGCAGCATCAGCCCTCCACCCTTGTGGGAAGGACCCAGCAGAGGTACGCGCCACGCCATCCTGTGCATGAAGAGCTGCCGCTCCGGCTGCTTCCAGCTTTTTCCTCCTCTCAGGCCCAGTTCCAAGCCTGTCGTCCACTCTTGCATCTCTGCCGTATCTCCACCAAGCCCACCTCCTGTGCCTGCCTCTTTCTCAGAGGCCCTGCTGCATTCCTGCCCCGCGCCCTGCTCCCTGTCTCTAGCTGGGTTTCTCTGATGGACTGGGAGCCCTGGGGTGCGCCGGGTCCGTGAGCAGTCAGCTTCCCACCAGGCCTTTCGCCCGGTCCCCTTTCCTTTCAGTCCCTGGAAAGCAGCCTCTGCGTGTGGTGCAAAGTGTCCGTTCTAGAAGACATTTTTCTCGTTGCTTTCAAGTAGAGCCCTGGTGTCACGTCTACTACCCAGATGTTTCTCTGTGGAAGAATTACTCTCTTTGGCCTGTACCTTCGCAAATGGATGTTTCTGAGGCCTCATAGCATTCCAGGTCCCAGCAGGGTCTTACCGGCCCAGTCAGGAGAGGGACTGATTCGCCTAGAGGCTTTCCCTGCATGCCTGCAGCCTCGTGGCCTACCCCTTGGCACCCTGGTCTACTGGATACCTGGAAGGATTGAATGGCAAAGTCTAGAGAGCCGTTTGATTTGGCATTCTTTTCTCTTTTTCTTAGTTTTGATTTTTAATTTTTGTTGCTTTTAATTTAAAAAACAGATGGGGTCTCACTATGTTGCCCAGGCTGGTCTTGAACTCTTGGCCTCAAGTGATCCTCCTACCTGGGCCTCCCAAAGTGCCAAGCCACTGTCCCTGGCCTGATTTATCATTCTTTTTCAGAAGCGCTTTCTCTTCTCTCAGGGCACATGTCCCTTTTAGATTTTGGGTCACTGGGACAGGTGAACTGATTATGGGGTACACTTTCCTTGATCGGGACATCAATTTGTACAATAAGCCCTTGAAATTGTTTAAACCACATAGCTTGTGCCTAAGGCCTTGAATCTGTGTTTGGTATGCTGCCAGAACACCCCCTGATGCAAGTATCTTCTGGAAGTGCCGCTGGCCTGCGTGGTGGGGTGGAAAGTTTCCGTACAGGGCTGGGACCAGCAGTTTGCAGCACCTGGCTCATTTGTGGTGTGGGTGAGGGCGTCCCTGACACCAGCTGACCTTCAGTCACCGGTCTCTTACCTGTTCAGGAAGCGGCATGGAAGAGAGCTGGGTGCAGCAGGCCTTGTTTTTATGCTCCTGCCGTCCAAAGAGTGCGTGGAGCCCACCCTGACCCACTCATGCCATGTGGCAGCCTCTCCTTTCTCCTGCACGTCTAGTCTCTCCCCAGAACCACCTTTCCTGCTGGGAGATGACAAGCTCCTTCCAGCCTGGCGAGGCTCTGATTTGCCGTTACAGTTGAGAGGCCTGGCCTGGGTCTGTCTGCCCGCTCTTTTGCTCACTCCATGTTCCGTGTTTATATCTGACTTGACATTTGATTAGCAGGCCTTCCGTCACCTGGAGCACACTGGCCCTTGGAAAGGATAGGGTTCCCATTTTGTTCCATTCTCCTCTTATTGAGGACCTCCTACATTTGTAGGGTGGCCTCCTAGTCAGCCAGCAGCGCAGTGGGCCCTGTCCTGAGTGGGTGGGCCACATGACTCCTGTCATAATTGGTAGCTCTCAGTCCACCTTTTGGAACATTTTCTTTGCACATGGTCTTTAATATTTTCTCCTGTTTAAATCCACCTTTCCTTTTTCTTTTCTTTTTTTTTTTTTTTTTTTTTTTGAGATGGAGTCTTGCTCTGTTGCCCAGGCCAGAGTGCAGTGGTGCGATCTTGGCTCACTGCAACCTCTGCCTCCCGGGTTCAAGCGATTCTCCTGCCTTAGCCTCCCGATTAGCTGGGATTACAGGCATCCGCCACCACGGCCAGCTGATTTTTGTATTTTTAGTAGAAATGGGTTTCACCATCTTGGCCAGGCTGGTCTTGACCTCCTGACCTCGTGATCCACCCGCCTTTTATGTCTGGATCCATGAGCTCTTCTGCAGAAGATTCTTCAGCGAGCCTCATGGCTGTGGGTTTCCACTTCAAGTGGGGTTCTCTTCCGTGTCACTGATAAGGTGCCAAGTGCGCCCATTCTATTGCCAAAGCCCAGGAAGCAGCGGCCTGTACCACACTTGGAAAAAGGGCCCCGTAGCATCAGTAGTAGGCTCAGAGACCTTCTGTGCCCCTTAGCGTGGTTAGTGTTCCACATAGCCACATGAAAAAGCGCAGGCCACCGTCCTTACAGCTCTGAGGCCTCAGAAGCTCTGAGAACTGAAACCTTTTCCTCACCTGGTGGCAGACCTGGCCCAAGCTGGCGTGAGGCTGCTCATAGCCTCCTGCCTCCCCTCTTGTGGGAGGGTCCCCGAGACCTCTGCACAGGATTGCTGTGTACCTCGCAGGCTACCGTTTTAGACCCTGTGTTGTCACCTTTCTGAAGCCAGAATATTTCTGAATTCTCAAGACACCTGGCCCCACAGGTTTCAGTTAAGGAATGATAGACCCGTATTTTCACCCACATCCTGCAGACAAGATGCCCAGGATTCAGGAGGTTGTGGTTGGCCTGAGTGGCCGTGCCAGGTTGGGCCCGGGGCCCGGCTGCTCGGCTTCCTCTGGCACAGCAGCTCCACGCAGTGGCCCCCTTTCCTTATCTGCATCTGCCTTTGTACAGAAGCTCCAGTGTGAAATAACTTTTTTCTTGTTGTGTAAGTAATACATGTTCACAGTGTTCTTTCTATTTAAGAAAGGAAAAGAAAAGGCTGCACAAAGAAGAAAGCGAAAATCCCCTGTGTCATTGCTCTGAGTTAGTCCTGTTTAGCACGTTACCAGTGAGGCGTTTCCTTTGAAATGGAGGACTCAGGCGCGCTTGCTGAGCACTTGCTGCTCATGTTTTAAGCACGGTGCAGCATTTTCCTTCAGCCCACATCACCCTGCTCTGGGGCACTTGCCCCGTGGTGCAAAGGGGAAGGCGAGCTTTGCAGATCAGGTGACTTTTGCAGATCAGGTGACCTGTCCACACTCACAGTCATGACAGCCTGGACCCAGGATTTGAACCTGGGCCTTTTCCCCCACTGCATGTGAATTTTATAAAGGCTCTTAAAATTGGAGTAGATGATGCCCTCAGCCTGGTGTCCTTTATCCACGTGTGTATTTCCCCTGTGGTGAGAAAGCACCAGCAGGAGTGTGCCAGCGTGGAGACCCGGCTTCAGATGGGTGCACTGAGGCCTGTGTGTCTCCTCACACTCACCCTCAGTGTCCACGTCAACTTGGCCTGTCCCAGGTGGTGTGTGTTGAGAGCCCCACGGGCACCATCCGTTTTTAGGCCAATTTGTAGCTAGCTGGTCCACTCAGGCCCCTCCTTGTCCTCTGCTTCCTACTCTCTGTGGCTCGGGTCACATGAGCAGAAGGCCATCGGCGTGAGGGAAACCAGGAGACCCGGAGTTCCTGCGTGGCAGACACTTAGTGTGACAATCTCAGATGACTTCAGCTCTGGGTCCCTGTCTTGAGTTGTCTTTGCATGATATTCTAAAATTTAAGAACTTGTTTTAATTATCCATTATTTAGTGATTTGTTTATTTATTTTGGGAGGTTAAATATTTTGTTATTTACACATATAAAGTAAGAATAAAAATTGGGCACGGAGGCTGGGCGTGGTGGCTCACACCTGTAATCCTAGCACTTTGGGAGGCCAAGGCGGGCAGATCACCTGAGGTCAGGAGTTCAAGACCAGCCTGGCCAACATGGCAAAACCCCGTCTCTACTAAAAATAACAAAATTAGCCAGGCGTGATGTCGGGCACCTGTAATCCCAGCTACTCAGGAGGCTGAGGCAAGAGAATTGCTTGAACCCGGGAGGCAGAGGTTGCAGTGAACCGAGATCGTGCCACTGCACTCCAGCCTGGGCGACAGAGCAGGACTCTGTCTCCAAAAAAAAAAAAAAAGCATGGTAATCATCCATTATTTAAAAGACCATTGTGCTAAATGGTGGTTAGTTGAAAATTCACAATATTATATTGCTGAGTGATTGGTGGATTATTTTTGTTTGTTTGATTTTTTAACTGAAAGGGGCCATAAGCCCAGCACACCAATATGTACAGCCCCTGGTCCTTGCGGGTGTAGAGGCTGGGTGACTGGGGTCAGTGTGTAGGTGCTAGTCTGTGTTCTTTGGGTTGAAATGATGTCTCGCACCTTCAGTATGCAACTCTGGTCTGTTTACCGATCACCTTTAGTAGCTACAGGGTCCTCCCTCCAATCTTAAGGTGGTTACATTGTTCTCCTTTTTTGCTTCTGTGAATGTTGGTGGTTACATCTTTGCAGAAACAATGCTACATCTGATCTAGTTTGTTTCCTATTCATCCTGATGCGGGAAAAACCCTTCTCACCACCTCATCTCCTACACGCTCACTTCCAAGTAAGGCAGGAAGATTGGAATGGATTCGAACTTTCCAAATGAGTTTTGTTTTTCTCATGGGAACAAAGAATGTGTTCTCCACTTAGATTTGAGCTTACATAGAATACCACGTTGAGATTTTAGTGTGGTGCTCATTACTGTAAGAATAGTAGTAAAAAGAAGACACAAACTAAAAGACCAGAGAAGAGAGACATCCTGTCACTTGGCATAAATTAAACATGCCTTCTCTGATCATTTCTTTTTTTAATTTGTTATGTTTGATCATTTCTTTAAAAAGTGATTCTGCTGGATTACTTAAGGGATATAACTCTCAGGAATCTGTTCTTTTCCTTATAAAATACTTTTTAATAACCAGATATCTTTGAGGCAAAAAATGATGCAAATATTTAAGCTGTGAAAGTTTAGGTTGTCGTAAATCCAGGGTTTGGTTTCAGCATTTTTTCATTCAACAGATAATTACGGACTGTTTACTGTGAGCCAGATGCTGCCTGGGCCCAGCAACTTGGCGATGGGCCTGCCCTGGCAGACGTGGGCCTGCCCTGGTGGGGCACAGGGTTCAGCCAGGCAGGTGGTGGTGTCGTCAACACAAGGGTGCTCAGGTGTGGCTGCAACACCTGCAGGGCTTGGGGCTGCAAGGACCTGTCGTAGGGGGAGCTCAGGGAAGGCCACCCCAAGGAAGGGGACTCAAGCTTCCATCTGAAAGTAAGTTGAATAATCAGGAAGAGGAGAGGGAAGAACGCGGTCAGGCCTGGAACTGGAAAAGGGCGCTTCACACTGTGAAGCGAGACTGGAGGAGTTGAGGAGGGAATGAGAGAGGTCAGTTAGAAAGTGGTTTTACCAGGCTGGGTGTGATGGGCAGTGGTGCAGATTGCAGGAGATGGGGAGGGGGATCAAGAGGGGCCACATGGGACCGGTGAGATTGGTTACGCTAGGGCTGGCTGGAAGAGGCCGGGATCAGGCTGACGAGTACTTCCATCTTGGATGGTCCTGTGTCAGGGATGTCAGGTGGGCAGCTGGTGCCCACGTGGGCTGGGGTGGTGTAAGGAGGGGTCTCAGCTGCACGTCCGTGGGAACAGGCCCTGGGACAGTGGGTGGCTTGGGGAGAGCACCAAGCAAGGGTCAGGTTTGGCTGTGCACCCGAGTCCCTGTGGGTGAGGCCCAGCTTAGAGCTCCTGGGTTGTTCTAAGACTTGACAGTCAGGGTGAGGAGCTGGTTGAGGATGAGCCTCAAGGCGGGCCACTCCCAACTGCTGGCATCACTGCCCTGAGGCACCCAACTCCTCCCCTCCCCAAGAATTGTAAATTAGAGGATGTTTGTGTTTAAGGGACATAAAATATTTTGTTCTCCATATTTTATTTAAATGTTAAAAGTTTTAAAACCCCGAAGTGTTACTATTTCCTGCCCAGAGTTGATAGTTAAGAGAAATGTCACGAAAGCCCACTCTGTAAATTGCCCTGTGTGCTGCACAGTGCTTCTCCCTGGTGCTGTGGCGGGATGCTTAGAGCTGCCGGGCACGCTCTGATCATCCCTGCTATGTAGATCTGGGACCTAAGATTTGGAAAATTGACGTGAATTCAATTCCTGTGACAATATCCAGGTTCCACACGCAGCTTCCTGCCCCTTCTGGTTTGGAGAAAGCAGTGCTGATTGATAGATGCCTCCCCCACGCTAAGACGGTGTTCTCTGTTTCAGGATGATGACCTGGAAGAAGGTGAAGTGAAGGACCCCAGTGACAGGAAGGTGAGGCCTCGTCCCACCTGCCGGTTCTTCATGAAAGGTAATTGTCTGCGTGTGAGGCCTTCTCGCAGCCAGCTGGGGCCCCACCTTCTGGGGCTGTGGTGCTGGCTCACCTTGCCAGGCCCTGCTCTGCTCAAGGCAGTTCTCTGGGCATTACTGGCTAGGTGGTGGTGGTGGTGGTGGTGGTGGTGGTGGCAATATTGATGGTAAACAATAGGCCCTTTTATTGGTGCTTTTATCACTTTAATGACTGCCTTGGTGGGAGCAGCCTGGTCATTCTCATTCTCACACTGGTGGTCCCAGGCCCTTCCGATCGCAGCAGACCCATAACTATAATGCAGATGGCATCAGTCATTTTTCAAAGTGGTCCTTTTCATAAGGCCGAATGTTCTAGACACCAGAATTAGCATTTTCCCCACCTCTGTAGAGATGGCCGCTTTTCCTGCAAGATGTGTCCGAAGCGTTTGTTCGTGTGGAATGGATTTCGAAATGGCCAGAGATGGCCGCTGAAGGCAGCAGGGCTCTCTCCTGTAGAAGGAATGGTGTGAGTTCAGGAGCTGCAGCAGGGGACAGTGTAAGAAAGTGTCAGAAAAGTCTGGGCTGACCCATTTTAAAATGTGGCAGAACTCTAGCCTGATGATGTTAGGGCTTTTTGTTTCGCTGCTTAATGTCTTGGGGGATTCGGAAATGGAAATGAGAATTTCCAACTTGTAAGGGTATCTTTGATGTGCAGCAGTAGTTTTGGCATATTTCTTGTAATTCAGCGTTCCCCTTGGAAAGGTAGGAAGGTGTTTTTCTCTTTTCTCTTAATTTTGCTGTAAGCCCATAGATGACTGTCACTGCCAGCCTGTGTGTGCCATCTAAAGCTCACAAGAGCTTCCTGTACTTCTTTTCCAGATGTTGTGACACCATTATCCACTCTTCTTCCACCAATATCCAATTCCATACCATTCAGAGGCCAGGTTAAAGGTACAAAATACGCTATATTCACTCTCTTCAGTACCTTAAAGTCCCCCTACTCCAGAGGCCAGACTTCCTTCTCCTGGATCCAGAACACAGCTGTGAAGCCAGAAGGAAAGGGGGTCTTTGAGGGGCAGAGAGCTGTTCGGAACCTCCTCCTTAGAGGCACGTGAGCCAGTCGAGCATCGGGGACAGGCAGGACACACCCTTGGGGTGTGGCGGAGTCCCATCATTCAGAGGCAGGCTGTGCTCTTAGAGCAGCCGGGAACGCCCCTGTGCAAGAGATGACCTGATGATGTGGGGCTCATGGGAACCCCGGGTTAGGCTCGCTCCTGTGGGTGTGTGCTTGCTTGGTTTTGCCAAGCAAAAACAGTTGACGTGCCCAAGTCACACGTGCATGTGAGGGGCCCCTACTGGGGAGAGCCTGTGAGGGCAGCAGACTTAGAGCCGTAGATTGTCACAGACACACCTAAGAATGCAGAGAAATGTGCGGTACGTTTTGGAAAAGCTTTGGTATTCACAGTGTCAGTATTTAAAGAAATTGGAATTTAAGCAGAAGACCTCTTTTCCATAATAGTGTGGGAATTAACAACATCAGTGTCTCAAATTTCTGTATGAAAGTGATGGAGAACAATCTGTACACATGTACGTGTACACATTTGCAGTCATTTTGAATCAGCACCCATCACAGTGCAGTGCTCTGGTCTCTGGGTGGCAGTGTGACTGGGAAGCTTGACCGGCCAGTCGGCGTTGGCCTGATGGTTCCAACTGCAGGAGGCTGCAGCATCCACCAGGGCAGGGAGACTCTGGACCAGGAGCCCAGGGCTCACTGCTGAGCTAATTCCAGAATTTAACAACAGAAGCACAAAACAGACAGAGAGATGGTTACTGGAACTCTTCATTCCCTTCATTGGGAGATGCCTGGATGAACACAGACAGGATCCTGTCTCCTTGCACATCACGTGGGTTGGTCAGAATTGGAAGGTGGTGCCCCCAAAGTTAGACTAAGTACTGAGTTTGGGTTTCAGCAAGTGAGACCATGTGGAAGGGTTTCTACAGTCAAGAAAGGAGTTTGAGACCAGCCTGGGCAACATAGTGAGACCTTGTCTCTACAAAAAATGAAAACTTAGCAGGGTTTGGTGGCACGCATGTGTAGTCCCAGCTACGTGGGGGGTGGGGGCTGACAGGGGCAGATCACTTGAGCCTGGGAAGTTGAGGCTGCAGTTGTGCCATGATCGTGCCACTGTACTCCAGCCTGGGCGACAGTGAGACTCAGTCTCTTGAAAAAAAAAAAGTCAGAAGCTAGATAAGGCAGCATTTTTGCGGCTTAATCAGGTGTTATCAATAACTCATTTCAGAAGTGTTTTTATTCTGTAGAGTGAGGTGATACGGTACAGAGGAAGTGGCTGATTCTTACCGTTTTCTAGATCATGTCTTCTGCTGCTGCTTTGTTATGAGAAATTTGGACTTAAATGTTTCTGCCTACCTGCAGTTTATATGAAATTGAAATTCTTCAGTTTATGATCTCTCCAATAACAACAAGTTATTTTAAAAACAAAATGAAGTTTGTTGTGTTGGCAAGGATATGGAGATGTTGGAGCCCTCATTCACTGCTCGTGAGAGGGTAAAACGGTGCAGCTGCTTTAGGAAACAGTTCCTCAGAAGCTCCCGGGTACCCACTGTATGACCCAGCAGTTCCACTGCAGGTATGCAGCCAAGAGAAACGGACGTGTGCATTTATGTGAAAGCTTGTGCATTAATGTTCACAGCAGCATAATTTCCAGTAACCAAAGAGAAACAACCCAGGTACCCAAAAAGTGAGGAATGGATAAACAAGTGTGGCCTGTCCATGCAGTGGAATGCTACTTGGCCATAAAGGGAATGAAGCACTGGCTCATGCCACAATGTGGACAAACTTTGAAGACGTGCTGAGTGACAGAAGGGAGCACAGAAGGCCACAGGTCCACAGAGACAGAAAGCAGATTGTGACTCACGCCGCAACGTGGACGAGCCTTGAAGACGTGCTGAGTGACAGAAGGGAGCACGGAAGGCCACAGATCCACAGAGACAGAAAGTAGATTGTGACTCATGCCACAATGTGGACGAGCCTTAAAGACGTGCTGAGTGACAGAAGGGAGCACAGAAGGCCACAGATCCACAGAGACGGAAAGTAGATTGATTCCTCGTTGCCTGGACTGGGGGTGGAGAGTGATAGCTAGTGAGTACAGGATTTCCTCTTTGGGGTGATGGAATGTTCTAGAACTAGCTAGTGGTGATGCTTACACAACTTTGTGAATATACTGCAAACCAGTGAATTGTACACATTAAATGGGAGTATTTTATGTTATGTGAATTGTGTCACAATTAGAAAATTCTTTTCTTAGAAAAAAGTCGGTGGCTGGGCATGGTAGCTCATACCTGGAATCCTAGCACTTTGGGAAGCTGAATGGGGAGGATCACTTGAGCCCAGGAGTTAGAGACCAGCCTGGGCAACATTGCAAGAGCTCATCTTTCTTTTTTAAATTACTTGTAGAGATGGGATCTCACTATATTGCTCAGGCTGGTCTCAAATACTAGGCTCAAGCAATCCTTCCACCTCAGCCTCCCAGAGTATGGGGATGACAGGCATGAGCCACTGCTCAGGCCTCTCTTAGCTTTATCTCCGACACGTTGTGATATAGAGATTAATCATTTAATCGCTTAGTGGACACATTGAGATTTGTGACCAAATGACAGCAAAATGCACTGGGAACACACCTTGCTCACATTTTAGAGATCAGTGCTTTGTGTACGCCTGCCCGGCTCCACAGCACATACACTACAACTGGAGCTGTACTTCTTCATGGGATGTTTTTATCTCTCGTGGGCCTGTGTTGGATCATCAGGACACAAAGTTCTGTCCACAGAGGAGTAAGTAGCATCTTCTTTAAACTGTGTCCCACTTTGGGTTTCTTTATTTCTTTTTTTTTTTTTTTTGAGACAGTGTCTCGCTCTGTCACCCGGGCTGGAGTGCAATGGTGAGATCTCGGCTCGTTGGAACCTCCACCTGGGTTCAAGCTATTCTTCTGTCTCAGACTCCCGAGTAGCTGCGATTACAGGCATCTGCCACCACCCCCAACTCATTTTTGTATTTTTAGCAGACATGGGGTTTCATCATGTTGGCCAGGCTGGTCTCGAACCCCTGACCTCAGGTGATCCGCTCACCTCAGCCTCCCAGAGTGCTGGGATTACAGGTGTGAGCCACCACACCCGGCCCCTACTTTGGGCTTCTGATTTATCCCTCAGTGAACAAGCATCCCAGTCCATTTTTTGGGTCTGATCTCCTTGGCTGTGCTCCCCCTAATTTTTTAAAATTGTGGTGGAATACTTTTTTTTTTTTTTTTTGAGATGGAGTCTTGCTCTGTCACCCAGGCTGGAGTGCAGTGGCACCATCTCGGCTCACTGCAAGCTCTGCCTCCTGGGTTCACGCCATTCTCCTGCCTCAGCCTCCTGAGTAGTTGGAACTACAGGCGCCCGCCACCACGCCCAGGTAATTTTTGTAGTTTTTGGTAGAGACGGAGTTTCACTGTGTTAGCCAGGATGGTCCCGATCTCCTGACCTCGTGATCTGCCCTCCTCGGCCTCCCAAAGTGCTGGGATTACAGGCGTGAGTCACTGCACCTGGCCTTCTGTCTTTTTAAGACTGAATAATAGGTGCGGTGGCTGATGCCTGTAATCATAGCACTTTGGGAGGCCGAGGTGGGTGGATCACTCAAGGTTAGGAGTTCGAGACCAGACTGCTCAACATGGTGAAACCCTGTCTCTACTAAAAATACAAAATTAGCTGGGGGTGGTAGAGCACACCTCTAATTCCAGCTATTTGGGAGGCCAAAGCAGGAGAATCGCTTGAACCCAGTAGGTGGAGGTTGCAGTGAGCCAAGATCACACCACTGCACTCCAGCCTGGGCAACAGAACGAGACTCCGTCTCCAAAAAAAAAAAAAAAGATTGACCAATATTTGTTAGTGTGGAGCAGCTGCATTGGGTGTTTCCCTCATCTGTGGGTGGACACTTGGGTGGTTTCCACCTCTAGGCAATTGTGAATAGAGCTGCTGTGAACGTGGGCGTAAAAATCTCTTCAGACCCTGCTTTCAGCTCTTTCGCATGTGCCTGGCAGTGGAGTTGCTGATGACCTGGTGGTTGTGTGTTTCATCTTTTGTGGAACTGCTGGCAGCGGAGTTTCTGATGACGTGGTGGTTGTGTGTTTCATCTTTTGAGGAACCGCTGGCAGTGGAGTTGCTGATGACCTGGTGGTTGTGTGTTTCATCTTTTGAGGAACCGCTGGCAGCGGAGTTTCTGATGACCTGGTGGTTGTATGTTTCATCTTTTGAGGAACCGCTGGCAGCGGAGTTGCTGATGACCTGGTGGTTGTGTGTTTCATCTTTTGCGGAGCCGCTGGCAGTGGAGTTGCTGATGACCTGGTGGTTGTATGTTTCATGTTTTGAGGAGCCGCCAAGCTGTCTTCCACAGTGGCTGTGCCATTTTACTTTCCCACCAGTGGTGTGGGGGCTTCCAGTTTCTCCACGTCCTCACCATTACTCTGTTCTCTGTTTTTTTTTGATAGTAGCCATTTCAGTGGGTAGGAGGTAATATCTTACTGGGTTTTGATCTGCCTTTCCTGAAGATGGGTGGTGGGGTGTCTTTTTTCATGTGCTTAATAGGTCATTTGTGTATCTTCTTGGAGAAATGTCTTTTGCTCAGTTTTGAATCCTTGCAAAACTGTGTTTAAAGCAGCAGGTCTGAGTGTCATCTGTGAACCCCTGGGAGTCCTTGAGACCCTTTCAGGGGACCCTGAGGTCAAAACTATATTTATTTATTTTTCTTTTTCTTTCATTTTATTTTACTTTTGTGAGATACAGTCTCCCTCTGTTGCCCAGGCTGGAGTGCAATGGCGTGATCTCAGCTCACTTGCAACCTCCACCTCCCGGGTTCAAACGATTCTCCTGCCTCAGCCTCCCGAGTAGCTGAGATTACAGGCGCATGCCACCATGCCTGGCTAATTTTTGTATTTTAGTAGTGGCTAAATTTTGTGTTTCAGTTGGTCAGGCTGGTCTCGAACTCCTGACCTCAAATGATCCGACCGCCTTGGCCTCCCAAATCGAAACTATATTTATAATAACAGTAAGGCTGAGCCAGGCATTCACCATGCACTGGCATTTCGAATGCCACTTTACTTCATGTCTGTGCTGTAGTAGTAAGAACTGTAATTTAATTAAATCTTACACTTGTGTACAGATGTATTATTTATTTTTATTATTCGTAAGTTCTTTTTAAAAAACTTTATTAAAGTAATATTTATGTGCCATGAAATTGACCCATTTTAAGTGTACAGTTCCATGATTATATAAGCATATCCCTATGATAAAGTTTAATTTATAAGTTACGCACAGTAAGAGATTAACAACAATAGCCAATCATAAAATAGAGCAATTGTAATAAAAATGTGAATGTGATCTCTCAAAAGAGCTCACTTTACTGCACTCAGCCACTCAGCCATCTGATGACGTGGGATGAAATATGCTCGCATGATGACACGGAGGCCCTGCCACTTAGCATTGGGCCCCCCTTGACCTCCTGCCAATGCGTCAGAAGGAAGGTCACCTGCCCCCAGTGATCCTGGGTCACTGAGCCACAGTGAGCACAGCACCGCCGTACCCCCAACGGTTGTTGGCCAAGAGGGCTGCTAAGTGACTAGTGGGCAGTTAGCGTCGTGGACAGCTTGCATCTGCTGGACAAAGGGATGATTCGTGTCCCAGGTGGGGCAGAGGAGGTCGGCACAAGATTTCATCACGCTGCTCAGCACAGAACATCATTTAAAACTTAGGAATTATTTTTGGAATTTTCGATTTAGTATTTTCAGACGCAGGTAACTGAAACTGTGGAAAGCCAGAAAGCAGAGCTTCTGTGTGTGTCTCAGTACTCAGCGTGGTGGAGTGGCAGCGTGGGTAGAGCCCCTGCCGGCACCCAAGTCCAGCGGCCTCAAGGGGCAGCACGTGCAAGGCTGGAGCTGCGGCTGACCCTGTGCGCTCTCCGTGGAGCACACATTGATGAGAAAGACTGGCAGACATGCCAGGGAATGCAGATCCGGGTCCTGGCAGGAACAAAGTGAGCCTGTGGCTTCAAGGAGAACAACGGACAGTGTTAGCAGTATTAAAATTGGAGCTTTCAGTTGAAAATTGGACTTTTGTGTGCTCACCAGCTTCTCAGTGTGTCAGGACTTTCTCAGGTGACCATTGCAGGATGTCACAGAATCATGCCTGGGTAAAAGACCCATTCAAAGTTCAAGATAGACCAATGGATTTCAGAAGAACCAAGTTGGAAAAGTGTGGTGATAGGGTTCAATTGCAGCTCGCTGTAAGGAGCCTTCCCTTGCTGAGTGCGGTGTCAGGGAGAAGCTCTGAGCACACTGAAAAGGCTTTTAGATGCCCCTCCCTCTCTAGCTGCATCTCTTCCTGGGGCTGTAATGTCCTCTCCTGCTTGAGCCACAGCGGCCCTTCATGGTCGATCGCATGCAGATGGGAGGCCAGGGGTTTTCCAGGGTCAGCATTCAAGAGATTCGCAAAAAGGCAAAGAATGCTATTCCTCTCACCAAATATTTTAAAAACAGTTTCATAAATATTTGTTACTATATATTGGATATCTTGTTATTGTTAAATAATGAGATATCTTTAAGTGTCTCTTAATTTCTAATATCGTACGTATCAATAGAAATGACACATATAAACCAAGTAAACACAGGGAATTGATATTTACTGTATTCAAAATCAGAAGAGACATTTAAAGATACTTCATGTGTGGGCTGTGCTGGAGCATGAGCTGAGCCTCAGTTCCTGCCACCTCTGTGTTTAGTTTCCGGATTTTCCATGTTTCCTATCTGTTTCCTGTCTGTTTCCCTGATCCAGTTTGGGTTGGTTGCTACTGAGCATGCAGGTTCCCTTTCTGTAGTTACATTGTTTAGTGAAAAAAAGCAAGGTTCAGCACAGAGCATAATATATATGCTCAGGTAAAAGGGGGCAATGATTGATGGATGGAGCCCCAGTATATTGATAACTGCCTCTGGGAATGGCCCTGGAGGCATGGGATAGGTGGTCAACTTCACAGTGTACCTTTTAGAGTGGGTGGGTATTTTTTATTTACAAGTATTTCATTTGATTATGAAATATTTCATATATATAAAATAATACAGTGTTTACACAAGCGTAAAGATTAATAAGAGAATAAAACAGTTGGCTGGGCGTGGTGGTTCATGCCTGTAATCCCAGCACTTTGGGAGGCCGAGGCGGGCGGATCACCTGAGGTCGCAAGCTCAAGACTAGCCTGACCAACATGGAGAAACCTCGTTTCTACTAAAAATACAAAATTAGCCAGGCGTGGTGGTGCATGCCTGTAATTCCAGCTACTCGGGAGGCTGAGGCAGGAGAATCACTTGAACCTGGGAGGCGGAGGTTGCAGTGAGCTGAGATTGTGCCATTGCACTCCAGCCTGGGCAACAAGAACAAAACTCCATCTCAAAAAAACAAAAACAAAACAAAAGAAAAACCAGTTGCTGCTGTGCCGACATTCCAGTTAAGAAAAAGACCATCATCCTGTCTTGAAGCCAGAAATAGTACTTAGACATTTCAGCAGTGGAGGGGCCGCCTCCGCCCCGCTCCAGCGGCCTCTGTCCCTCCTTGTCCTCTTCTGGCCTGAGGCCATGTCTGTGTACACAGTATCCGCAGAACTATCTTTATACTGTTAGAATCACAATCCACATAAATTTTGGGTTTGAAGTCCCATTTGTAAACCAGAAGATCTTTATTGTTGCTTCTATTTTCTGGATAATTTCTTTCTTTCTTTTTTTTTTTTTTTTTTTTAACAAATTGCTTTTTAAATTATGAAAGTAAGGCTGGGGACGGTAGCTGACACCTGTAATCCCAGCTCTTTGGGAGGCCGAGGTGGGCGGATCACCTGACTTCAGGAGTTTGAGACCAGCCTGGCTAACATGGCGAAACCCTGTCACTACTAAAAATACAAAAATTAGCCGGGCTTGGTGGTGCACACCTGTAATCCCAGCTACTCGGGAGGCTGAGGCAGGAGAGTTGCTTGAACTGTGAGGCAGAGGTTGCAATGAGCCTAGGTCGCTCCACTGCACTCCAGCCTGGGCAACAGAGCGAGACTCCATCTCAAAAAAAAAAAAATTAAAAAAAGGAAAGAAAGTAATATGGGCTGGCAGAAGGCAAGAAAATAAAATCTAAAGCCCCTTCCCACATTCCCGACAGTTGGGTGTGTTCCTACACAGATAAAAGTTCACATTTTAAAAAGATAGATGGGACAATGGTGTTCTTTCTGCCTGACGTCTGCTGGAAGTGTGTCCCAGCTAGACGTGCAGACCAACTGTGCTGCTTTCCAGAGCCATCTTCCCCTTTACTCTGGCCAGGGGCAGGACAGCGCTCAGCACCCCCGGGCAGGTGGCTCCCGAGAGCTGAACACTGTCACCCACTAGTGTCTGGTCTCTAGTGGCAGCCCCACGCTCGCCTTCTCAGCTTGCTCTTTGGCGCTCACTGGTTTGTTCTCTTCTGCCTTGTTCCTCTTTTCTCCCCATGCCAATATCAGTGAGAAAGGATCTTTTTTGATAGTAGGTTCGTAGGTGATGTCCTAAAAATTTTCATAAATACAGAAAAGAACGATAACATTTAGCCACCACCCAGATACATATTTTAGATGAAAAAGAAGTACAGAGGCCGAGTGTGGTGGTTCACGCCTGTAATCCCAGCACTTTGGGAGGCCGAGGCTGGCAGATCACAAGGTCAGGAGTTCGAGACCAGCCTGACCAAGTTGGTGAAGTCCCGTCTCTACTAAAAATACAAAAATTAGCCTGGCATGGTGGTACCCGCCTGTAATCCCAGCTACTCAGGAGGCTGAGGCAGGAGAATCACTGACACCCAGGAGGTGGAGGTTGCAGTGAGCCGAGATTGCATCATTGCACTCCAGCCTGGGACTGTCTCACTCAGTCAGAGTGAGACTCCATCTGAAAAAAAAAGGAAAAGGAGTACAGAAAAGCTGTGGTTTCTATTGTCAGCACTTTTCTGTACTTGGACATTTTTTACAATGAGCTTTTGTTACTTGTTTAGTTACACACGTGATTTTGAATACTGCATGAGTATTTTCAGAGGCAAACCATGAAGAGCTCTGTAGTGTGTTGAGTCTCAGATGGATGACTGCATAGTCAGTTTTTCTTTAAATCTCTCTGAGGCTCTGGATTTTTGAACCCCCTATAGAATAACATTTCCCAACCTCTTTTGTTTTTTGTTGTTGTTTTTGAGAGAGACTCGCTCTGTTGCCCAGGCTGGAGTGCAGTGGCACGATCTCGGCTCACTGCAAGCTCCACCTCCTGGGTTCACGCCATTCTCCTGCTTCAGCCTCCCAAGTAGCTGGGACTACAGGCACCTGCCACCACGTCCGGCTAATTTTTTGTATTTTTTAGTAGAGACGGGGTTTCACCATGTTAGCCAGGATGGTCTTGATCTCTTGACGTCGTGAGCCACCACGCCTGGCCTCCCAACTTCGTTTGACTTATGTGTGATCTCTGAAATGCTTTTAGAAATTTTAAAAATTACTTGTCATTTTTGCATTTCCAGAGAAGCAGTTTTAAGTTTTCTTTCGTGTTTAATTTGGATCGATATTGTTATTATGTTGTATTGAGTTGGTTTTAATGCAGGCTTAAGTGTTCCTGATGTTTAAGGTTAAAATTTTAAATGATTTAAAATCTAACTGCATGTTAACCCATTGAAAAAAATTTTTAAACCGCTTAGATACTATATGCCATATTTGGTTTTAAACAATGTGTACACATTATCTATTCCCAAAAAAGTACATTTTAAAAAAGTGATTCACTCAGTAATTGAGTTAGACACTTAGATGTCTTATATTCTACACTTGAAAGTCGAGGTCTCCTTTACTAACCCGGATATTCTGTTGAAGATGAAGGTTTGTGATTGTTATTTATGAGCAAAGTGTAAAAGCCCGTTTCAGTTCCAGAAATATCTTGAAATGCCCTGTGAGAGTTTTCTCTGTGAGAGAAATGCAGACGTACAGAGGTGGCCAAGGGGACCCTGAGCACACCTGCAGGCTTCTGATCATTGTTAATGCTTCTCATTGATGTCTGTTTCGGCACAAATACAATTAACATCCAGTTGTACCTAGATGAGCCTGGGCCAGGGCTGGAAGCAAAGCTCTGGGGCTTTTCTGGTTTAAGGGGAAAATTAATACTCAGACAGTTGATACGCGTGAACTCTCCACAAAGTGACTTTGTGGTCACTCTGACCGAGGTGCCTGGCAGCCTCTGGGGAACTGCCGTGCCTGGGCAGGTGCAGCTGTCTGGCTCAGCCTCTCCAGGCTCATCCCGCCCACCTCCCCGTTCAGTTCCCACTACTGTGTGGCTCGCCATCAGGCCTGGGTAAACATGGCCTCTGCCCCCTCCCACCCCCCACCCCAGCAGCTGCCCTTGTGCAATTAGGCTCTTGTGGACCCTTTCTGATCTCACTTTTGTTTCCATAGGGAACTGTACCTGGGGAATGAATTGTAGGTTTATACACCCTGGAGTGAACGACAAGGGGAACTACTCCCTAATCACCAAAGCCGACCCCTTCCCGCCTAATGGTGCCCCGCCTCTCGGACCTCACCCGCTGATGCCCGCCAACCCTTGGGTGCGTGATGCCTCTTCTTTCATTGTTAGCACATCAGCCAACTGAGCTGTGTCTGAATCTCAAGCTTAAGACAAGTCACTGTGCCTTAGCACAGGCTCAGTGCCCCCTTTCGGCTGCTTCTGTCGTCCCGAGTGGAAGCAGGCCTCGGCTTTCCGAGGACGGAGTGAGGCTTGGTGGAAGGAGAGCGGCCACACACGGCCGGCTTGTGTTGTAGTTGATGTTTTTACTGTCTGGTTTCTCTGTACACTTGAAAGTTTTACTTTCTCACCTTCTCCCTTCTCGTTTTTCAATAGGGTGGGCCGGTAGTTGATGAAATTTTGCCTCCACCCCCTCCAGAGCCCCCAACAGAGAGTGCCTGGGAACGAGGACTCCGGCATGCAAAGGAGGTAAACACAATTCAGCAGAAATCCCGACAAGAAAGATGCTATTACAGGAGTGGTTCTTGACAAAACTGGGATTTCCTCGGTCCAGAGAGAGCCCCAGAAATCTCTGAAGTTAGGCGTCTGTTTCTGTGGTGTCTTTCTTTATTTTTTATTTATTTATTTTTTTGGAGACAGAGTTTCACTCTTGTTGCCCAGGCTGGAGTGCAATGGCCCAAACTCGACTCACTGCAGCCTCCGCCTCCCAGGTTCATGTGATTCTCCTGCTCGGCCTCCCAAGTAGCTGGGATTACAGGCATGCGCCACCAGGCCCGGAAGGATGGAGAGTTATATCTAACTGTCTCAGGCAGCAGCCCAGTAGGCCAGGGAGTTCAGTCCAGGGCATACCCACTGTCTTCATGGGGCTGGATCAGCACTGGGCCACACCCCAGCTGGCACTGCCCAGGAGCACAGGGTGCAGTCTCCAGCCACTCACAGAAAGCCTGGCGAGGCTGCCCGAGCCGCACCCCCAGGATCTGCACCCCACACTCCTGAGACTCAGTGTCTGCTCTTCCTGGAGAAAACTTGGAGCTTTCTGGTCCTATCACTGCACACTTCCTCCCTCTAGGCCCACGTTGGCCCCAGTGTGTGAGCTTCAGCTCTGGGGACCACTCTGCTGGCACCCAGCCCCACTTCCTCATTTTCCTGGTCAGCCTCCCTGCTGGGAAATGACGGACAAGATGTTCCTTCTCACTCCCTCGGCATGTCACTTCCTTCCCTCTGAGACTCCAGCCACTCCACCTGCTGCTTGTCACTGAGTGACTGAACCCTGGATCTAGTTCCAAGGGTAGTTGAAGGAAGTGATGAACACCTCATGTGGGCACACGGAGGCCGGGGGCAGCTGTTTGTGCAGAGACGGGCACAGACTGCCCTCCCCAGAAGGACAACTGTGCTGTGTCCGCCCCTCACCCCTTGAGCACTTGCAGCGTGCAGCTCCTGCTCCTGCAGGGCTGCTGCGGTCGGGTGGGACGGCTCCCTTTGTGTTTCCTAACAGCGACGCCCGGTATTCTGTTCCATGTTGACTTCTTTCTTCTTACAATGGTAGGTTTTAAAAAAAGCAACTATTCGAAAAGAACAGGAGCCTGATTTTGAAGAGAAAAGGTTTACGGTGACCATTGGCGAAGACGAACGGGAATTTGACAAAGAAAATGAAGTTTTTCGAGATTGGAATTCTCGGATCCCGAGAGATGTCAGAGACACAGTGTAAGGAATGGCCCTGCCTGCCCCTCCGTTTCCTTCCTGCATGCGGCCACGCTCCGGAGAGAGCAGCCATGTGCAGGGCCCCAGGGTGCGCTCGGCTGAGACCCAGCCCCACTCACTGGAGTCTCAGTGACGTTCCTGAGAGCATTCAGGCACGGTTCTCAGAGCTCATCTCAGTTTTTTGCTTCTAGGAAGGAAGCGTTAGGGCTCTGTGCCATGGGCCTTGACTGGCAGCACTCACACCGTTGTGGTTCCTGAGCTCTGAGAGTTTTCGCTGCTGTCCTTGAGGCCTCTAGAGCCCCACAAGTCTGTGTTTCTGGCTCCTCACCCCTGCCCACATTACCCAGGAGCCAGGAAACGTGTGGAGGTTGCCACAAGCCAGGAACACAACAGCTGCGGCCTCTTCGCTGTCAGGGCTGTTCTGCCTTCACTGCTTCTCCTCCAGGGCATTGATGGCTGGTTTTTGTTTTTTGGTTTTTTTTCCCGAGGCAGAGTCTTGCTCTGTCGCCCAAGCTGGAGTGCAGTTGCGCAATCTTGGCTCACTGCAACCTCCGCCTCCCTGGGTTGAAGTGATTCTCCTGCTTCAGCCTCCTGAGTAGCTGGAACTACAGGTGTCTGCTACCACACCCAACTCAGTTTTGTGTTTTTAGTAGAGATGGATTTCACCATGTTGGCCAGGATGGTCTCGAACTCCTGACCTCAAGTGATCCACCCACGCCTGCCTCCCAGAGTGCTGGGACTACAGGCGTGAACCACTGCACCCAGCCCCTTTATGCCTGGTCTTTAAAAATCCTGTCTTAACAGAAGAAGTGCCTGGGTCGAAGGGTGGAAGTCAGATCTTGGGGGATTGCATGGCATATAAAGTGCTGTTTTCCTCTGCCTGTGGATGGCACGGTGAGGTTCAGGGCAGGGAACTGGATTATAATTCGGGCAGATCTGAATTGGCACTCCATCATGCTGAGGCTTTAGCAGCCCTGTACATTTCTGGTTGCTATTAGGGAATCATAATCACTATGATTTCTATCTGGAGTGACAATAAACGGTGCTCAAAAAAGGAAGGCGTGCAGGGCTTGCACTCCAGGATTTGGTCCTGTCGACTTGGCCCTGCAAGGCCCTTCTCAAGGCCTTCTTGCCGCGAGCAGGCTACCCTGGGCTTTCCGCCTGCGGAAGTTGGGGGAGGAAGCCCCAGTGGCCCACACCTGCCCCAGCAGGTGAGAGCTTAGAGGTTAAAGGGATAGGTATTTAAAGACTTGGTTAACATGTACATTTTCTAATTAAGTTTTGTGTGGAATGTCAGATCACAGAAAGGAGCATTTGAGTCAGAACTCTGCAGGATCACCAGGGGTGTCTCCTGAAGCCCTGGAGGCCTTTGTGTTTTTTTGTTAGATGTGGATATCGTCTTTCCTTCCCCAGAGCTCGTGTGCACAGAGGTCTCTATAAATATGTGTGGGGAAGGATGGATTTTAGAACCTGGGCGTGATCCTTGACACTCTATTTCCAGTTTCCCTGGCTGGAGCAGGGACCGGAAAACTGCCTGCTTGGAAGTGGTTCGGCAGGTCTCTGAGGTTTTTTGGAGTGCCCTCTGTGTGTGTTTTACCTATCAGTGTTGGTTACAGAAACAGGTGTCTCCCATCCTGGCACCAGGTGACAGAAGCTGGCTCCTGGCTCCCTAGCTTCTCTCCCAGGAGCCGGTATCTACACTGCAGGACCCCCAAATGTTAAAGTCTCGGCAGTCAGGGCTGAAAGGTTTTCACTGGTGTCTGAAAGCCAGGTATTTCTGTATGTTTGTATTTTGTTTGTTTTTATAGAGTAGCCTCTGTGTATGTTACAGTTAACCTGAGGCCTTTTGTGCCATGCCTCCCCCGAGACCTGGTGAGTCAGGACCTCTGGGAACAGGGTCAGGGTGCATGTGTCACAGTGGCGAGGTGCCCTGGCTGTTTCTGATAGACACAGTGGAAAGAACTGTCAGGGTTCTGCCAGGAGGGTGGAGACCCCCCTATGATTGTCACAAAGAGCATCTAAGGGAAGGGTGGGTCCACCAGGTAGGTTGCTACAGAGGAAAACAGTGAGTAGAGGGAGCCAGTACAGCTGGGCTGCTGAGACCCGGAGGGAAGGAAGGAGCTGCACTGCAAGTGCAGATGTCCTGGTGCGTGCTGTTGGCAGGAGTGGGTCCTCTTGTCACCCAGCCTTCTCGGTCCTACCTGTGCCCGCTGCAGGCAGGGCCTCACCTGGAACAGCTGGCAAAGCAGGTCGCAGCTTGTAGGGTGTGCAGGAGGGTGGCTGGCAGCCCAGTTGGCGGTCAGGCTCCAGGGCCTTAATGGCACAGAAGAGGCCAAGCCAGCAGCACTTATGTGTTGCAATCCTGCTGCATGACAGGCTTCGCATCCAGTGCTCCTGACCTGTTTTGGGTCACAGCAGGCCGAGGTCAGGGCCATGTCCCTGCCTCACAGGTGAGGAGAGTGCAACCTGGATTGATAGCTGTGACCTCCTGGTGTGGTGCCTTAACCTCAGCCACATCTGCCCCCAGCAGCATGTGAGAGGTCAGATTCTTAGCTCGACCCCAGGAAGACTGAGTCTGAAACTCCAGGGAGAGCCCAGGCCAGTGGTTTGTTTTTAACAAGCCCTCCAGGTAATTCTGATGCATATTAAAGTTTGAGAACCATTGATTGTAAGTAATTCCAGGGACACAAATTCTCTGAAGATACCATGTTATTTTATTTCCTAATGTCGAGAGTTTTCTGTTGGTTTTTTGAGATGAGGTCTTGCTATGTTGCTCAGGCTGGTCTCCAACTCCTGGACTCAAGCAATCCTCGCGCCTGAGCCTCCTAAGTTGCTGGGAATATAGACGTTAGCCACCTGATGTTGAGTTTTGCAAATAATTGTCACATAGAAGCACCTTCATGCAGGCAGGCTTTGCTTACTACAGGATGGAGCTCTAGGCACTTCATTGTAGAACCAGTGGAATATGAGGACTTTTCGAGAAGTCTTGAGGACATAAAGGACAAGAAAATTGTTGTTCCTTCTTTTTTTTTTTTTTGAGACGGAGTCTCGCTCTGTCACCCAGGCTGGAGTGTAGTGGTGCCATCTTGGCTCACTGTAAGCTCCGCCTCCTGGGTTCACGCCATTCTCCTGCCTCAGCCTCCCGAGTAGCTGGGACTACAGGCGCCCGCCACCACGCTCAGCCAATTTTTTGTATTTTTTAGTAGAGACAGGGTTTCACCATGTTAGCCAGGAATGGCCTCAATCTCTTGACCTCGTGATCTGCCTGCCTCGGCCTCCCAAAGTGCTGGGATGACAGGCGTGAGCCACCGCACCTGGCCTGTTTTTTCTTTATATCTCTTTTGGAATTAAAAACTGACCTAGCAGGATCACTTAGTAAACATAATACTTTGTGGCCGGGCACGGTGGCTCACGCCTGTAATCCCAGCACTTTGGGAGGCCAAAGCGGACGGATTGCCTGAGCTCAAGAGTTTGAGACCAGGCTGGGCAACACGGTGAAACCCCATCTCTACTAAAATACAGAAGAAATTAGCAGGGCGTGGCAGCATGCACCTGTAATCCCAGCTACTTGGGAGGCTGAGGCAGGAGAATTGCTCGAACCTGGGAGGCGGAGGTTGCCAGTGAGCCAAGATCATGCCCCTGCACTCCAGCCTGGGCAACAGAGCGAGACTCCGTCTCTTTTTTTTTTTTTTTTTGAGACGGAGTCTGGCTCTGTCGCCCAGCGTGGAGTGCAGTGGCGCAATCTGGGCTCACTGCAAGCTCTGCCTCCTGGGTTCACGCCATTCTTCTGCCTCAGCTTACCAAGTAGCTGGGACTACAGGTGCCTGCCACCATGCCCGGCTAATTTTTTTTTTTTTTTTTGTATTTTTAGTAGAGATGGGGTTTCACCATGTTAGCCAGGTTGGTCTCGATCTCCTGACCTTGTGATCCACCGGCCTTGGCCTCCCAAAGTGCTGGGATTACAGGCGTGAGCCACCGTGCCCAGCCCCATTTCTTAAAATAATAATAATAATAATACTTTGCTAGACAGACGCACTCTGATTCGCAGCTTTAAATATTCCGTTTCTACCACCTCAAGCACTTTGTTCAGGTACCATCTGACTTATAAAACCTCACATATTGGCTGGATACAGTAGCTAGTAATGTCTATAATCCTAGTGTTTTGGGAGGTCAAGGTTGGCAGATCAGTTGAGCTCGGGAGTTGAAGACCAGTCTGGACAACATGGCAAAACCCCATCTCTACAAAATATACAAAAATTAGTTGGGCATGGTGGCACGCACCTGTAGTCCCAGCTACTCAAGAGTCTGAGGTGGGAGAATCTCTTGAGCCCGAGAGGTGGAGGTTGCAGCAAGTGAGATCGTGCCACTGCACTCCAGCCTGGGTGACTGAGTGAGACTCTTTCTCCAAAAAAAAAAAAAAAAGTTCTCACATATGTAAGACATTAAGAAATGAAATGACGGCCGGGCACAGTGGCTCACGCCTGTAATCCCAGCACTCTGGGAGGCTGAGGCAGGCAGATCACAGGGTCAGGAGATTGAGACCGTTCTGGCTAACATGGTGAAACCCCATCTCTACTAAAAATACAAAAAATTAGCCAGGCGTGGTGGCGGACACCTGTAGTCCCAGCTACTCGGGAGGCTGAGGCAGGAGAATGGCGTGAACCCAGGAGGCGGAGCTTACAGTGAGCCGAGATGGCGCCACTGCACTCCAGCCTGGGCGACAGAGCAAGACTCCATCTCAAAGAAAAAAAAAGAAATGTCATCTCTGCATAGGGCTCCTGGGGATGCTGTGCCCAGAATATTCTACAAGTCTAATAGGGACATGTGACCCAAAAGACACAAGGGCCTCTAGTGCGCACAGGACGTCACCTGTGAGAAATGCGGTCATCAGTAGTAGCCCCACCGTGAACAGAGTTTCTGATTAAATCAGAGTCAGGCTGTCAGGCCATGGCCAGGGCCATGGACTGGGCCCCTGCCAACTCCCCATACGCCCCCAGCACAGAGAGTAGTGCAGTGCCGGTGTATTAGAGGCGGAGGTGCAGGCTGCTGTTCTTTGGAGTAGGATGTCAGGCTGGGATACAGAGGAAACAGAACAGTAATTTTCAAAAAGCACACTCCCTTTCCTCAGGTAACAGGTCTACCAGATGCTGGTCCAGCACCTCCTTTGTCCCAGATGCTTAACTGAGAGAGCACAAGTGGCTTTTACCTGGGATTTGCTGGTGCCCTGTGGGGAAGCCCCCTGAGTGAGCAGGGAGGGAGGGTTGGGCTACCTGGAGAGTAAGACAGGGCCTGCTCCACATGGGTAAGCCCACAGTCCCACAGACTCAGGGCAGATGGATGTATGGGTGCCCAGGCATTGCCTGTGGCCTCTGCATGCCTTTGGGGACCTCCTCCCCTGCCTGCACTTTCAGTGGCCAGCGTTGCAACAGGAACGTGGGCAACAGGCAGGTGGGCACCAGGTCGACCATGCTGGGTTGGGGTGAGGGCAAGAGGCAGCAGGGGGCTGCGTCGCTGCTCCCTTTGTGAGCTGCCTGGGACCCTCCTTTTCACCTTGGGTCTCTGCAGCAAGCAGGGACACGTGAGCATCTGACTCCCACCCTTTGCAGAGCACAGCCTCCCTCCACCTGGGTTGAGGTCAGCACGATTTCAACCTGAATTGTGCAAATGCAAGTTGCATTTCATTGTGTAATATTGCATAACCCTTAGATTAAAAGTGAGTAGTGTTAGACATTTTAGAACTTTTTCCTAGTACTTTTTGAGATCCAGTTTCCTTGTCACTGAAATGAAATGGTTAAACAAAGTGATCTCGAAGCTCCAAACTTCTGTCTTACACGTTCTCTAATTGCTCGACTTTTCACCTGCCATGCCTCTCCCTGGGCAAGGCTGTGGGCAGAAACCACCTGCCCCTGATGGGCATGTCCAATGGTTCCCCTTAGCCAGGACCTCGGGTTCTCCTCTCCAGCGAGGAGTAGGTCCACTCCACGTGCCAGTGCTGAGTCTGACGCTGCCCAGACCTCTGGGGACGCGGGGCCTCTGGAGTGCAGATTCCACGTGTGTGCACAGGACACTGTTGGTGTTGGCTGGTTAAGTGGTGACTGCAGAACGAGGTGCGAGCCTCCCAGTTGCTGCGAGCCAGCTTTGCCCAACCTTGCTTCACCACAGAACCCTTTTCTCAAAAGGCCCATTAACATTTTGGGTTCCCTAAAACAGTTGGGGAAGAGTTTGTGCATACCATGATACTGCCCAGTAGCATTTATTTTTAAATTGAATTAAATACCTTCCAAATTCATTTCAAGAGTGTTTCAGAATTTTTCAGGATGGTGCTGAGGAGTCCGTTGTTGGCATGGTTGCAGTTCCTGGTGGCGTGTTGTGTTGACACGTTCTCTAGAACGCATGCTGCGGAGCAGATGGTTCCGAGGCAGCCACGCTGAGGAAATGCTGTGTGCCTCATTCCTATCCGCTCATCCACGACTTCCAGAAAGCCTGCAGGAAAGAGGCCTTTTCATTTTGCTTAAGTACAGTTTCCCAAAAACAAATTTGCCGGCACAGTCCTCTTGTCAGAGAACACACGCCTCACACATTTTGGGAAAGGCTTTTCTACCCTATTGGGCTTACGCAATCAGCCTCAGCCCACCGAGTAGTTGGGGGCCACAGCCATGCACCACCAGACCTGGCTGCTGATGTGTTTTTTGTAGAGACGGTGTCTCGCGTGCTGTCCAGGCTTCCTCTTCGTTTTTATGTAGCCTGATGTCATATTGCCACAGGTCTCTACAAATGTTTCCTGAGTGTTATAATTCAGTGTGATTTGAGTAGTGTGCACATTAGATTGAACGGTGTCCGACTGATGGGAACGGACTGAAGCTGTGTCCTTTGGGAGAGCCAGTTCTAGGCCATGTGGAGAGTTGAGGAGGCCTCGAGGGTGTTCGTAGCCACCCATCGCTGGAGCCACCTCAAGCCATGATGCCTCAGGTTCCCACCCAGTCTACCCGAAGCAGAGGGTTGGCTTGTGGCTGAGACATACCCTGGAGGGGCGTCCAGGGACCTCCTATTGCTAGTGTACACTTTGTTTCCTCTGCTCCACAGGAAAGGAGATGCAGAGTTGTGGGCCCCGCCAGGAGTTTAGAGCAGGCCCCCCCCAACCCTGTGCGCAGTGGGGAAGAGAGCCTGACCTTCCCAGCAGCTGGACAGTCGTCCCCTCCCTGTTCAATGAAGAATCCCCTCTGTCCCTGAGATGCCACCTCTCTGGGCGTGCCTGGGTCTGCCTCTGGACCTCCTGCCTCCTCCTTCTGGCCGCCGGTTTTCATGTGCTGCGATGGCACTGGCTTAATTATACAGGCTTTTTAGGATGTTTAATGTCTCAGAGGGCGTGTCTGGCGTGTCTTTTCATTTCCAGGGTTTTCTTGGCTGTTCTTGGGGTGCGATTTTTCATGTGAACTTGGGTGTCAGCTTGTCTGGCTCCTTAAAGAAGCTCATTGGTGTTTTTGCTGGGATTGTGTTAAATTTATCAGTCAGTGTAGGAAGGACTGACTTGTGGGCGATTCCGAGCTGCGCTCTCCCAGTGCAAGAGGCGTCTCCCCATTATTCATGCACGCTTTGTGTCAGGTTTCAAAACCCCCATTTATTCATGCACACTTTGTATCAGGCGTCTCCCCATTTATTCACACGCTTCATGTCTCTCAGGCGTCTCCCCATTTATTCACAGGCTTCATGTCACGTGTCTCCCCATTTATTCACACACGCTTCATGTCTCTCAGGCGTCTCCCCATTTATTCACACACACTTCATGTCTCTCAGGCATCTCCCCATTTATTCACACACACTTCATGTCTCTCAGGCATCTCCCCATTCACATGCTTCATGTCAGGCGTCTCCCCATTTATTCACGCACGCTTCATGTCTCTCAGGCGTCTCCCCACTTATTCACACACACTTTGTGTCTCTCAGGAATCAGCTCTGCACATTTCTGGTGAAATGTGTTGATATTTTATTCCTAAGTACTTTTTTCTTCTTTCTTGCTATTGTAAATGCGGTTTTCTCCACTCTGCCTCCTAACTGGTTATAATCTGTGTCTGTGAAGACACTGATTTCTATGTTAATTTTTTTATCCTCTGCCTTTCCAAGTTTCTTCATTGTTTGTTTGAATTGGCTTTATCAAGTCTCTGGGTTTTTCATGTATAGTATCATATCATTTTGCAAATCTGAGCTCGTTTTGCTCCTTGTTTTCGTGTTCTTGTGCCTCTAGTGGGCTCCCCTTGTCCAGTCAGGGGGTGCCTCCACACAGGGACAGGTGGTTGCGGAGACTCCTGGGGGAGCTCCTCCTATTCCCCAGTGAGTAAGGTGCTGACTTTTGTTCCAAAGTGTGTCAGTATATTTTTATCATGCTAAAGTATCACTTCCTATTTTCTTTCCTTTTTTTTTTTTCTTATTTAATTTTCAAGACGGAGTTTCACTCTTGTTGCCCAGGCCGGAGTGCAATGGCACAGTCTCGGCTCATGGCAACCTCCACCTCCTGGGTTCAAGTGATTCTCCTGCCTCAGCCTCCTGAGTAGCTGGGATTACAGGCATGTGCCACCACGCCCAACTAATTTTGTATTTTTAGTAGAGAAGGGGTTTCTCCATGTTGGTCAGGCTGCTCTCAAACTCCTGACCTCAGGTGATCCACCTGCCTCGGCCTCCCACGGTGCTGGGATTACAGGCATGAGCCACCACACCTGGCCCTCACTTCCTATTTTCTTGAGTATTTTTTATCAAAAAGGCTATTGAATTTTTGTTAGACATTTTTATCATCTGTGAATAGAACCCTTTGACTTCTGGCCTGCTCTTAGATGTAGTTTGTGAACAGATTTCCTAACCTTGAGCCAACCTTGCGCTCCTGGAGTAAACCCCACTGCGTCACGGTCTGTTACTTTCTGTCCCTAATGTTTCGTGTGGTCTTTTTACGCCAGTGCTCCTAAGTGATGAGAGTTCTTTTTCATTGGCCCTTTTCAGACTCGAGCCTTACGCAGACCCTTATTATGACTATGAAATTGAGCGGTTTTGGCGTGGCGGACAGTATGAGAATTTCAGGGTGCAGTATACAGAAACAGAGCCGTATCATAATTACCGAGTAAGTATGACTTCAATATCCACATATGAACTTCATGATCTGTTCATTCAAGTTATCCCTTTTTATTTACAGTAAAAAATACAGGGCTTTATATGAGCTTATAGAGCCAGCACAATGTACCAATTTGAAAACCAAATTGATTGTTACGGAGAACGAATTCAGAGGCAGCGATTACATTAATGGTCATTTGAACAAAGACTTGCCTGAAAACTGGTTCTTGCTATGGTTTTGTTTTTTTGTGTGGTGTTTGTTTGTTTGTTTTTTGAGATAGGGTCCCACTCTGTCACCCAGGCTGGAGTGCAGCGGTGCAATCTCGGCTCACTGCAACCTCTACCTCCTGGGTTCAAATGATTCTCCATCCTCAGCCTCCCGAGTAGCTGGGACCACACGCATGCACCACCATGCCCAGCTAATTTTTTTGTATTTTTTTTGTAGAGACGGGGTTTTACCATGTTGTCCAGGCTGGTTTTGAACTCCTGAGCTCAAGCAATCCGCCTGCTTTAGCCTCCCAGAGTGCTGGGATTAAAGACATGAGCCACTGCGCCCGGCCTGGGTTGTTTGTTTTGGAGACGGAGTTTAACTCTGTCACCCAGGCTGGAGTTCAGTGGCGTGATCTCACCTCACTGCAACCTCTGCCTCCCAGATTCAAGCAATTCTCCTGCCTCAGCCTCCTGAGTAGCTGGGATTACAGGTGCCCACCATCACACCTGGCTAATTTTTTGTATTTTTAGTAGAGACAGGGTTTTGCCGTGTTGGTCAGGCTGGTCTCAAACTTCCGATCTCAGGTGATCTGCCTATCTCAGCCTCCCAAAGTGCTGGGATTACAGGCATAAGTCACTGTGCCCAGCTCGGCCTGGTTTTGAAAATGAGATTTGCCAGTATACTTACTGATGCCTGTGTCCAGGGGTGCCTGCGTCTCCCTGCTCGGGCGTGTCACTCTTCCCCACCCCTCAGTGATCCCGTTTAGGATGTGGCGCCTGTTCTGGTCCACTTCAGCCAGCTTGTTAAGTCTGTTCCGGGCCTGCTGCACCTCACTGCTCTCATGGAAGACTGGTCTATACTGAGATTTCCGCCCTGGAAATCTCCCTGGTCTGAGCCTCAGAGTTTAGCATATTGATGAGTTATGTGCTTCAGACTGTGAGTTCCTCATCTTAGCTGTTAGGGTGATTTGACGAAGTTGCCCCAGGGAAGGGTCAGTTAGAAGCTGCTGTGTAGTTCTGTTCTGTGACTGCAGGGACAGTCATGAGCTTTGAGGACCAGGTGCGGCTGTCTCCTCAGGAGCCCATCAGGGTGAGCTTGCAGAGGGAAGAGGGCCCCATCGTGCCAGAAAAGTCCCCCTGCTCGATGCTCTTGTGCCCCGTCTCTCCATAAAGCAGCTTCCTCATTGCAGGTGGGCTGCAGGGTCCTGCTGCTTACCCCTGGGCAGGGTACCCTGGAAGGTGGGAGAAAGCCCCAGGGATCCCTTTCCACTGCGTTCCTCTCTGCTGTGTCCGAGGGAGGGGCAGCAGGGAGGCTCGGGGTGCACCCTGCATCTCCCCAACAGAGGCCTCAAGCCTGAAACCCATCAGGTGCGTTGTGATTGGACTTTATTCAGTTTTAACCTTGAATATTAGAGCAAATGAATGAGTAAGAGCAGAGGAAAAGTTGGAAAGGGCATCCGAGGATTGTACTAGAAGAAGAGGAGCAGTCTTTTGGGTGCCTGCTCTGCTCCAGAGGCAGGGCATGTGCTCTGCTGTGGCTGCACCTACCTGGGACAAGCCTGGAACTCCCGTCTCTGGATGGACAAATGGACTTGCCCAGGCCACACGGCGGAAGGCCATCTGTGCCAACGACACCGGGCTGTGACTGCAGAATTGCTGCCCTGAGTTAGTCTAGAATTGGTGGTTGGGATGATTTCACTCCTAGTTTGTGTTTGCTCTAATTTGGCATCTGACCCGGTTTTTAACATTGTGTTTTAAGGAGAGAGCTGGGAATGAGATGAGATCCCCACTTGAGGGTGCTCCCTGATCCTGCCTCTCTCTTGCCATCTCCTCTGTACTCCACCGCAGAGAGTTCAATCATAGTCGGGAGCACTTGGCGTTTTGTGTGTAGGTTTGTGGGGTACAGGTGTGATTCTGTGACACAGACAGATCGCGTGGTGTTGGAGCCAAGGCTTTCAGTGCCTCTGTCACCCAAATAACGCACGGTGTCCCCATGTGTTTGGCTTTTTAACAAAGGAAAGGGAGCGGGAGCGAGAGAGAGAGAACAGACAGCGCGAGCGCGAGCGGGAGCGGGAGCGGGACCGAGAGCGGGAGCGCCGGCAGAGGGAGCGCGAGCGAGAGCGGGAGCGCGAGCGCGACAAGGAGCGGCAGCGGAGGAAGGAGGAGTGGGAGCGTGAGCGAGCCAAGCGGGACGAGAAGGACCGGCAGCACCGTGACCGCGACCGGGAGAAGGAGCGGGAGAAGGAGAAGGGGAAGCCCAAGCCCCGCTCCCCGCAGCCGCCAAGGTAGACCCTGCTTCCTGAAGCCCAGGGGTGTGGGGGAGGTCCGGCATGCAGCTCTGTACCTAGTCCCCCTGGCCTGCGCTTCCCCTCTGTGGCCCACAGCTCTGGAGCCCAGGGGACCAGTGCAGGCCCACAGCCCGAGCCCATAGTTCCAAACCCAGAGCTCTCCAACGCAGGGCCTTTCTGTAAAACTCCCAAGGCCGTGACATCTGCCCTGAGCTCCTGGGAGGCTGTTCTCATTCTAGAGGATCTCACTGATGTGAAAATGCTTACAGTCCACGTGCAAACATCGGTGTGTTTTAATAGGCGCTGCCCTTGTATACCACGCACGGTGTGTAACTCACACCCTGGGCACCATGTTACTGTTCTCAGGAGAGTTCTGAATTCCAAAGCATGCCTGGCCCCCAGAGCTTGGGACTGGGCTCAGGTGCTGTGGGGCATCCGTGTTGCTGGCCAGGGTGAGGCACTCTAGCAGCCAGCATGCAGGGGAGGGCCGGGCGGGCTGCTGTTTTTCCTTTGCGGAGTGGGTGCCTTGGGTGCAGAATGATCCTTGCTGCCAACTGCTGGGGGCACAGTCAAGACCCATGAGACAGGCAGGCGCTGGGGCTCAGGACAGCCCTTTTTTTCTCTCAAATATACTTGACTGTTAGAGCAGAATGGATGGGCGTCAGTGGACATTAGAGTACTGGATGATGTTTTTGGTGGGTGTTTTTTACAACTTTATTGAAATATAATTAATGGACGCTGCAACATACCCATTTAAAGTGTACAATCAGTGGTTTCTAGAATATTCACAGAGTTGTGCAGCCATCATCGCAATCAACATGAGAGCACTTTTGCCCCCTAAAGTGAAACCTTGCGGTGGCTCACACTTGCACCCTGCACTTTGGGAGGCTGAGGCAGGTGGATTGCTTGAAGCCAGGAGTTTGAGACCAGCCTGGGTAGCAAAGCAAGACTCCATCTCTATTTAAAAAAAAAAAAAAAAAATTAAAAATTAGCTGGGGGAGGTGGCATGAGCCTGTGGTCCCAGCTACTCGGGAGGCCAAGGCAGGAGGATTACAGGATCGCCCAGGTGTTGGAGGCTGCCATGAGCTACAATCGCACGGCTGCACTCCAGCCTGGATGACAAAGTGAGACCCTGTATCTAAAAAAAAAAAAAAATTAAAAATTGTTTTAAAAAAATCTAGGCTGGGCACGGTGGCTCACTCTTGTAATCTCAGCACTTTGGGCGGCCGGGATGGACAGATTGCTTGAGCTCAGGAATTGAGATCAGCCTGGGCAACATGGCAAAATCCCGTCTCTACAAAAAAATACAAAATATTAGCAGGGCGTGGTAGTGCACCACTGTGGTCCCAGCTACTCGGGAGGCTAATACGGGAGGATCACTTAAGCCCAGAAGGTTGAGGTTGCAGTGAGCTGAGATTGCACCACTGCACTCTAGCCTGGGTAATAGAGCAAGATTCTGTCTCAAAATAAAAAGAAGAAACATTGTACCCATCAGCAGTCACTCTCCATTTTCCCCACACTTCCCAGTCTCTTAGCAGCTTTGTGTCTCTAGGTATCTGCCCATTCAGAACGTTTTGTAGAAACGGAAGTGTGCAATACACAGCGTTTTGTAACTGGCCTCTTCTACTCCGAGCGTTTTTAACATTTGTCCACGTTGTAGCGTGGGTCAGTGCTTTATTCCTCCATGGATGCACCGCATTGCATTTCTCTGTTCGTCTGTTGATGGACGTTGGGTTGTTTCCAGCTTTTGGCTGTTGTGGTTGTGAATTTGTGTGCAAGTTTTTGTGTGGACATAGGTTTCCATTTTTCTTGAGCATATACCTCAGTGTGGAATTGCTAGATCACATGGTCACTCTATGTTTAGCTGTTTGAGAAACCCTCAAACTGTTGTGCAGAGCAGCTGCACCTTTTACATTCCCGCTAGCCGCATAGGAGGGCGCCATCTCTCTGCATCCTTGTCTGCACTTGCTGCGGTCCGTCTTGTTGATGACAGCCGTCTTGGTGGGTGTGACGTCTCCCTGCCGTTGCGATTTGTATTTCTCTGATGATGGATGATAATGAGAGCATCTTCTTCTGTGCTTATCAACCATTTGTATATCTTCTTTGGAGAAACGCCTATTCAGATCCTTTGCTCATTTTTTGTTTTTTATTATTGAGTGGTAAGAGTCCTTTATGTATTCCAGATACAAGTCCCTTATCAGGTTCATGATGTGCAGTTCCAATTAATGTTTTCTATTTTGTTGCTTATGGTTTTGGTGTCATGTAAGATACCATTGACTAATACAGGGTCATAAAGATTTACTGCCGTGTTCTCTTCTAAGAGTTTCATAGTTTTAGCTCTTACACATAGGTCTTTGATCCAGGCTGGGTGACAGAGAGAGACCCTGTCTCAAAAAAAGGGGGGGTGTCGATGAGAGCATGAACGTTGCTCCGTCTCAGGGTTGGTTTGTGTCACCGTCCCCGTGGGGGTGAAATGCAAGGAGGGATCAAGGCAGTTCCTTATTGGGAAACAGCCCGAGATCCTTCCAGGGCCATGGCCTGCAGGACTTCCCAGTCAGGAGTCTGTACTTCCAACTCAGGGATGTTGTTTGACTTGGCTCTCATAAAAATCCACATTTGGGCCTACACCTTCCAGTAACACTGGACTCCGCTAGACCTGCAGGCATGGGCAGCTTCGTGGCTGGAGCCACACAGTGGCCACACTTGGAGGGGCCACAGTTCTCATGCTCCCCTCAGAGACCTGGCAGCCATCAGGACCTGCGACTGTGGCTCTGGAAGGATTTGCTTTCCACCACGGGACAAAAACAAGCCCCTTGTCCTCCTCATCTTGTCCGTGTGGCTGGACGACACCCGCTCTTGTGTACAGTGGAACACAAGTCATCTACGCTTTTCTGAAAGTCAGCTCTCAGGCAGGACTTCGCAGGCCTTTGTTTCAGGGTCACTCATGGCTGTAGCTGCTGCTTAGCCGGTGGCAAGTGCCAGTTTTGACTGTTTTCATTCTCCAGCTCACAGTGAATGGACTTCCCTAAATGTGCTGTATTTGTCATACTTTCCTAACACTAGGCAAAGTAATCTTCTTAAAGAACATTCAGAATAAGTGACATATTTCAGATGTTTTTAATCCTTTTATGTTACAGTAATCTCTAAGTTATTTTGAAGTTTACATGGTCATCCAAACGGGGAAACCGTCATTGACCTTGACATTGTGCCGCCTTCTTCAGCCTTTCAAGCCCTTTTGGATAGAAGCCCTTCCCCTACAGCACACACAGTATTTTCAGTGTGCACTCAGCCTAAGGCTGCCTTCTCCCCTGAGACCCCACTGCAAAGGTGCAGCCCAGCACCCCGTGCACACACCCCCAGCCGCTCCCTCTGCCCAGATGGGCTGCCCCCATTTCCTCCATTCCGTCTGCCTGGACGGGCTGCCCCACCTCCTGTTCCCTCTGCCCAGATGGGCTGCCCCCACCTCCTCCATTCCCTCTGCGTTTGACAGGCTGCCCCCACCTGCTCCGTTCCCTCTGCCTGGACGGGCTGCCCCCACCTGCTCCGTTCCCTCTGCCTGGACGGGCTGCCCCCACCTGCTCCGTTCCCTCTGCCTGGACGGGCTGCCCCCACCTCCTCCATTCCCTCTGCCTTTGACAGGCTGCCCCCACCTCCTCCGTTCCCTCTGCCTTTGACAGGCTGCCCCCACCTCCTCCGTTCCCTCTGCCCGGACGGGCTGCCTCTACCTCCTCCAGGGTTTTGCTCAGATTCCTCTGCACAGGGAAGTCTCCCCATCCCCTCCTGCTTGCCAGCCTGCTTTCTTGTTCCTCATGGCCCTCAGTGCCCATCTGGAGCCCTTGCAGCAGATGGTCCTGGGGCACCACCGTCTGCCCTGCTCCCCGTTGCAGCCTCTGTGCCTGTCCCAGAGTCCCGCACAGGTTGGTGCTTACCCACATTTGGGGGTGCTGTCCGTGAGTTTTGGATTTGGTATCAGCCTGCATTTTTACCTGCATGTCATAATTGATTGTTACAGGGTTGCTAAAATTGCACATTGATTTCTACAAACAGAACCAGCTGAGTCTGCTTTCCAGATTCACAAAATAGGGGTTTTCACGCCACCCAGATCATTGGTTTTAGAAGCAGAGACATAGAAAGGCAGTGATATCCACGTGGAAGGTCACTGTGCTGTGTGGCTCTGGGTTTATGAGTCCGTCAGCATGTCCACTTTGGTGGCTTATGGGCACACGTGCCTGGCCACAGACCCCCTTCCCCAGCCCCTAGTCATGTATTCTGCCTGTTTCTAAGCAGCCGGGGGCTCTTCCCAGTCAGGAGTCTGTAATTCCAACTCAGGGATGTTTTCTGTGTACAAGAATGTACTTCTGGAGTACGCGTTAGAGGGCCGCCATGCCTAAGGTTGCTGTGTTCCTCTGCTGTGGCCCGCACTTTAGTGACCCGCG
The DNA here is from genome assembly GCF_000001405.40 of Homo sapiens. Lineage (NCBI taxonomy): Eukaryota > Metazoa > Chordata > Mammalia > Primates > Hominidae > Homo > Homo sapiens. The sequence goes on from NC_000016.10 coordinate 88,615,976, forward strand.
GAATGGGAGGGCAGATTCCCGACTGCTGTGCCCGTCTCCTGTGTGCTCAGCCTCCCCAGAGGAAAGCGGGTGACGGATCCCAGGAGGCTTGGAGAGGGTAACTCTGCCAGCATGGCCACCAGGCAGCAGGTTGCCATCGCCAGCCCCTGAGCCCTCAGCTTCACAGAGGAGTCTTACATTCAGGAAGGGACTGGGAGGTGCTCAGACGTTGTCTGGCCTGATCTGGGCTCACAGCTAGGGTTCAGGAAACTCTGTACTAAATGAGTTTTTCTTAAAATCAAACACAGCTGCTCTCACCAAACTGGGCCGAGCCGCTCTTCCCACCTGTTTCTGACCTGGTTCATTTCCCTTCTGCGAGGCTCACGTCCCTTTCTTTCCTTCCTGAAGCACTTGCTTGTGCTCCTGGGGCTGCCCTCAGCCCCTTCTCGGAGCTGCCAGCAGCAGGGCTGACGTTCTCTGCGTCGCTTGCCTGGATTCATTCAGCCGGCTTCCGGGTGCTGGGGAGTCCCCGGTCTTGGCTTCACTCACCTTTGCGGGAGCCCTGCCAGGCCCGCTACCTGCCTGGAGGACAAGGGTTTCCCCAGCGCAGAATTTCCAGCCAGTGCTCCTGCTTCCTTCTCCCTTATCAGCCAGAACTGGCCTGGCTGCCTTTTCAGGAGCAGCTGAATTCCCTTTGCAGTAATACACGTATTGAATGGGTGGGTCTTTGGCAGGTTGGGAGTTTGTAATCATTAGGTGGATAGAAAGAACTTTTCTCACCTAAACTGGAAGAAAATGACACAGTTTTACCCAGGGAGATCCATTTGGGAAGATTCTGCCTTCAGCTACCAAGCAGAACACGAATGAGGGGCTCTGCAGTGTCCAGCACGGCTGCACCAGGGCTAGGCCTTGCATGGGGGCTACACCCTAGTGAAGCGCAGTCACTTTTGTTTGGTCTGAAGCGCGGCCCAGGCTCGTTATAGCAGGCACTTCACCACCCCAAGCTTCACGAGAGGGGGCACAGTCGTGCAGCGGGAGGAGCGAGAGTCGGCCACTGTTTGGGTGCCATGGGTGTCCTGGGTAGAGTTGAGGGCCTCCCCCGGGAAGGATAATGCTGAGCCCCAATAGGAAACACTGCCCTGAGCTATCTGATGGCCAGCCCTCTGTCCATGGGGGAGCCATTTCTTTTCCTTATCTCTAAGCTAATACCCCTCTTTCCTGAGGTTCTCTCTTACTGCCTAAGCTGTTTGGCTCTGGGAGTTACTGGCTAGCTTGTCCCCGTCGGGATCTCATCCCCATCGGTATCTCTGGCAGGGCTTCTTGACCAGCTCCCCCCTGGACCTGCGGCTGGAGACGGAGTTGTGCCGCTCTCTCCGTCCTAGTTTGCCTTTTGAGGCTTACCCACTCCTCCACCTGGGCTGTTTTAAAATGATTAGAGCAGAACCTTTCAATCAATTCTATCAAATGCATCTGTAGAGCTAAGGGGGCGGTCCCTTATGTGAAACCTAATCTTTATAGCTAGGCCGATGGGTGTGCTCACCGCCGAGGCACGTCATTACGATGCTCTTTGGCTAGTCATTGTCATTAGAAATGTAAACACTGATTGGGGACCTTCCCGCAGGAGCTGTCTGGGCTGCCTGCTGTCTCCAAGCTATTCAACTTCCAGGTTTACCTTTGCAGCTTTGGGTGCCCCTTCAGGGCTTGAGCTTGGCAGGCTCCTGCGGTGGGGTTGTGGGGTGGACCCCTGAGACTGGAAGCACTCGCCCCCCAGCACCTACTCACCCCGGGCTCTTCATTCTCACTCTTCCCTGGTAAGTTCCGGACACCGCAGAGTCCGCACCCCTTTGGCGGCCCATCCAGTGGGCGCCTGCTTCCTGGGCCACCGCTTCATGCTCAGTTTTTTGGGCTGAGCCCTCTCATCTGCCAGTTTGAGGCACCCCAGGAGTCTCAAGATCTCTGCTGGGAGTGGGCCAGGCTACACAGTCTTCTTCAGAGGGATTTGTGACTCCCCTAGAAAGGTTAAGAAACCCTATTTTAGACCAGCCTTCTGGGTAAGGGACTAGTGGAGTTAGGGATTTTCATGTGCAGTTGAACGCACAGAAGGCGCAGTTGCTGGTGTTTGTATCTGCTCTGCGCTGAGACTGGCTCTTGCAGGTGTGAGTGAGGCCGCCTGGCCTTCTGCACAAGTCACAGAGAAGGTGACGGCCACTCAGGTCGTCCATTGGACTCCACTTTTTTTTTTTTTTGCAAAGTGTAAAGACATGGGGCGGGCACTCCAGGTCTGCTTTGGGCTTTTTCTGTTACGTTTTAAGGGAGGTGGGGAGAGCATGTGGCCCGTAGCTAAATGCTCCACAGGCACTCACAGAACAAGCCAGGAGAGAAGCTTTGCTGTGGAGGTGCTCCCAGAGCTGCCTCTGAGCAGGCTCAGCCCGGGGAGGCCCATAGGCTCCCATCTCCCTTTTCCCTTGTTGATGTAGATGCTTAGCTCTTTTGATTGAAGAAAGAACCTTCATGCGTTTTTATCCTTTTTCACCTTTGACCCCAAACTTGACAGCTGCTGGGGTTGGAGTTTCTGGACACGTGGCCTGTAGCAGCCTGGCATCTGTGGCGCCTCGTGTGGCTGCTGGCATCGGTGAGGCATGAGCTATGAGTGTGCCAGCCTCGGGCCCTTGGTTTTGTCTGCCTCTGGCATGTTTGCATTGGTGGTGGAGCTGACCTTTGCCCCTTAGAGAGTCTCCTGTGGCCTTCAACGGGGAATGGGGGCCAGATGATAGCGCGGGCCTTGTGCTGCGGGAAAGGCTACTTCCTCAGTCAGAGGTCATCTGGAGGGTTCTCCCCTGCGGTTGGAAGTGTTCATGCAAATTCCAGATCTGTCCTGGCCCAGCTTGGAGGTGGGCCTTCCTGACTGGGCCATCCCTTGCGAGCGTTCTCAGCCCACACTGGCTCCCTCTGCGCAGGCCCCTACTTGTGAAGGAGCTGAGCCGCACTCGGTGGGCTGTCCTGGGGCACCCATGTTGTGTGTTTTGGTTTTGTTTATTTTGTATCTGCCTGGTTTTTCCAAGTCTAATCAGGATGTCCCCTGGGGTGACATTCTTTGCTGAGAGAAGGGCACATGCCTCGGTTCCCTGGGCTGTAGAAAGCCAGTGCTCAGCCTTGCTTTCTGCCGCAGACTTGGTGCCCGGAGACTCGCTATCAAAGTGCAGTGGAGATAATGTCCAATGGGAGGCTGAGGCAGGAGAATGGCATGAGGCAGAGCTTGCAGTGAGCCAAGATCGCACCACCGTACTCCAGCCTGGGCAACAGAGCGAGGCTCTGTCTCAAAAAAAAGAAAAAAGGAAAAAAATGGTTATCTGCATCCTGGTTAAAATCAGTACCACCACGTCCCACACGTGGTAACATGGACTTGCTGGATAGGACCTCCTTGCTCCATGGGCCTGGAAGCAGCTGCTTCAGAAGGAAGGTGGTGCGGCCGGCGGCAGCGGAGGGCGCGCTGTGCAGTGACGAGATGGTGCAGGCCCGTCCACAGCCCTGGCCCAGAGAAGGAGAGACCTCACTGACCCCTGCTGGGCCTGCCTCTGGCCATCTTCATTTTGAAATTCGGTATCATTGTCTCCAGAGGGAATGAGCAGCTCTTTCTGGGGGGCAAGCACCAGCTGCCCTGAGATTGTGGAGGCCTGCACTGCCCGCCTCTCTGGACCTCAGCTGGTTTTATTTCCATGCCGTGGCAGGGGGCAAGCAGACGCTGTTTTTCCTTCCCCCTCACCGCAGCTAGGACTCCACATGCTGTTACAGCTTCACCCGAAGAAGAGGTGGTCCTGACCACGCCTTGACTTCTGCCCGTTCCCTCTCCCTGTGTTGGAAGGGCCGCGCTGTCCCTGTGACTTATTGGTGCTCCCTTTCCTCTTGGGGTGTTAGGATGAGAGTTATACAGGAAGTATAAAGGTGAAAGTAGCTCTCTAGTAGCCTGTGACAGGGAGGATCATCAGACAGGTGTTTACTTCCTTCCTGGATTACTTTTCCAGGAGACACCCAGATGTGGCAATAGCTCTTGGGGTTTTGGGCTGACGTACAGGAGCTGAAGCTGTGATGTCGCGTGTCCGTGTCCTTAGGACAGTGTTAAGTGGGGAGCTGCCCCCATCCTGCATTCTCAGCAGATAGCAGGCATGTTTGCCAGCCGGTTGGTTAAACAAGCTCTGAAAACATAAACATTGATGGTTTTGGTGGTTTCATGTGTTGTCGTGTGACGTAAGCAGATGCTACCACAGCAGAGCCAGAGGTGAGCAAGACGTAGGGCAGAGAATCCCACTCACAGTAACACAGGAACTAAAACAGCTTTTTAAAATGTGTTTGCAGGCCAGGCATGGCGGCTCAAGCTTATAACCCCAGCACTCTGGGAGGCCAGGGTGGGAGGATCACTTGAGGCCAGAAATTCGAGACCAGCCTGGGCAACATAGGGAGACCTCAAATCAATGTTTAATGACCTGGGTGTGGTGGTGCACACCTGCAGTCCTGGCTACTCAAGAGGCTGAGGTGGGAGGATCCCTTCAGCCTGGAAGCTCAAGGCTGCAGTGATTATGCCACCACACTCCAGCCCACATGGGTAACAGAGCAAGACCCTGTCTCTAAAAAAGAAAAAAAAAAAAAAAGCCACGTTCTGCTTATACAATTGCCAGGATTTTGGGTTAGTTTGTGTCTGGGTGGTGGTTGTGGTTCTTAGTGGTGACACCGAGCCCAGGTTCGGCACCGCACACTGCTGGCTGAATGAGGAAAAAATATCTGATAACCCACCAAGAACCTGTAAAATGTGTATCTCCTTTGACCCATTAATTCCATTGCTCAGGAGTTTACCCTTTAAAAAGTCAGATAAAGATTTATATATAAGGGGTCAGTTTAATATCATTTGTGTTTGGGTTTTTTTGTTTGTTTTTTATAATGGAGTCTCACTCTGTTGCCCAGTTTGGAGTGCAGTGGCGCAGTCTCAGCTCACTGCAATCTCTGCCTCCTGGGTTCAAACCATTCTCCTGCCCTCAGGCTCCCCAGTAGCTGGGATTACAGGCACGTGTTACCACACCCAGCTAATTTTTTTGTTTTTTGTTTTGTTTTGTTTTGAGACGAAGTCTTGCTCTGTCGCCCAGATTGGAGGGCAGTGGCGCAGTCTCAGCTCACTACAACCTCCGCCTCCCAGTTTCAAGCAATTCTCCTGCCTCAGCTTCCCAAGTAGCTGGGATTACAGGCGCCCGCCACCACATCCAACTAATTTTTGTTTTTGTTTTTATTTTTTTTTTTTTGAGACAGAGTCTCGCTCTGTCGCCCAGGCTGGAGTGCAATGGCGCGATCTCGGCTCACTGCAAGCTCCACCTCCCGGGTTCACGCCATTCTTCTGCCTCAGCCCCCCAAGTAGCTGGGACTACAGGCGCCTGCCACCACGCCTGGCTAATTTTATATATTTTTAGTAGAGATGGGGTTTCACCATGTTAGCCAGGATGGTCTCGATCTCTTGACCTCGTGATTCGCCCGCCTCGGCCTCCCAAAGTGCTGGGATTACAGGTGAGCCACCGCAGCCGGCCTAATTTTTGTATTCTTAGTAGACATGGAGTTTCACCATGTTGGCCAGGCTGGTCTCGAACTCCTGACCTCATGATCCGCCCACCTCAGCCTCCCAAAGTGCTGGGATTACAGGCATGAGCCATCGCGCCCAGCCTAATTTTTGTATTTTTAATAGAGACAGGTTTCACCATATTGGCCAGGCTGATCTGGAACTCCCGACCTCAAGTAATCCACCCGCCTCGTCCTCGCAAAGTGCTGGGATTGCAGGCGTGTGCCACCATACCTGGGCTTATTTCATAAATATTTATTATGAACCTACTAGTATATCAGCACTAGAGATAGTATTAGACACGGCAGACACCATCCCTGTCCCTCCTAGAGCTGACAGCGTAGTTGGAAAGATGGAAATTAAGTAAGTAATGACACTCACAGAAAGTAACTGCCATTCTGGTTCAGGAGAAATCTGGGTGTTCCCCTGAGTAACAGACACTGAGCCAAGGGCCATGGACATCACCCAAGTCCATGGGGTGATGGGTTTTGTGAGTGGCCTTTTTTCCCCTTAGGACCCTTTGTTTCTCAGGTGATCCTTAAATAAGCCAGGTATGAGATCCATAGTCTCTCCCGCTGCTGTCACACCTGGCATTGCTGTGAAGCGGAAGGTGGCCTGAGAGTTGCTAATGCCTCTGTAATTTCAGCCGCCAAGCTGAGCCACCAAAGAAGGAGGCTGCCACCACGGGGCCGCAGGTGAAGAGAGCAGATGAGTGGAAGGACCCTTGGCGCCGATCCAAGTCTCCCAAGAAGAAACTCGGGGTGTCGGTCTCCCCGAGCCGGGCTCGAAGGCGTCGGAAAACATCAGCCTCGTCAGCCTCTGCCTCTAATTCCTCCAGGTAAGGAGGGCTCGTGGGACGGCTGGGGTGTCAGCACCTTGGAGCCGTCAGCTGACACCATGTACCTCACTGGGTCAGGTGGGGAACACCCCAGCCCCACTGTTTGCTGTGGCGTCGTTACCTGCAGACCAGTCAGTGGGACTAACCCGGCGTTTATACCTTCAGCAAAGAGCATCAATGCCAAGTAGGACTGACGCAGTGACCCCAAATGGGGCACAGACCCCGGCGACTGAGCCTGACTGCTCCCAGGGAGTCACAGGCCACACTGGAGGGAGGGGCACCTGGATGCGGGAGGACGCACAGACCTGGGGCCCAGTGAGTCCATCTGTTCCTCCAGACTGGACCTGAAACTGTTGCCCCTCCACCTACGGTCCTGGTCTCAGCACACAGGAGCCCGGCTCCCGAGTGAGGGATGATGGAAAGCAGGGGGCCGGGGTAGACCCCATCATGCTCGGCAGGAACAGGAGGTGTGGGTGGGAGGCCAGGCTTCACTGAAAGTGGATGCAGATGAACAGATAGACACACACACGGACCCACGTGAGCTGGGTCTGCCCACTCAGGCAGCGCCACCCGGTAACAGCAGGCACACCCCACGCCCAGGTCTTGATTTCTAAATGCCGTTCTGCACCAAGGAGGGATGGCACTGAAGAGTGTCTGGGGGAGGCTGTATGCGTCTGTGCGCGCGTCTGCAGCTGTGCGCGCGTGCGCAGCTGTGCGCTTGTGTGTAGCTGTGCGTCTGTGGGTGTGTAGCTGTGCATGTGTGCGTCAGGGCGTGTGGGGCAGGGAGGGCCCTTCTCACTTCTCGCCACGCTCCGTCCCGCCCGCCCCAGGTCGTCTTCGCGGTCATCGTCCTACTCTGGCTCCGGCTCCTCCCGGTCGCGATCCCGGTCTTCATCCTACAGCTCCTACTCCAGCCGCTCTTCCAGACACAGCTCGTTCTCAGGAAGCCGGTCCAGGTATGTCCCCAGGGCCCATGAAGGGCCCTCAGCAGGTGCAGTGAGCAAGGGCACCTGCGGATGTGGCTTTAGTTGTGGCGCCAGTAGCCCCTTGGGGTATTGAAGGTCCCTGCTGGCAGCTGAACTAGGATGGCCAGGGGGTCGTGTCCTGTGTCCCCCACCAAACACCAGCCTTGCGGGCCCTCGTCCTTGTGTAGATGCGTGCTGTCACTGAGGGCCACAGCCTGAGATCCTCGAGTTGAGGCACTCCAGTCCTCCGCAGACAGGCCGAGGAAGGGGCCAGACCCAGCCCTGTCCTGTGGGTGTTTCTATGGGAGCTGTGCTGCTGCCCCACTGCCAAGGAGCCTGTCTCCTCCTGTCCTGCACACACATGAACGTGACACTCGCCTCCCGGAGGACCCGCCAGTGGATGCTGACACCTTCCACGCTCTCTGGTCTACTCTGGGCCTGTGTTTTTAGCAGATGACAGAACAGTCCAGAACTGAAGTTAAAACTGAGGCACATAAATGGAAATTCGTGGCCTTCTCCATGGGTCTGGGTGGGTCCTCAGTGGGCTTGGGCTGGTGAAGAAACACCCCCAGGCCCCTTCCGACACCTTTGTTCACTCCCCTAGGTCCCGGTCCTTCTCTTCGTCCCCGTCCCCGTCCCCAACACCTTCCCCACATAGACCTTCCATCAGAACCAAGGGAGAGCCGGCCCCGCCGCCCGGGAAAGCAGGGTGAGTGCCCAGCCTGTGGGCAAGTCCTGGCCGGCCAGGCCTCCACAGGCTGCAGCCTCCTCCCTCCGTCTCTATCTCTCATTTGTGTTTGGGACCAAAGAGGTGAGGATGCCTCAGGGGGCTGGCCCCAGGGGGTGACTGGGCTGGGAGGCACTGGGCACAGCTCCTGTTCTCACGGGCCACCCTTACACAGCAGCACTCCCTCGGGAACCCTGGGGACAGAGCACAGCCCTGGGGACACGGCAGCAGCCGGGTGTTCTTAAGGGGTCTTCCTATTAGCCTGCTCTCCCCACTGCCTGGCGGTGCCTGTAGCTCTTGCCTGTTAGAGGGGAGCCTGGAAGGGCTGCTGGGGGCTTTGAAGCCGTTCCCAAGCACTCTGACACCGATGGGTGGGGAGCCGTGTCCAGGCACGAGCGTGCTCACCGAGCGTCACAGGCATGCAGTGTCGTTCCCCGAGCTGTGGGTCCATTGAAAGGGGATGTAGGCCAGCGGGGCCCCGTCCACCAGCCCTGCCCTGCTCGAGCCTCCCTGTCTCACAGAGAGAAGTCAGTGAAGAAGCCGGCCCCGCCTCCAGCCCCACCACAGGCCACCAAAACCACTGCTCCTGTCCCCGAGCCCACCAAGCCAGGAGACCCTCGGGAAGCCAGGAGGAAGGAGCGGCCAGCCAGGACCCCCCCCAGGAGGTGAGCACTCCGGCGTCCGGGGCCCTCAGGCTTTCCGTGTTCTTGGTGCCACTGTGATGCTGGCACTGCTGGAAATCCAGAGTGCCAGGGTCCAGAGCCAGGTGGTGGGAAGCGCCCCCTAGCCGAGCAGCACCCAGTGAGCCCTTACCCGGGAACCTGCCCTGTCCCCTCCCTGAGCCTGTGTTTCTGGAGCGTGAAGGGGAAGGGACAGCGTGGCACGGAGCACAGGCCTTCCCGCCATGGCCCCGTCTGCACTGGAAGGTGCTGCCCCCGAGAGACTGTACTTTTTATCTTGACAAAACACTGAGCCTAAAGGAAGACAGGCCCAGGCCCTGTTCCAAGGTGGTAGCAAGGCCAGTCTGGAGGCTCACCTCACAGGGCTGCTGGTGGGGAGGGGAGGCCGCGAGGGGCTGTGGAGGCCACGCCCCCTGAGCCCCGCTGTTGCTTGTATTACAGGCGGACGCTAAGCGGCAGCGGCAGTGGCAGTGGTAGCAGCTATAGTGGTTCCAGCTCCCGATCCAGGTCATCCCCATCACCCTGTGCCTCTGTTTCTCCCTCCCCGTCGGGGCCAGGAAGTCCCAGAAGCAGCCAGTGTGGGTTGGGCTGTCTCCCACAGGTGGGCTGGGGCCCTTCTGGATCTGAGTCACCCTGGGGCTGTGGAAGGCTGCGGTTGAAGCTTTGACACAGGAGAAAATGGGCCAGGACTCGTGATAGGAAGACCCCCTCCCCCCACCAAAAAAAGATTCACAAACTCGGGGGCACTCAGGTCAGGAGGAGGTGCCTCTGCCCTGCTGACTTGATGCCCAGCACCCTGAGAGAGCACCTGCACCTGGGGAGGAGCCGGCAGCTTCCAGCCCAGCAGGGCAGAGGCTGGGCCTGCGTGACCTATCACACCTGTCGAGGGAACCGGCCTGAGGGGGTGGGGAAGCCGATAAAAACATCTGAGAAGAGAATACATGGAAAAGCTTTGTGGGCCAGGTGCGGCGGCTCACACCTGTGATCCCAGCACCGTGGGAGGCCAAGGCAGGAGGATTGCTTGAGCCCAGGACTTGACCAGCCTGAGCAACATAGACCCCATCTCCACAGAAAAAGATTTTTTTTTTTTTTTTTTTTTTTGAGACAGTTTCATTCTTGTTGCCCAGGCTGGAGTGCAATGGCGCGATCTCGCTACCTCCGCCTCCCGGATTCAACCTCAGCCCCCTGAGTAGCTGAGACTACAGGCGCACACTGCCACGCCCAGCTAATTTTCTGTATTTTAGTAGAGATGGGGTTTCACCATGTTGCCCAGGTTGGTCTCAAACTCCTGAGCTCAGGCATTCCACCCACCTTGGCCTCCCAAAGTGCTGGGATTACATGCGTGAGCCGCCGCACGCAGCCTAATTTTGTATTTTTAGTAGAGACTGGGTTTTACCACGTTTCTGATCTTGAACTCCTGACCTCAGGTGATCCATCCGCCTCGGCTTCCCAAAGTGCTGGGATTACAGGTGTGAGCCACTGCACCCAGCCCAGAAATTTTTTTTAATTAGCTGGGTATAGTGGTGTGTGCCTATGATCCCAGCTACTTGGGAGGTCAAGGTTGAATGAGCTGTGATCACGACATTGCATTCCAGCCTGGACAACAGAGATCCTGTCTCAAAACAAAAAAAAAGGATTTTTGCTATTTAGTTGTTTTAAAAGAAAGTATTAAATCAGTCCTTAGATTCCTTGCATAGAACTCTTTCATTTCCAGGCAGCAGGTCGTTTATATATTTGTCACAGTTCTTTGTTTCTTTTGTTTGTTTTGTTTCTGGAGAGACATGGTCTTGCTGTGTTGCCCAGGCTGGTCTCAAACTCCTGGGCTCAAGTGATCCTCCCACCGTGGTCTCCCAAACTCGTGGGATTATAGGCATGAGCCACCGCGCCTGGCCTAAATGTTTCTTAATAAGTCTGAAATGTTTTAAAGACCTGACTTTTGAAAAAAAAAAATGGTTCTCTTACATTCCCCCGTTCCTTGCTCCGGTACCCAATGTACCTGGAAGACGTGGTTGGTGTTTTCTCGAGCAGCATATGGGCAGGGCAGACTCAGGTGCCAGTCCTGTGTGCTTTGTGTCCGTGTTGAGTGCACGCCAGTGAAGCTACAGACCTGCTGTTTCCAGTCTGTCTGCCGTGTGTTCCTCAGGCATTCCCTGAGACTGCGGAATTGCTCCTTGTGTTTTTAATTTCCCTGTGGGCTGAGGCTATCTCCCTTTTGTCTAAGCCAGGGACTCTGCTTAAATTCCATCCTTGCCGCTGTTGAGTCAGCTCAGTCCTGTTTCCCTTCCCAAAAAGCAACCTGACATTCGTTTTGTTTTTTGTTTGTTTTGAGACGGAGTTTCACTCTTGTCGCCCAGGCTGGAGTGCGATGGCATGGTCTCGGCTCACTGCAACCTCCACCTCCCGGGTTCAAGCGATTTTTTTGCCTCAGCCTCCCCAGTAGCTGGGATTACAGGCGCCTGCGACCACGCCCGGCTAATTTTTGTATTTTTAGTAGAGATGGGGTTTTACCATGTTGGCCAAGCTGGTCCCGAACTCCTGACATCAGTTCAGCTGGGTCTCAGACCCCATTGCTCGTGACGAGATCTGCCCATCTCAGTCTCCCAGAGTGCTGGGATTACAGGCGTGAGCAGCCGTGCCTGGCTGCAACCTGACATTGATTAGTGAAATGGGGCCCTGGCCTAGCCATGGGGACGTCCCTTACTTTGTAACCCTGAAACTGCCCAGTGTCCCCCCAAAATCACACATTCCGTGGGTACATGATCCATAAATGGACACTGCGTAAAAGTGGACCATGGAGCACCCCCTGCTGGCCCCTCCCTCCAGTCTGGCTGGGGTGTGGTGAGATGTGCTTGTGTGTCCAGGTCCCTGAGCGTGAGCAGCGTCTCCTCAGTGTCCAGTGCTACGTCGAGCAGCAGCTCTGCACACAGCGTGGACTCGGAGGACATGTACGCAGACCTGGCTAGCCCCGTGTCCTCAGCCAGCTCTCGGTCCCCGGCCCCAGCCCAGACCAGGAAGGAGAAAGGTACTCAGGAGCCCTGGTACCTTTGGGGAGCAGCTCCCGGGGGAGGAGGGCGGCATCAGCACAGACTTTGCCTGGCTGTTGGTGTGGCCATGGGAAAATCACCAGTACCCCCATGACTGCGGATTTATCATTGGTAGGAAAATCTAAGAAAGAAGACGGTGTTAAAGAGGAAAAGCGGAAAAGGGATTCGTCCACACAACCACCCAAATCTGCAAAACCTCCAGCAGGGGGGAAGTCCTCCCAGCAGCCCTCGACACCCCAGCAGGCACCCCCCGGGCAGCCCCAGCAGGGCACATTTGTGGCCCACAAGGAGATCAAGTTGACACTGTTGAATAAGGTGAGGGCAAGGGCCCTCCTGGTGGCTGCCCCAGCGTCTAGGCCTGGGTCCATCTGCTTCCTGAGACAGCTTCCTCCTGGGGGACGGAGCCTGAGTGAGGGCGAGTGGGGCCTTGCAGGTGTCAGCACAGCCTGGGTAACAAAGCGAGACTCCATCTTTCCGGCCTGGGCTGGGAAGTGTGAGCATCTGGGGAGGTTTGGGTGCTGCTGGCCTCTCTCTGAACAGAGAGGGCGTTCTCTTCGTGCCTGTGGCCGCCATTCCCTGCCATGCAGTCTCAACACAATACAGGAAGCCTCCGTCCCTGTCCTCTGTCCTCAGCAGGACACATCCCTGTCCTCTGCTGGAAGGGCAAGAGGCCTGGCTTCATGGGTCCCAGGTCCTCCTAGAGTGGCCCCCGTGGGGAGCAGGAAGGCCTGCAGGGTGCTTCCCCTGGAACGTGAAGGGCCCCAAGTGCACAGTGGGGGTGCCCTTGGTCCGGGTCCTGGAGGCCTCACTCAGGGCTACGGGGTCTCATGGGTGTGTGGTGGGACCTTTGGGAGCAGAGCAGGTTGCTGGCAAGGAACCCATGTCCTCTGGGGCGAGGACACGGCTTCTGGCTCCTGGCCCTGCTGTCCTCACTGGCCTCTCTCTTGTCCCAGGCGGCTGATAAAGGAAGCAGGAAGCGCTATGAACCATCAGACAAGGACAGGCAGAGCCCTCCTCCAGCCAAGCGGCCCAACACATCCCCAGACCGAGGTGAGCCTCCCAGCCCCTAGGGGGCAGGGCAGAGGGACGGGAGCCTGGGGATGCGGAGCAGCTGGGTCTGAGACCCCATTGCTCTTAACAAGTAGGAGGAGGGTCCAGAGAACATCTGACTTGCAGATGATGCCTGTCGGTATTTAGGGTGTTGAAAACTAAAACGAAGAAAAGGTTTTAAATATTTGTTTAAAAATAACAGGACCGGGCGTGGTGGCTCACGCCTATAATCCCAGCACTTTGGGAGGCTGAGGCCGGCAGATCACTTGAGGTCAGGAGTTCCAGACCGGCCTGGCCAACCTGGTAAAACCCTGTCTCTACTAAAAATACAAAAATTAGGCCGGGCGCGGTAGCTCATGCCTGTAATCCCAGCACTTTGGGAGGCCAAGGTGGGCAGATCATCTGAGGTCAGGAGTTTGAGACCAGCCTGGCTAACATGGTGAAACCCTGTTTCTACTAAAAATACAAAAAATTAGTTGGGCGTAGTGGCGTGCGTCTGTAATCCCAGCTACTTGGGAGGCTGAGGCAGGAGAATCGCTTGAACCTGGGAGGCAGAGGTTGCAGTGAGCTGAGATTGCACCATTGCACTGCAGCTTGGGCAACAAGAGCAACTGTATTTTTTTTTACACATGTGCCATTTTTGCAAAATATATTTTCCAAAACAAATGAGCAGGAATGGCATTGGTTTTTCCATTTTTGCAAATCTCTTCAGTCTGGCTGACGGAAGACGGCTGGACCCACATGCCTCGTGCCTTCTGGAGATCCTCCCAGGCTCCTGCGGACTGAGTGACGAGGCAGATAGTGTCTATATTACTGTTGAACCACACAGACCTGAAAGGGCCTCGGGGACCCCCAGCCATGCTGACCACACCCCAAGAGCTGGGGCCCAGATGGAAAGACAGGGAGATTGTCCTGGCTGGCTTTGATGGGTGGAGCTCAAACCAGATAGAGGACAAGGGGGCCTGGCCACCCGCACAGACACTCCCAGACACAGAGAACAGGCAGGGGGCTTCCAGACCCCTTCCCAAGCAGTTCTCTGGGTTTGTCGGACACAGGAAGAGGAAGCTGCTCACCTTTGTCCCTAAGCCCAGGGCCTGTGCCCTGTGTGGCTGGTCTGGAACAGCCTTGCTGCCCTTGCCTGGGGTTGGAACCAGGGCCTCTGGGGTCCTGCGGACCTTTGTTCTCGCACCAGCCTTGGGCCTGCGCTGGGCAGTGGCCCCCCCCTCGGTTGCCGCGCCTCCCTCCTAACATTGCCAGAGTGAAACACTCCTAGTCTCTCGGCTTTGCTTGTATTTCTTTACTGCCATGTCTTTCTTGTTGTTCCGTATTTGAAGACCCATGTGATAAATTTCTTCAAAGCTAGGAAGGAGTTTTGTCTCTCTGCGTGAGATATTGGCTGCTTGCTGGAACCTGGGGCCCAGGTTTGGCCTCAGCCTCATTTCCAGATGCCTTGGTGCCCACATCTCTCTTCTCCTACTTGGCTCTCCCCTTTTTATTTCTTTATAAAAATGAAGGTGGTGAACTAAGCAGCCTCAGGCTTTAGAAGTGAGTCCCTGGCATCGGTGAGGCCACCCACACAGCCATTCCCTGTACATCAGGAGGGTGGTCTCACTCTGTACCTATCACCCAGGTTCTCGGGACCGGAAGTCAGGTGGGAGACTGGGCTCCCCGAAGCCAGAGCGGCAGAGAGGCCAGAACTCCAAAGCCCCTGCAGCCCCGGCTGACAGGTGAGTCCCACCCAGCATGTGCCCTGGGCACACCGAGGGGGCCAGCCCCAGTCGCTTCCCCAGGGAGGCCAGCAGCAGCAGGGCTAGCACTGGGCCAGGCTGGAGGCGTCACTACAGCTCCTGCTGGTCTGACGGGGTGAGGGGCATGGACAGCGAATTGCAGCCCCACCCCCCACCCCCCCCCACACACACACACACGCTCCTGCCCTGGTTGAGGCTGGAGGGTGCCCTCTGCTCCGCATGCCCTTGGGCAAAAGATCCCTGGGCACAGAGGTGGGAAGAATAACAGGAGGTTGTGCGGGGCCAGCCCAGGACCCTCCCAGTCTGCTCCACAAAGCCCGGGAGCCAGTGGCTAGGACCAGGCCTGCTTGTGGCAGTGGGAGCCTGGCCATCCAGGGAGCCCCTTGCCTGTCCTGGTGGCCGCTGAGGACACAGTGGAAGCGCCCCTACGGGGAGGTCACCCCTTCCACCTGCAGACGTGGCTTCTGGGGGCTCAAGGTCTTCCCCACCCCCTTGTAGGAAGCGCCAGCTGTCACCCCAGTCCAAGAGCTCCAGCAAGGTCACGAGCGTGCCCGGCAAAGCCTCGGATCCCGGCGCCGCCAGCACCAAATCAGGGAAGGCCAGCACGCTGTCTCGGCGGGAGGAGCTGCTGAAACAGCTGAAGGCCGTGGAGGATGCTATTGCACGCAAGCGGGCCAAGATCCCCGGGAAAGCATAGGCCGTGCCCCGACCGGACTGGACGCATTTTTATACATAGGGTAAGCGCAGCCATTTTGGATTTTGCAGTTAATGTCTTATTTTGGCTGTGATTCTTTTTAAAAAGTAAAAAAGAAAAAAAAGTTTCTCAGCTGGAAAAGAAGCCACACAGGAAATGACAACGACGCTGAATCCCAGCCTCCCTCCCCAGAGCAGAAGTCCCGCAGGACAGACAGACACAGACAGCGCTAGTGACCAGCACGGTTCTCATGTAAATTACAAGCCCCAGCCGCCAGCCCCGCCTTCTCTTCCTCCTCCTCCGTCTTCTTCCCTGGCCCTGGTCAGGCCTGTGGAGCCCCAGCTCTGGGTCCCTAGCCCGGGTCCAGGCAGCCAGGCTCCCTCCTGAGCTGAGAAACGGAACCTCGCGAACCACTGGTGGCACATCCTTCTCCTCCCCCGCCCCTGATCACCCGCCCCCGGATCAGAAATATATCTATATTCTCGACTAAAGTCTCATCAGGAAATATTTCCTGTCTTTTATTTTAAGCATCAAATTGTTTTAGTTGATTTAAAAAGGAAAAAATACAGAAAAGACCAAAAAAAGGCCAAGGGTGTTGTTGGGGCGTCTGTCTAATGTGGTGGGTCTTTTTTTGAGGGGTCTCCTAAAATAAAATATTTTGATAAGCAGCTGTCCTTGCCCTCGTGGTGTGTGCGCCCTCTGCCCATGCGCAGCCGGGGCTGCCTCTGTGTCGTGCACTGCACTCGGCCCAGCACTCGGGAGCCGCTGGGGGGCGAGGGTGTGGCTGTGCACTCACTCCCCCCGGGAGGACCGGCTGTGGAGCAGCTCCTGCCTTCAGACCCAGCCCAGGAGAGCATTGCGCCTCAGTTTCCCCATTCGTGGGGCTGGGTTGGGGCTTCCTTGGTCCGTGAGGTGGAGGTACTTTCCCTGCAGGGGCCGTGGAGCTGCTGGAGGGGAAGAGGTCCAGGGCTGACTCCCAGCCCCAAGCCCAGCTGCCACCACTGCAGTGACCACCACCGGCTCCGTGTGCAGGCCCCAGACCTGCTGAGCCAGGCCCCGCGTGTGATGCCACGTTCCACAGCAGGGGCCACCGGCAGAGCCCCCCAGGACCCACCGCTGCTGCTCCCTGCTTTCCACCTTGAAAGCCACAGGCCTGCGCCTGGGCAGCGGCCTCCCAGGTGCACGCTCCAGGGCCTCCAGCGCCTCCTTTAATCAGATTCAGGTAGCCGCGGTGTGGTGCCCAGGCCTGCGGCCCACCCATCTCCCTCATCTACTTCCTGACCCGAGGTTCAGGATGAGACCTCCAAGAGAGAGCTCCCTCCCACGGGGCCGCGAGCTGAGCCCCAGGGAGGCAGCATCCCGTGCTTCTGCTCCCAGCATGACCTGCGTCCATGCCACTCTTCCCCTGGATTAAATGACAATTAGAGTGTAGGCAGAGGAGCTGGGCGTGAGCGAGCACCACAGGGGGACCGCCTGTGCACTCCTGAGGGGACTGTTTCCCATTTTATGTCCACCTCCCTCCGATAGCGCAGGCCATGCAGTTCATCTTGTGTCCCAGCGGCCTGGATCATGTGTCTCAGCAATTTTTTCTTTTCTTTTTTTTTTTTTTTTTTTCCTGAGACTGAGTCTCACTCTGTCGCCCAGGCTGGAGGGCAGTGGCACGATCTCGGCTCACTGCAAGCTCCGCCACCCGGGTTCACACCATTCTCCTGCCTCAGCCTCCCGAGTAGCTGGGACTACAGGCGGCCGCCACTACGCCCAGCTAATTTTTTGTATTTTTAGTAGAGACGGGGTTTCACCATGTTAGCCAGGATGGTCTCGATCTCCTGACCTCGTGATCCACCCGTCTCGGCCTCTCAAAGTGCTGGGATGACAGGCGTGAGCCACCGCGTCCGGCCACAGTTTTTTGAGGCTTATCCGATTTGCCATCAGGTCAAAGCCAGGTGCAAGGGAATTCCCATTCTCTGAAAAGGGTGGCCTTCAAGGCCACAGAGCTGGAGTCCAGGCCACCCTGGGTGCCAGCCTGCAGCCTGTCATTTGTGAGCTGCACCATGAGGGCTGGAGGCCAGGAAATGGCGCTCTGTGCCCCCAGTGTGGGGCACCTCAAGCTAGCATCTGCAGTGACTGTCTCTTTACGGCCAGGAGCGGACAGGTGAGCCCACCACAGCTCAACGGCCAGGAGCAGACAGGTGAACCCACCACAGCTCACCTGTGGACTGGGACCAGGCGAGGTCCCCTCTGCGGCTGCTCAGCCCCCGGCCACAGCCCTAGGCACCTCAGTCTGGAGCTGGGTTTGAACTCGCACCGGGTGGCAGTGGACCCCAGGTGTGGCTACCCATCCCTCTGGCTCTTGGACACTGGTGCAGAGGGGCCTGTCCTAGGAGGGTGACTGCCCCCATGTGGTCTAGTGGAGAGGATGTTTGGTCAGGCAGCTGGGAAGGACGGCCTTGCTGTGTGACAGGCATCGATGGGCGTCCACGCCCTCCAGGGACGTCCTGCTCCAGGTGGTTGGCACTCACGTTCTCCTCGCTCCCCATGCAGTGACTAGAAAGCCTGTGTGGGATTCTGGCAACGGCATCCGCCCGCCAGCCCCTCCCAGGGGGTGCCCCAGGGCCTCTGCCCTCTGCCCGCAGCTCCTCCCCCACAGCCACGCTTCCACCCACCCGTTCGGCTGGGCTTTGGGTGGGCAGGCAGACGTAGACCCTGCTTGGAGGCGGTGGCCCTAGAGGGATCCACAGATGGGGAAAAGGCCGAGACACACGAGACCACTCCTGCCGGGGAAAACCCATGAGGGGGTGGGGGCGGCCGCGCCGCAGGGAGGGGCCCTCTGCTGTCCCAGCCAACGTCCCATGACGATTTTGCACCCCCGCCAGCAGTGCCCTCGGCTGGACACACCTGCGTTGTGGGCAGCCGGCAGCGCGTGACCCACTGTGCACCTGCGCCTTGATGTAGGGGGGAGACCCTGCAGAGAGCGCTTCCTTCCGCCCTGTCCAGTGCCCTCCCTGCCTCACCCCTCTTCCCGCAGGCCCGCTCAGGGCGCTGAAGGGCTCCTGACCGTGGGTCCGTCCTTCGCTGCGTCTGGGGGGCGTCCCCCGCGCTGCCTCTGACCCGCCCGGCCCTGCGTTTGTCTGAAGCCCCTCGTTCCGCATCTCCGGACCAGGGTCCGGGGGCGTGGTCTGCTGGGGGCGGGCCCGGGTTGTGGTTTGAGAGCCGCTCGGCCTGTCTGGGCCTCCGCCTCCGGGTCGCCCTCCAGCCTTCCTGCCGCCGCTTTTCCAGTCTTGCCCAACCCGGTATTTCTGCGCTTGCCTCAGCCACCCGCAGGAGCGCAGGCCGCCCTTCGTCCTCCCGTCCTCTGCGCCCACAGGACCCCGGGCCCCGCCCAGTCCGCAGGTCCCGCAGGTCCCCCCGGGCGTGTCTTCCTGGCCCTGCGACCCCCGGGACAGCGCTGAGAACACGCGGAAGGTGGGGAGACGCGCGGCGCTGGCCGGGTCCCTGGCGCCGTTCTCGCGGTGCAGCCTGTGCCTGGGAGTCCGGCCGTCCCACCTCAGAACCAGAGCAAAGCGGGAGATGGGGCGGCGGCCGCTGGGGAGAAGGCAGCCCCGGGTCGGAGGAGGAAGGAGGCGGGGGCGGAGCGGAGTCCGCGGTGGGGCTGCCTTCTTCCATCCTCCCCTGGGCGGGGCGCAGGATGCGGGGGCGCCCAGCCGAGGGAGGGAGGCCGGGGAGGACACTCCTGTGCCCGAGGGCTCCGGCTTCTTCTGCTCACTCCCTCCTGCCGAACTTTTCCACTCGGCCATTTACCTCCTCAGGCACTGGCTGCCCTCATCAGGCCGACCAGGTCCTGCCCGAGGGAACGGCGTGTGTGACCCACGTGTGGACAGACCTGTTCCCCATGCCAGGAGGGAGGGTCACTGGCTCCACCGGGGGATGGGGGACGAGGGCACTAGGCCGAGGTGGGGGGCTTCTCGCTCTCCCCGTCTTTTCCTGGCGTTTTCCTCCATTCCCTCTGGCTCCTATTCCCTCCCCCTTCCTCTCTTTCTTGGGTATGGTTGAGCAGGTCGTGCACTGCACAAGGACTCCCAGCAGAGGACGAGGACTGACATCAATTTGTCTTTCCCTCCCAACACTGTGCGTTCCCTAACCCTGCACGAAGGCACCCTCCTCCCCTCCTCAAGATTCCCCACCCGGCCTGGCCTGCAGCCCTAGCCCCAAGCCGCAGCTGGGCAGGTTGGGCAGAGCACTGGGGAGGCCAGGCCCGGCCATGCTGAGCCCGGTGACTCGTCAGGGTTTCCACAAAACATCTTGAGCACCCAGCTGCAGGCCCCTCGGGACGTTTCCAATGAGGCTCCCCTGGGCCCCTCTCTGTGGCAGAAGGGACCCCGGGGCTGCTTCGTAGGTCTCAACCCAGGGGAGGCCCCCAGAGACTCCGGAGCCAGGGAGGGGCCCAGCCCCCTACCCCCAGGCTGTGCTTGGCATGCAGAGATTGCGGGGGGTCTTGAGTTTTTGTCCCCAGAAGAATGGCTGAGTGGACTCTGGAGAAAAGACAAACACCCCTGCCCCACTGCCGCCGCCCTGTCTCCCAACAGTAAGAGTGCTTGTCAGCCTCCTGGCGGCAGGTGCTGCGGCCTGCGACCACCTGAGCCAGGCAGGTGATGCTAATGCGCCTCAGGGCAGCCCTGGCACTGGAGCTGCTATCATCCCACTGTACCCATGGGGAGAGCCGCTCTCCTCCCTCCTTTTTCCATTCTGTGTTATTTACAGAGCACCCTCCTGTATGCCCTGCACTACTCTCAACCCTGGGTACACAGATGGGGCTGCCACAGACGTGGCCCTCAAGGCGCTCAGGCCGCCTTTTGGGGAGGGCCGTGAGGGGCTGGAATTTTTCTGAGACAGCCAAGCGCCCGTGCAGAGAGGCCTGTATCAGCCCAGCCTAAGGCAGGGCCAACCCACACAGGAGCACCTGTCCTGCTGGGGATGCAGTGGGTTCTGCTGTGTCCTGGAAAAGGCTCTACCCACACCCTAACCCAACCTGTGAACGCGCGCTCATTTGGAAAAGGGGCTTTTGCTTTGATGTAATTAGGGAAAGGATCTTGAGATGGCTCATCCTGGGTTAAGGCAGGTCCCACGTCCTGAGAAGGGGGGAGGGATTATCTTTTAGACTGGGCCCTACATCCAACAACCAGTGTCCTTATAAACCACAGAAGAGGAAAAGGCGGGTGCAGCAGAGAGGCCACGGGAGGAGCCGCCAGCCCGGGAAACTGAGGGCTGGAAGAGCCTCCAGGAGGACCCAGCCCTGAACACGCCCAGCTCCACGGCCTCGTGGAATAAACTTCTCCCATTTCACACCCCCCAGTTTGTGGTGCATGGTTAGCACAGCCCTAGGAAACCAGCACGGATAGTGAGCTCCCCGTCACAGGAGGTATGCAAGCAGAGGGTGGGTGGGCAGGGGCACTGTCGGGAGGAGCAGCCCTGGGGACTCCAGCAATCTGTCTTTGATTCCTCCCAGACTGTTAACCCTGGGGCACAGCCTCCTTCACCCCCAGAGGCCCACAGCAGACAAGCTGAGAGCCACACAGCGGCCAAGAGGAGGTGCTGGAGGGCCCAGGGGTCCCAGTGCTGCCTCAGCCCCACCCGACTTGGGAGCTTTTGTGTTCAGAGAGACTGAGGTTTTCAGCTTAGAGGACACCTCCGTGGAACACATCTGCACCGCGGCAGGGGAGGAAAGGCTGGGGGCACACAAGCACCCTCCCTCCCGCCCTCACCCCGAAGCTGAGGGGACCAGGGCGGACAGATTCCCCCACCTCTGATGTGGCCAGGGGCCCTGGGGACTCCAGGACAACCCTCCTCAGGATGACGTCAAACCCCCGGCATTCAAACCTTCCCAAGTTCTGGCTGCAGCTGTCCCTTTCCGGGGAAACAAAGGCACCTCCAGCGCCCCCACCCCCAGCCAGCCTCACCGATCAAGGAGGCCAAAGGCAGCTCCCGGCCCCGCTTACATAAAGCTTCCTGTGTGTGCTGGTCACACCTCACACCTCACGCCTCACGCCTCATGCCTCATTCACACCTCACACCTCACTCCTCACACCTCCAACTCAGACTTTTTAGCTTGAACTTTTTTCTCAATAAAACCACAGAAGCCCAGGCCGGGTGCAGTGACTCATGCCTGTGATCCCAGCACTTTGCGAGGCCGAGGTGGGCAGATCACGAGGTCAGGAGATCGAGACCATCCTGGCTAACATGGTGAAACCCCGTCTCTACTAAAAATACAAAAAAATTAGCCAGGTGTGGTGGCGGGCGCCTGTAGTCCCAGCTACCCGGCAGGCTGAGGCAGGAGAATGGCGTGAACCCAGGAAGCTGAGCTTGTAGTGAGCCGAGATCGCACCACTGTACTCCCCGCCTGGGCGACAGAGTCAGACTCCGCCTCAAAAAAACAACAAAAAAAAAAACAACACAGAAACCCAACAGAGACCTGAAGACGTGCCTGCCTCCCCCATCTCCGGGACCTCTCCCACCTGGGTGAAGGGGGCACGTGAGCCTCACCTGATCTTGACCATCTCAGCTAAAACACTGAACCACCCTTGGCACCCACCAGCAGCAGACGGAGAAGAACTGTATAGGGTGCAAAAGCGCCCCGCCACCATCAGGTCCAGATGAAAACCTACAAGTTGAATCAGCAAGGTGCTGACGGATACGCAAGCAGAAACCCTCTTATAGGAGGTTCAAGGCTGGGCGCAGTGGCTCACTCCTGTAATCCCAGCACTTTGGGAGGCCAAGGCGAGCAGATCACTTGAGGTCAGGAGCCTCAGACCAGCCTGGCCGATATGGCAAAACCCTGTCTGTACTAAAAATACAAAAATTAGCCAGGCATGGTGGGGGGTGCCTGTAATCCCAGCTACTCGGAAGCCTGAGGCAGGAGAATCGCTTGAACCTGGGATGTGGAGGTTGCAGTGAGCTGGGACAGCACCATTTCCCTCCAGCTCGGGTGACAGCAAGACCCTGTCTCAAAAAAAAAAAAAAAGTTTGAGAATGTCAGACAAGGCAGCACCCTGTGTAGGTGCTCAGGTTGGGCGGAGTCTCTCTCGGGGGAGGGGGGTAACAGGACAGCGCCTCCCGGGGCCTCCTTGCATGTCTGTGTCCTGATGCACAGCAGGCGGGGGCTGCGGGGACCAGAGAAGGAAGAAGCGCCCCAGCTGGGCACTTCCCGAGGAGGAAGTGGTGCCGGAATTTCCCCCAGGTGTGGCCTCAGGTATAAGAGCGGCTGCTGCCAGGTGCATGGCCAGGTGCACCTGTGGGATTGCCGCCAGGTGTGCAGGCCGCTCCAAGCCCAGCCTGCCCCGCTGCCGCCACCATGACGGTGAGCCTCTCCACATGCCGCTCGGATGGATGCTGCTTGGATGTGCAGCCTGGCATGGAAGGGCTGGGGTTCTCTGAGCCTGGGAGGAGGGTGTTGGGATGGGGTCTGGGAAACCCCTCAGTCTGGGGGTAGGGGAGGCAGCTGCAGATCCTCGGAGCGCTGGCATGCTGGGTGTCTTGGGCTGAAGGGCTAGCCTCTCTGGGCTTCAGTTTCCCCATCTATAGAGGGAGGGCTGTACTCCATCTTTCCGCTGGGAACAAGGAAAGCTGAGGTGGAAGTGAGGTGCCCCCTGCCCTGGGCACCTCCTAACCACCCACCTGCCTGTTTCACCAGCTCCTCCCCGGCCTCCTGTTTCTGACCTGGCTGCACACATGCCTGGCCCACCATGACCCCTCCCTCAGGGGGCACCCCCACAGTCACGGTACCCCACACTGCTACTCGGCTGAGGAACTGCCCCTCGGCCAGGCCCCCCCACACCTGCTGGCTCGAGGTGCCAAGTGGGGGCAGGCTTTGCCTGTAGCCCTGGTGTCCAGCCTGGAGGCAGCAAGCCACAGGGGGAGGCACGAGAGGCCCTCAGCTACGACCCAGTGCCCGGTGCTGCGGCCGGAGGAGGTGTTGGAGGCAGACACCCACCAGCGCTCCATCTCACCCTGGAGATACCGGTGAGGACCTGGGGATTCCGCTGTGGCGTGGGGCTGCCCCTCCCCTGGCGGGGCCCTGACTGCCCGGAGAGCTCTCTGGGCCTTGGTGGTTCTCACCTGTCAAGTGGGCGTGGCCACCTGAGCTCCCTCCCTCCGGCCCTCCTGACCTGGACGGCTGAGCTGCTGCTTGCGGCTGGCCGTGCCCTGCCTCCCACTGTCCTAGGTGGCCAGGGTCCCCTGGGGAAATTCTGGGCCCGTCACCTGAGCTCCTGCAGAAGTGGGGCTGGGTGATGAAGTGGAAGGGAGGCTCCTAGAGGCCTCCGGACCCTGCTCTGTGCTCTTGGAGGGCCCTGGGGAGACGTGGATTACCACCACATGTGAGCCCGACTGCACCCCAAGCCCGTGTGGCTCAGCCCTCGCTGCCTCAGGTCCTATCCTGAGTACACGGAGAGGGGCCCTGAGGGGAGAGGGGCCTCCAGGAGGACAGGGTAGGGCCAGAGACTCACTGTGCACCCCGTCCCGCAGTGTGGACACGGATGAGGACCGCTATCCACAGAAGCTGGCCTTCGCCGAGTGCCTGTGCAGAGGCTGTATCGATGCACGGACGGGCCGCGAGACAGCTGCGCTCAACTCCGTGCGGCTGCTCCAGAGCCTGCTGGTGCTGCGCCGCCGGCCCTGCTCCCGCGACGGCTCGGGGCTCCCCACACCTGGGGCCTTTGCCTTCCACACCGAGTTCATCCACGTCCCCGTCGGCTGCACCTGCGTGCTGCCCCGTTCAGTGTGACCGCCGAGGCCGTGGGGCCCCTAGACTGGACACGTGTGCTCCCCAGAGGGCACCCCCTATTTATGTGTATTTATTGTTATTTATATGCCTCCCCCAACACTACCCTTGGGGTCTGGGCATTCCCCGTGTCTGGAGGACAGCCCCCCACTGTTCTCCTCATCTCCAGCCTCAGTAGTTGGGGGTAGAAGGAGCTCAGCACCTCTTCCAGCCCTTAAAGCTGCAGAAAAGGTGTCACACGGCTGCCTGTACCTTGGCTCCCTGTCCTGCTCCCGGCTTCCCTTACCCTATCACTGGCCTCAGGCCCCCGCAGGCTGCCTCTTCCCAACCTCCTTGGAAGTACCCCTGTTTCTTAAACAATTATTTAAGTGTACGTGTATTATTAAACTGATGAACACATCCCCAGAGGCCAACATTCAATGCGACATTCTCCCGTTCAGCCCTGGTCCAGGCCAGCCATGGACCCAATTCTGGGGTGTCCTTCCAGAAAGGTCTACGCAGCCGCGAGCAGTGCATGCAGGTGGGACTGAGCTGTAGCACGGGGGGGTCACAGGTGTCCCTGCTCTGCCCACACAGTGTCTCCCCTGAGGACACCCCTGGGAACAGGAACCAGCCTCCTTCCTCAAGCAGTGCCTTGAGCCCTATGCTTTGTAATGATGTGAGCGCCTAGGGGCACCCTCTCGGCCCCCAAGGCAAGTCTCTGAGGATGAACTGCAGGGCTGTCGGCTCAAGGCAGGGCCCCCAGCCTTCGTGGTTCGGATCAACATCCAAGGCCAAGCGCCCTCCCTGATGGTGAACTAGCCACGCTTCGGGACCCAGGCTCTGTTGGAGATTTTAGTTAAGGGGCCCCGGGGGGAGCAGCCCCAGTCGTGGAAAGGGGGCCCAGGCCTGTGACAGTCTCAGGGTCTCAGTCTCTAGGCCCCCGGCCCCAAGGGCTGACATTGCCATGGGGCTGCTGGGCAGTTGTTAGCCCCTCCCCTGCCTGGCCCCCTGGCTCACCCACCTACTGCGTCCAGGTGCCTGGAGATGGGGGTGGGGGTGCTGCACAGAAGAACAAGGACTCCACTCAGACTCCCAAAGCAAGAGGCCTCAGGGAAGACTTCCTGGAGGTGGTGGCCCTTGTCCAGGAGATGGAATTTTCATTCAACACATTTATTGAGTTTCTTTTCTTTCTTGAAAAAGGGTCTCGCTCTGTTGCCCAGGCTGGAGTGCAGTGTGGTATGACTTCAGCTCACTGCCACCCCCACCTTCTGAGTTCAAGCGATCCTCCCAGCTCAGCTTCCCAGTACAGGCGTGCACCACCACACCCAACTCATATTTGTATTTTTAGTGGAGGCGGGGTTTCGCCATGTTGGCCAGGTTGGTCTCGAACTCCTGAGCTCAAGTGATCCTCCCACCTCGGCCTCCCAGAGTGCTGGGATTACAGGCGTGAGCCACCGCACCCAGCCATATGAGTTTCTACTAAGCACCTGGCACTGGGAACAGGCCGAGAACAAAATGGTGAAAACCCTTCCTGCCTCCACGGTGACTAATGAAACAAGTGGTGTGTAGTCTGTGAGTGAGTCCAGGACAGAGGCTCTGGGGGAGGGGCTGCAGTTCTTTTTTTTTTTTTTGAGGAGTCTCGCTCTGGCCCAGGCTGGAGTGCAATGGTGCGATCTCGGCTCACTGCAAGCTCCGCCTCCCGGGTTCACACCATTCTCCTGCCTCAGCCTCCTGAGTAGCTGGGACTACAGGCGCCCGCCACCACGCCCGGCTAATTTTTTGTATTTTTAGTAGAGACGGGGTTTCACCGTGTTAGCCAGGATGGTCTCGATCTCCTGACCTCATGATCTGCCCGCCTCGGCCTCCCAAAGTGCTGGGATTACAGGCGTGAGCCACCGCGCCCGGCCAAGGGGCTGCAGTTCTAAGCAGAGGGTCAGGGAGGCCTCGAAGACCTGAAGGGGAGGAGGAAGGAGCCAGGCAGCCATGCAGGGAACAGCTCCAGGCAGCAGGAAGAGCCCATGCAAAGGCCCTGAGAAGACACATGCTGCGTGTGTCCAAGGGTCAGAGAGTGGCCTGCGTGGCTGATGCCAGGTGAGAGGGGGACCGCAGGGGCAGGGCAGGGCGCTGGGGGTGCAGATCATGTCTGCCCTGGGGCCATCAGAAGCTTGTGGCTGTCACTGGAGGTAGCTGAGCCTGTGGGTTCTGAGCCTGCGGATTCTGAGCCGGAGGCACTGGGGTGAGGCTTTGGGTTTCAATGGCAGCATCAGGATGGTTTCAGGGGATGAGGGCAGAGCGGGAGGCGGCAGGTGGCCTGGGTGGGGATGGCCCATGTAGCTGGGGTCTGGATTTGGGCCAGGATTGGATGTGGGGTGTGGGGGTTTCAAGGGTGACCTGAAGCTTGGTGACCTGGGGGGACGGCTGAGATGAGGCTGGATTGAGACGTCTGTATGGTGCCGAGTGTTGGCTGGTGGGGGGTGGATTCTGAAGGCCCCCAGGAACAGAGGACCCTGGCTCTGAAGTGTGAGTTGCTGGGAGAGCAGGTGGACAAGCAGCAGGCAAGGGCTTCTCCGGCCTCAGGGGAGTGGGTGCCTTGGCGAGAGCCCAAAGGTGGGGGACGTGGCTGACGCCGGGCAAAGCTTTGGGGGCACCGGGCTGGGGTGGTGGTGAGGACCTGTGGGCAGGTGTGTGTGCAGCCAGCCACAGCCTCCGCACAAGTGAGGGGAAGGGGTGGCCAGAAGCCCCTGCAACTTGGCCTGAGCGTCCTGGGCAGCTGGGGGGCCCCCCAGCATCAGTGTGGGGGCAAACAAGGCCACATCCGCCACCAGCTTCACCCCAGCTTCTACGGAAAAGAGGCGCAGGGTAGAGGCTCACCACGTGGCTCCGACCCTGTTCCCTTTTCACTTAACGCCAGCGGCCTCCTCTGGAATCCAAGCCCCTTAGGGAGGCGTTAGGTGTGGAGGGCCTGCAGGGCCTGCAGGAGCTGTCAAGGGAGGACTCTGCTGCCTCCTCCAGGCCCGGGAGGACCTTTCTAGGGAGGCACACACCTGGAATCCAGGTACTATATTTCGTGGAATATACGGTACCCGGGATTTCGTGTGCTGCTGAGAAGGAAGGCGATGCTGATGTTAATGAAACTGGAATGCGGCCCGGCTGGCAGGAAACGGGGTGCCTGCCCAGGCCTCGGGAACCATCGCTACCCCAGCCCCGCCCACCGGCCCCAGGCAGAGGCTCACGCGCTCCCGGCTTCGCTGCATTTATTGCAGGTGGGTGCACCTGGCGGGAGGGCAGGTCCGGGGCGAGGTCACACGACCTCGTCGGTCACCGGGATGGGGTTGACCTGGGGACCTCCCGGGGGTCCCCCCGCCGCCACCGCAGCCTCCTCCTCGCTGGGCTTCTTGCGGGCCTCGGCCGGGGGCCGCGGCGGGGGGTTGCTGGGCGGCTGCTTGATGGTGCCTCCGATCTGCGGCCGCTCCCGGGGCTTGGGCTCGATGGGCGTCCACTGCTCGCCACGCACAGCCGCCTGCGGGGCACTGAAGGGTTGAGCCGCGCCCCAGCGCCCGCCCTCCCTCCCTCCCTCCCTCCCCGGAGGCCCACCCCGCTAGGGGCCCTGGGACAGGCTCAAGTCTGAATCCCACGCAGGATGGTGTGACTGCCACTCAGAGAGGTTAAGTGACGCGCCCGAGGCCACACAGCCAGGACCTGGGTCGGCCTGACACCAGCCCAAGCTATTTCTTCATGCCAGGAGTGGGGCCCGAACCCCTGGGCTTCTGGAAGATCCCGTGGTGGACACTCCCAGATGCAAATTCTAGTACTCAAATTCTCCTCTCAAGGTGCCAAGGGCAGGGAAGGCAGGGAGGCAGGCCCGAGGTCCAGCAGGAGGGGTGGCCCAGGAGAGTAGCAGGCCCTGCTCCGTCTGGTGGGCGCCATTCACCCACGCTGGCCGGCAGCCCCCCAAGGGTGCCCAGGCATTTCTGCACATGGGGGTGGTGGGGGGAGAGCTTGAAGACCACGGGATTCCACTGGCTTTTACTAAAAATACAGACTCCTGGGCCCATGCCCGGAGGTTCCACTGCAACAGGTCAAGTGGACCTGGGAGTGTGTGCTTTTCATCTTCTATCCCATAATATCTGGTGGAAAAATATGTCACATCATATACGTCATGAACAGAAAGAGAAACTGGACATGTGTGATCCTACCTGACTCCAAAACGGAAACATTCCATTCTGAAAAGCAAAACTAGAAGGCTGATAGAAGAAAAGGCAGGAACGTGAAGGCAGGACCCAGGGCCAGGGAAAGGTGTTTTCACAAAGCACAGACCATAGAGCAGGTGAACAGGGAAACCTCTGCTCTTCCGTGCAGTGAAGGACTCCACGCGCCAAGTTAACAGACCCTCACCAGAAAGCATGAAGGCATCCCCAGTGTTTAAAGGTTACAAAGGCTAAATAGCTAAAATATATGTGGACTTCCTGCAACTTAAGAAAAAGACAATCAGGCCGGGCGCGGTGGCTCACGCCTGTAATCCCAGCACTTTGGGAGGCCGAGGCGGGCGGATCACAAGGTCAAGGAGATCCAGACCATCCTGGCTAACGCGGTGAAACCCCGTCTCTACTAAAAATACCAAAAATTAGCCAGGCATGGTGGCACGTGCCTGTAGTCCCAGCTACTCGGGAGGCTGAGGCAGGAGAATTGCTTGAACCCAGGAGGCGAAGGTTGCAGTGAGCCGAGATCACGCCACTGCACTCCAGCCTGGGCGATGGCGCGAGACTCCATCTCAAAAAAAAAAGAAGAAAAAGAAAAATACAAAAACCACAATAGAAAAATGGGCAAAGGATTTGAACAGGCAACTCAAGGGAGAAGAAACTCCAACAGCTCAAATCCACAGTCAGAGAAGGGCGAGTCCAAGCTCCACACGGCCAGCTCGTGCTGTGAAACTGGCAAGCGTGGGAGAAAGCCTAGTGCATGGTGGGAGAGATGGGGCCACATGGCTGGTGGTGGGTTGTCTGCTGAGGAGCAGCTGAGCCCGGCAGGGTGAACGGTGCAGAGGCTGATGCCTGACCCAGCAATTCCTCTCTGGGTTTAGCACAAGGAATTCCTCCCGAGGTCTCCAGGAGCCACTAGCTGTGCGTGGCAGCAGGGAGACGGGGGGGATGCGGGTGGCCCCCGGAAAACAAAGCAACAGCCCAGATGAGCACTTGGCAACAGGAAGGGGTTCTAAAGGAGAGTTCTGCCGGTGGCAGGTCAGTGAGGCTTGAAACAGAACTCCACTTCCATACGCGGAAGGCGTACACAGAAAGTGCTGCACCTTTCCCACGCACACACACTAGAAGACGCACAGCAAGGGGAGGGCAGTTGCCTCTGCGGGCAGGAGGGACTTGGCTCTATGGACAAAAGGATTTAAATAAGCAAAGTCTGAGGGCTCTGTCCACCCAGAGACCCCCGCAGTGAGAGGTGGCCTGCAGCCGTCTGTTCCGGAGCCCAGGGCAGGCAGAGGGCATTTCACCCAAGGCCTGGCCAGGCTGCGCCCTGTCCTCCCACCCATCCCTGGCCTCTCAGAGAGATCACTGTATCCCATGGGATGGGCAGCCTTCTAACAGGGTGCAGCAGTCATAAACCAAACGCAGGTGTCGGCAGTTTAAGAAAATGTCTGCGTCCTGGCACCGCCCATGAATCAGCGCGAATAGGGTTTAGGTGAGAAAAGCCTGATAATGGGACCCAAGCGCAGGCACGGTCTTCGGCCGGCTGCGTGACCCCAGGCCAGTCACAGCACCTCCCTGAGCCTCCGCATCTTTGTCTGTAAAGTGGGGACCCCAGTACCCCTCCCAGGGCTGTGGTGCGGGTTAATGAGGAAATGCAAGGAAATGACCCGACACACTAGACACGCCAAAAATGGCAGCAGCAACCGCTGCGTCCCCGCCGTGCTGTGAGCACACGCCCAGGCTCACACTTGCTCCCAGCCTTGGCTCAGCCTACAGAGCCGGCTTCAAGGGCCATGCGTGTCCGAGGGTGTCAGGGCAGGGGCTGGGGATGGGGGTGGCCGGGGCCGACCTCAGAGGGCGCCACTCACCAGTAGGTAGATGCCGCTCGCAATGGCCAGGCAGGCGGTCCCAAGGATGGTGGCCAGCAGGAAGCCGGCGGGCACCGAGAGCCTGGGGGACAGCGGGTGAGAGGCAGGGACACAGAAGGGCACTCAGAAAGGGGAACGGAGCCCCAGGTCTGGGGGCCAAGGCCACAAAGTCTCAGGACAAGGCAGACTGCAGACCCAGGGGACGTGCGCGGACCGGGGCTTGTTTCGGTCCTGGGTGTTCTCAGCCTTGATGTGGACACTAGCGGCTCTGGTGCACTTGCTCGGAGGAAGCAGCCACGTGTGGGTGTCCTGGCCTCAGCCGGCAGTAACCAGCAGACACACAGCACGGAACCCTCCACCCTACCAGGAAGCCCAGGCAAGACCCCCCAGCAGTGCATGCTGACCCCAGACCCTGGCGACGGATCGGAGCTCCTCGGATTTGGAGTGGATCCTTACAAATCCTGCACACTAGACAGCAGACACAGGCCCTGCCAGAGCCAGGGACCCGAATTTTTGTTTGGAAAAACACTGAGGTAAGTGGGGGTGGCTCCTGTCCAGGCAGCCCGGCCGGTGGGACAGTGGGGAGGGTCGGCTCCAAGCCCTCCTGAGCCCTAGAGGGGGTGCGGGACGGGGACTCACAGGAGATGCAGGACGGCCCGAACATAGTAATTCCTGGTAAAGGGCCCGAACAGCTTCACCACGGCGGTCATGTACTTCTGTCCCCTGGGGGAGGGAGGAAGGCGAGACGGCGCGGCTGGGCCTCTCCCACTCGGGACTCCTTTGCTGCCCTGCTGACCACCCCAGGGCACCCAGGCCTCTTTCCTCCCACAAAACACACCGGGCAGGCACCGGCCTTGGTTTACCCACAAGCACCAAAGGGTTGGTTCCGGAGCCTCCAAGTGAGAAACCAAGCTCCACCCAACCCTGTGAGCCCTGCCTGGGCCCCGCAGCCCCCGGAGAGACCCCAGAGCAGGAGGAGACTCACCAGCGCTCCATGGTGGAGCCCTTCTTCCTCTTCCCCCGGGGGTACTCCAGCAGGCACACAAACACGCCCGCCACACTGAAGCCATGTGGTTAAGGAACAGCCCAGCTCAGCCTGAGGGGCCACAGGGAACTCCCTTTACTGAAGACAACACAGAGAGGGGCCCGAGCACGGTGGCTCATGCCTGGAATCCCAGCATTTTGGGAGGCTGAGGCGGGAGGATCACTGGAGCCCAGGAGTTTGAGACCAGCCTGGGCAACATAGTGAGACCCTCATCTCTACAAAAAATTTAAAAGCCAGGTGCAGTGGTGTGTGCCTGTGGTCCCAGCTACTCCAGAGGCTGAGGTAAGAGGGTGGCCTGAGCCCAGGTGGAGGCTGCCATGAGTCACAGCTGCACCACTGCACTGCAGCCTGGGGGACAGAGCGAGACCCTGTCTCAAAAAAGGTCGGGGGCAGCCACTGCCTGAGGTCACAGAGCCAGGAGGCAGCCACGGGAGGTTCCAACAGGTCTGGCACTCGGGGCTGCCCACGCCCTCCCTCCCACCACCCTGCCCAGTGCTCCTTGTCGCAAGGTCCGGCTGGGCGGCAGGGCTGAGATGGGGCAGAGGAGGTAGAGGGGCCGGTCAAGGGGGATGACTGACAGGAGCGGGCAGAGGGGATCCCAGCAGTCCAACAGGGAGGCCTCAGTGCTGGCCCTGGCCCTCTGGTGACACCCCCTGCCCACCACTCACCAGGACTTAGACTGGCGGGTCTGCCGCTGATCGCCACATGGTCCTGGCGAGGGGCCTGGCTGCTGGGGCCTGGGCTGCCCAACCCGTGCACAGCCCACCCTGTGTCCCAGCCTGGCTGCGGTGGTGGGGAGCGGAGGCAAACAGCTCACTGTGAAGTGGCTCCCCAGCTCTGCCCTGGGCGTTCCCCGCCCACCCCAGCCTCAGGTGGAAGGATACATGGAGTAGGCACCAAAGTACCACTGGGTGAAGCGCCCAGCTGTGGCCACGATGCCCCCGGTGATGAGGACTGCGGGGAGAAGTGGGTCAGGCACTGTGGGGCTCCCGTCCCGGGGGCCTGGGCCACCCCCCTTCTCTACCTACTGTGGGCCACCAGGCCACCCAGAGCTGCCCCCTACCCATCCCCACAGCACAGTGACAGGGTCGGGGACACCCCCAGGAGGCACCCCTCTGCACTGGTGAAGAGCAGAGCCTGTGGCGCACGGGCTGGCGGAGGGGGTGCTGGACATGCCCGGGCTCTGGGTCCCAGGAGTGGCCAAGGACAGCCCGACCTGCAGGCCCCAGTGGGCTCTGGGACCCCCAAATGGACCCCCTTGTCACCATGAGTCTTTGTTTGATGCACTGAAAGCTAACAGGCCGAGTGTGGTTTCTGCATCTTCTTGGGGGAGTGTCTTTTTCCCCCCGATACGGAGTTCCTCTTAACCCGTCAGCGGTTTTGCCTTAATTTCGGTTTCGTCTGATATGGCTATTTCTGCACATTTTTGGGGGGGTATTGTCCAATATTCCCCCTTACTGTTTTTTTTTTTTTTCGAGACGGAGTCTTGCTCTGTCACCCAGGCTGGAGTGCAGTGGCGCGATCTCGACTCACTGCTACCTCCGCCTCCAGGGTTCAAGCAATTCTCCTGCCTCAGCCTCCTGAGTAGCTGGGACTACAGGCGCCCGCCACCATGCCCAGCTAATTTTTACATTTTTATTAGAGACAGGGTTTTCACCACATTGGCCAGGCTGGTCTCGAACTCCTGACCTCAGGGAATCCGCCCGCCTTGGCCTCCCAGAGTGTTGGGATTACAGGCATGAGCCACGGCGCCTGGTCCTTCCTACTATTTTATTTCTTTTTTTTTTTTTTTTTGGAGACAGAGTCTTGCCCTGTCACCCAGGCTGGAGTTCCGTGGCGTGATCTCAGCTCACTACAACCTCCACCTCCCAGGTTGAAGCGATTCTCCTGCCTCAGCCTCCCGAGTAGCTGGGACTATGCGCGCCTGCCACCATACCCGGCTAATTTTTTGTATTTTTAGTAGAGACGGGGTTTCACTGTGTTAGCCAGGATGGTCTCGATCTCCTGACCTCGTGATCCGCCCGCCTTGGCCTCCCAAAGTGCTAGGATTACAGGTGTAGCCACCTTGCCCTGCCAGCCATTCTGTTTTTGTCTCCACATGGTCTTGTTGGAAGATTTCCTATCCTTGGTTTGAGCCCAGCTACACATTAACTCTCTGGGTTTGTCTGTCTGCGTCGGAGGAGGGGAGGGCAGTGTCCTTGAGTCTACTCAGCCAATTGTCCATGCATCTTTGGGGACCGTCCTGGTCCCGAGCCTGCCATCCGAAAGAGGGTGCAAAGCTGCCGCTGGTGCCACCAGGGAGGTCTGAGGACGTATTCTGGCACCCAGCCACATTTACAGAGCACCTGCTGTGTACAGGGGGGACTCTTTGTCAAGGCCCTGCTGTCTCCGGGCCAGCTGCCTCCTGGGGCTGCACGGTCTGGAAGGACCTCCCCAGGCAGGTGGCATTTGAATTGAGAAATAAATGAGACAGCCATGAGGCTCTGCAGAAGCAGCAGCTTGTGCCGAGGCCCTGGGGCACGCTCAGGAGATCTAGGAACAGAAAGGAAGCACGGCAGCTGGAGGAGGGGGCCGGAGAGCCGGGAGGCCAGGGCGGGCAGTGCAGGGCGTCCAGTCTGGCTCTAACTCTTCGGGCCAGGAGCCCCTGGAGGGTTTCAGCAGGAGGCCAGACTAGAGCCCAGGTCTCCTGGCTCCCAGCTGGGTGCCCTCAGTCCGTCTACTTCCTGTAGGGAGTGCGGGGCAGGCAGGGTGAGTCTCACGGGGCAGCTCTGGGGAGAGCTGTCTGAACTGACCCACCGACTTCTTGGCCGCTGACTCGAAGCAGGCGGTCACTTTCCTGGGCACAGGACAGGCTGCAGGGCCCCGTCCTCCAGCCCTCCCACCCTGAGGTCTCTGCTCCCACTCCAGCTGCCACGCACCCTCCAGACAACAGGGAGGGCGCTCAGAGCCCCAGGGGAGTGGTGGCAGCGGGCCCCTCCTCCTCACCCTCAGCCCCCAGGCCCTTCCCAGGCACTCCTCCCCCGGTGCAGGTCCTTCCTGGAGCTGCTGCAGTGGTGCCTCTGCCCTCAGACCTCGCCTGAGCCCAGCCTCACCCGTGCTGGGCCAGACACTCCCTGGCCCTGGTCCCGAGAGGGTCCATTTCCAAATGGAGTCCGCTGCCCTCACCAGAACCTCTGAGCAAATGCACAGGAGGGTGACTGGGGGCTGTGCCATCCCACCCCAAGAGCAAAGTGCCTGTGCAGCTGGGCTGGGCAGGGCCGTCACTGGGTGGTTTCGGCGCCTTGTGAAATCTCAGACCGCCTCCAGCGCAGACTCCAGATGAGAAGGGCTGAGCCCCAGGGCATGAGCCCATTCCCCACCCCAAGCCCAGGGAGAGCGACCTCCAGGCCAGCTGGCTACCGAGGGGCAGGGGAGCTTCTCCCGATGCCCAGGCCGGAGCCCCCACTCGGGGGCTTCGGGGCGGTGACCCCGGAAACCACCGGGGCTGAACCGCCTCTTCCCCTGCGCTGCAACTTCCTCCTTCGCGGAGTCGGGGGACCGAGAGAAGGGAATGGGGGAGGGGCGCCGCGCTCCGCAGGGTCTGCAAGGGAATTACTGGGGGTCTCAGAACTCCTCCTTCCAGCCCGCGGCCTGAGGGTCCCGCCCCCGTTCCCCGCACCCTCCTGGCCTGACCCCGGCCCGGCCTGGCCCGCCTGGCGCCCCACTTCCCCACCCTGTAAGTAGCCCGAGGTCCCGGCTGGGGTCTTGGGACACCCCTCCAGGCTGCAGCCTCCACCGTCCCTGACGTGCACTCACTCAGGCCGGACGCCAGCGCCTGTTCGTTGGCCCACATGGCCCACTCGATCTGCCCCATGGCGACACGAACCCGGCTGGGACACTGCTAGGCGCGCACTGCCGCCCCTGCGCTCCCGGCCGAACCCCGCCCCGCCCAGGCCCCGCCCCCAGCCCCCCAGGTGACCGCGGCTGGGCGGAGACCCGCATCTGTAGGGTGCAGGGCTGTCCCGGAGCCTTCTGCCCCCGCCCTCTCTAGCCACGCCGAGGCATAGGAGGGGCCCTGCCCGGCAGCCCCAGCCCAGGCGGGGAGTTCCTGCGCTTCCCCAGGGCTTCCCAAACTTCAGCTCTCAAACACTGACAAGTGCCCCTGCCCAATGCTCCGGACCCAACCGAGGGTCCCGTGTCAACCAGGCGTCTATTAATAGCAGGACAAGGTGTGAAGGTCGGCTTCCTGAGCAAATCGGCCTCTCCAGAGCCTTGGGGGGTGGGGGAGTCACCCCTACAGCCCGGGAACACCTCTGCACCCTGATGCTACCAAGGACAAGGGTGGCCTCCCCATGGGGACCAGAGGCCCAGCCCCCATTTCCTCCCCCTGGCTCTGGG
This sequence comes from Homo sapiens, assembly GCF_000001405.40. Taxonomy (NCBI): domain Eukaryota; kingdom Metazoa; phylum Chordata; class Mammalia; order Primates; family Hominidae; genus Homo; species Homo sapiens. The sequence continues at coordinate 88,651,538 of NC_000016.10, forward strand.
CTGGCACAGGCGTGGCCTGGGTCAGACACTGCAGGGGGCCTCCCGTCACCAGGTCACTGAACTGTGACTGAGACTCGAGGGAGGGGACAGGATGTGTACAACTGGGAAAGCACAGAATGCAGGGACGGCCCCGTCACGTCCGGCCTGGGTACGGGAGGCAGGGGCTGGCGTGGGGGTGGTGAGCCCAGCGCCCATGGGAAGACTTTAGACCTGGGGTTGCTCCTGAGGGTCCCACCTGAGCCAATGTGGGGTTTGAGGGGAGCCCCTCTGTGGCTCTGCCCAGCCTGCCCCTCCCCCAGGCCCTCATGGGGCACACCTGGACTCCCTGACAGGTGCCAGGGTCACTCAGAGCAGGAACCCCGGGATGCTGGTTTACGAAACAGAAAAACGGCGGAGGCCGGAGGCAGCAATGCTGGTTTATTCCCCATGGCCACCGGGGCCGCACTGGTGCCCACTCCTGCCACCATTCCAGCCACACCCAGGCCGTGGGCAGCCACCCTCCGAGACACCTGGGCCGGGGGCAGGGTCTCAGCAGAAGCGCCGTGGGCAGCCACCATCCGAGGCACTTGGTGGTTTCCTGAGGCCCAAGGAGGCTGCTCCCAGCACGGTGACCCCTTCCCTGGTCCGCTGGAGGGACCACCTCCCCACTGAGCTCCTTTCTCAGAGAACTGGGCATAGCCAGAGCTGGGGTGAGAAAGCCCTTCAGCCCTGCTGCACCGAGGCTCTGCCAGTTCTCATACCCCCTCCCCATCCCATCTTGGCAAAGCGCTGGTGCAGCTTAGGGCAGCTGAAGCACTCGGCGGGGACCTCTCCTGACACCTGGGCGGCCGCAGGACTCCCTGCACTGCCCCACAGCAAGCTGCCCATGGGCCCGGGGTCAAGCCACCACCCACATGTCCCAGGAGTCCGGCCAGCCCACCACATCCGCTCCCTAGCTCCGGCGAGGCCACCCCTTCTCCAAGCGGCATGCGGTCCCTGCTGAGGCAGTCAGGCAGCTGGCTTCGGCAGGCCGTCAGGACCCAGGAGGTGGGCGCAGGGGTCATCCAGGATTTGAGGCCCTGGCCCCACCTGGGGATAGAAATCCATGTCAGGTCACCAGGAATGGCAGCGCCTCATCCTGTGCCCAGCATCTGTAGGGCCGGACACAGGAGGGTAGCGGTGTGCCCCCGCCCTTCCTGTGGGTCCTGGTCAGAAGGTAAAGCGCCTGAGTGGTGACACCCACACGCAGCTCCTGCAGGCACAGCCGCCCCTGCCAGCTGCGAGCCCCCTGCCCTGGGCACTGCTTCTGTCACAGGGGGGACAGAGAACCACAGAGCCTGGGAACAGGCAGCCCCTGAGAGGAAGGTGGCGGCAATGGCTTGGGCGGCCGTGATCACTGGATGCAAGCTTGGCCCTCGGAGCAGGTCAGAGGGCAGGAACTCCGGTCTGCTGGGGTGGTTGGGGTGGGGGGGTCCCAGGGACCCCAGCAGCCCCCACCCCAGGCGCTCCCTATTCAAGGGTCTGATACTCCCCACCTGTCTCCCTGGGAGCCTGTGTCAGACTCACCCTCCCACCCTCAGCGCAGCCCTGCTGCTCTGAGCATCACCAGTGGCCTGTAATGTCCACTTTGAGAGCAAATGAATGGACAAAGGCGTTCTGGCTTCCTGCCTGAGACACGGTAGGGACAGGGAGCCGCGCTTAGCCTTTAAGGGCCCTGGGGGCTGGGCGGGCCCCCCTGGCAGGAAAGGAAACCCCGGGGTACTGGGTGAGCCCCAGGCCTCACCTGAGTGACAATGATGTATTTGACCCCACCGGGGGTCGGCTCCATGGCCAGCGCAGCCTGAAGCTCAGCTGAGAGAGGGGCCGGCCTCACCTGCAGCCCCTTCAGAAACCTGGAAAAGCAGGGCAGGGGCACGGTGAATGCATCCGTTTCTCTAAGCGTCTACAACAGTCTACAACAGGCAAGTCCAGAGATGGGAAGTGCATTCCTGGCCGTCAGGGCTCAGGGAGGGGGAGACGGCAGGTGGCTGCTGTGGGGACAGGTTTCTTTTAGGGGTGATGAAAAAGTTAAGGAGGTGGCTTGAGGTGGTGCTCACATGACCCTGTGAATGTCCTCAACACCGCAGGATTATATGCTCTCGAATGGCTGAGACAGGAAATTTTAGGTTATGTGGTAAACAGCTATGCCCAGGCTGGACCCACATCTGGCCAAGGGTGCTGCCAAGCCCCATGGGGTAACAGCTCAGGGAAGCGCCCAATTCAAGCTGGTGCGTTCGTCACCGTGTTCTGCAGAACAGCGGAAGCCTGCAAGCCCCACCCGGAGCAGCAGCCACGAGCCTGGTGCTTCCCAGGCGGGCAGTCCTGGGGTGTGGGTCTGAGTCCACCCCACAGGGCAGGCCCCTGACCATTAGAAGGTGTTATTGCTCCCACCCGGGACAGACGCACATCCCCACACGCTTCCAGACACCCTTAAATGGGAGGCGCCTCTCACATTGAGAATAAGACACCATGAAAACACGGGAGGGAAGAAATCAACAGCCCCGGGGCGTAAGGAGGCTGGGCCAAGCTGTGCACCGAGGAGGGCGTACATGGGGGCTCTGTGGCACCCCCACAGAGCAGCGCAGGGGAAGAGGCGGTTCAGGGCCAAGCTGTGCACCGAGGAGGGCGTACATGGGGGCTCTGTGGCGCCAAGATGCAGCTGCCGGACCCCACCCAAGAAAAGACACCCAACTGCCGGGGCGGGGTCAACACCCGGCCGCCTTGACTGGCTCTAACTCGCTTCAGTAAGAAGGAAATCAGGGGCTTTGACTCCTTTCCTTCAAAATGTCGGACACTTACGCACACATCTGGGAGTGCAGGCGTGTTTCCTAAGCCACTGTTCTATAGAATAAGAGCCTGCGGGGTCCCGAGCTGCAGGGGACGCTGTCACTCAGGAGGTGGGAGACCCTGGGCGTTGCTCACACACGCGTGAGCGGCCTCTCTTTCTTCCCTGTGGACGTGGGCTGTGGGATGGCTCTATGGGGACACCCTGCCCGTGGCTCCCACACTCGGGGGACTGCTGCCTGCCCTGGGACTCCCTGTCTCAGCGCCACAGCCTTCAGGTGCCTCCGTCTCTTCCGACCAGAGTTCCTGGCACCATCTCCCAAAAAGGAGGAGGGGCGGGGTCCACACTCACGTGTCTCCATTCGAGCCTGGGGGAAAGCCGTGCCACACAGCAGCCACAAACTCAGCCACAGTGTCGTCCAGGGTGAAGATCACGGCATTGGGGCCCGCGTCAAAGGTGTACGCCACCTGGAACCCACAGCAGTCACCCTGGCTATTCACGTGGTGCCTGACCCTTGTCTCCCCAACCCTCTGGTCTGCCAGGCGGCCTTGGGCTCTCCAAGAGCTCAGTCTAGGCCCTCAGGGCCACACTGGAGTGGAGCTGTGACCCCAAGTGCCTGGTACTTGACACGTCTGCCTGTGAACCCAGGAAGAAGGTGGTGGGGCCGTGACCCGGGCAAGTCAAGAAACAAAATGAAACAGAAGAACCCAGATGGTCAGTGAGCTTCGCACACAGCAGGGTGGAGCTTTCAGACACAGATTGCCCTGCACGCGAGCCCCGGGGCCGTCTCCACGGCAGCACAAGCCTAGACACGCGCTACAGCGCGAGCGCAGCCTCTGCCCTCCCGGCCCGCGTCACCTTGGTGTCCCCGTGGTGGGCGTTGAAGCGGTGCACCAGGTGGATGATGCGCCAGGAGATGGCATTGAGGTAAGAGATGGGCGGGAAGGTGTCGAGGCAGGTGGCGTGGAACTGGTTGCTGTCCTTCATGGTCAGCTGGGCGAAGCTGGGGAAGTCTCGCTCCCGGATGCAGCGGGCCATCTCCGCCATGCGCGCGGGCACCACGGACTCGGCCCGGAACTGCAAGGCACAGGGTGTTTCCCATGGAGCCGCTGGGGGTCTCGACAGCAGAGGGTTCGAGGAGAGACTCCGGGGTTGGAGGCCCGGCTCGAGCCCCATCTCTGCATTTGGCTCCTGCACGTGGTCTTGGCGGGGCTGCCGCAGGTGTGAGAACACTCGGGCCCAGACAGAGGCTGAGGGCAGAGCCGGGCACAAGCGTGACTCCCAGGGCCCCGGGACCACCCGCTCCTGGCCTTACCCGAAGCAGGGGGCTGGTCTCCACACTGGCCCGCATGCCCACGGTACTGCCTGTCAGCTTCTTCTCAGCGCTCACCTGCACGAGGGAGAGACAGCCTGGGCCACACCCTGCAGGGGGCCAGCCCCAAGGACCTCAGCCTCAAACACTCGGCCCTCCCTCAGCCAATGCAGGCAGCGGGGGTGGGAGTCAGTGCCACCTGCCTGACCACAGAGGCCTCCCGGCCACAGCAGGGGTGACGCAGGGGCAACTTCCAGATCCCAGCGGGTGGTGGCGCCCGCCGCATGGGAGCGGTTCCTGAGCACTCAACCACGCTTCTGTTCCTTCAGCCCCCGCTGACCCCAGGAGCCAAGCAAAGCCTGGATGGACGCCTTCGCTCCTGCTCCCGGCAGCAGCCCTGACTAGGGACAGAGGCCACCGGGCTGCTGCTCCACCCGCCCCACCCCACTCACCACAAGGATGAGCACGCGGAGTTCAGGCCAGTGTGACTCGGGGGCCACTTGCCGAGCGATGCTGTCCTTCCCGTCGGCCTGCTCTCCCATCTGCCACTCCACAAAGCCCCCATACAGGCTCCGGCAGGCGCTGCCTGAGCCCCGGCGAGCCACTTCTGAGAGGTCACTCTCCACGCCGTAGACACGGGCCAGGGTGTAGGCTGCAGGCATGCGGATTCAGGGAGGGTCCTCAGAGCTGCCTGCGCTGTGCTCCCTGACAGCTCACCGCCCCAGGAACGTCCCACACCCCACGGCAAATGGGGATTTCCAGATGACAGGGCTTCTGGGCCATCAGCCTTTGAGGCCAGCATTCACCGGCCCAGCCGTCTGTCCCCCACCTCCGCTAGTTCCACTCTCGGACACTCTCTGTTCACGGCCTGCAGAGCTTGCGGCCCGCGACAAGGGCAACAAAAGGTACCTGCGGCAGAGCAGGAAGCCCCATGGAAGGCGGGAGAAAGGCCCCCGAGGACACCCAAGCTGGGCTTTGAGGGTGGGAAGGAATTTTAAGGCTGTGTGGGGCAGGGACCGATGCCAGGACAGAGCTGGACTCCACAAGACGCGCCCCCTGCCCACCCAGCACGGGAGCCACCTTCTCCCCTCCTCCCACAGGGCTCCAGCAGGGCAACCCCACCTCCAGGTCTGGTCACCCACCCTGGTCACCGAGGGTGGTTCAGGGAAGGCGCAGGAGCCCAGGTGGGCCAGGAAGCGTCACCCCTGGAGTTGAGGGGTGAAGATGGTGTGAGACCACCACCGGGGGGACAGGCTCTGACAGTGGGTGGGAAGCTGCCAGCAAGTGGCCTGGGGCCAGCAGAGAGCTGGGTCCAGCGGGGCCTGCAACCAGCTGTGCCCATTGGAATCCTCAGTTACGTGAGCCACAAAATCATCGCTATTTTAGGGCTGAGCCAGTTTGAAGTGGTTTCTATCACTGACAATCTAGAGGGGCTCCACATACAGCAACGGGAAGATTTTTTTATTTTTTGTAGAGATGGGGGGGGGTCTCACTATGTTGCCCAGGCTGGTCTTGAACTCCTGGCCTACAGTGCTTCTCCCCCATCAGCCTCTTAAGTACTGGGATTACAGGCGAGAGCCCCACGCCAGCTGCAACTGGAAGATGAAAATGTTCAGATGTGCTCTGGGAAGAGACTGAACAACTCCAGAGAGGCCAGGGAGGCCTGGGGTGAGGGGATGCTCTTTTAGCCACGCCCAGCAGTGGGCTCCCTGACCCGGGAAGAGCATGAAGTGGCTCCTGCGCCCACAGCCCAGAACCCCTGCGGGTCTCTGTGGGCACCCACCTAGGCAGGCATAGCCCGCCGCTGAGGAGGCCAGGCCCGCAGCCGTGGGGAAGTTGTTCACCGATGCCACGTGCACCTTGCAGCTGAGGCTGGAGGGCAGCGGGTCCCCATCCCGTGAGTTCCTCCGCTTCCGGGCCAGGCAGCGGACTGCAGAGACAATGAGACAGCGTGTGGCCCAGCCGTCAGCACCCTGCCCGCCCTGCTCCTGCCCACCTGCCCGGGGTCACAGCTGAACACCAGGCCTCTGCCTGCCAGACTCCTCGTGGAGAGTTTCTTACCCGGGAAAACCCCAGACTGACCCAAGCCCAGCTGGTCATTGAGGTGGGCCACTGCCCTGGAGCTGGCGGCCCAGCGGGCATGTCTGGTTCCCAGCCACCCCGCCTGCTGCCTCAGGAGGGGCACAGAGGCAGAAGCACTTTCTGGATGCTCGGACCCTGCTGACAACAGGGAGGGATGGGCTTATGGGGACCCCAGCTCACTCTCCCGCAGGCAGGCCTGCAGCCGCGGCTGCCCCACATCCTCCTCCCGGCCATTCAGCCAAATCCGGTCCTCGGTGAAGTCCTTGCTGATGACGGCTGTTGTGGTGGTTTTTAACTGAAAAGGAAACCCAGGGCCACCTCAGAGGCCAGCATTGAGGACCGATGCCAGCCAGGTACCCCTTTCTACTGAGAGAGCCTCATGGCTGCCCACTCGAGCAAGGTCAGCCCTGCTGAGGGCAGGGGGGGAAAGGCCAGTCTCAGCTGGGCAGTGGGGAAGCCCGTGGGGGATGAAAGCGTGGGCCACACCTTGTGGAGCAACCAGGCCTTATCCTGAATAAAGAGACGGGGACTCCCAGGGGAGCCCCTGGGGCACGGTGTGCGCATGTGTGACGAGACCTGGGGGCACATGTGTGCTGTGCTCAGCTCTCCTAATACTGGGAGATGGAACAGACACTGCGTGCTGGCTGGGAGTCGTCGCTAGGCCATCTCATCCTAGCCTTTAGGTAAAAAAGTACCAATTTTTTTTTTGTTTCAGAGACAGGGTCTCACTCTGTCACCCAGGCTGGAGTGCAGTGGTGCGATCATGGTTCACTGTGGTCTCCAATGCCTGGGCTCAAGAGACTCTCCCCAAGTGCTGGGATTGCAGATGTGAGCCACCATACCCAACGGGTACCAACTGTTCTACAAATGTTCTGGAAATGGCACTGTGGTGTTTAGTCGTCAGTCCACACATACCTGGTCCTGGTGCAGAGTGACGCTCAGGGAGGAGTTGATGGGCAGAACCAGCTCTTCATCGCGCTTGCCCCCTGTAATGAACAGCCAGGGCCAGGCCGGTGGGCTTCCCGGCCCACCCTCCCCCAGTGTTCCCCACAGGTGCCCCCACCCCCCACCCACGGCCCCCATCCGCCTCAGTCCCGTCTCTCACCGCACAACCTGTGTGCCCCTCCTCCTGCCAGACCCCGGCCTGCAAGAACTGCTCCCACCCCACTGAGCTCAGGCTCCCAGAGCAGAGCTGGAGGCCAGCCAACCTCCGTCCCCGCTCCCCATTCCTTCATCGCTTCTACTCCAGCATCCGTGAGTGCCCAGGTGCGGATCGCTCCCACCGCGGCCTGCCTCCCCTCCACCTTCCCAAACAAAAGGAGCCCAGCTCTGAGAACTCCTCACATCTCACTGCTCATATGCCCCAGGAACATCCAGGATAAACCCCTTTCTGCCCAGCACGGCCATGGGACAGCACGTGAAATCAAACTTCCAGAAAGCCCGAAAGGAAACGTTTGCCCTGGGAGCGCTGCGTGGTGCTTCAGCTGAAGTCTTATTCCACGGCGGCTTCGCTAAGCACACCATCTGCTCGGTTTTGTGCGAGGGGAGGTCTCTGAGGATGGCGGACAGTTCCAGGGGTGATAAACGCGGACACCTGGCAGAGAACCACGCCCTGCAGCTCGCGAGGCTCTTTCACGCACAGCACTGAGCGGCCCCCCTTGCAGGCGGACGCCGCTGCCCTGACAGGCCGGGCGAACCTCTGCTTTCAGGAAGGTGGGCCAGGGGACTTCTCCCGCTTCCTCCCACTGGGGACAACTGAGACCCTGGACATCACAGGTGAGACTCTCACGGGTGACAGAGGGCGGCTGTGGGACAGTGCAGGGGGAGCCCGGGGCTTTCTTTTCTGCTTGCCCTAGACCTAGCCCTGCAGAAGCTGGAACTGCCAACCAAAGCCAGCCCTCCCTAGCAGGACCAGGAAGGGCAGCCTAGCAACACAGAAACAGACTCCTGGCCGGGCGCGGTGGCTCACGCCTGTAATCCCAGCACTTTGGGAGGTCGAGGTGGGCAGATCACCTGAGGTCGGGAGTTTGAGACCAACCTGACCAATATGGTGAAACCCCATCTCTACTAAAAATACAAAAATTAGCCAGGCTGTAGTGACGCACGCCTGTTATCCCAGCTACTCAGGAGGCTGAGGCGGGAAAATCGCTTGAACCTGGGAGGCGGAGGTTGCACTGAGCCGAGATGGCACCACTGCACTCCAGCCTTACTCCAGCCTGGCAACAGAGGGAGACCCTTTCTCAAAAAAAAAAAAAAAGAAAAGAAAAAAAGAAACAGATCCCTCCCACACTCCAGGCTGGAACAGTGCCCCGCCCCCTTTCCCTCCCTGAAGGAGTGGGGACTTTCACCTCCCCAGGAGTCATTGGAGAGCACACGGGAGACTGGACTCCCCTGACCTGCCGGCTCTTGTCAGAGGCCAAGCAGACACTCAGGAATTCCTGAGGGCCTGGTGGGGATGGGACAGCGTTGGTGGGGAGGGGAACCTGGACTTCTGCCTCCTTATCTTGAGCCAGCACCCCCTCCTCCACCAGCGCGCTATCAAAAACCAGCTCAAACGTAAGGTTTAAAGAAGACCAGAGTCTCTGAACGTTACAAGAAAATGGACACGTTTCCATAAATATCACTGTTGGTGAGCCTCAGTGGCTCACACCTACGATCCCAGCACTTTGGGAGGCCGAAGCAGGCAGATCACTTGAGGTCAGGAGTTTAAGACCAGCCTGGCCAATATGGCAAAACCCCGTCTCCACTAAAAGTACAAAAATTAGCCAGGTGTGGTGGCGCACACCTGTAGTCCCAGCTACTCGAGAGGCTGAGGCAGGAGAATCGGTTGAACCCGGGAAGCGGAGGTTGCAGTGAGCCGAGATCACGCCATTGCACTCCAGCCTGGGTGTCGCAGTGACAGTCTGTCTCAAAAAAATAAATATAAAAGTAATACAAATAAATATAAAAATATAAATATAAAATAAATAAATATAAAAAATAAAAATAAAAGGCCAGACGCGGTGGCTCACACCTGTAATCCCAGCACTTTGGGAGGCTGAGGTGGGCAGATCACGAGGTCAGGAGCTTCAGACCAGCCTGGCTAACACGGTGAAACCCCATCTCTACTAAAAATACAAAAATTAGCCAAGTGTGGTGGCACGTGCATGTAGTCCCAAATACTCAGAAGACTAAGGCAGGAGAATTGCTTGAACCCAGGAGGCGGAGGTTACAGTGAGCCAAGATTGTGCCACTGCACTCCAGCCTGGGTGACAGAGCAAGACTCTGTCTCAAAAAAAAAAAAAAAAAAAAAAAAAATAGCAGAAGAGAAAATCCAGAAATAGACCCACACAAACATGCCCAGCTGATTTTTTTTTTTACAAAAGTGCAAAAGCAATTCAATAGAGGAAGGATAGCCTTTCTGGGCTAACTGGACAACCTTGGATCACAGACTTAAATATAAAAGGCAATCCTGTACAACTTGGAGGAAAGCAGACAATCTTCAGGACATAGGGCTAAGCAAAGAGGTCTTAGACTTGACATCAACATTGATACACTGAACTTCTTTAAAATGAAAAACTGGCTCTTTGTTAAGAGGACAAAAAGATTAGCTAGTTTGGGAGACAATACCTGCAAACCACATGTCCAACAGGAGACTAATATCTAGAATACATATTTTATTTTTTTTCAGTAGAGACGGGGGTTTCACCATGTTGGCCAAGCTGGTCTCAAACTCCTGACCTCAGGTGATCCGCCCACCTCAGCCTCCCCAAGTGCTGGGATTACAGGCTTGAGCCAGCGTGCCCAGCCTAGAATGTGTAATGAACTCTCCAAACTTATAGTAAAAAAGCAAACCATCCAGTTCGAGCGTGGACACAGAATATGAAGAGAGATTTCACCAAGAAAACCCACAGATGGCAAATAAGCACAAAGAAAGATGCTCCACGTCACTGGCCAACAGGGAAACGCGAATGAGGACCACAGCACCCTGCCAGCACATCCCTACCAGGACGCGGCTAAAATGAAAAACAGCAACTCCACCAAATGCTGGTGAGGATGCGGAAAATCTGCATCACCGTAGGGATGCAAAATGGCCCAGCCACTCTGAAAAACAATTAGACAGTTTCTTTAAAAAAAAAAAGTATATATATAATATATATATGTATATATACACACACATACATCTATATAGGTGTATACATATACACACACATATATCTATACAGGTGTATATATATATACACACACACAAACATACATATATACATAGAAAGAGAGAGAGAGACAGAGAGGCATATATATATATCTACCATCTGACCCAGCAACCGCACTCCTGGGCATTTATCCCAGAAGAATGGAAATGTATGTTCACACAAAAACCTGTATACAACATTTTATGGCAGCTTTATTGGTAAGGGAAACACAAAAAAATTAGCCAGTCGTGGTGGCGGCTTCTGGAAAGAAAAGAAAGAAAGAAAGAAAACGTTAGATGCTCTTTGCGGGGTGAGGCCTTGGCTAGAGAGAGGGTGGTCCATGGATTCCACGGACTGGCTCAGCAACAGAGGGGCAAAGCACTGATACAATCCCGGGGCACGTCCACATTCTATGCTGAATGAAATAAGCCAAACTCAAAAGATACTGGGTGGGCCACATAACTGCGATTCCAGTTTCAGAACATTTTGAAATGACGTTACAGAAATGAGTGGTCAGTGGCGGCCAGGTAACCCCGGCGCGAGGGGAGGGGCGGGGCTGTGAACGCACAGGTGCGGACCGGCCTCCCCGGCACGGATGTGGGCCTGCGGGCCCCCCATTACCGCTCCTTGGAGGTTACCGCTGGGAGAAACGGGGCGAGGGAGGGACACAGGGTCTCGGGCTGGGGGAGCAGTGGCGCGATTTCCGCTCACTGCAGCCTCGACCTCCCGGGCTCTGGCCATCCTCCCGCCTCAGCCTCCCGAGTAGCTGGAGCCACAAACGCGCACCACCACGGCGGATTCTTACGATTCATGGGAATCGATGATTGATGATTTCGATAGTTCGGTAATCGCTAATGGGCAGGCGCCGGGCGACCCTGCAGGGGCGGCAGCCGTCGCGGGGGAACGGGTGGCGCCGAGCTTGTCACGCGAAGGAGCGCGCGGCCCCGCCCGACCACCGCCGCGCCCCTCCCTGAGCCTCAGTTTCCCCGTCTGTCGAGGCCCTGGGAGGGCAGGACGGAGCGCGCCGCCGAATCAGCGCGCGACCCCCGCGTACCCGGCCTCGCTCCCGGCCATCCCCGTCCCAGGCCGGCCCGCGGCACTCACAGTACTTGATGACCGCGATGTTGACCGGCGCTGTACAAGTGACTGCCGCCAGCGGCTTCTCCGAGGCCATGGTCCCACCGCGCAGTGACCCCAGCTCCACAGCCACTTACGGCCCGCGATCCCACCCCAGAGGCCTCTGCCTCCTCACGCGCTACCACAGGATTGGCCCGTGCGAGCCCGGCTGCTCGCGCGCCGACCAATCAGCGGCGAGTCGGGCGCACGCATTACCTCTCAGCCAATGGACGGGATCGGACGATGGGTTGCTGACGTAGGTCCGCCCCACCCGCAGGGTGCGCTCGCCAGGCCTGGGGCGTGGTGTTGTCTGCGCAGGCGCCGTGTGCCCAGGCGCCTGGCGTCCGCGTCGGCGATCCGGGGTCTGGGCGCGGCGAGGTGGGCGCTGTTGCCTGTGGGGGCTACCTGTCTGCTGGTGCTGTGCGGGCTTGTGCGGGGCTGTGCGGCAGCTGTGTGGGGCCCGTGAGGAGCTGTGCGGGGGGCTGTGCGAAGGGCTGTGTGAGGCGCTGTGCTGGGGGCTGTGCGGAGACCTTGAGGCGCTGTGCGGGGTCCGTGAGGCTCTGTGTGGGGCGCCGTGTGGGAGACTCTGCGGGGGCCGTAAAGGGTCCGTGAGGCGCTGTGTGCGGGTTGTGAGGCGCTGTGCGGGGACCATGAAGGGGCCGTGGGGCGCTGTGCGGGTGCCGTGGGGCGCTGTGTGGGAGGGAGGCTGTGCGGGGCCGTGGGACGGTGTGCGGGGCTGAGGGGAGGGCGGGTCGCGCTGTGCCCTCCTTGAAGCTCTTGGACGGCCCCGCTGGGTATGGGGGTGCACACAGGCCCGAGGGCAGGCGCTGGAGGATGTATCCCGGGATCCACTCTTAACCCGGCAGCCGAAGGCACCCTGTCCCGCCGCCCACAGCCTTCTCCGCGCCATGTCCTGGGCCAGGATCCCCCGCCACGGGGCTCACACGAAAGACCCCGGGGCGGGGAAGCCCCGCAGCCCGGAGCTGGGTCCAACCTGCATTAAGGTGGGCGTCTCAAATACCCCCTGTAAGGCCCTGTAGGAGCAAAGCCTTGGACTGGGTTGCGGCGCTTGTGTGTGCATTGACTTCTCCTGTGAAACGTACAGGAACATTTAAGCGTGCCGTTCCCTGCCATTCATTCCAATCATGTGCCACGCCCCCACTATTTCTAGAGTTTTCTCACCCCAAACAGAAACTCTGTCCCCTTAAAACAATGACTTCCCATTTTCCCCTTCCCCTTTTAAAATTTTACCTTTAGTTTTTAAATAGCTCAGATTGGCTGGGCATGGTGGCTCACACCTGTAATCCCAGCACTTTGGGAGGCCGAGGTGGGCGGATCACGAGGTCAGGAGTTTGAGACCAGCCTGGCCAACATGGTGAAACCCTGTCTCTACTAAAAATACAATAATTAGGTGGGCGTGTGGTGCACGCCTGTAATCCCAGCTACTGGGGAGGCTGAGGCAGGACAATTGCTTGAACTCAGGAGGCGGAAGTTGCAGTGAGCCGAGATGGTGCTGCTGTACTCCAGCCAGGGTGACAGAGCAAGACTCCATCTCAAAAAAAAAAAAAAAAAAAAAAAAAACTCAGATTTCGGAAAATAGGGGAGTATGCAGTGTGAAGTGTCCACTCTGCCTAGCCACCTACTTCTATTACCAGAACCATCATACTTATAAATTCTTTATTTTTTTCCAGAAATAGAAAAAAAGTCTGTTTTTTTTCTCACTCTGTTGCTCAGGCTGGAGGGCAGTGGTACGATCAAAGCTCCATGCAGCCTCGACCTCCTGGCTCAAGGGATCTTCCCACCTCAGTTTCCTCAGTAGTTGGGACTACAGGTACACACCACCATGCCCGGCTAATTTTTTTCTTAATTTTTTTGTAGAGATGTGGGGGGGTCTTGCTATGTTGCCCAGGCTGATTTGAAGTCCTGGCCTCAGGGAACCCTCCCATCTCAGTCTTCCAAAGTACTGGGATTAGGTGTGAGCCACTCCACCTGGCCTGTCAATTCTTTGTGTATTTTTTCATTGACGTGCATAGTACAAGCACATAGCGTGTTCTCCCACCTTGCTTTTTCTACGTACCTTCTTCTTAGAGATCATCCCAATTTAGTAAAAAGCTTCCTTGTTTGTTGTCTAAATATACCTGGTCTGTCCTAGTTGGGTTGTTACTATAAACAGTGCTTTCCTACGTTGTTTGTGCACATGTATTTCTGCAGGAGAAATTCCTGGAAGTGGAATTGCTGGGCCAAGTGGGATGTGCCTGAGTACTTTTGATAGCTGTTGGCAAGTCGCCCTTTGTGGAAGTCAATTGATTACTCAGGTCTCTCTGCGGAAGTCTGAGAGTGCCTGCATGCCTTCACCAGCACAGTGGGTCACCTGCCAGAGTGACATGTGTTGTCTCACTGTTTTCAATTTGCATTTCAGATGGTGGTTATTTTTAATTTCTCTTGCAATCACAGCTGCTTTTCCATTTTATGCAAAGCCACTAAATCCTATTGAAGAGCTGATGTGGACTGTCTCGGCCTATAGTCAGGGTGTATTCCCTCAGCTACTCAGAGAGAGTGGGGCTTCCAGTCACCTCCTTCCTTCTGCCACGGCTGTGATGAAAAAGAAGACACAGGCTTGGTGCTTTGGGAGGCCAAGGAGGGCAGATTGTTTAAGTCCAGTAGAAAAAAAAACAATTTATTTTTGTTTAGAGACAGGGTCTCACTCTGTTGTCCAGGCTGGAGTGCGATGGCACCATCAGCTCACAGCAGCCTCAACCTCCTGGGCTCAGGTGATCCTCCCACTTCAGCCTCCCAAGTAGCTGTGATAAGTGCCACCACTCCTGACTAATTTTTATTTTTTATTTTGTAGAGATGGAGGTCTTACTGTGTTGCCCAGGCTGCTCTTTTTTTTTTTTTTAGACAGAGTCTCGCTGTGTCACCCAGGCTGGAGTGCAGGGGGGCAATCATAGCTCACTGCAACTTCTGCCTCCTGGTTTCAAGTGATTCTCATGCCTCAGCCTCCCAAGTAGCTGGGATTACAAGCGTGCACCAGCAGGCCCGGCAAATTTTTGTATTTTTAGTAGAGACGGGGTTTCGCCATGTTTGGCCAGGCTGGTCTCAGACTCCTTGCCTCAAGTGATACGCCTGCCTCGGCCTCCCAAAGCACTGGGATTACAGGCGTGAGCCACCATGCCTGGCGTTTTTATTATTATTATTTTTTTTTTTTTTTTTGAGACAGAGTCTCGGTCTGTCACCCAGGCTGGAGTGCAGTGGCGTGATCTCGGCTCACTGCAACCTCCGCCTCCCACGTTCACGCCATTCTCCTGCCTCAGCCTCCCAAGTAGCTGGGACTACAGGCGCCCACCACCACGACCGGCTACTTTTTTTTGTTATTTTTAGTAGAGACGGGGTTTCACTGTGTTAGCCAGGATGGTCTCGATCTCCTGACCTTGTGATCCGCCCGCCTCAGCCTCCCAAAGTGCTGCGATTGCAGGCGTGAGCCACTGTGCCTGGCCCTATTTTTTTAAGTTTTAGATAACCTCTATTGATTATGACTCAATAGAAATAAGGAATTCTCTTCCATCTCCCAGTCACATACCTTCTTATCCTATCCCTCCATCAGCATTCCTTATTTTCATTATTACAATTATCTAAGTTATACTCACAGTTGAGCCATGTAGCAATGGGTGCCGACAGTGTGCTTGTGGGCAGACTCCCTTATTGAGTGGAGAACTAGGATAAACTACCTCCCTGAAAGATGTCACACATCGATCCCCACCCTGACGCCTGTAGCCCAGCTCTCCTGAACCTCAGCCTGTATGTGTGTCGAAAATAGGCCAAGCATGGTGGTCCATGCCTGTAAGCCCAGCAGCACTTTGGGATTTGGGAGGACTGCTTGAGGCCTGGAGTTCAAGACCAGTCTGGGCAACATAGCGAGACTCCACCATATCCACAAAAAAAAAATTTTTTTTTTTTTTTTTTTTAAGACACAGTCTTGTTCCATTGCCCAGGCTGGAGTGCAGTGGTGCAATCTCGGCTCACTGCAACCTCCGCCTCCCAGGCTCACTGCAACGTCCGCCTCCCAGGCTCACTGCAACCTCCGCCTCCCAGGCTCAAGTGATTCTCCTGCCTCAGCCTCCCAAGTAGTTGGGACTCCAGGTGTGTACCACCACACCCAGCTAATTTTTTTGTATTTTTAGTAGAGACGGGGTTTCACCATGTTAGCCAGGATGGTCATGGTCTCGATCTCCTGACCTCGTGATCCACCCGCCTAGGCCTCCCAAAGTGCTGGGATTACAGACATGAGCCACCGCATCCAGCCTACAAAAAAATTTTTTCAAAATTAGCTGGCCGTAGTGGTGCACACCTGTACTCCCAGCTACTAGAGAGGCTAAAGCAGGATGATCGCTTGAGCCCAGGAGTTCAAAGCTTCAGTGAGCTCTGATCACACCACCGCACCTGAGCCACAGGCATGGGTGCTTTGCTGAGTATGGTATGGGTAGGCTGTGTGTGGCACTGATTCATGAGGGGAGAGGGTCTGGGAGATGAATGGGAAGCCAGACAGCTGGAGCCCGTGGGTGGGCCCTGACTGGTGTTGGGGCAAGGAGGGGAAGCCCAGCCAGGGCTGAGCATGTCCTGCCTGGTTCCAGGCCTGCAGCCCTGGGGGTTTGGCCTGGACAGGCCAGCAGAGGGGCCCCGAGCACAGCCTGCACAGCATCCTACTGCTGATCCCCGGGGCTTCCTGCGTCCTGGCGCTTCCTGTCCTTTCCCCAAGCCCAGGCATCTGGGACTTTAAAAAGTCAGAAAGCAACTGGAAAGGAAGGCATGTGTCTAGCTTGCTCTATATCTGCCTTGCATTGGGAGGCCTTCAGTGGGAATGTTTTTCTGGAAGCAGTCAGCAAATGTGAAACACCATGAAGCCAGGCGATTGGAGAGGTAAAAAGAAGCGAGGACTCAGGGAATATGGGCATTTTAAAAATAATAATTTAAATTAAAAAAAGACAAGGAAATGTTTATTCCAGAGGAGTTAACAATTTGATACTTTTTTTTAACTTTTATTTTAGGTTTGGGGGTACATGTGAAGGTTTGTTACATAAATAAACACATGTCACGGGAGTTTGTTGTAAAGATTATTTCATCACTCAGGTACTAAGCCCAGTACCCAATAGTTATCTTTTCTGCTCCTCTCCCTCCTCCTGCCCTCCCCCCATCTTTTCTGCTCCTCTCCCTCCTCTTGCCCTCCCCCCATCTTTTCTGCTCCTCTCCCTCCTCCTGCCCTCCCCCCATCTTTTCTGCTCCTCTCCCTCCTCTTGCCCTCCCCCCATCTTTTCTGCTCCTCTCCCTCCTCCTGCCCTCCCCCCATCTTTTCTGCTCCTCTCCCTCCTCCTGCCCTCCCCCCTCAAGTGGACCCCCGTGTCTGTTATTTCCTTGTGTTCATAAATTCTTATCATTTAGCTCCCACTTATAAGTGAGAAGATGCAGTATTTGATTTTCTATTCCTGCGTTAGATACTTACTTTTTATTTTTCATTTGTTTGTTTTGAGACAGGGTCTCACTCTGTTGCCCAGACTGAATGCACTGGCAAGGTCACGGCTCACTGCAGACTTGGCCTCCTATGCTCAAGCAATCCTCTTGCCTTGGCCTCCTGAAGTACTGCGATTACAGACTTAGCCACCACACCCAACCAATTTTTTAATTTTTTTGTTTTTTTGTAGAAACAGGGTCTTGCTATGTTGCCCAGGCTTGTCTTAAACTCCTGGGCTCAAGTGATCCTCCCACCTCGGCCTCCCAAAGTGCTGGGATTACAGGCATGAGCCACCACGCCTAGTCTTCTCCTCTACACAAGAGTCAGTAGAGAAACCTGGCTTCCCCACAGGACTGCTTGAGTCCAGATCTCAATCCGCTGTCTTCCTGCAGCTCCTCCCACCATATCACCCCACACACTGGCCCCACTATAAAAAGCAGCACCATATTTGCGGTCCTGATCAGATACCCTACTCTGCCTTCAAAGTCAAAGGGGCCGGTCACGGTGGCTCACGCCTGTAATCTCAGCACTTTGGGAGGCCGAGGCGGGCGGATCACTTGAGGTCAGGAGTTCAAGACCAGCCTGGCCAACATGGTGAAACCCCCCTCTCTACTAAAAAATACAAAAATCAGCTGGGTGTGGTGACATGCACCTGTAGTCCCAGCTACTTGGGAGGCTGAGGCAGGAGAATCGCTTGAACCGAGAGGTAGAGGTTGCAGTAAGCCAAGATCGCACCACCACACTCCAGCCTGGGCAAGAGAGCAAGACTCTGTCTCACAAAACAAAAAAAAAGAAGTGAAAGGAAATCTCAGAATTTCTTACCGAGTGACAATATAAATTAGAGACAAAAATGACAGACTCTGGCTGGGTGCAGTGGCTCATGCCTGTAATCCTAGCACTTTTGGAGGCCGAGACGTGTGGATCACTTGAAGTCAGGAGTTCGAGACCAGCCTGGCCAACATGGCAAAACCCCGTCTCTACTAAAAATACAAAAATTAGCCGGGTATGGTGGTGCGTGCCTGTAGTCCCAGCTACTTGGGAGACTGAGGCAGGAGAATCGCTTGAACCTGGGGGGTGGAGGTTGCAGTGAACTGAGATCGCACCACCGCACTCCAGCATGGGCAACAGAATGAGACTCCATCATAAATAAATAAATAAATAAATAAATAAATAAATAAATAAAATTACAAACTCTGGGTCTAAATTGCCCGAGTTTAAAGAACAGCTCTGCTACTGATTCACTGTGTGACTTCAGGCAAGCTACTTAACCTCTCTGTGCCCGTTTCCTCACCTGTGGGGATAAGGATGGTTTCTTGTAGATGATACAGCCCTCTGAAGGGGCCCACCCATGTTTATCTGCAGGGAGTATTATTATTGACCCACAGAGAAGCTCTTGGGTGAGTGTGGTCATCTTTCAGAAGAAACAATGTGCATTTGGTTAAATCAGTGAGTAAATACAGCTTCTTCTGTAGCTTCCAGTTTTCCAAACCAAAAGCTGCAAAGCATGCACGTGGCCGGAAACCTGGCCAGCTGGGCTGGTGGCTCAAATAGCCCTGCCGTCCTTGTGTTCGAGCCACTCACCTCGGAAAGTATTTCCCTTCAGGGACACAAGCATCCACCTCACAGTTTTCCAGCTCGCTTTCCCGCACCATGGTGCTCCTGGGTGGGAATATCTGGGGCTTGATTCATGATGCCTGGGTGGACAGAGAGGCGGGATTGCCCAAGCCTCCTGGGACTAGTGGGATTAAATTTTTTTGCCAAACAAGCAGATCCCTTTCCAGAGAAGAGAAACAAATCTGTATTTACCCTCATTAGAAATTAGTATCAGCTGGGTGCGTGCGGTGGCTCATGCCTGTAATCCCAGTACTTTGGGAGGCTGAGGCGGGCGGATCACGAGGTCAGGAGTTCGAGACCAGCCTGGCCAACATGGTGAAACCCCATCTCTACTAAAAATACAAAAATTAGCTGGGCATGGTGGTGGGTGCCTGTAGTCCTAGATACTTGGGAGGCTGAGGCAGGAGGATCGCTTAAACCCAGGAGTCGGAGGTTGCAGTGAACTGGGATCGCACCACTGCACTCCAGCCTGGGCGACAGAGCAAGACTCCGTCTCAAAAAAAAAAAAAAAATTAGTATCAGCCAGGGACAGGGGCACACATCTGTGATCCCAGCACTTGCGGAGGCCAAGGCAGGAGGATTACTTGAATTCAGGAGTTCAAGACCAGGCTGGACAATATTGCGAGACCCTGTCTCTATAAAAAGTTAGCCAGGCATGTGGCACACACCCAGCTACTCACGAGGCTGAAGCAGGAGGATTGCTTGAGCCTAGGAGGTTGAGGCTTCAGTGAGCCCTGATTGCACCACTGCACGGCAGCCCGAGCAACAGAGCCTGATCCTGTCTCAAGAAGAAGAAGAAAATAAAATTAGACTAGGGGCACGGTGTAGCTCACACCTGTAATCCTTGTATTTTGGGAGGCCGAGGCCAGCAGAATCCTTGAGCTCAGGAGTTTGAGACCAGCCTGGGCAACAAGATGAGACCCAGTATCTACGAAAAATGCAAAATATTAGCTGGGCCTGGTGGCGTGCACCTGTAGTGTCAGCTACTTGGGAGGCTGTGGGAGGATCCCTTGAGCCTGGGAGGTCAAGGATGCAGTGAGCCAAGATTGTGCCACTGCACTCCAGCCTGGGTGACAGAGAAAGACCCTGTCTCAAAAAAGCAAAAACAGAAAAGTTTGTCTAAATCTTTTTCAGGTCTGGTGTGGCAGATGTGGATAGCTGGACCCTCCTGGGTGCCTCTGCGTTATGTCGTTTGGTTGATGCATTTGGAGAGAATCTGTGCTCTCCACAACTGCAGGGGCAACATGCTTTCCTGGCCTCTTCAGATCAGGGTGGCTGTTCTTGGGTGCTGCACCAAAACTCCAGCAGTGGGCTTTCTTCAAGGTGAGCTGCAAGATGGAATCTGAGGCCCACCCGTCAGTAAGAGTTTCCTCCTGGTATCCATGGAATCTACTGGTCTGTCTCACTTTGGCCTTTGACCCAGGCAGGGGTTCCTAACATCTACATCGGTCATTCGGACAGCCTTGCTTTTGGTTCACTGCCTTACACGGGGCTTCCAGATGTTGACCTGCTTCATTTTACAGTATCAGGAAATCACTTTCCCCTCAGAAAGTAAGCATGGGAAGCTGTTAGGCTTTTAGTGGAAGGTGAAAGTTTCCAAATTTTCTTTTTCATTAGACTGTGTAAGTTTTACCATTGGCAGTAAGTTCTGTCTGTTGTTCCTCTTGAAGTGGCCGGCTCACCTCATTCCTGCCAAGACCCAGGTCCGTGTTCTCACAGTGCTGCCATCTTTCCTCCGTGTGAGCGTGGGCTGTGCGGAGAGTGGACCTCGGTGTGTGCGGGGCTGCGTGCACTGCCATCGCTCCCTCTACACGAGCCGGCGTGGACCCAGGGCTGAGCTGTGACCACGAGGGCCATCCCGACGAGCCGCCATGGACCCAGGGCTGAGCTGTGACCATGAGGGCTATCCCGACGAGCTGCCGTGGACCCAGGGCTGAGCCGTGACCATGAGGGCCATCCCGAAACTGTGATTGTTTTCTGGTATGTGGGGGATGTGCCAGAACCAGGGCTGAGCTGTGACCACGAGGGCCATCCCGGAGCTGTGATTGTTTTCTGGTGTGTGGGGAATGTGCCAGCACTCACGTGGCTATGGCTGCTTTTGCACCATGGGTGCGTGTGCCAAACAGGAGAGCAGCTCTGCCCAGCAGAAGCCACTTAGAGGGTCTCAAGGGGTCTGCAGACCACCTGTAAGAACAACTTGTTCTGAGACGAGGGAGACCCCACCATGCTGGGCAGAGCCCAGCTGGGGTGCGGTGGGGGGGCACACCCTGTCACGGCACCGCAGAAATGATGCTTGGTGGATGGGACGGCAACGGGACCAGGACCCGCTGGCTGGGCTGTGTCTCCATCTCAGCCCCTCTTTTTGCCAATGCAAAACAGTTGAGTTTCACAAGGGCCTTGTGCGGATGAGAAGTGCCCTGTGATCTCACTGCCCACCTTCTCTCGCCTCTCAGCTTCATTTCTGAAGTTTCCTGGGCCTCCCCGCTGCCTGTTCCCAGGGGAAGCAAAAAGGAGCTGGTATTTGGGGCTGGATAAGCAACACTGCAGTGATCTGCGTCTTCCTGCGGATGTATCACAGGCTCACCCTCACTCAGAGAACAAGCACAGGGGAGGGGAGGGGAGGGGAGGGAGAAGCAGGGGAGCTGCTGAAGAGAAGGGGCTGCTTTAAGATTCCCAGATTTGGCGTTGAGGTGGGGGTTTCTGGGAAGGAGCTGGGGTGGCAGTGCTGATTGACATCCTGTGGGAAGGTGGCCCTGCATTTCCTTGGGATTCCCAGAGATGGCGCATGACCCCTGGCAAGATGGGAGGCGTCTATCTACCGTTAGGCTGGGCCCTGGGTCTGAAACTCTGCCGCCTTTACCCATTCGCATGATACAGCTCTACCCAACCCCGGGGCAGGTGCTGAGCTGCTCTCAGGCATTGCCGTGGGCCGGGCCAGGGGTGGCTGTGAAGACAGACTCGCTGCAACTAGAACCTGGCGTCCAGAAATAGAGATCCTAAGAGGAGTCAAAGCTGAGAGTGTTCCTTAGGTTGGCAGTTTTATTTTGGGTGTCCTAAATGTCTTTGGTTTTTTTTTTTCTTTTCTTTTCTTTTTGTTTTTTAAGGCAGGGTCTCGCTCTGTCACTCAGGCTGGAGTGCAGTGGGGCGATCTCAGCTCACTGCAACCTCCGATTCCCAGGTTCAAGTGATCCTCCTGCCTCAGCCTCCTGAGCAGCTGGGGTTGCAGGCGCACACCACCACGCCTGGCTAATTTTTGTATTTGTAGTAGAAACAGGGTTTCACCATGTTGGCCAGGCTGGTCTCGAACTCCTGGCCTCAGATGATCTATCCACCTCAACCTCCCAAAATGCTGGGATTACAGGCGTGAGCCACTGCGCCCGGCCAGCCTTTGGTTTTTCTATGGCTTACTTGGAGTTCTCTTTAATTCTGACATAGAAGTTCGCACAATCCCTCTTTTACAGATGAAGAAACCAAGGCTTTGTGACTAACTCAACCCCTCAAGAAGGACAAAACTAGCATCAGAGCCCCTTGCTCCTGGGTCTGGCAAGAATGCCTCTTGTTTGCTGAGAGGTCCACAGATTTACCCGGCTCAAGACTGGGAGATGGGAGGTGACCAGGTCAGTGCCAGCCTCTCTCTGAGCTCCTCTGAGTCGTGGCAGCTGAGGTGCTCCTCCGAGAATGTTCTGCCATCCGTGAGGTCGTGTACGCCTGGAAGCTTTTGTTCCATTGAACTCTGCCAGGGAGCTATACTTAGCCACGCGAGTGGAGGCCAGGAGTGGGTTCTCTGAATATAGATAGTAGCAAGCAGGCTATTTTCAAACACCTAGAGAACCCCCATGATTATTCTGGGCCAAAATGATATTTATAGGATGCTCTGGGCCCTTGGACATGAAGGCAATAACCTTAGCGCCTTTTGGCGTTCGGGATAAGTTTCTATCAACGGGGAGTGGAGAGAGGGACCCGGTCACCCAGAGGCCCGCTGTCCCTCAACACCTGTTTCCAGGAGGCCAGGCGTCTTCTTTGCTTTTACACTATGAGTCAGAGAACAGCGAGAGGCACGCAGGGCCCTACTAATTTTCCTTCCTGCACACCCTGGTGTGGGTCCTGTCTGAGGCCTGCCGTGTGCTATTAGGGAAGACGTCATCAGGGGACTTTTTCTGCTGTGAGGAGGGTGCAGCCCCTGCCTTTCAGAGCTCAGGACACCCTCTTCCTCTTGTCCAGGATCCTCAGGGATTTCCTAGGCTTCCACCCTCACCCAGACATCACTGGACCGTCACTGAAACACCCGCTTCCAGTGTGCTCAGGTCCTGCAGCCTCCTGTCCATCCTTGCCCCGCCTCCCGCCCGGAGGAAAGACTCTGACACTGCCCCTGGAAGAGGGAGGAGAGTGGATGTGATGAGTGAAGATTTGGGTGGGGAAAGGAAGGCCTGAGTCCTGGGAGGAAGAGCTCTCCCCGCCCCGAGCCCCCGGAGACTGTGAGCAAGGCTGAGACGCCTCCTTCCTGGTGCTCAAGCTGCAGGTGTTGGATAGGCCTCCAGAAGCCCAGATTTTAAATGACCGCTCCAGGTTAACCTGGGGATGGTCAGGCAGAACAAGGAGGAGAGGCCAGCAGTGAAGGGCAGGGCTGGTGGGCAGTGGCTGGGGGTGTCCTGGGTGGGGCTGGCCACCCTCGCTGCCTCTGACTTGGGCCAGACCTGCGTTAAGTGGAGTGGCTCCTCCATTCTTTACACCCCAGGCCCCTGGCAGGTGCCCTGCCTTTCCTCTGCCCCTCTCTCTGCCAACCCATCCTCTCCCTCCCAGCCCCTGCCCGCCCAGATATAAATATAAGAGCATTTTCCATGGGCTGAGACAGAAGGGAAAACATTCAGCTTTATTTTCGGCTTGTGAAATTCCTGTCCTTCATTCCCAACAGGTGCAATCGCCTCATTTAGATATTGGGACCCAGAAATAGAAGACAATTTACAATATAGCTTCCTTTAGGGATCTGGATGCTACCAAACAAACAAACAAACAAAAAAAGCCCTCCTGTGAGATGCCGAGACTTAATAGAAACCGTGGTTGGAGCTCTTGCCTTTTTCCAGGCCGGTGGAGACCCTCACCCCTGGCAGCCTGACCGTGAAGCAGAGGAGGCAAGAGCTCCGGGAGACAGTCGGGAGGGAGGGGGCCCTGGAGGACAGGCTCCTAGCCCTACTCCTCCTCAAGACCCGGGTGCTGGCCTGTCCCCTGCCTTTGCCCCGATGGGGATGAGGGAGAGGAGATGGGTCAGGGAACAGCTATGGCCATTGGGGAAGGTGACTTGGATGCAACCTTTGAAAGAGATGCTTCCAGTAAACCCCATCGGTTAAGATCAGCTGTCCCCCATGATCCTTTGTGTGTGTTTTTTTGTTTTCACACAGGGTCTCGGTCTGTCGCCCAGGCTGAGTGCAGTGGTGTGATCTTGGCTCACTGCAACCTCCACCTCCTGGGCACAAGCAATCCTCCTGCCTCAGCCTCCTGGATAGCTCAGACTACAGGGGTGTGCCACCATACCCAGCTCATTCTTTTGTATTTTTAGTAGAGACAGAGTTTTGCCATGTTGCCCAGGCTGGTCTCAAACTCCTG
Source organism: Homo sapiens (assembly GCF_000001405.40). Classification (NCBI taxonomy): domain Eukaryota; kingdom Metazoa; phylum Chordata; class Mammalia; order Primates; family Hominidae; genus Homo; species Homo sapiens. The sequence goes on from NC_000016.10 coordinate 88,675,744, forward strand.
GGCTCAAGTGATCCACCCGCCTTGGCCTCCCACAGGGCTGGGATTACAGGAGTGAACTCCCATGCCTGGCCCTCATGATCCTTTGTAGACTGAGGGACAAAAGAAGAGGGTGAGGCCTCCCCTCTCCTCAGCGCTGAGTGCAAGGACCCTCAAGGCAACTCTTGGCAAAGCCCCATGTTTCCACTGGCTGTTTAGGTGGAATTGCGTCCCCCCGCTTCCGTATGTTGAAGTCCTAATTTTCGGGCCCTCCGCTTGTGACCATATTTGGAAGTAGAGGCTTTGCAGATGTCATGAGTTAAGATGGGGGCCTCCTGGAGCAGGGCAACATGACTGTATCCTCATAAGAAGAGGAGAGACAGAAACAGACACACACAGGGAGATGCCACGGGACTCCCAAAGCCACAAGAAAGCCTGGAACAGCCCCGCCCTCACAGCCTCTGAAGGAACCAGCCCTGCCTTCACCTGGATCTGGGACTTCCAGCCTCCAGGACTGGGGGAGAATGAAACTCTGTTGTTTCGGCCACTCAGGCTGGGGTGCTTTGTTATGGCAGCTGAGTGGGTGCCTCCCTCTCTGGGGACGGCCAATCCCTGTAGGGGAGGCAGTGGTCCCGGTCCAGGAAGGTGAGAGAGGCTTTCTCAGTGTCTTCACTTCGCCAGCTCACGTGGAGACTGGTAGCGGCTGGAGCCCAAGCTCTTCTGGGGAGCCGGTTTACTCAAGGTCACCCTTGATCCAGCGGAGCCCAAGGTCTAGGTCAAGCTTCCTCTGGGATGTCCCCAAGGCTCTTCAAACAGGTGTCGTCAAGCCATCTGCCCAAGGGCCCGTCAGCACCTGGCAGGTGTTAGCCAGGCTGATCTGCAGGCGGGGCTGCCCCGAGTGGGGCTCCCACTGCCCGGGTTGGGACTGGAGCAGCCAAGTGGCTGAGCAACAAGGTGCTTCATGTGTGGTCCCTGTGAGCCCCCCTGAATAGTCTCATGGACAGACGGATGGACGGGAGGCTCAGTGGGCTCTGGGAGCAAGGGGAGCGCTTGCCGCTCTCCACGTGGCTCCATTCCAGGACCAGGACAATGATGTCTTCCTGTCTGCAGCCAGAAGCAGGGCAGCTGACAGCGGCCCAGCCCTCCTGAGGGACAGGTGTCCGCTCCCAGAAACCTCCCTTCCACCATCCCCATCAGCGAAGGTGTCAGGGACTAGGAGGGGCCTCCTTGCTCCTTCCTGGACGCTGCCCCTGGGGTTGAGCTGGAGAGGCTGAGACATGCTGGGAAGAGGAGGACCAGCCCAGTGGGCGGCCGCCCAACAGCTCGGCGGTGAGAAGAGGCCACGTGTAAGAAGGAAACGCCACCACCCCACTGGATGGTGGGAGCAGGACTCCAGGGAGGGGGGTCTTGAGTGTAGGCAACCATGTCGATTTGGCACAGTGTCTCAACAGGGCAGGGCAAGGGTCTGGGATTCCAGTTCACGGATGCCCCAGGTACCATGGGTGGACAGAGGCCCAGACCCTCTGCAAGACAGCAGTGATCATGTCAGACCCTCGCAGCGCTTGAGGGCTGCAGCAGGAGCCCTGAGTCCTCTGTTCTGACCAGGCAGCAGGGAGGACTCGCTGCCCCCAGCTGCACAACGCCTGCCCCGGCCTTGGTCTTGGCCCTCTACCCGGCACCAGCTGGAGCCTCTTGGCCATTCCTCTGTGCCATGGGACACTCTCCCACTCCTGCGCTGGCTTCTGCCCACAGTGGCGCCCCTGCTCACCCACTGGCAGTGTCCCCACCTCTCAGAAGAGTTTTTCACAGTGGCAGGCCCTGACCCAGAGTCTCCTGCCTACTTGGTGGCTAAAGGCCCCAGGCGATCCCCAAATCCTGCTGTCTCAGGGAGTTTCTCAGAGTCCCACCTCCTCCACAGAACCAGGGGATTGGCCAAGACTCAAAGCTTCGAAGAACGGAACATGCAGGTGTGCAGAGACCATTTATTACCCCACGGCTGTTATTGCCTGGGAAGCTGAGTGCCCTGAGACCCCAGCCCCCTGAGGCTCTGACCGGGACAAATCCCACAGGCACTCCGCCTCATCCCAACACACCCAAATCACCAATCGTGGGCTCTCCCAGTCCTGCCCCATCTCCCGGAGAGTCTAGTGAGGTGGGGAGGGCACGTGTGTGTACATGTTTGAGTGTGTGTGCACATGCACATAGACGTGTGACATGGGGCAGCTCGTCCCAGACCCCAAACCAAAGGCTGGCGGGGGCTGGCTGAGAGGTAGTTGTGCCTACTGAGGAAGGGCCACAGGGCGGTGCTCACTATAAGTCAGAACTGTTCATTTCTGCTGCAATGGAACTAGGCAGCCTTGCCAGCCATCCGGCGGCAGTGCCGGCCCATGCTGGCGGCCACCTCCCCGAGGCTCTGACTCTTGGAAGGGTAGCCCCGGAGACCTGGCCGTGTCGAAATGGAACCATGGCTCTTGTTCTGATGAAAGCCTTCCCCGGGAGAGGAGTCTCCTCTGAGTGGGCTCCGCGCGGTGGGATGCCTGGGGGAGTGTCCTCCGGCCCAGTGGCCCCCGCTGGACTTCTTTGGTTCTGATTGGACGCAGATGTGGAGGACGCACCAAGTGTGAGGCCAGGCCCCGCCCTCCCAGACTCCTGGCTCCTCTGGGGGCAGGAGGGACGCCAGCTCTCCCGGTGAGGACCATCCCTCCTACCTGCGCCGACCACGTGCCTCTCAGGGGCCCGGGCAGCAGCCAGACTCCTCATGCCGCGCCAGGAGGGACATGCGGGAGAAGGTCTTGGTGCAGCGCCGGCACCGGTACTTCTTGGCGTCTGAGTGCGTTTGCAGATGGGCCCGAAGGTTGGAGCGGTCGGCAAAGGCCCTGCTGCAGTGCGAGCAGGCATAGGGCTTCTCCCCTGTGGGAGGAAGGCGGCGGCCAGTGACACCATGGAAGATGGAGTGAAGGCTAAAGCACCCACCCTGCCCATCAATGGATACTCCCATCCCTTCCCCACAAATGCTCACAGCCAGAGCACCCAAGGTTGAGCTGTGTGGGGACGGGGTGGCACGCCACATCACCTGAAGCCCCTCCCAGGAGCACAGGCAGCCACAGGTGCTAGATCTCCTAGTGTTGCTGCAGTAGCCCTCCCGGGGCCCTTGGCCACTGGGAGAGGACGGGAGAAGCACTGGGGGCCTCTGGCAGCTGTTTCTGGCCACTCACAGGCAAGTGGGGGGGTCTGGCCAGCTCCAGCAGAATCCAGGGCAGGGGCAGAGCTGTGGACCTTGAGGAGGCAGAATTTAGGAACCACCTCCCATCAGGACAACAGGGGATCTGGACAAAGTCCTGCTGGGACCTTGGCCCAACACCTGTAAAGGGAAGTGTGACTGGGAATCGTTTGTTCATTCCTGTAGCCCCATAGAGTCCTGAGAGACCTCAGCCTGCAGCCCCTGAGGGGCCCAGAGCACCTGCATTCCTGCTGGTGGGACACTGGGCATGCTCCTGGCCAGGCCAGCCTCCCGCAGGGCCTCCCCACACTCCTCACTCCCAGGCTGAGGGCACCAAGCCCCAGGGCCCTTTGGCACGGAAAGGGGGTGTGTGGGGGGTGTCGTCATCAAAGAGTTGAGAAAAACCAGAAAGGATTTCCCAGAGACCTGGAAAAGGCCTTCCCTCTGGCCTGCACCCAGGTGTGACTCAGAGGGTCCCAGTCACAAAAGTCATGACTTAGGGGGTAGGGAACCTCCAGTTAGAAAAAGTATGAACTAGCAGGCCGGGCGCAGTGGCTCACACCTGTAATCCCAGCACTTTGGGAGGCCGAGGCGGGTGGATCACGAGGTCAGGAGATCGAGACCATCCTGGCTAACATGGTGAAAACCCCATCTCTACTAAAAACACAAAAAATCAGCTGGGCGTGGTGGCAGGTGTCTGTAGTCCCGGCTACTCGGGAGGCTGAGGCAGGAGAATGGCATGAACCCAGGAGGCGGGGCTTGCAGTGAGCTGACATAGAGCCACTATGGTCCGGCCTGGGCAAAAGAGTGAGACTCTGTCTCAAAAAAAAAAAAAAAAAAAAAGAAAAAGTGTGAACTAGCTGGGCACAGTGGCTCATGCCTGTAATCCCAGCACTTTGGGAGGCCAAGGTGAGAAAATGGATTGAGCCCAGAAGTTCAAGACCAGCCTGGGCAACATAGCGAGACCCCCGTTTCTACAAATAATTTAAAAATTGGCTGGGCATGGTGATGCATGTCTGTGGACCCAGCTACTCAGGAGGCTGAGGCAGGAGAATCACTTGAACCCAGGCAGTCAAAGCTGCAGTGAGCTGCAATCAAACCACTGCACTCCAGCCTGAGCAATAGAGTGAGACCCTGCCTCAGACCAAAAAAAAAAAAAAAAAAGTGTGAACCTTTGGGCCTGATGTGGAGACTGAAGCTTATTCCTGGCGCCCTTTCTTCCTTTCTGTTTTTATTCTTTGCACGCTGAGGTTGACAGAAAGCCCGGGCAGAGGCTGCTGGCCGGCTCTTGGGAAGGGCAGGCCACTTTTGTACTTTAATGGCATTATGTTTTTGATTTTTTTTTTTTTTTTTTTTTTTTTTTTTGAGACAGAGTCTCGCTCTGTCACCAGGCTGGAGGGCAGTGGCGCAATCTTGGCTCACCGCAACCTCCACCTCCTGGGTTCAAATGATTCTCCTGCCTCAGTCTCCTGAATAGCTGGGATTACAGGTGTGCACTGCCACGTCCGGCTAATTTTTGTATTTTTAGCAGAGACAGAGTTTCATATGTTGGCCAGGCTGGTCTCAAACTCATGACCTCAGGTGATCCACCCACCTCTGCCTCCTAAAATGCTGGGATTATAGGCGTGAGCCTCCATGCCTGGTGGGTTTTTTTGTTTTGTTTTGTTTTTTTGTTTTGAGTTGGGGTCTCACTCTGTTGCTCAGGCTGGAGTGCAGTGGCATGACCACAGCTCACTGCAGCCTCAACCTCCTGGGCTCAAGTGATCCTCCTGCCTCAGCCTCCTAAGTAGCTGGGCCTACCAGCACGTGCCACCACACTCAGCTGTTTGGATTTTTAGTAGAGACTGGGGTCTTGCTTGTTGGCCAGGCTGGTCCTGAACCCCTGGCTTGAAGTGATCCTCCCACCTCAATCTCCCAAAGTGCTGGGATTACAGGCGTGGCTCCTGCACTGGCCCCTGCTGACACCTGGATTTTGGACTTCTGGCCTCTAGTCTGTGGTCTGTGGGACTTTGTACAGATAAGTCAAAAGGCAGAAGCTGAATGTGAATGCCCATGCTATTGTTTATAAAATCACCCCTCCTCCTTTTCTAACTCCCGCAGCCCACCCTCTTCCCCCAGCCCAGACCGTCCTTGCAGACCTTCACCCTGTCCTACCTGTGTGGGTGCGGACATGGCCCTGCAGTAACCAGGGCCTGGAGAAGGCCTTGCCACAGATCTTGCAGGTGCAGGGCAGCGTGTGAGTGCGGATGTGCATCTTGAGGGCACCCAGGCTGGTGTACTCCTTGTCGCAGTACTTGCAGGTGAAGACACGCCCCACCTGCAGGTGGCAGTGCAGCTGCCGGTGCCTGGCCAGCCCGGCCAGCGTGTGGTAGGGTTTGTGGCAGTGGAAGCACTCAAAGCCGCCCGGGGCTCGGGGCATCCGCTCAGCCCCAAGCAGTTTTTCCGGAGCCCCGTGCCGGTCTGGGCCCAAGGTCGGGGACCACCGTGTGGGCAGCACCAGCAGTGGGGGCAGGTTGAGGTGGTTCAGGCTGTCTTTGAGGGGTACAATGGCGGCCCGGCTGGCCCGAGGGTCGACCTCGCTGACTTCCAAGGCGTCCAGCCCAGAGGCCCCCAGAGCTTCCTCGATCCGTGGCAGGAGGGGCAGGGAGATGCAGGCGACGGCCGAGGAGCGGTCCCAGGGCTGGGGAAGGTCACCGGGCACAGAAGGGGCCTCCTTGTCTCGGGGGAGGAGGGGCACCACCAGCCCCCCACAGGCAGAGCAGGCACCATTGATTTCTAGAGGGGTGGAGGGGAGAGAATAGAAAGATGAAGACTGAATCCCCAGCACTTTGTGTTTTCCAACTCTGATTCGTGGACCCAGTCACAGCCCATCAGCAGCCTGGCGTGGGAGGTGTAGCCGGGAACCTGCATGCAGACCCAGCTTGCAAGGGAGCTGGCGGTGCTGTGCAGGGAAGTGACAGCGTGGCCAGGAGTGGAGTCATCTAGAACAAGAAGGCCCCGCGGTCTAGAGAGCGAATCTCACTTCCTCTTTAAACACAAAGAAACATCTGACGGGACCCTTTGTGTTCAGGAACATGAAACAGGCCTCGTGGGTAAAGGAGGGCCCTTTACGCCTCGGCTGGGCAGGACCCTCTGATGAGCCCCACCCACCTCTGGAGGGGTCCCAGCCTGGGCCGGCATCCTCCAGGTGCCCATGCAGCAGCCATCAGTCAGACGCTTGGCAGCAAGGTGCCGGCTGAGTGTAAAATCAGCCCACTCATAACTAATCACCCTCCAGTCACCCCACAGTCGCCCCTCGGGCATCTCCTTTTGTGGATAACGAGGCAGTGAGCTCAGAAGCCTCCCTGGCCGCTGACCAGTGCCCACTCTACTGTGCTCTGAATGCAGCTGAGCCACATGGCTGGGGTGCTCTGGCCTGGGCTTTCAGAATTACCCCGGCTGGGCTCCTCCCCAGGACGGTGTTTCCTCTATCTGGGGGCTGGCACACTGCACACCACATGGGTGATCCATGTAAGGGCAGCAGCCCCCAGATAAACAGGTTAGTCTGCAGGTAAGAGTTAAACTCTGTATGTCCCCAAAGCCAAAATCTCCCAACAGCCCTCAATCCCTTTCTTACTCTATATGTGTTAAAATGGATCTCTGGCTCTGTTTCTACCTCCATGCTGAGGCTTTGGGTAGAGACAGACAACCCATAGAATAGGAGAAAATATTTGCAAATCAGACTTCTGATCAGGAATAGCATCTAGAACACTAGAACATATAAAGGATGTTAGCAAGTCGACAATAAAAAGACAAATAATACAATTTTAATATGGGCAAGGGATTTTTTTTTTTTTTTTTTTTTTTTTTTTTTAGAGACGGAGTCTCGCTCTGTTGCCAGGCTGGAGTGCAGTGGCGTGATCTCGGTTCACTGTAACCTCCACCTCCTGGGTTCAAGCGATTCTCCTGCCTCAGCCTCCTGCGTAGCTGGGAGTACAGGCGCCTGCCACCACGCCCGGCTAATTTTTTTGTATTTTTTTTGTAGAGACAGGATTTCACTGTGTTAGCCAGAATGGTCTCGATCTCCTGACCTCGTGATCCACCCTCCTTGGCCTCCCAAAGTGCTGGGATCACAGGCGTGAGCCACCGCACCTGGCCCCCCACCCTTTTTTTTTTTTTTTTTTTGAGACAGAGTCTTGCTCTGTCTCCCAGGCTGGAGTGCAGTGGCGTGAAATCGGCTCACTGCAACCTGCAACCTCCACCTCCCAGGTCCAAATGATTTTCCTGCCTCAGACTCCCAAGTAGCTGGGACTACAGGTGTGCGCCACCATGCCTGGCTAATTTTTTTTTTCCCCCAGATGGAGTCTCGCTCTGTCACCCAGGCTGGAGTGCGATGGCACGATCTGGGCTCATTGCAACCTCTGCCTCCCTGGTTCAAGCAATTCTCCTGCCTCAGCCTCCCAAGTAGCTGGGATTACAGGCATGCGCCACCACGCCTGGCTTATTTTTGTATTCTTAGTAGAGACAGGGTTTTACCATGTTGGCCAGGCTGGTCTCGAACTCTTGACCTTGTGATCCGCCTGCATCAGCCTCCCAAAGTACTGGGATTACAGGCATAAGCCACTGCGCCTGGCCTTTTTTTTTTTTTTTTTTTTTGAGCTGGAGTCTCACTCTTGTCGCCCAGGCTGGAGTGCAATGGCGTGATCTCAGCTCACTGCAACCTCCGCCTCCCAGGTTCAAACAATTCTCCTGCCTCAGCCTCCTGATAGCTGGGATTACAGACACCTGCCACCATGCCCAGCTAATTTTTGTATGTTTAGTAGACGCGGGTTTTTGCCACATTGGCCAGACTCGTCTCAAACTCCTGGCCTCAAGGGATCTGCCCACCTCAGCCTCCCAAAGTGCTGGATTACAAGTGTGAGCCACTGCGCCCGGCCTGGGCAAGGGATCTGAATAACTATTTCTCCAAAGACGATACACAAATGGCCAATGAACACATGCAAAGATGCTCAATGCCATCAGGGAAGCCCAAATCGCAATCACAATGAGATGCTCACACCCAGTAGAACTGAAAAAAATTGACAATAACCAGTGCTGTGAGGATGAGGAGGAATAGGGGATTCAAAGGAACGCCTCCCATCTGCCACTCTCTCCTGACCTGACCTCCTCCCACCCTCAGTTTTCCTAATTACAGAGTCATCAGGTTTCTGTCCACCCAGAAGTGACGGCAATGACAGGCTAAGAGGCAGCGTCCAAGAGAGTTCTGGGGAGACAGCACTGGGGGAGCCCCAGGTTTCCCGGCTTTGCTGGGGCCTCTCTGCAGGAAAAAGTCACCATTTCTTTTTTCCATCTCTAAGACATGGCCACCTTTCTGCCTCCAGGTATTGTCACAGAGCCAGGACCCTGTTTGTGGGCCCAGTGGCTGAGCCCAGAGGCAGGACGGGGCAAGAGACAGTCTCGCCCCGTCAGGCTGACCATGTGTTTCTGCTGGGATTTTAAATGCTTTCCCCATACTCTCTGGGTTTTGCTTGCCTTTTTATTCATGCTGCGGTCCAGATCCTGGGGAGAAGACACTGTTTTGTTTTGTTTTGTTTTGAGACAGAGTCTCGCTCTGTCGCCCAGGTTGGAGTGCAGGGGCGCGATCGTGGCTCACTGCAACCTCCATCTCCCGGGTTCAAGTGATTCTCCTACCTCAGCCTCCTGAGTATCTGGGATTATAGGCACCCGCCAGCACACCGGGGTAACTTCTGTATTTTTAGTAGGGACGGGGTTTCGCCATGTTGGCTGGTTTCGAACTCCTGACCTCAAGTGATCTGCCGTCCTCGACCTCCCAAAGTGCTGAGATTACAGGCATGAGCCGCCACACCCAGCTGAAGAGACTGTTTAAGTACCTTGCTGGCTTCAGGGGTTCCCTGGGGAGCCATAGGAGCCATTTATTTAAAAGGAGAGATTGAGGGGCCCCAAATCCCAGCACCTCAGGTCTATCCTGGGGTAACATCTTGGCAGAAAGTTGCCAGGGCCCCCTGGCTGTCAGAAAGCCAGGCAGCTGGGGCTACAGTGAGGAGGGGAGCGGGGGCGGGGAGCAGAGAGCACTGCGGGGCAGCACGGCTACTCACGACAGTTGCCCACTGGGCCCAGCACAGCTACCCAGATTTGCACACTGGGATGGACCCTAAGCAACACTTTGAAACTTGCAACTATTACCCATGTAAATTCCGCACACATGTGTAGTCACATGCGCATCCACATACACATAACAGAAGCCAGTGTCCTTCACCATGAGCCAGGCACTCCGGCAGTTTCTGCTCTATTTTATTTTACAAAATTGCTGGGGGTGACTGATGAAACTGATTTCAAAATGCACATTTGAAAAGCATGGTCCTAGCTGGCACCCCCTGGTGGCAGCCCGGGCCTCGGGTGTGGGTCCAGGTGGGATCCCCCCCATCCCCAACTCTGGGTTCTGAGCTGGGATAAAGGCCTCTTGGCGGTGTTGCTGGGGGCCACAGCCCCAACAGCGCCCTTCCTGCTCTCCCCCACCGGCCACAGAGCGTGAGTCCCGACCACCGCGTCCGCCGGCGCCCCTCAGTGGGCCTTTGTCCCAAGAAGCTGCCAAGCCAGGTGGGGACTGCTCTCACCGCCCGTGTGGCAGGCTGTCCTCTGAAGGACAGAGTCCTCTTCTCTCGTGTCCCTAAGCCTAGCAGGCAGTGGGAATGAACGGGCAGCCCGGTTGCTGGGCACCCATCTCCCCAGCCTAGCCGGTGTGTGGAGGATTGCAGCCCTTTAGCCCAGCCTGCCCAGGCAAGCCTGCCGGGGTGAGCAGGAGGGCTTCTGGGGTGAAGGGAGGTGGGGGAGGGAGGGAGACCACGGGCGGAGGCTCACCTGAACTGAATGCAGGAGGGGCAGTGCCTTTGCACCAGAAAGAGCCCATGTGTCCTTCTCACCATCCCCTGTGCTTACACCCCCAGTCAGCATGCTCCGGGGGTCCCTGAGCCGGGCCGCCCCAGACGGCCCTCCTTCCCTCCCACCCACCACCCCGCGACCCCTCCCAAACGTGTGCGCCAGGAAGATGACTCCAGGGTGCCTTTAGCTGGGGCTGTAGTGGTTGGGACGGGCGGCTGTATATCAGGGGTGAGTTCCAGGGAGACTTGGGGGCTTAGAAAACTTAGAAAACTTCTCCAAGTTGGGAGAGAATCCCGCCCGCCCTGCCGGAGGCGGGGCTCAGTGCCCTGAAGTGGAGGCGCCCGTGGGCCACCTCCCTCCCTGCAGCCGCAGCCGCTGCGCAGAGGCGCTGGCTCCTTCTCCTCCCACCTGGGACAGGTGTCTCCCCAGCCCCCGCTCCCAGGGGCCTCTCTCTCTCTCCCGCCCCTCAGGGTCGAGTCCCGGCAGGGGCTCGGGGATCGGGTAGTCAGTACCTCTCTGCGTCTCCAGCCGCCGGTAGTTGGGGACCCTGTGGCTGGAGTGCGTTTTCACCAGGAAGGAGCGCGGCATGTTCCCCTCCCGGGCGGCAGGCCGGGGTGGGCTGGGGCGGGAGGGGCGCGCCTGGGTCCGGACTGCTGCGTCCGCCGGCGCTTGAAGGGGTCAGGCTCATTAGCATAGCGCGCCGCCTCCGCCAACCAGCGCCCGGCGCGAGTGGGGCGGGGCCACGGGGGCGGAACTGAGGGCGAGGCGGGGTCTCGGGCAACACGCCCAGGACAGGTGCGCGGGCGGGACGGGGCGGGGAGCGCGTGGCCGCCGGTGTCCTCCCCACGGGAATTCTCTGGCGTGCGCGCCGCCGAGTCACACACCGACCCGTCGGGCCTGGCCACCCACTCGCCGTGAGTGAAGGGCAGAGTTCAAAGCTGTGTGGAAACCGAGCGAGAATCTCTTCCACAGAATGTGGAAGCGTCGGCCGAGCGCGGTCCTTGGAGAACCCTTGCTGCGGAGAATGACGCTCACTCTGCGGCCTGGCCTCGCCTCCCCATCCCTTCTGCAAACTCACAGGACAGGATTGATGGGGAGAGCCCAGGCGAAACGAAGCTGACCCTAGTGACCAGCCCTACTGGCGGCTCTGGAACAGGCCCGGGACCGGTGGCCTGGAGACAGTGGTCCTTTCTGGATGGGCTGCAGTCTCCGAAGGCTTCCCCCACTGGAGTCAGCCCTTTAGGAGTTTGTCCAGTGCCTCCAGAAAGCTGTTTTTTGGGGGACGGAGGACTTGGCCTGGAATTCTGGAATTCCCAGGGGGTCAGACATGGTTATGGGAAGTTTAATAAAACCGGTGAATCACGTGAATTCTGCAACAGCTGCACGTGTGACCTGGGCAATCCGTTTCCCTCCTTTGTGGTCCTGTAGAGCCCTCAGGGTCATAAAAAGCTGGGAGCCGCTGTGTCCAGTGTCTGGGTCTCTTTTGACATGGACATTTCATAACGTTGGGGGCCAGGTGGGGCCGTCTCTGGGCTGGCGTGCACACAGGGTGTCCCTGGCTGTGCCGCCGGCCTGCCTCCCCAGCAGGGCTTCCACCTCAGAGCTGGGTGGCCTTTGCCCCCTGTGGGCCGGGGGTGGAGAAGGTGGGGGGTGGTGAGTCCATGGAAGCTCTGAGGGACAGACAGCAGGGAGGAGGGCCGTGCCACACCAGCATCCCACGTCCCACATCACACGTCCAGGGTGTGAAAAGCTGGGCTAGTATCAGCCCCACTTTGCCAATGAAAAAAAACTAGGCTGTGAGTCTGGGCTCAGCAGCTCACGCCTGTAATCCCAGCACTGTGGGAGGCTGAGACAAGAGGACTGCTTGAGCCCAGGAGTTTGAGACCAGCCTGAAAAACAACATGAGACCCCGTCTCTACAAAAAAAAAAAAAAAAATTATTTTAATTAGCCAGGCGTGGCAACACCCATCTTCAGTCCCAGCTACTCAGGACGCTGAGGAGGGAGGATTGCTTGTTGCAGTAGCCTCCAGGAGGTGGAGGCTGCTGTGAGCTATGATGACCCCACTGCACTCCAGTCTGGACAACAGAGCAAGACCCTGTCTCAAAAAATTAAAAAAAAACAAAAAAGAAGACCAAGGCTGTGAGAGGTTAGGACACAGTGGGATTGGGACCCAGCCACACTCCAGCTTGTCTGCCACTTGGTGAGGGGGAGTGGAAGGACAGGTGGAGGTGCCCCTGGAAGAAGGTGCCCGCCTCTCCTGCAAGCATGGCCTGGCACCACCACGCCGGGAGTGTAGATTTCAGAGGACACATGCCTGCCTTCTGCTTATTCACCTGTTCCTCGCCTGGAAAGGTTTCTATTTATAGCCTCCCTTCCTTCTCTCTCTCCCTCGCAGACACAGATAACGCTTGCAGATACCTGAGCCAAGCCTCCACCCACACCGTCCCTCCCCGCCCACCTACCCGTTGTGTGGCCACCCGCCAAGCCCCAGCAAGCTTATCTCCTAATCCCAGCTAGAGCCTGGTGTTACTCAGGGCTGCTGTAGCCCTCCCGAGGAGAATGGCTGATCTCATCCCGGGAACGCCCTAGAGGGCCTGCGAGCACCTTTGGGGTGGGGTCCCAGGGCTGCCGCAACAACTTGCCCCCCAGGGACACTCAAGTCGGCTGCAGACTCACTCTTCAGCTGTGATGCACAGGGCGGTGTCCAGGCTGGACCCAAGAAGGCCCCACAGAGGGAAACATCAGCGTCCCCCTTCCCACAGGTGCAGCCTCGGGGGTGGGGATTGGGGGAGGGCGGCCGTCTCCATCCTTTCCGTGTCTTCCGTTCCTCACTGCCGGCAGCTTGGCTCTGGGGGTTAAACTGACGTGCCCCTGAGTGGGGAAACCCACGGCCCACAGCCTGCTAGACCCGCCCTCCTGAACTGCAGCAGGCGACCCAGGTCCTTGCCCCCTTCCCTGGACATCTAGGACATCAGGATGATGACTTGTGCTGGGCCCGGCAGCCTGGCCCCTCCCATCTGCCTCCATCCGACACCCAAGAGCGGTTTTCCAGTGGGTAGCCCACCCCAAGAATTGCCGGTCAGGGCAAAAACGGTTAGAGTTCCATTTATGTTGACATTTTCATCCTTCCTACACGTATGTCTTCCTGCCTTTCTGGTTTTACAGTGACTGTAACCATAGTGTCTGGAGATGTGCACACAGGTATCCAACACGGTAGACATCTCTGTCACCATTGACTGTTGTTTGTTTTAAGATGGAGTCTCACTCCAACCTCCGCCTCCCAGGTTCAAGCAATTCTCCTGCCTCAGCCTCCCAAGTAGCTGGGATTACACGTGTGCACCACCATGCCAGGCTAATTTTTGTATTTTTACTAGAGACTGGGTTTCACCATGTTGGCTAGGCTAGTCTTGAACTCCTGATCTCAAGTGATCCTCCTGCCTTGGCCTCCCAAAGTGCTGGGATTACAGGCGGGAGCCACTGCTCGTTTTTTACTCATAGGGCTTTATGACCCAAACCTTGGAAACCCTCACTCCGAATTAGAACACAGTCCTTGAGAGCTAGACCAGGAGGGGCTCAGCCCTTGCTACCTGCACAATGCCCGCCTGTGGTCAGGTGCATGCTGGGGGTTCAGCAGGGCTTGTTGAACTGGATGGAAGAGAAGCAGGAGCTTGCAGACAGTGTGGCCTTTCTAGAGGCCCTGCCCCATGCTCTGGGGGCACGTAGGCCCTGTCTGTCTCGAGTGGAGACACTCAGGTGAAGACCCAGGCCCTCAAAGGAGAGTCTGGCAGCTGGGCCTTGCTTGTCCTTGGACTCAGAGAGATGGCCCCTCTTGTAGGAGCAAAGGCAGTTCATCGAGGCAGACATCCCATGCGGAGGCAGACATCGAGGGACAATCCCATGCGGCCCAAGGTCATGGGCCCATGGAAACTTGAACCCAGTGCTTGAAATCTCAACATCCAGCCAGACCGGGCGCCACTGTGTGCTTGGTCCCCCTCCGTGAAGGGGAACTCACTACTGTTTATGGCTGCCCACACCACCGTCTGAGGGCCGGATTGTCAGAGGGAGGGTGGTTTTTTGTTTTTTTGTTTTTTTTTTTGTTTTTAAGACGGAGTCTCACTCTGTCACCCAGACTGGAGTGCAGTGGCGTGATCTTTGCTCACCGTAACCTCCACCTCCTGGGTTCAAGTGATTCTCCTGCCTCAGCCTCCCAAGTAGCTCGGATTACAGGCATGTGCCACCATGCCTGGCTAATTTTTGTATTTTTAGTAGAGACAAGATTTCACCATGTTGGCCAGGCTGGTCTCCAACTCCTGACTTCAGGTGATCCACCTGCCTTGGCCTCCCAAAGTGCTGGGATTACAGGCGTGAGCCACCGCACCTGGCCAGGAAGGGTGGTTCTTAAGCTGGGGTTCAGTGGACACATCCTGTGTGATATGGGGGTTCTGAGAGGCAGACAGGGTTGTTTTCAGAGCCCCCAGCGAAAGTGGCTTTCAGTGCCAGTGCCAGGTGGCTGGCAGCCCTGTGCTCTTGGGAGATGAAGGGGATGGACATGGTATTTGCCGTGTGCCTTTCCCGGGATGTGTCGTTTGCCTGGCAGATGGCCTAATGCCTAGTTGTCTGACCTGCAACCATGAGTCCCCCCAGGAAACTTGCTCACACTGGCAGACGCCCCGTGGCTCCTGTCTGATTCACGTCCAGGTTATGCCTGCCTGACCATCGCTCTGGTGTTGGGAGCCTGCCCTCTGTCCCCCACGTCCCCGAGAAAACCCAGCCTGGGCAGCCCCTGGTTCTTCCTTGTGGAAGGTGCAAATTCAGTCCCCACTGCAGTAGGAAACATGTTCAAAGACTTACTACTCACAGGTCCTGGGCAGGGAGGGCGCCAGGAGTGGGAAGGGCCATCCTCCGTCCCCAGATCCCACAGGGCAGAAGTGAAGAGTCAGGCAGAGAGAAGACAGTGTGTGGTAACGGGCCGTATGCACAGGGAATGGGGAGTGGTCACTGCAGGTTCACAAGCAAATGCCTGAATGGTCTGATTAAAGGAAGTGCAGGGAGTGCGGGCAGCCCAGGCTCCTGGGTGGGAGATACGCCCCTAAGTGCTCATCTCTGGCCCCTGACATGGGCGGTTGAGCGTGGTGTCCTCCTGGTGCCCAGGCTGCAGGCTTGGCTGTGCTGCCCGTTAGAACAGTCCCTACCCACACCAACCGTAAGACACATGAAACTGCACAATGCCTCAGCACAGGCAAGGGAGAGTGACCGGTGCTGAGGGGAGCCCTTGGGCCTGCGGCAGATGAGGTGAGACTTGAGCCATCAAGCAGCGAGGCAGCGTGCGTGTGAGTCTGCAGGCCACAGGCGTGTTCGTGCGTGTGTCCATGGGCGTATGCGTGTGGGAAGTCGCAGTAGCTGCTCTGAGGTGACATGGAGGCTGGGCATCAGCGGGTAAGTCCCGGGCACCAGGAGAGGGATCTGTGGGGTCCCCGGCATCGTCCTGCCGAGTTGGATACCTGAGCTCGGTTCCAGCAACACCATCCGCTCTCTGCCAGGGTCCTTTGAGATTCCCACCTGCCGTGTGAGGGAGCTGACACCTTACTCGCGGCAGGCTGTGGGGCCACGCCCTGCAGCTGAGGGAAGGAAGAACTCAGGCCCGCTGAGTGTTCTTTTGTCCAGCCACAAAGGGAGCAATGCCTGCCGGACGAGGGGCTGGGGCCGCATCATGCCTGGGACCCGGATGAGCACTGTCCAGGGCTCCTGCGAACAGGGGCGGGCCTGGGACAGGGGGACCTGGGGTGGGAGACATAGGAGAGGGGACCCCTGGGGGAGAGGGACTTGGCATCCCTTCCGGATGCAGGCCAGCAGCAGGTTACACAGGCCCTTCGTAAAGGTGCTTTCTCTGTGGCCTGCGCCCTGGGTCACCCCATCAGCAGGGTCCTTGGAGCCCCAGTGCCTGCAGAAATGCCAGGGACAGCATTGACAGCGTGCTGACGGACAGCACCGTGGATTGAACTGTGTCCCCCTAAAAGATGCTGGGGTCCCCCCAACCTCTGGGCATGGGGCCTTATTGAAAATCGAGTCTTCACAGGTCCCATCAAGTCAAGGTCAGGCCATTAGGTGGGCCTTAATCCAAGGACTGGTGCTCTGATGAAAAGAGGAAGCTTGGATTCAGAGCGCAGGGGGAGGGTGACGTGCGGGTGCAGAGGAGTTGTGTGTTGACCACAGGAGCCAGCCAAGAAGCACCAGGCCGCTGCGGCCGCCCCCGGCCCCCACCCCTGCCCCATGGCACAGCCCGCCCACACCTGGGTACTAGACTTCCTCCTGAGCTGGCGACACTTAGACTCCTGTTGTGTTCGGCACCCCAGGGTGTGGCCCCTTGATACAGCGGCCCAGTAGACCCAGCGTCCAGACCGGGATGAGGCCACAGGCCCTGGCTTGCCCCTGATTCGAGGGACTCGTGGAAACAGGCCACTGCTGTCCATGCAGAACACACCCCAGTCCCCACAAACCCACAGCAGGTGCACTGAGGGTTCCGAGAAAAGCACCACGTGGGTGCCACTCCCGTTTCCTGGGGCTGGCGCCACAGCCGCTCCTCTCCAGAGACTCTGGGAAGCTCACACGGCAGACTCTGCAGGGGTTGCACTGGCCCCGGGTTCAGCATGCCATCCACCACTGGAAGAGCCCAAACCGCGGCCAAGACCAGGACTGCACGTCAGAGGGTCCGGGTGGGCTTCCAGCCAGGCTTCTACCTGCCGAGGCCCTGGCTCTGAGTGGGTGCCATGTGGAGTCTCCCCTTGCCCTGCAAAAATGTATCTCCAGCCAGCCACAGTGGCTCACGCCTGTAATCCCAGCACTTTGGGAGGCCAAGCTGGGCGGATTGCTTGAGGTCAGGAGTTCAAGACCAGCCTGGCCAACGTAGTGGAACCCTGCCCCTACTAAAGATACAAAAATTAGCCAGGTGTGATGGCGCGTGCCTGTAATCCCAGCTACTCGAGCGGCTGAGGCAGGAGAATTGCTTGAACCTGGGAGACTCCTTCTCAAAAGTATCTCTACTTGTGCCCGAGAGCCCACTGATAATTAGAGATGCATTCCTTAGGCTATTTTTGTCAAAATACCAAAGTGCCTTTGACATTGTGATGCCTTGCTGAGTGCATTTAGGCCTCTTTTTCCTAGAGTGAGTTTAGAGAGTGGCGAACCCTGGGGATGTGGTTATAGAAGGAAGGGCGGCGGAGGCAGCAACACCGGAGATGGCTTTTTCAGGCCATCCCTCGATGGGGCCGGGTCCTCCCAGGTGTTTCGGATCGGAGGAGGCTGACTGTAGCTGAGGGCACCCTCCCTTCCCACCTTCCTCCTCCCTGCATCACATCCTGGGCAGAGTTAGGGGTCCCCCATGGAGGCCTCTGGGGTTTTCCAGGTGGGCTGCCAAGTAGGTGCCCCGGCTGGACCACAGGGTGGAATGTCAGCCGGGTTTGCCTCTTGTTAGCAGGAGATTTGGGGCAGGTTTTCTGAATATCTGTTTTCATCCATGAAACAGGAAAAGTGGCTTCTGCTTCCTTCCCTAGGGCCTCAGGAGCCTAAACCCAGGTGGCCCCAAATTAGAGGAATCCTCAGGCACCACCCAGACGCACCCAGAGGATCCTGGGAGGGTCAGGCTGCTGCGGCAGGTGTGCTGGGCCCTGGGGTAGAGGAGTTGCAGCTGGGAGGCCCCTTATTGGAGGGAGCCCCCACCCCCTCCCCACCCCCGGCCACCGCGCACACCTGCAGTTCTGGAAAGGCCTGGGCTGAGTCTCGCGAACCACACCCTGCTGCCGCCGCCTTGGAGTACCCAAAATGCTGGTCGTGGCTCCTGAGATCCAGGTATAAGAATTATCAGCAGTTTCTTGGGGGCCCGGCCTGGGGCCAGGGGCTCTCCATTCCCACCTGACCCCTTTCTAATGGAGAAGTTCCCTGGTCCCTGAGACCTGGACGCGCTTTCTGGGGAGCAGGGTTCATGCTTCCCATGCAGCTGCATAACGTGAAAACAAGGGCATGCTGCCCCAAGTCTGCGACGGGCCTGGACCGCGCAGGGCAGGAGCCCCAGCTCCTCCAGGGCGAGCCACATCTGGCTTTGTGCCTCGCTGTCAGGCCCTGGTGTACTCCAGGGTGGGAGGGAGACCCAGGCTTCCAGGACTCTGCCTGAGCGCGGTGGGTCCACATCCGAGCTGCCGCGGCCCCGGTGGTCAGAGCGGGCGGCCCTCTGGCTCCGGCGCTGTGCACGCCCTCACACCCCGACGTGAGGGGCTTCGGCCCACTTCCCTCGTGTGGCCGTAGGAGGGGTCCCGGCCTCCCCACTTTCACTGGGACAGCCCCCACGGGTATCGGGGGTGCAGACATTTGGCTCTATCTAGGGCTTTGTTAACAAGAAAAATGGAGCAGGGGTCTTGCTCCGTGCCTGAGGTCTCGTCCCACCATGGCAGGATCTGCTGAGCTCTGACGGACCTGAGTTCCCCACTTTGCTGGGGTTCGTTCTGGAGTCCTCCCCTGGGCAGACTCTCCCAGACACCAGGTCACCCGAGAGGCGGCCGGGCCCGTGAGGAAAGCTGAGGCCGCACCTTCACCCAGACGCTGGCCTGTGGCTCTCAGCTCTCCTGTGGCCTCCATGAGGGGACCTGGTGGGAACAGGCCTGCTCCCTCCAGAATTGTGTGCAGGGACACAGAGAGTCCTGAGGAGGGGGTCCTGGGCTTCCTCTGACAGCCCTCCTGGGCACGGCAGCAGCGGGAGGCCTGGGTTCAACCAGGAGGGGACAGGGTTTTGCTTCCTCGGCATTCGCAGGTGGCACGGGGCTTGGGAGCAGGTGCTCGGCAGGGCTGAGAGTTCGGAGGTGGCCCAGGGTTTGGGAGCGGGGCAGGCCAAATGTGATGGGGACGGCTCCTTGTCTGGGCTCCGCTCTCTGTCCCCTCAGTCTGGGCACTGCTGGCTTGTAGGAGGCTTGTGGCTGCGGTTCAGTCAGGGAGGGAGGGCAGTCGCGTCGCCTGCGGCCAGCGGGACAAGCACACAGGGACAGGCTTCTGCCCCTTTCAGAGGCCGCAGTATGTTAAAACCGTTCCTATCCGTAGCATGAGCGTCAGTGGGCCCCCGGGGGGTCTTTCTCCTTCCCGCCCCGGGCCCAGTGCCTGCCCTGGCCTTGCTGAGTCCCCAGCACAGCGGTCACAGTGCGGTGCCAAGAGGGGGCCTCAGAGCTGAGGGTGACACAGAGCAGGGGGCCTCAGACCAGCCTAAGTCGGGATTCGTCCCCTGAGGCACCTGCCACGGAACTGGGGGCCTGGGGCAGAGCAGAGCAAGGGGAGGCAGTTCCCAGCCCCAGCCAGTCCATGCCTCCCACAACATGCCGGCTCCTCTCCCTTCCCCAGGGCAGTGAGGTGCCGCTCAGTGACTGGAAGGTGCTTTGCCCTCCTCAGGTGAGGCGTAGAGACTTAGGCATCACCTCCCCGAGGGCTGCTGTTGAGACCACGGCCTGCCCAGACAGGGCCCAGAGCTGTCTTCAGCCTTCCTGGGCACCCAGGGTCATGCCCTTGTGACGGCTCCGTGTCACCCTCGGGTCAGATGTGGAGGCGGCTTGGACGTGGAGAGCTGCCCCCGTCGCTGCTCCTGCTGGGAGGTGGGTGGCGGGTAGGCTGCCCAAGGGGTGAGACAGGCTTGGCCAGTGGCCAGGTGGCGAACTGTCGGCCTCACTGGGCACCAGTCAGAGGCCCACGTGGCTCCGGGGGACACTGTGTCTTGAGCCTCCTTCTGGAAGGCCACAGGGAAGGGCAGGCTGGCAGGTGTCTCTGATGTTCCCTGGAGTTTGGTGCTGCCTGGTGAGGGCCTCCCAGACACAGGACCATGTCATCAGGGGTCAAAGAGTAGTGGGAAGGGGAGGTGGGGACTCCAGTGGCCCTTGGCGAGGGCAACTGGAAATCAGCCCTGCTCCCTTGGGGGTGTCTCCCTTCAAGTGACAACTGGCAGAGGCTCCTGTGTGTCCGGCCCAAGCTGTGGCCTTCAGGGTCAGGACAGCCACCTCCCCTGCGAGTAAGGAATCCAGAACAGAGGCTGGAAACACTCCTTAACTGAGTGCGGGAGGGAGGAGGCAGGAGGCAGTGACTGAGCTATAATGACCAGCTGCCCTGGGGTTGGCTGGCGAACAGGTGATTCTTGTTGGCCTGAGGCCCTTGGACACTGGAGAACAGGACATCCCATGGCCCTGGTGGTGGCCCCTCAGAGAACTACAGGCAGTTAGTGTAACACTCAGTATGCTCAGAAACCAATCCAGGAGGTGCTGAGGTGGCGCACACCTGTAGTCCCAGTGACACGGGAGGTCAAGGCGAGTGGACCACTTGAGCCCAGGAGATCGAGGCTGTGGTGAGCTGATTGCACCACTGCACTCCAGCCTGGGCAGCAGAGTGACACCCCACCTCTAAGAAAAAGCAAGCAGCCTAGGAGTCCGAACCCCAGCAGCCCTGTGGGTGTGGGAACAGGGTGGTCCTCTCTGAGGCAGGAGGGCCCAGTGCCAATGTGTAGGTGGCTCTGTGGGACCCTCCGTGGCTGAGTGAGGCTCAGGCCCAGGCTGTACCCCCAGCGTGAGCTGCCTGGGGAGGACACAGCCGACCTCCAACACAGACAGCAGCTGGCGATTCCACACCGTGGAGCACAAAAGCCAGTCGAGGCTGCTAGAGATGCTCTGAGACATTTTATTTAAACTTTTTTTTTTAAAAAAAAGACAGCAATAATTAATGCCAAGAACAGAAAAGAATGTTGACGTGTTGCCCGGCCCGCCAAGCGGGCCCCTGCCCAGGCCCCCAAGCTCTGCCACCACTGGGGTGCCGTCCCCTCCCGCAGCGGGGCACAGTCAGCTTTGAAGGTGACAGCGGGCCAAGGCCAGGACTCTGGGTGGAGGAGGCCCCTTCTCTGCCGGCCCCGCCTCTGCTGGGAGCAGCCACAGCCTGTGGCTGGGGTGCTGGGATTTCTTCCTGGTCATCAAAGAGAAACGTACAAACCTCAAGGACCCAGACACACAGTGGGTGGCCAGGGCAGACCCCACAGCAGACCCCATGGCTCGCCTGAGCTCTGGCAGCTGCCCCACTGCTCCTTCCATCCTTGCCCCAATCCCCCAATGCTTGTTTTGATTGTTTTCTTAAAAAATATAATTTTGTAAATGTTCCATAAAAATACTATTATTCCTAGTCAAACACAGATATTGCAATATGAAGAGTAACTGCTCTGTCTTTGCTCTATAAAACGTGAAAAGATTATCACACTGGATAATATAGAAAAGATGCCAGGGTTCCTAAGTATCACAAAAGCCAGTACCAAATGCGCAAGGTGGAAGTGGGGCCGGGGCAGGGTCGGGCTGGGCAGGGCAGCAGCCTGGGTTCCTCCCGGCTCGACTGCGGAGCGCGACTCGCGCGTCGGTCCCTTCTTCCCACGAGGGGGTATCATGGCTTTGAAGAGACGGCGGCAGCTCCAGGTCCCAGCGTCCAGCCCTGCCCAAGTAGGCCGCCTGCTCGGCCAGAAGCACCGAAGAACCCAGCGACGCCGGTGGGACCAGGCGGCCCTGCTCTGGCGGCCTCGGCGGCTGGCCCGTATTCAGGCCCGGAGGCTCGGCCCCGGCTCCCCTTCTGCGCGGGTGCAGGCTCCTCCTGTGAGCTCAGTCCGGTGAGGTGCGCTCCCGAGCAGGTGCCAGGTGCGACACAGGAGCGGGGACATCCCTGACCCCAGACGCAGGCGGGTGGCTGCGCTTCCCTTCAGTTCTCAGAGAGAGACAGGGCCAGAGCAGCCTGGAAGGCGGCCTCCTCGTCAATACTGTAGTCCTGGAGACAGGAAGGAGAGATGCACCGGGCTCGAGGGAGACAGGAAGGAGAGGTCCCCTCTGCCCATCACCCACACAGGCGTGTCCACCCTTCCTGCCTCCCTCCAGCAGGACACAGGAAGGACCCAGCTCCACTGTCCCCACAGGCTCGGGGCCTGCACGGTCCTCTGGGGGGTGAGAAGGTGAAGGTGTGTCCATCACCCGCTGGGTACGGGGGCACTCGGAATGGATGGCTGCTGGTTCAGGTCGGACTCTAAGCCCGGGGTTTCCGAGGTGAGCAGGCCGGCCAGGGCTCCCTGACCTCTAACAATTTCCATCCTGAGGCAGGCGGAGCGTGGGTCCCGGACGACTGGCAGAGGGAGTGACAGCCATCGCCAGGACTGTTAGCCAGGGCCAGGAATGAACAGGGCGGCGCAGGGAGGGGCCGCACCAGGAGTGAGGAGTTTGTGCGAGGGTCTGCAGGCCCGGGGGCCAGGTGTGTGCCTGACCCGCGGCGGGTGGGAAAAGGAGACAGGGCTGGAGTGTTCGATGTTGATGAAAGTCCTTCCCGCGCTCTCTAGAAAGCTTCCAGAAGGAAGCCTGGCTCACCCTCGAGGGGTTCTGTGGGGTGGGCAGGCAGGGACCTGCCCTGTGCGGTCCATGTCCCCGAGAGGCCTGGGCACCCTCTAGTGGCCACTCAAACTCAGCTGCCATCACTCCCCACCTGCAGGCAGCCCCCACAGAACCTGGGGGAATGTGGCCACCTGAAACGAGGCTTCTGTTTCTGGCTTCCTCTGAACCCTGCGGACCCTGAGGCTGGCGAGGGGCCCGAGCAGGAGGAGGGTGGATGAGGAGGGCGTGGGGGAGGACGGTGCTGGCGGGATGCCTACCACAAAGGTGTCGTAGGAGAACTTGTGTCGGTGAAGCAGGTGCTGCAGGAAGTTGGCGCTCTTGTAGCTGGGGTCCCCCCAGGGCATTGCCGAGCAGATGGGGCACACCTGGAACAGGCACTGGGGTCAAGCCGAGCCGGACCGCGGAGAGGCGGGGTAGCCGCAGTAGGACTGGGGGCCCTCCACTGAGCCCCGTCAGTGCTGCCTCAGCCTGGGAAGGCACCCCAGACCTGGAGGCGCGTGTCCCGGTGACAAGCGAGTTATTCAGTGCGCGTCACCCTGAAGGACTCATGGACACTCCCCGGTTTCCGCCAGGTGCTGCTCGGGCAGCCAAGTTCCCACCCTGGGTCCCAGGAGGCCTTTGTGGCCTGGGCACCCCCGGACTCGCCGCGAGCAGGCTCCTGGGCCTTGTACTGTCCCCCACAGGCCTCCCCTGGCGCAGGCGTCGCTTGGGGCAGGCACTGCTCACCACGCGGTTGGGGTCGCTGCGGTGGCTTTCCACACAGTGCTTCACCAGCTCCTGCTGGTCCAGGTTGCGGGCACCACAGTACGGGCAGGCGAAGGTGGACCTGTTGGGGATGTTGCTGGCGGGGCGGGGGTAGAGTGAGTGGCACGGCTAGGTGTCTAGGGGCTCTGCCTCCCCGCTTCTCTCAAACACAGGCGTGGCCCCAGGCCTGCCCTCTGTAGGCTGCAAGAGCGTGGCAGTGGCTGGGTGCCCCCCGTGCCTCTGCACGCCATGGCCTCCTGAGGACACACCCAGGACCCTCGTCCACCCCACACAACTAGGCCAGCCAAACGGCAGAGACTCTGCTGGCGCTGCCCTGGCAGGAGCCGTCTCTCGGCCCATCCACCTGCTGGGAGGCGATGTGTGGGCCCGGCCTGCGCCCTCCTCCTGCTCCCCACAGCTGAGCTGTCCCTACCCCAGGGGGCCTGGTGGGTATGCCAGGGAGGGCAGCACAGGAGCCTTCCTGCAGGGTGGCAAGGAAGGTCCACTTCCCCAGAGTGGACCCGGCCCCGGGTGACTCCCCCAGCCTCTCTGGGATGGGGCACTGCGCTTGCTCCCAGAACGAGGAAACCGCCGAGGACAGTTCCTCTCCCTTGCCCGGCAGCGTGCCTACCTGGGGATAGGCTGTGATGTGGGCACCACGGGGACGAACTTGGGGCAGTTGGCCATCTGCTCCTGGACCTTCAGGCAGGACGAAATGTGCACTCTCATCTTTGCCAGGGTCACCTAGGAGACAGGGCAGGGAGGGCAAGGCGGTCCTGAGAATCTGGAAGGGCCGTCCTGGGGAGGCCGAGACCTCAGGTGTCCAGGACCAGAGAACTGTAAGCAAGCGTCTGTGTTGCCAGCAGCAGGGGGACCCGGTCCCTTCTGCTGCTAAAACAATCTCAGGCACTGAGCAGCCACTACTCCATGGCCAAAAGCAAGTCACTGCAGGACAATCTGGCCGAGGGCAGAAACCTGGCTGGAGAAGGGTAGCGGGAAACAGGTAAGGAGATCTCTGGCGCCTGCAGGAGTTCAAATACTTGCTCCAGAAAAAGGAAGAGGCCAAGTGGAGGCCACTCAGAAATGCCCCAGGCTGGGGACAGACGCTTCGTGTGACTGAGGGGCAAGCTGGGGATGCTTCCGTGGAGGCAGGGCGCCATCCTCCACCCACAGCACACCCACTGTCCAGGGCAACAGGCTGCAAGATCGCAGGTGTCTGAGGCCCTCCTGGACTCAAGCTCGGCACCCAGCTCTGCCTAAGGGCTGCTGGACTCCGAGGGATGCACCACATTCCAGCAAGGTGCCGGGAGACACAGCCGCATCTGAAGACCCAGATTAGAGAACGGAGCTGCTGTGGGATACGGGAGGCCGCTCTGCATGTGACCGGTTCTGATCCTTTCTGGCTGCCCAGGAGAGAAGAACTCTGAGCAGGGAGAGACGGGAGGTGCCCAAGCACCCAAGACCACAGCCTGCTCAGCCGCACCACTCTGGAGTCCAGGGCAGCCCCTGGACATCTGGACCTTCGACCTCGAGGACAAACCACCGAGGGGCCACGTACTAGTGTGAGCGCTTCATAGAACTTATTCACCTGAGATGTGGCAACGTCGGGAAACGCAAATGCAAAATCACCTCTAGCTGCTCAGTCCTCCGGAAGCCACTGAAAGAACGGGGCGCTGGCTGGGGCCTCTCCACCCTGAAGCGGATGTGCCAGGGAGGGCCACGGGGCACGGGCCAGGCACCAGGACAGGATGGACATGGGGGCCAATGAGGCCCATGACAAGCTGCAGGCCCTTACGCTGCTCTGATGTGGGTGTGGCAGTGCCCATCAGCCCGGCTCTGGCCCTCCTGGCAGCTGGAGGGTGCTCGGCCCTTAGATGTCCTTGACTGTGCCCGCGGCCCTTGTGACCTTGGAGCCCCCAGCGCCGTCCCCGGTATCGGCTGGCAGGGGAAGGCTGCATTGGGAAGGTTTCAGCTCAGCCCCCTGGTCCTTACCCTGGCCACAACCCACGTGGGTTCCCCTGGCCCGGGCTAGGCGGCTCTGACAGTGCTACCCCCACCGGGCTGGCCCCCCCGTCAGCCGTCACCACAGGAAGTGAGAGATGAAGACGGGAGGGGAGGGAGGCGCCGGGGCTGGCTTCCTGGTGCAGGAGCAGAGACCGCGATTACTCAACAGGAAAGAGAGAGGGCCCCGGCCCCCACCCTCTGCAGAACCCGTGGGCTGAGGCTGCCCATCAAGTGACCCCGGCTCCAGGGCGGCCCAAGCAGGCGGGTACCTTTTTGTTGCAGCCTCGACAGGGCGCTTTGTAGGATGAGAGCTGCTTCTCCACGTGGGTGGCCTTGTCCACCTTCTTGGGGTCGAAGGGCAGGCGGCAGAGTGGGCACAGCGGGGATGGCACCTGCAGGCAGGGCTGGAGACACTCCCCGCAGAACCTGCAGGGCACAGGGGCCTGAGTGCCAGCCCGCCCCTCGGGTCTCCCGAACCGCAGGCCTTGCTCGGGGCCCTTCTTAGGACCCAGCATTTGTGGGGTCCACAGGGGCAGCTCCCCCTACCGCTGTCGCCGTCTCTGGAGATGGTCACTCCTATGTCCGGGGCCCACCAGCTGGATGGGCCCCATCTGGCTAAAGGGTGGCCCCGGTCCCTCCTGACAGTAGGCCCCTGTGGTTTCTGGCTAGCGGCAGAGCCGTCACTATGGCTGTCCCCGCGAGTGGGCCAGAGGAGCTCCCATAGGCAGGAGGCCCCAGCTCGGGCTACCAGGTTCACGTTCACGTGGCGACAACACCTGGGTGGGCTGTGGGGCGCAGGGACAGCCCGGGGACTCTGGAAACTCTCCCGGCTCCACACTCTGGGGGATAAAACCTCAAACAATCGTGGGAAAGGAAACGGCCAGGCCCCAGGGGCTCCAGATGCACTGGACAGGGAAGGGCCAAAGCTAGCCAAGTGGCAGCACATCCTGAGGCTGGGTGGCAGTCACCAGGCTTGGGACAGCTTCGCAGGCAGGAGGGGGTCCTGCTCCATCTGGGCGGAGGCTCGGGTCCTGGGCACCCATGGGCCCTGGCTCTTGGCACTGCCCCTGGGGACACCACATCGTGAGGACAGACTGAGCGTCCCACAGCCCCGTGCGCACTCCGGGCTCCAGCAGCAGGGGCTTCCTTGGGCTCGCACACCCTCCCGCTCTGCAGACGCACACAGCCCTTGGAGGGGTGCACCACCAGCCAGTGGGAGCACCAGGCGCGAGAGCCCCCAGTGCAAACACAGAGAAGGAGCTTAATACTGGGGCAGCCACATCTGGCCTTGTGAGGAGCACTGTGGGGACAGCTGAGCTGCGGCGAGGAGCTGGAACTGAGGCAGAGCCCCCCAGTCCCAGGAAGGCTACAGCACCCGGGGGTGTAGCTTCCCTTCTCCCTGGCAAGGCCACAGGGCTGGTACAGGAGCCCCACTGGACAGAGGGGCTGTGGGCAGGCCCTGGGTTCACAAACGACTCAGCTGAATTCAGGGCCAGAGTCCTCTTTGCTGTCAAGAGATTTCCACATCCCTCAAGAAAAGGCCCTTTCTGCAAGGAGGAAGTCTGAGGGCCTCAGGCAAAGGTGGCCAAGCAGGCATCTTAAGTCCCTCCTGCTGTCCCCCAGGCCCTCTTTGCCACCACTGGATTCCCACAGAGCCACCACCTGGCTGGTGGCTCCCACATGAAACTTCGTGTGAGAGAAAGCGGGACTCAGCTTGAGACCCGTCAGAAAGTGAACAAGCCTTTTTCTGCAGAGTAAAGAGGTCGCTCACTTTACCCACCTCACCCGAGTTCTCACCAGGCGCCCCAGCAGATATTTCCAGGGTCATCCCTGGCACTGACCCCTGGATTTGAGCCGGGGGGGCCGCCTACTTCACCCGTTCACGGGAGGAAGGTGCTGGCAAGATGGTCCACCTGGGGAGGCCTCAGGGGACCCCCATACTCAGGCACTCATGGCAGGAGAAGCGGAAGCAGCTCAGGTGCCCGTCGGTAAACGGATGAAGAGACGGCGTGGCGTGCACACCCATGGAAAGGGCGTTCGGCCGGGAAGAGGCGTGCAGCCCCACCACGCACCGGAAGGCCTGGAAAACAGTGCAGGGCAGACAGCAAGCACGTCCCACCCGTGTCGTGGGGGTCCACTCACGCTCAACGTCCAGCAGAGAGAAACCCAGTG
This sequence comes from Homo sapiens, assembly GCF_000001405.40. Taxonomy (NCBI): domain Eukaryota; kingdom Metazoa; phylum Chordata; class Mammalia; order Primates; family Hominidae; genus Homo; species Homo sapiens. Next base: position 88,703,165 of record NC_000016.10, read on the forward strand.
ACCAGAAAGCAGACGGGTGGGTGCCAGGCGAGGGGGAGAGTCCTGGGTTTCTTTCTGGAGTGGGAAGAATCTTCTAGAATTGCATCGATTGTTGCATAATTGCAAACACACTGGAAACGACTGGATGGTGCACCTCCTGAGTGAACCCTGAGCTGCCAGAGACCAGGCCGGGGCTCGGCTGCACAGCACGGCCACGGGCTGAGGGGAAGGAAAAGGGTCCCAGGCAGAGCTTGGGAAGAGAGGAAAGGTGCCCAGAAGGTTGGCTGGGAGGAAGACAGCCTCGTCCTCCCCGGAAGGACTCAGGAAAGACACAAGAGGGAACCCAGCCCGACTGGCAGGGCGGCTGGGCCCGAGGAGCAGGAGGCAGAACGAGGCACCCACAGGGTGGGTGCTCTATCGGCCTAGTTTCCAGTGACTGCCAGCCTGGTGTTCAGAGAGCCAGCAGCCGGGAGTAGTGCCCGCTTCCCCCACAGGAAGTTCCTGTCTGCGCCCACCCAGGGGCTGGTGCTGAGCAGCTTCTCAGCTGAAGGAAGTGGCTGAGGGCGATGGGTGTGGGGGCGTCGACAGCCTTACAAAGGGAGGGGCGATCGCGCACTGGCCCTCCCAGCAGGCACCCGGGACTGCCAATGTGTCTCCCACACTGGCCGCTGCACAAGCTGAGAAGCTGGGACGGCCCGTGCCTCAGGGATCTGCCTGGCTGGCAGGCCAGCACCCTCAGCAAGCCCCACAGCTGTCCTGCACGAGTGGAGGCTGCTCACACAGCCCTTCCAGGCAGGTTCGTGATCACGCGTGTCCTGGCCCACAGGCTTCTGGTTACAGAGGTGGCTCACTGCTCAGACTGTCCCCTGGCTGAGAACAGCTCCTGCTGGGCCCCCAGGGGGCCTCCTGCGCGAGGGCTAGAGCAGGGTGCATGCCCCCACACTGGGATACTCTTGCCATGAGAGATCTACCCTGGAGGAGGAAGTTGCTCTGGTTGGGGAGCTTGCGGAGGGGACAGAACCAGACCAGCAACAAACTTCCGAAGGGAACCTGAAGAGCCTTTAAACTTTCTGTGGTCATTTGCATGCATGCCTTAGCAACACCAACAAGAAACAAAGTTAGAAGCAGAGAGAGAACAGCCAGAAAACAAAAGCCAGCAGGAAAAGTCGGGGAGAAAAATCTTTGAAAGGCAAAGGCTGTGTGAAAAGCTCTTGCAGGACCCGCGGTGAGACTAGGATGGTCGTCATTCTACCAAGAAAAGCATGGCAGAGGGGAGTTTTATAGGAAAGATGCTCCACAATTCCATGTGGTTCTGCATTCTGTGTTATGGAAACTACATTTTAGGAAAAGACATATTTGAAAAAGAAGGGCAAAGACCAATTTGTGCAGGTTAGGAAAGTGGAGATGCTGTGGCCGACCACACGGTGAAGGTGTTGGCACCCAAAGCCTACGGGAGGCTTTTCTAAAACAAGGCCTAAGTCAAGCCTCACAGCGCTCAGTAACAGATGAGAAGGTGCGGAACACACCTTCAAACACCCGCTACCTGCTCACAAGAAGGAAGTCCTGCCAGGCGCGGTGGCTCACGCCTGTCATCCCAGCACTTTGGGAGGCTGAGACGGGCAGGTCACCGGAGGTCAGGAGTTCGAGACCAGCCTGGCCAACATGGTGAAACCCCTTGTCTACTAAAAATACAGCAATTAGCCGGGCGTGGTGGCGGGTGCCTGTAATCCCAGCTACTCTGGAGGCTGAGGCAGGAGGATCACTTGAACCCAGGAGATGGAGGTTGCGGTGAGCCGAGATGGCGCCACTGCACTCCAGGCTGGGTGACAAGAGCAAGACTCTGTCTCAAAAAAAAATATTCCCGTTCAGAGGCTGCCCCCCCAAAATGTCACGGCTAAGTGAGATGGAGGAGCAGGGGCAGAGCCTGTAGCAGCCTCACAAGAGAAGTAGGTAGAGCTGTCCCAGCGTGGGCAGGCGCCTGTGCTGCCTGACACAGGTAATGAAGGCAGCTCTGCATCCTGACACTGGCCCTGCCACCTCCGTGGGTGACCAGCACACATCCACCTAGCAGTCCCAGCTCCCTCTGTACCAGGAGCCCCTGAAGTCAGCTGACTTTGCTTGCAAAATGTTCTAGAGCCTCCTACCAGTCTGGGTGCACCCCCCTCCACTCCACCACCTCAGCAGCTTGGATGTCTGCGGGGAAGCCCTCCTGCTCTCTCTCTCCCCTGCCACTGCTGATTTTGCTCAAGAGCTGTATTATTCAGCACTTAGGAGGGAGCAGACACTGATCTAGGCTTCCTCCCAACGGGGCTGGCAGCTCCAGAATACTTGAGCACAGCTCCCCGCCAGGAGAGCCACGTCCTCCAGTTTCTGTTCCTGAAACACCCTGGAGGAGCCGGCTGTGAGCCCTGGTGCAGCTGGAAACCCCAGCAAGGTGGTCAGTGTCTGCTCCTCTGTGGACCAGCCTGCCTGGCTACTCAGTGATCGGTGTGACTCAAGTTCTCCTTCAAACAAAACTAAGAACATCAGACTCCAAACAAGCCCCTCTAAACTTTAGGGAACTCCTTTCCTCTGTAGTCAAAACAGGCAGACAGCGGGTCCGAACAAGAGTTGATAGCAAAAACTACAAGTTATTTATTTACAACTGCCCATTCCAGCCGCACAAGCCCAAATCCACCACCACTGGCGGAGCGGTGGCACCTGCTGCCCTCTGAGTACCGGAGCGCCCGCCGCAGCCGCCGGGGACCCCGAGCTTGGGCAGGGCCGCAGGTCGCCCGGTGAACCGAAGCAGCAGTCGGACCGGGCGCCTGCGGCTGGCGCGAAGGAGGCTGGGCGGGGGATGAACGCGCCCAGAGGGCAGAGGCGGCGCGGCACAGGGAAACCCGGACCCCACGCGCCCCGAGGCCCCGGCGCCCCGAGTCCCCGCGCGCCCAGTCCGGAGCTGCACCGGGGCGGCCGCCGGCCTCGCGACCCCTCCCGCGGCGGGGCACGGCCCCCTCCCCGCGGCCCCTGGGCGGGCGCGCTCACGTGTGGCCGCAGCTGCCGATGGCCACGGGCCGGTGATAGACCTCCAGGCAGATGGGGCAGGTGTACTGCGCCTCCAGGCCGCTGTCGCCGCCCGCCGGCCCGGCCGGCGGCTGCCGCTGCTGAGCCGAGGCCACCAGGCTGCGGAACATAGCCATCCCGGGGCCAGGCCCGCGCCGCCCGCCGCCCGCTGTCCTGGCCCGGGCCGGCCCGCTAGTCACAGCCGCTACTGCGCCGCGCTGACGTCATCGTAGGGCGCCGCCCCCAGCCGGGCTTCGCGGCCGTCACGGCGCCACTCCGACGTCATCGGGGCGCGCCCTCGCGCTGTCGCCGCCACAGTCTGCGACGGGACCCGGCGTGCCCATGTGTCAGGTGGGCGAGGACTACGGGGAGCCGGCGCCTGAGGAGCCGCCCCCGGCGCCGCGGCCCAGGTAAGAGCTGGCGGCCGGACCCGCCAGGCCGCCCCTCGCCTTCCCGCCGCACTCCTGCCCCGAAGGGTCCCGGCCGGGCTTGCTCCGGGAAGCCCCGCGTGGAGAGCGGGACCTCGCTCCCTAGCACTCGGGGAATGCCTGTCAAGCGGTGACGGCCACCTAGAAGGGGACTTACTCCACTGGCTCGCGCCTCTCATCCTAGCAGCCACTGGGGACGGCTCTGCCGCTGACAGTGCTGTCCTTATTCGGAGAGAACTGGTGCCGTGAAGCTGTCTCGCCTCCCCGTGTCAGCCTTGGGAGACTGAAAAGCGGCCTTTATGTGCCCCCTGAGCCGGCTTTTCTAGGCTAAACATCCCCCCAGAGCCTTTGTTTTTCTTGAAGTTTGGACAGAACACAAGCCTGGGTTTGTGTGTGTACCGAGGTGCCTTTCTCTGACCCAACTCAGGGTGAGAAACAGGAGCTGTCTCCCCAAAGCCCACTAGGCGTGGGGAAGATGTGATCTGTGTTTCTCTCTTCTCCCCCCTCCCATCTCCAAAGCCGTGAGCAGAAGTGTGTGAAGTGCAAGGAAGCGCAGCCCGTTGTGGTGATACGAGCCGGAGATGCCTTCTGCAGGTGAGGCCTGGAGGTGGCTGAGACCCTGGCAAACATGGCCTCGCTAGCAGACAGGATAGCCGCAACTTGTGATGCTTTGTTAATTCTTTTTAAAAACATGTACTTACTTTATTCCTGCTCCTGATGGGGTCCCTCGTGCCCCTGGTGTTGAAGTGGAGGCGAAAGCATTGGTTTCCTGCTTGGGAAAGTTTCCCATGAGCTAGCCACAGATCCCCTGATGAGGTTTCTGATGGAACTTATGGGGACAGTTGGAAGTGGGGCCGTGGTGTCTAGACTGGGATAAGCTGTAGGAGGACCAGGCGTTTGGGGGCAGCTGGAATACATCTAGGGGCGGATCAGAGCATCTTGGGAACTTGGCAGATGGTCTGGGTGAAAGTTTTTAATCTCGTGTGAGATGCTTGTTTCATCTGTGGCAGGATAGAGGCTTGGAAGACCTCTAGCTTTCCCCCAGGCGCTTGTCATGTCTTTCTTGGCTTGTAGCCATTGTATTGTTCAGTTGTTTCCACTAGACTCATAGCTCCCTGAAGGGAGGACCAGGTCTCTCTCCTTTTAGCCCTCTTAATTCCCAGTGGTGGTGCGTGGTTTTTTTGTTGTTGTTGTTGTTTTTTTTGAGATGGAGTCTCCCTCTGTCACCCAGGCTGGAGTGCAACAGCTGGAGTGCATGATCCCAGCTCACTGCAACCTTTACCTCCTGGGTTCAAGTGATTCTCCTGCCTCAGCCTCCTGAGTAGCTGGGATTACAGGTGCCTGCCATCATGCCCGGCCAATTGTTTTTGTATTTTTAGTAGAGACAGGGTTTCACCATGTTGGCCAGGCTGGTTTCGAACTCCTGACCTCAAGTGATCCACCTGCCTCGGCCTCCCAAAGTGCTGGGATTACAGGCATGAGCCACCACACCTGGCCAAGATAGGTACTTCTTTAACCACCCAGGAGCATCTGAAATTGCCAAGAACACCAGGCTGCCGGCAGAATTCACTGAGGAGAGGCTGCTGTGGCTGTATGCTAGGCCCTTGTGGCCAGAAGGGCTTTTGCTGTGCTTGCTGGTCCCAAGGAACAGTGGGGAGCCGGCTCTCTAGGGGAAGGCCTTAGGAATCTACATCGAGCTGGGATCCCCAGGGATCATTCAGGTCAGCACGTGGGAGAAACCTTGGCCTTCCCTGACCCACAGGGGACAGCGTGGTTTCAGGAGCCCAGACGCAGCATGTACACGTGGACCCACCACGCTTGAATCCCAGCTGGTGGTGTAGGGCGCAGAGGCTCTCCTGGTCCACAGTGCGGAGGTGAAGCCCAGCACCTGTGTCTCCTTGTATGAGACTCCCCACGCCCAAAGCTGGGTCCTGGGGGTCACTTCCCATGTCCCAGCCTTGATACTTGCCAGTTACCTGCAGTCCCTCACCTGGCATCTTGCTGTTAAACACAGACTTGCTTTACTGTCTGTAAAGGAACCACAGGGGGGTCATTCGGCCTCTTGTACGTGGTATCCATTCAACGTAGGGAGGGACTGCTGTGCACATCAAGTGTGTCTGACAGGAAGGAAGAGACTTAGAGCCCCAGGTGCAGGGTGACTCTTGCAGTGGCATTGTCCGCTCTGTACCGGGTGCTGCTCTTCACCCTGCCTGCCAGGATTGCAGGAGAGCTTTAAAATGCAGACTCCTAGGCCTCACCCCTAGACAATTTGACTTAATTGGTTTGTGCAATTCTAACATACAGCCAGGGCCAAGAACCCCTGACGTAGTGAGCCAGAGTCAGATGGCTGGAAAGTTTATTATGAACAAAGATTACAGCTGGGCGCAGTGGCTCATACCTGGAATCTCAGCACTCTGGGAGGCCCAGGCAGGAGGGTCACTTAAGGCCAGGAGTTTGAGACCAGTCTGGGCAACAAAGTGAGACCTTGTCTCTACAAAAAATACAACAATTAGCTAGGCATGGTGGCATATATCTGTAACCTGTAGTCCTATCTACCTGGGTGGCTGAGGCAGAAGGATCACATGAATCGAGGAGTTTGAGGCTGCAGTGAGCTATAACTGTGGCACTGCACTCCAACCTGGGTGACACATCGAGACCCTGTCTCTTAAAAATGCAGTTCCCAGGCCTGGAAGTTCTGATTCTGTGGGGTTAGGGGAGGAGCCCAGGCCACTCTGTGAGTGAGCCTCTTAGCCATTCCTGGCCCAGTTGAGCCCAGCACACTAAAGATGCCAGCTCTGGGGCCCCAGGATACTGAGCCCTCGCTGTGGCCCACCCCATTTCCGCACTTCACCCCAAAGAGGTGGTGTCTCTGCATGGTGGGTCCTCGCTGTGGCCCGCTCCATTTCCACGTTTCACCTCCAAGAGGTGGTGTCTGTATGTGGTGGGTCTTTTTTTATGGGGTCTGGGTTGGCCTTGCCCTGTACGTGCCTAAGTCTGTCCACTCCACCAGCTGGGCCCTTCTGAGCGCCTGTGGGGAGGGGTGCCGGGGCTCTGCCCTCGTTTGCTGGATGCAGCCTCCGTGGCTGTGCAGTTTGTACCTGGTCGTGGGAGGGGCCGGTGAGCCTCGTGTTCACCCTGAGGAAGCCACTGCCAGAGGGGCCAACCCCGCCCCTTTCACCAGTCTCTGGACAGAGCCTGGATGTGAAGATGCTGCTTTTAAAGATGGAGATTGGCAAAGGACGTCGTCACCTGGCAGCGCCTCAGGACGCTGCTCACTGTGCGGGTAGCAGGCGGTTCCCTCATCTCAGGTCTGTGTTGCAGGGACTGTTTCAAGGCCTTCTACGTCCACAAGTTCAGAGCCATGCTGGGCAAGAACCGGCTCATCTTTCCAGGCGAGAAGGTAGCGTCTGGGTCCTGGGGGTCTGACTGAGCAGCCTGGCCCCTCGAGGTCCCTGCTTGTCCCTCCCACAGGCAGCCTGGCCTGCTGCAGCCCGCCAGCTCCTCCTTGGCCTTTGAGGACAGACTCGATGTCCTAGATGTCCACGAGGTGGGGTGTCTGCCTGTGTTGGAGGTGCGGTGCCCTGAGTGATGTTTTTTCTCCCCCAGGTGCTCTTGGCGTGGTCTGGGGGGCCTTCGTCCAGCTCCATGGTCTGGCAGGTTCTTGAGGTGCGTGTTCACCACCCCGTGGGCCCGGGCTGCTGGGCTGAGCTTCAGGCTGGGGGCCTCCCTTCTCAGCCTGCTGAGGGGCTCTTGGTTGGGGCTAGAGAGCAGTCCACCCTGCGGCCTGGACACTTGGGGGGTTCTCAGATGTGTTCACAACAGGTGCACCAATCAGGAGCTGAGTCCACAGTGTGTGTGTGCGGCCCACTCTCAGATGTGTTTACAGCAGGTGCACAAATCAGAAGCTGGGTCCACAGCGCGTGTGTGCGGCCCACTCTCAGATGTGTTTACAGCAGGTGCACAAATCAGAAGCTGGGTCCACAGTGCGTGTGTGCGGCCCACTCTCAGATGTGTTTACAGCAGGTGCACCAATCAGAAGCTGGGTCCAGAGTGCGTGTGTGCGGCCCACTTGACTTCTGTCCATTTGCTCAACCTGCGTAGAAACACAGTCAGTGGAAAGCTGCATCTTGGCTCAGCCATGTGTGACCCGAGGGAAGATTGGGAAAGGGGCGGGGGTTTGCCAGGAGAAGCAAAGGGAGCAGCGTTTGAGGTGGAGGCGGCGGCCCGCGCAGGGAGGTGGAGGCGGGCTTAGGCTGCACACAGGGCTCGGCTGGGGGTGGTGGGGCTGTGCCCGTGGCCTGTCAAGGGTCAGCTCAGGAAGTCTGAGGCAGGTCGGGCTTCTCAGGAGGGCACAGGAGCGGGATGTGCTTGGTTTCTCTGCACTCTCATGAGAGGTGCAGACCGGAGGAGGCTGTTTCTGTGGGCTGGGTGGTTGAGAGGAGAGGGGTCGGCTTTGCCGGGTTGAGGAGTGGGGTGTTGGTCTCAGGATGGGCGCATGGCACAACACTGCTGAAATTAGTTTTCTGTTTTCTGAGGTCCCCTGAACCTGCCAGGAGGGTGTTGTGAGGGAACTGGCCCAGCCCTCTGTGTAACGCTGGTGCTGCCCTTCCTGTGCCCAGCGGCGCCCCTGCCTCTTGCAGGCTGTTGGTTTCTGCTTGTGAGAGCAAGTGCTTCCTTAGTGGTCAGAAGCGTGTGGGATGGTGGCACAGTGGCCCCGTAACCCAGCCCCCTCTCCTGGGGCGTTGTTGGGACATCCAGGACCAGCTGGTGAGGGGCATGTTTTACCAGGGGGATGAAGACCCCCAGGCTACCCTTTAAAATAAGTCGGGCGTGCGGCCTCGCCTACTGGGCCTGCCCGGCACCTGAGTCTGAATGGCTTTGTCCAATAAACGCAATGGCAGGGGAAGACCACTTCACCTTCCAAGATGGCATTAAATCCAGATGAAGAATGTTCTGAGCTGGAAAAGTGTCCTGTGGCTTATGGCTGGGGGCTGAGTCCCTGCTGCTTCTCCCTCTAGGGCCTGAGCCAAGATTCTGCCAAAAGACTGCGCTTTGTGGCAGGAGTCATCTTTGTTGACGGTATGTGGGGCCATTGCTCCTCCTAGTCCCTGGCCACTTGGGGTAAGCCCTGCGGATCCTCCCTCTGGTGTGGACCCTCCCTCTGGTGCCGGTCCTCCCTCTGGTAGGATGTGTTGAGCTACTGGTGCTGCCCCTGCACTGAGGGCCTGGTGGGGACATCTCCCTGAAGGAGGCAGCAGATGTATCCATCGTTAGGTGGCATCACTGTTCCTGGAATCTAAGAACATCCTTAGAAAGTCGGGGGTGGGAGCAGGAGTGGCGGCTGCCCAGCCCCCATCACGGGGTCTGGGGACAAAGAAGGGCAAGTTAAGTGCTGATGGTGAGCGGGGGCCCAGGGGCCGACTCCCCGACCCTTGCTCCTGCAGAACGAACTCCTGGGGTGTTGACTGTAGCGCTGAGGTCAGCCGCAAGAGAGAAACCCCTGCCCAAAGGAAAATGGCCGACACCCCACAGCTCCGCCAGGAAGCACCGCCCTGCGGAGCGAGGCCTCGAAGGGTTTTCCCAGGTGGAGGTGGCCCTGCAGCCTGCCCTGCCTGGCTCCTCTCTGAGCCCTGACTCTTTCTGCCTGGGTTTTTCAGAGGGAGCAGCCTGTGGCCAGAGCCTAGAGGAGAGATCAAAGACCCTGGCCGAAGTGAAGCCCATTCTGCAAGCAACTGGGTTCCCATGGCATGTGGTGGCCTTAGAGGAGGTGGGAGGGCTGTCCCTGGAAAGGGGTCCCGGAGGTGACCCCTGGGGGGCACCTGCCCGTGTCCCAGCCTCACTGGCCTCTCCCTCATCCCAGAAGGCGGGGCTGTCGGTGGGGGGTGGGAGGCACCTGCCCGTGCCCCAGCCTCACTGCCGTCTCCCGCATCCCGGAAGGTGGGGCTGTCTGTGGGGGGCACCTGCCCGTGTCCCGGGCCTCACTGGCGTCTCCCTCATCCCGGAAGGTGTTCAGCCTGCCACCGTCGGTGCTTTGGTGCTCTGCCCAGGAGCTGGTGGGATCCGAGGGGGCCTACAAGGCGGCCGTGGACAGCTTCCTCCAGCAGCAGCATGTGCTGGGGGCCGGGGGTGGTCCTGGCCCGACTCAAGGGGAGGAACAGCCACCCCAGCCCCCGCTGGACCCCCAGAACCTGGCAAGACCGCCTGCCCCTGCCCAGACTGAGGCTCTTTCCCAACTGTTCTGCTCAGTGAGGACACTGACTGCCAAGGAGGAGCTTCTGCAGACCCTGCGGTGAGGCCCCGAGAGCCCCCCTTCCCCGGGCCCTGACCCCCACTCATGCCCCTGAGAGCCCCCTTCCCCGGGCCCTGACCCCCACTCATGCCCCTGAGAGCCCCCCTTCCCCGGGCCCTGACCCCCACTCATGCCCCTGAGAGCCCCCCTTCCCCGGGCCCTGACCCCCACTCATGCCCGAGAGCCCCCTTCCCCGGGCCCTGACCCCCACTCATGCCCCTGAGAGCCCCCCTTCCCCGGGCCCTGACCCCCACTCATACCTGAGAGCCCCCCTTCCCCGGGCCCTGACCCCCACTCATACCCCTGAGAGCCCCCCTTCCCCGGGCCCTGACCCCCACTCATACCCGAGAGCCCCCCTTCCCCGGGTCCTGCACCCCCCAGGCCCCTGAGACGCTCTGTGCTTTAGGACCCACCTGATCCTCCACATGGCCCGAGCCCACGGCTACTCCAAGGTCATGACTGGGGACAGCTGCACACGCTTGGCTATCAAGCTCATGACCAACCTGGCGCTGGGTCGAGGGGCCTTCCTGGCCTGGGATACGGTAGGCAGGGGCCTGGGTGTTCAGGAGGCCCATCCTCACCTTCACCCCTTCGGCCACCTTTACTGGAGAGTAGCCTCTCGCGTATCAGTCCTGCGGCCTCGGATGGTGGTGGGGTCTGTGACCTCCCCTACCTGGCAGGGGAGGAGGGGCAAGCACATTCGGGCCTTGACCTGGACCACACAGCCCCTGCCTCCCGCAGGGCTTCTCGGATGAGCGGCACGGGGACGTGGTGGTGGTGCGGCCCATGCGGGACCACACCCTGAAGGAGGTCGCTTTCTACAACCGCCTGTTCTCCGTTCCTTCTGTCTTCACACCAGCCGTCGACACCAAGGTGGGCCTTGTGGGCTGGGCAACCTCTCTCACCATTGACACCGGGGTGGGCCATGTGGGCTGGGCAGCCTCTCACAGGCTCAGGTCACCAGCACACCTTCAGTGACTCCTGCTGTGGCCCCCAGCAGTGCTGCATCCTCTGAGCCCACCCTGTGCCGTGAGGGTGTGGGGGTGACAGGAGGACCCCACAGTGGGTGCACTGCTGAAGCGGGTTCTCTGGCTGCCTTGAGCAGTCGCAGCAAAGCCAGACCCATGTGGGCCAGCAGCGTGGAACCCACGGCACCTGTCCTGGGGACTCTGCCCCAGCCTGGGGCTGGCCTCTGGGCTTTCCCATAGCCTCCAATCTGATTGTCCCTAGGCCCCTGAAAAGGCCAGCATCCACCGGCTGATGGAGGCCTTCATCCTCAGGCTGCAGACCCAGTTCCCCTCCACTGTCAGCACTGTGTACAGGTGTGGGTGTGTGTGGGTGTGTGCGGGGGGTGCGCGGGTGTGTGCTGTGCGCGGGTGTGTGCGGGTGGTGAGCTCACCACTCGTGCTCAGGCCAGGGCTTAGGGTGGAGCCCCAGCCCGTGTGATTCACCTGCTCCTCCCACAATCCGGCCACAGGACAAGTGAGAAGCTGGTGAAGGGCCCCCGGGATGGCCCTGCTGCTGGCGACTCCGGCCCCCGCTGCCTCCTCTGCATGTGTGCCCTGGACGTCGACGCCGCTGGTCTGTGTTTCATGCTCTTGGGGTGATGCGGGGAGGGAGCCAGGGAGTGGGTGTGGGGGCTCAGCAGCCCCAGGCTCCGTCACCCCCTCTCTGCTTGCAGACAGTGCCACGGCTTTTGGGGCTCAGACCTCCTCGCGTCTCTCCCAGATGCAGTCACCCATCCCCCTGACTGAGACCCGGACACCCCCGGGGCCCTGCTGTTCTCCAGGGGTGGGCTGGGCCCAGCGCTGTGGCCAGGGGGCCTGCAGGAGGTGAGTCCCTGTCCCTGCCACCCATGGCCAGCTGCATGGGGCGGGAGGGGGACCTGTCCTTACCCCACACTGCACGGCATTGAGGTGCCAAGGTGGGCACACAGCCAGCTCTGCTCCCGCAGGGAGGACCCCCAAGCCTGCATTGAGGAGCAGCTGTGCTACAGCTGCCGCGTGAACATGAAGGACTTGGTGAGTACGTGCCCACCTGTCCTGGGCCGGGCTTGGGGACGCGGGAAGGCCGTCACCTCGTGGGTGGCTTGAGGGGGTGCTGGCAGGTTTCTTGGCCCCTCGACACCGGCCTCTGTTGCAGCCCTCACTGGACCCCCTGCCGCCGTACATCCTGGCTGAGGCCCAGCTCCGCACACAGAGGTACTGGGGCCCACACTGCCGTGGCGCGTGGGTAAGGGGCCTCGGGGCTGGTGCCCACTGCAGCTTTCTCTCTAGGGCCTGGGGCTTGCAGGAGATCCGGGACTGTCTGATTGAGGACAGTGACGACGAGGCGGGCCAGAGCTGAGCGTGAGGACGTGCTTGCCGGGACAGCAGGCAGTGGCCACCTGGTACACCACACTGGAGCCGGAAGGCAAGGACGGGGGACTGGCCTCTGATTGTCCATTTGTATAAATAAAACATTTTTTAATTAAAAAAAAAACTCTACAGTACACGTGGGGGACGGCAGCGCCACGCAGGCCGTGGGGACGCAGTGTCCTTCTCTGACAGCAGCATCAGGGCTCAGGCAGGCCGGGAGGATGCATCACAGCTGGCGGCCTTGGACGGGGCAGTGGCTCCCCCGGCCTGAGGAGTGCCGCCCCTTGTGGCCACGCTGCCCAGCAGGCCGGCTCCTTCCCTCTCGGGCGCCAGCAGCAGCTCCTACTCCTTCTCACGAGTCCACTTGATCATGGTCTCCGGTGAGCGGTAGAGGAAGATGAGCTTGGCGTACAACTCCTCCTCCAGCTCCAGCTCCCGAGTCTCCCGCACCAGGAAGATGTCCTGGCAGAGCTTGAGGATGCGGTCCACGCACGGCAGCTCCTCGAACATAATGGAGTGCGAGATCTCGCTGAAGAATCCGCGCACGAACTTGCCGATGACCAGCACGATGGACACGTACAGCCCCATGATGCTGCGGGGGAAGCTGGTGAGTCCTGGGGCCGCCCGGAGCCCCCCGAGCTGCGGGGTGCCCCCCCAGCCACTCACTCACCCGTAGCCAGCCAGGAAGCCGAGGCTCGGTGGGCTGACCTTGTCACTGAAAATGACCATGGGCAGCAGGTTGCAGTCGGTCCGGCACTCCTGCAGCTCGATGACCCACCATTCGAGGAAGCCGGTGGCCCCCGCACCCTGCTCCCTCCGCAGCTGGATACGCACGCCGAGGTAGTCGGCCTCCTCATCTGGGATGGAGGGAGAAGATCGTTGAGGCCGCAGGTCACCCCTCTCTAGCCTCCCCCAACCCCCACGCCCATACTCACTGGGCTGCAGCTGCTTCACAGGGTTGGCTTCGGGCCCGTTGGGGGCACGGATGTACTTGGGGAAGAGATTAGGGATGACCCTGCAGGGAGGTGCTGGCAGGTCAGGCCTGGCCCAGCCAACCTGGCACAGCCCTCCTGCCCACCACCCGGGCCCTTCACTCACACAGACTGGTCCGAGGTGCCCTCGAGCAGGCTGGCCAGCTGCCGCCGTGCAGTGCTGTTGGGGGCCAGGGCCAGCATGTGCTTCTCGTTGGCATACTCCACAGTGCCTCCCTTCGCCAGGTCCCTGGGGGTGGGAACACAGCGTGACCCACTGTAGTGGGTCCACCCACCCAGGCACTGCCCCAAGTCCAGGACGAACCTCTGGAAGTTCCAGGTGAAGCGCAGGGTGATGTCGGCCGTGCCGTTGTAGAGCTCCCGCTTCATCTGGGCACGGCTGGGGGGACTGATGCGCCACAGCGCCCCGGAGCTGCCCTCAATCTGCGCCGTGACGATGTCCTCAGGGCTGTACTGGCTGATGAACTGCATGGCCAGCTGGGTACAAGTGACACCCTCAGTGACTGCAGCCGCCTCCCCACACCAGCTTTCACAGGGCAGAGGCCACTTACCGGCTGGGGGTCAAACTGCCGGGACAGCTCCTCATAGGCCTGGGCCGTGAAGGGGATGATGGACGGCTGCTGGGCGCTCATGGTGAACAGCGGCTGGGGCAGGCACGGGGACACGGGGCCACGAAGATGAGCGTGGAGGAGCGGCTGGGGGTGGTGCACCACCTTGGCCAGAACCCCCAGGGGATGGGAATGGACAGGCGGACCCACACATGCTCACCTCATAGCCGCCCAGCTTCAGGGTGACGGTGACATCGATGGGCTGGTTGACAACCCCAACCACGGAGCGCACCAGCGACATGAAGAGCAGTGGGAACCAGATGATGGCGATGAGGAAGAGGATGATGAGGCCACCCATGCCGTACTTGACGATCTTCTTCTTCTTCTGCCCTTTGGGCTGCGGGTATTTCTGGAGGGGAACGACACAGGTCATACGCTCAGCTCTGCCCTTCCTGCGGGTCACACAACCGCATTCTCCAGCTCACCCAGCAGCCCAGAAAAGCCCCAGCCTGACCTCAGTATGGCACAGCGGTAGTAATGGTGGGCAGACACAGGCCAGTGGAGTAGAACTAAGAGTCCAGTTGGAACCCTCATGTTCAGGGGTCGTTGATCTTAGACAAGGGAGCTGTGACCGTTCAGTGGGAACGGACAACCTTTTTCAACACGGTGCAGGCACCGCCCCAGGCAGGAGAATGAAACGCAACTCCTGCCTCATACCATGTGCCAAAATTTACCTCAAAGTGGATCAAAGAGCGAAACTTCAGAGCTAAAACTATAGAACTTTTAGAAGAAAACGGGCAAATCTTCATGAACCTGGATTTGGCGAAGGAAACAAAGTAAACCAGATATTACCAAAATAAATACTTTGTGCTTCCAAAGACACCAAGAAAATTTAAGAGACAGTCCATAGAATTGGAGAAATTTTCTGCAAATTTTAATTGATAAGGTTCTAGCAACCAGAGAATACAGAGAATTCTTCCAATTCAGTCATTTCTAGCCAATGTATCTGCAGAAAAACAGAAAAAACTCTAATAAAAAACAACCCAACTGCTGGGTGTGGCGGCTCACACTTGTCATCCCAGCACTTTGAGGTCAGGAGTTTGAGACGAACCTGGCCAAAAATACAAAAGACTAGCCAGGCCTGGTGGTGCACACCTGTAGTCCCAGCTACTCGGGAGGCTGAGGTGGGAGAATCGCTTGAACCTGGGAGGCAGAGGCTACAGTGAGTGAAGGTCATGCCACTGCACTTCAGCCTGAGATCCTATCTCAAAAGCCCAACTAAACTATGGAGAAAGGATTTGAATAGACATTTCCCCAGAGAAGATACACAAATGGCCAAGCACATGAAAAGACGCTCAGCGTCGGTCAACAGGGAACTGAGAAGAGCCCACAGCAAGCCACCCGTTCAGCAGCATGGCCAGAACAAAAAAGACATAGTAACAGGTTGTTGAGGATGTGGAGAAACCGCAACCTCGTGTTGGTGGTGGGAACCTTAGATGGTGGAGCTGCTATGGAAAACCAGCAGCTCCTCATGATGGAAACCACCACCAGCACTTCCGGCCCTGGCGTGCAGCCACAGGACCAGGGGCACGGGCACACAGACGTGTACACCGGCGTGCCTGGCAGCATCACGGGCAACAGCCCATCAACAGATGAGCATGTTGTGGTCCATCCATGCCACAGAATATCATTTGCCCATAAACAGGAAGGCCATACTGCCACGTGGGTGGACCTCAGAGACACCATGCTGAGCAAGGAAAGCTGATTACAAAAGGACAAACGCTGTCTGAGCCTGTTTTCATGAAATATCCACTGTAGGCAAATCTCATAGAACCAGGACCTAGACAAGGGGTTACTAGGGGCCAGGGGAGGGGAAACCGAGTGACAGCCAATGGGCACTGGGTTTCTTCTTTTTACTTTTTTAGAGACAGGGTCTCACTCTGTTGCCCAAGCTGGAGTGCAGTGGTGTGATCAGGCTTAATGCAGCCCTGTACTCCTGGCCTCAAGCCATCCTCCCACCTCAGCCTCCAGAGTAGCTGGGAGCACAAGTGTGCACCATCACACCCAGCTAACGTTTATTTTTTTGTAGAGAGAGTCTCACTCACTATGTTGCCCAGGCTGGTCTTAAAACTCCTGGCCTCAACTGATCCTCCTCCTTTGGCCTCCCAAAGTGCTGGGACCATAGGCATGAGCTGCCATTGCCAGCTAATTGTTTTATTTTTACATTTGCTGAGGCAGGGTCTCGCTTGTGGCCGTGCAGATCTTGAACTCCTGGCCTTGAGCAGTACCTCCCTCCTGGGTCTCTTACAGTGCTGGGATGATAGGGGTGAGCCGCTGTGCCCGGCCCGGGGTTTCTTTTTGAAGTGGTGAGAAGGCAGATGCTCAACTGTGAATCCACTAGAAACCCCTGAGTTGTACTTTTTACGTGGGGGAGTGGTCTGACGCACGAATTCTCTCTGAGAAAGGCCATTAAACAAGAATGCAGCAAACAGTGGCTGTCCGGTCCTCCCTGCACCAGGCCCTGCTCTGCTGCCAGCCTGCCTGGAACAGGACCAACTCCGCTGCCCACTTCTGCGCCCAGCACTCACTCGCAGCTGCCAAGATCACTGGCCTCGTGATCAGCTAGTGGGTGGGCTCGCCTCATGTCCCCATGGGCTCCGAGCCCTGGGAGGGCCTCCAGCACCACGGGTTCTCGTGGCAGCAGTGCCTCTGTCTTAGGGAGAGGGCATATCCCTGGCCCTTGTCCCGGCCCCCGCCCTGGGCCCAGGCACCTTCTCTGTCTCTCGGCTGCATTTGATGATGAAGATGTTGGCATAGATGTCCTCCACACACATCCAGCTGGACAGGGACAGCGTGGTGTCCGTCCACACCCAGTCCATCACTGCCCGCAGCTCCACCAGGAACGGCACCAGCCGGAACCTGCCCACAGCCAGGGTTCCCGTCAGGTGGGCTCCCTCATGCCCGGGCCGTGACCCCCACCCCGGCGGACCTGCACTCACCCCTGGAAGAGGAAGAGGTTGAGATGATTGTACTTCTTGGTGAGGAAGTTGCCGAGGATGCGGGTGGGGTAGCCGCAGCGGATCTGGTAGGCGGACAGGGCGAAGTAGATGCACTTCACGAAGTACCAGAGCTGGGCCACCACATTCTGGTTGAACATCCTGGGGCGGGATGGCCAGGTCAAGGACCCCATCAGAAACAGCCCCGCAGGGCCCCCAGCCTGCACTGCCCCGCCCCTGGAGACCGAGCGCCCCCACGCGTGGGCCCACCTCTCAGTGACGGCGGGCAGGATGAAGAACATCCATAGGTGGATGGCCAGCACCAGCGCCACCTGGAAGGCCAGCTTGCCCAGCACGGTCTTGCGCAGGTAGAGGGCGCGGTCAACCACCATGGTACTGAACTGGATCAGCAGCATGACCAGGAAAGCCTCGGGTACCTGGTCGTCTGATAGGGAGGACGTGATGTCTGTGGCCGCCGAGTGCTTCTGTGGCCAGGAGAGCACAGGTCAGGGGGAGCCAAGCCCAGGGGATGTGGGTGGCTGCTGAGCTCTGCGTACACTGGGTTTGGGTCCCGGGCCTGGCTCACCCCAAAGGCCCAGAAGCCAAAAATGATGATGATGAAGTCGACAACATCAGCCAGGAACATGAGGGCATAGACGTCGGTGGCTGCGCGGTACTTGGTGTGCAGGATGTCGTGGAAGAAGCGCCGTAGCGGCCGATATGTGCCCTGGGCCCTGCGGAAGGGGGCGCTCAGCCTGGGCCCAGTACCCGCCTCCCCACCCCCACTCCCCAGCTGCCCCCGGCCGCCATCACTCACAGGGACAGGCAGAAGCCCTGCAGCCGCCGCCCGGCCGCCCTTACTCTTCCTCCAGAGCGGCTTGGCCTCTTCTCTCTCCCCGTGGGGGCCTCTTTCTCTTCCTCCCCCTCTTCTTCCTCCCTGTCCTCAGCTTCTGTAGGGAAAAGCTGACTTCTGCCTGGGCCCCCTGGGGACTGGGCCTGGCTCATGGCTCCTGACCACCCTAAGAGGCTGGCATTCTCCCTGTTTGACAGACAAGCAGACGGAGCACAGGAAAGCTCCCAGTGTCACTGGCAAGGAGACAGCTGGGGCTGTGTCCTCTGTCTGGGGCAACTGTGAGGGGCCAGCCCAGGCCAACAGTCACCCTACACGTGGGGAGCATCCCCGGGGGCAGCAGTCAGGGACGGCTCTGTAGGCAGAGCCGGGAGCTGTGGCTCAGAAGTGGCACCTTCCTGGGATCCAGGTGGGCCTCGCACTGGGCTTGGCCGTCTCATCTGAGAAAGACCCTCCCTGCAGTAGCCCCACTCAGAAAACTGGGTAGGCAGGAGGTTGTGAGGCAGGGCGCTTATACCGATGGCTGCCGCTCCTTTCCGTGCTGGGCCCTCCTTCTTCCTTCTTCTAAAACGTAGACTGATGCGCCTCGTATCACGGGGCCTGAGCTCCACTTGGGGTTCTGGGGTCCCGTCCGTGGGTCCGACCCTGGCTTCCACCTGAATGTGGTCTTCGGTGGTGGCCGCAGGCACCCCTGGCCCCTCCTCGGCTCCCTGCTCCTCCTCGCCGCTCTTGTCATGCTCCTTGGATGGTGAGTCCTCCTCATGGTCCCAGAGGCCATAGCACTGAGGGGCGGGAGGGTGTGGTGAGGGGGCCTTGCCTCCCTGGTGGAGAGCACAGGTGCCCAGAGGGCCTGCCCAGCCCCGCATTGCCAGCCAAGGCTCACACTCACCAGCAGCTGGGAGCGGTGGAAGAAAAGGGCCATGAGCTGCACCAGGTCGTACTTGATGTAGCCGTCAGTCTTCTCCAGGCCCAGGATGCGGGGCGGGAAGTAGGGCTTGTTCTCGTAGCGCCGCAGCACCACGTGGCTGTTCCAGGGGAAGAACCCAAACTGGAACAGGTACTTGACGACCACCGCGATCTGTGGGGGAGGGGGCTCAGCACGCGGGGAGGGTCACGGCGCGGTGGGCCGGGCGCCCCCTCCCCCGCGGCCTCGGCCCACCTCGGTGAAGACGATGGCCGTCATCCAGAAGCGCTTGCTGGGCCTCGGGATCGACAGCATGGCCCACAGGAAGACGAGCACGGGCAGCACCAGCGAGCCGGCGGAGGCCGTGACCATGTGGTTGAGGATGATGATGAAGTAGCAGAGCAGCTCCGAGTGGGCGGCCACACACTGGTACACGGCCCGCAGCAGCCGCAGCGCCCGGCCCTGCCCCTCCGCAAACAGCTCTGCCTCCTCCAGCTCTGGGATGCGCAGGCGCCTACAGGGAGACCCGCGTGTTTGGGGGAGTCTGGGACTGCCCGAAGGCATGACGGCCCGATCTGTTGCCGGTCACAGTCAGTCTCCTGCCCCTGTTCGGCTGCTCCCCGAGGGCCATGGTGAGGCTGGTGTTGTGCGCGTCCCGCCCCCACCTGTCCAGGAGCAGCTCGCTGGCCGTCCGCATCAGTCCCTGGTACAGAGAGGCACCAGCCTCACGCTCCCCGGGGTCGGTGACTGCCTCCTCACTGCCACTGCGCGTGTGGTAGCCGGTGCTCAGGGGGCTGCCCATGTCGTCTGTCATGCTGCTGAGTGGCTCCTCCGCGCCCAGCCCACTGGGGAGGGAAGCCGAGTCACAGAGAATCCTGCTCTATGGCCTGACCCCAGGCTACAGGGAGGGTCAGGGTGGAAAGTGCCCACGGTCCTTTGGGGTACAAGGGAATGGCGAGGGTCGGGGATGGCTAGGCGATGCCCACACACCAGGGGCAGCAGCTGGGGCTCGGGTCACCCCCGCACCTACCTGGACACGGTGCTTGGGGCATTGGGGGCCTCGGTGGGGCCTGGCAGCGTGGCCTCGGCCTGGCTTGTGTACAGCTGATCCAGCACGCCCCTGTGCACTTCGCCGCCCTGCAGGGCACAGCAGGGGGCTCAGGGCTGCGTCCAGCTCTTGTCCCCACACGGGGTTTCGTGCAGTGGGCGCGGGACTAGGCTGTTAAGCAGGCAGGGGCGTAGTCAGGCAGAGCAGGGACGAGCGTGGTGCACGGGCAGGCTCACCTGCAGGAGCTCCTGTGTGAGGAGGTAGCGCTCTGCCCGCAGCACGTCGCTCATGGTGCCGTGGTGCCGGGTGAACTCCTGCAGCCAGCGTGTCAGCTCATCCACTAGCGCCTGCCCCAGCATCCACAGGAACTGCGCCGTGCTCAGCACCCTCTGCACCACATGGCTCCGGCCTGCGGGAGGGCGGGAGGGGGCGCTGGAGGGGCAGCCTGTGGGGCCAAGAGAGACCTCCCACTCCCCAGCCCCGGGCCCACGTACCTGCCGCTGCCTCCTCGGGGCCCTCTGCTGGCTCCACCTCCTGGCTGGGACCACCTCCTGGGCACAGGATGCTGGTGAGTGACTGGCAGTCCCGCGGCTTCCCCTCAGAGTCCCCACGCCCCCCAGCTCACCTGTGGGTAGCTGTCCTGCCTGTTCCTGCCTTGCCTGCTCCTGCTCCTGCTGCCGCCGCCTCAGCACCGCCTGGGCGTTGGTCACCCATGCCTGGTACGCCAGCTGTCGGCCAGCCCCCGGGTTAGGACCCGGCCTCCCGAGCCATCAGACCCAGGCGGGAAGCTGGGGTTGGGCAAGCCGGGCGCCAGATCCAGATCCCTGCTCTGTGTCTCCCAGGGACCTCCGTGTCCCTGAGCCCCTCCCGGATGGGGACCCTGAGGGGCTGTGGGGGAAGACTCCCACCCATTCAGGAGTTGGGTGGGCTGGTCTAACACCAAGAGCCAGGGGCCCAAAGATGGACCCAGGACAGCCAGGCGGCCAGCACAAAGGTGTTGGGCCGGTCTCACAGGTCAGGCCACGGGCAGCCACCAGAACCTGGGTGGTCAGAGCCAAGACCGTGGGGCAGCAGGCTACACATGACCCATGTCCCTGTAGCCTGGTTTCCCATGGGACTTGGGAGGCCTGGATGGGGCGGGGTGGGCTAACTGGAGGTGGAGGAGCTCGGCTCCCAGGCCCTGGGGGCATCTGACACCCTCTATGCTGCCCTGGTCCAGGACCACAAGCTCTGTGGTTGGAGTGGGGCCGACGGGGCTCTCCCACCTCACCTGGAAGGCACTCTGTGCCGACGGCCTCGGGTCTTCAGGAACAGCCTCCTCCTCTTCCTCACTGTCGGACTCAAACAGGAAGTAGTCCCCGGAGTGGATGACTGTGGGCAGGCAGCACTGAGAGCCAGCCTTCCATGCAGGGAGACTCCCAGCCAGACCCCCTCCGCCTGCATGGGCCAAGGCCCGAGAGCCACCCTTCCCATGCGGAGTAGCCGGGAGCAGTGCAGGCACAAGACACAGGCCAGCGCGGTGGGACAAGACAGAGGTGGGCAGGGCAGCTGAGGAGCAGAGCCAGCGCGGGCTGGGGTGCAGAGTGGGCCGACTGCAGAGGACCGGGGAAAACCCAGGAGGCTGTGTGAGAGTTAGAAAAACAGAACAGGCCGGGCACGGTGGCTGACGCCTGTAATCCCAGCACTGTGGGAGGCTGAGGCGGGCGGATCACCTGAAGTCAGAGGTTCGAGACCAGCCTGGCCAATATGGTGAAACCCCATCTCTACTAAAAATACGAAAATTAGCTGGGCGTGGTGGCGGGCACCTGTAATCCCAGCTACTTGGGAGGCTGAGGCAGGAGAATCCTTTGAACCTGGGAGGTGGGGGTTGTAGTGAGCCGCAATCACGCCATTGCACTGTAGCCTGGGCGACAGGGCAAGACACCGTCTCCAAAAAAAAAAAAAAAAGGCCTGGAGTGGGGCACATGCTTGTAGTCTCAGTTACTTGGGAGGCTGAGGCAGGAGGATCACTTGAACCCGGGAGGTAGAGATTGCAGTGAGCTGAGATCATGCCACTGCACTCCAGCCTGCAGTGACAGAGCGAGACTCCATCTCAAAAAGAAACAAAAACAGAATAACGCAGTGCTGCTGGGTCCCAGGTGAGATCGCTGCTCGACCACCATGTGTCATCGGGGCAAGCTCCGAGACTCCCACTGTTGGAAGGGCTGGGGCATAGCCAGGAGAGGACATAGTCAGCCCAGGGGTCTGCAGCCAGTGAGGCACCCCCCGACCCAGGAGGCCTGAGCACGTCCTGACGCTCAGGGCCTGGGAGTCGGGGGAAGGGAGGGGAAGATAGCAGGCCAGGCAGAGGACAGATGGGGGCACAGAGGGCCTGAGAGGGTGGCCACAGGCGGCCTAATTGGGGGTACCTGTGGCGTGGTCCAGCCAGGGCCGCCACCACTGCCTCCGTGGCGGGGAGGAGCCCCCTGGACTGTCGGGCCCTGTGGAGGGGCAGGGTGAGCATGAGGCAGCAGTCAAGCCACCAGGAGGGGTCGGGGCTGTGAGTGCTCCCGTCTTGGAGACAGGATAGGTGGAGACAGACACGGACACCCACAGTGACGGGGGCCGTGTGGGGCCATGGGGCTCAGAGCCCATGTGCGTGGACGGACAGTCACAGGGCGGCCATGGGGCCTGCCAGACAGAGGGTGATCATGCGGACAGGACAGGCGGGCTGGGAGCCCTGTGGGACGTCACATGGGCACAGACGCAGCACACGCCAGCAGGCACAGACATGCTGGACACGGGGCCCTGGGTGCCCGACTCCAGCTGCACTCACCTGGCTCCAGGCCGGGGTCCTTGGGGCCCAGGGTGTCCTGGGGGCGACTGCGGTCCACCCGGCCCTGCCTGTGCTTCTCCTGCTTGGCACGGATACGCTCCATCCTGTGGTGGGGAAAGGTGGGGTATGCTGAGCATTGGGGGGAGGAGCCGGGGAGTCCCCGCCCCAGAGGCACCTACTGTCTTTTCAGCTGGGCCAGGGACTTCTCCTCTATCCTGCGGTGAAAGTCAATGCTCTTGAGGTTGGCAGCGTTGTAGAGGGCGAAGCCCCTGTAGGGAGGCGGGGATGGGGTGTGAGCACCAGGCACTCGACCCCAGCAACATGGGCAGCCGCCGCTCCCCGCTCAGCCCGGGACAGCTCAGCCTGCTCCTCTCTGCCCACGCTGGACAAGAGGCACCCACGGGGGAGGCATCTGCTGCCCCCACCCTCCGTGCTGTCTGCGGCGAGGACAGGCCCTTCTGCCGTACAGATGCAGGGGCGTCTGGTGGCACCCACCCCACCACAGCTGCAGGGAAGAAGGCAAAGCTGGCCCCAAGCCAGAACCCCTCCCTGGGGCAGTCGTGACACCACACAGTGGCCCTCCCGCTGGTGGAGAAACTTAGCCCTTAGTGGGAAAGTTGGCTGGGGGTGAGACACCAGCCACCGTCAGCACTGCAGCCTGTGGTCTCTGACAGACCCAGCACTGGGGCAGAGTGTGATGGTGCCGGGGATCTGCCGGCCTTCATTCTCCCTCTAGATGACACGCCCATGTCACAGAGTGGCAGAGCCTGCCCTCCACGGGCCGGGGCCTGAGACAGTGAGGAACCTCCCATTGCCCCCTCCCAGCCCCAAGACGGGAGCTCTGGGCTGTGTCTGGGCCCAAGCTTGCCTGGAGGCTAGCAGGGCGGTGGCCTGGAGGTCGGCCCTGACGTGCAGGTAGTAATGGCTAAGGAAGACGCGGCGCTGCAGCAGCAGGAAGAAGAAGCAGACGCTGTCCCAGATGATGCCAGCCTCCTCCACAGGCAGCAGGCAGTCCTGGTCTCTGTCCATCATCTCCTTGGCTGCAAGGCAGGCACCGGCAAGGGTCAGGCCCAGGGCCCAGGAGCAGGGGGCTTCCCCACGCCCTCCCCCGCCACCGTCCTGGCCACTCACGGTCATAGTAGCCCTTGACGGTGCATACAAGGCTGAAGAGCTGGATGACCCAGCAGAAGCCGGTCTGCATCTGCTCCACGAAGACGCAGGCCAGGAGCTGGGGGAGAGCAGGGTCAGCGGGGCCAGCGGGGCCCCAGGGCGGTGGGTGCGGGGGGGCCGGAGGCTCACCGACAGCATGTTCTTGGAGATGATGACGGTGACGTTGTACAGAATGAGGCAGTCCCACAGCACGAGGCGGGCCCGTGTGTCCCTCTGCAGCAGGGCCGTGCCGAAGAGCAGCAGGTAGAAGCAGGCCAGCAGGTAGCCCAGCCCGAAGATGCTGATGCGGGTGGCCCCCGTGACAAACACCACCACCAGCACCAGCCAGAACAGGTATCGGAAGACGGCCACCTTCAGCATGTCAAGGTAGGACCTGCCAGGCCGGAGCGTCAGGGCGGGCGCCCCGGCCACCCCTCCCAGAAGGTTCCCCGTGGAGGGTGACGTGGAACCCACCTGCAGTGGATAAAGTTGGGCACGGGGTTGGGCTCCCCCCGCAGCGGCTCCAGGCGGTCGGTGTTGACGCCAGCCATGCGCTGCCACTCCTCTGTGCGCTCAGCTGAGAACACCTGCCACTGCTGGGAGGCGCACAGCAGCAGGAGAAAGTCGCCTGCAGGACACAGGAGCCGCCGCTGTGCCACACGGGGACCCACACGAGGTGGGCACGGCGCATAAATCCCACCTCCCACCCCAGGCCTGTCGGCGTGCAGCCGCTGGGAGCGGACACACGTCTGCCTGGGTGAGTGGCCGGGTGTCCCTGGGGGAGCCCCGGTGTGAGGGCATCTGCACAAGGGCTGCCGTGCACACAGGCTGAGGTCTGCGTGCGTGCGTGCGAGGTCAGGGCCTGCAGGCCGCCATGTGCCTGACCACACCTCCGCCCGTGCACGCCTGTGTGCACACTTGTGAGCAGATTTGGGGGCGTGAATGTACTCTGAGGGTCCTCTGCAGAGGCGGGGGTGGTGGGGGGCACTCACTGATGAGGTTGGTGGAGTTGGGGGCCCGGAAGAAATCAGGCAGGTACAGCCACTTGATGAGTGCGGAGTTCATGGGGACGGCCCGGCTCCAGCGCCAGGGATAATCTGGGGGAAGGGGTGTCATGTCAGGAAGGGCCGGGCCTGCCTGGGGCCTGAGACACCCGGTCCCCACCCGTTGACCCGAGTCTATCACCAGCCCTCAGGGTCCATGGGAATCACCTCGCGCACACCTGGTGTCTCGAGAACTGACAGCTCTAGTGTCCTGTGTGTTCACACACACAGATTCCTTCAACTCTGCACCAAGCCCCTGGGGGCAAAGGAACTGAGCAGGAGGCCAGAGAGCACGGGGGTGGGGGCTGCTGGGCCTGAGTTGTGGCCCACACGGCGTCATATTCCATGATAGGACAGTGCGTGTGATAGGACAGCTCTGAAAACAACGGCCAGAAGCTGCACGGACGCCTGCAGCCAGGAAAAGTTCAACCTGCAGCAACCACAGCTGGGAACGCGCTGCTCAGCACGTGGGACCGGGATCCATGCGACAGCCTAGACAGACCTCAGTGTGCTCTGCCAAGTGAAAGAAGCCAGACCTAAAGGCCACCTGCTGGGAGTCCTGCTGACGTGGCGTTCTGATAGGACCACGTGCTGGGGATGGGAGCGGCCGGGGCCTGCTGGGGAGGGAGCCGTGGCACTGCCGGCCCCCGGCCACACTTCCTGGGAGGCGTGTGAGGCAGGGAGGGTCGGTCCCTAAGGACTGAGGGCATGGATGTGACTCCACGCATCTGCGAAACCCACAGCCCCATCTGCCACAGAGGGAACCTCGCGACACAAAAACAAAGTGACCCTCCATGCTGGGGAACCCAGGACATGCTGAACTCACAGCCCCATCTGCCACAGAGGGAACCTCGCGACCCAAAAGCAAAGTGACCCTCGATGCTGGGGAACCCAGGACATGCTGAACCCACAGCCCCATCTGCCACAGAGGGAACCTCGCGACCCAAAAACAAAGTGACCCTCGATGTTGGGGAACCCAGGACATGCTGATCTCACAGCCCCATCTGCCACAGAGGGAACCTCGCGACACAAAAACAAAGTGACCCTCGATGCTGGGGAACCCAGGACATTCTGAACTCACAGCCCCATCTGCCACAGAGGGAACCTCGCGACACAAAAACAAAGTGACCCTCCATGCTGGGGAACCCAGGACATGCTGAACTCACAGCCCCATCTGCCACAGAGGGAACCTCGCGACACAAAAACAAAGTGACCCTCCATGCTGGGGAACCCAGGACATGCTGAACTCACAGCCCCATCTGCCACAGAGGGAACCTTGCGACACAAAAACAAAGTGACCCTCCATGCTGGGGAACCCAGGACATGCTGAACTCACAGCCCCATCTGCCACAGAGGGAACCTCGCGACCCAAAAACAAAGTGACCCTCGATGTTGGGGAACCCAGGACATGCTGAACCCACAGCCCCATCTGCCACAGAGGGAACCTCGTGACCCAAAAACAAAGTGACCCTCGATGCTGGGGAACCCAGGACATGCTGAACCCACAGCCCCATCTGCCACAGAGGGAACCTCGCGACCCAAAAACAAAGTGACCCTCGATGCTGGGGAACCCAGGACATTCTGAACCCACAGCCCCATCTGCCACAGAGGGAACCTCGCGACCCAAAAACAAAGTGACCCTCGATGCTGGGGAACCCAGGACATGCTGAACCCACAGCCCCATCTGCCACAGAGGGAACCTCGCGACCCAAAAACAAAGTGACCCTCGATGCTGGGGAACCCAGGACATGCTGAACCCACAGCCCCATCTGCCACAGAGGGAACCTCGCGACCCAAAAACAAAGTGACCCTCGATGTTGGGGAACCCAGGACATGCTGATCTCACAGCCCCATCTGCCACAGAGGGAACCTCGCGACACAAAAACAAAGTGACCCTCGATGCTGGGGAACCCAGGACATGCTGAACCCACAGCCCCATCTGCCACAGAGGGAACCTCGTGACCCAAAAACAAAGTGACCCTCGATGCTGGGGAACCCAGGACATTCTGAACCCACAGCCCCCATCTGCCACAGAGGGAACCTCGCGACCCAAAAACAAAGTGACCCTCGATGCTGGGGAACCCAGGACATGCTGAACCCACAGCCCCATCTGCCACAGAGGGAACCTCGCGACACAAAAACAAAGTGACCCTCGATGCTGGGGAACCCAGGACATGCTGAACCCACAGCCCCATCTGCCACAGAGGGAACCTCGCGACCCAAAAACAAAGTGACCCTCGATGCTGGGGAACCCAGGACATGCTGAACCCACAGCCCCATCTGCCACAGAGGGAACCTCACGATACAAAAACAAAGTTACCCTCGATGTTGGGGAACCCAGGACATGCTGATCTCACAGGATGGCGACTGCATGGCGCAGCCGCGTGGAAGGAGGCAGAAGAAGGGGAGCTGGCCTAGGTGACGCTTGATAGCAGGTATTTCAACAAGGAAGAGGTGGACAGGAGACGGGGAGCTGGCCTCGGTGATGCTCGAAAGCAGATGTTTCAACAAGGAAGAGCTGGAGGGCCCAGAGGCTGAGGCAGCCCTGTAGCAACAGGCACACCCAGCGCCCAGACCCCGGGCTCTAAACCTCACGCTCCTAGAACTCGATTGGGCTCCCTGGAGCAATGGCTGTGAGCACAAGGCTGGGCCTGGGTAGCAGAAGATGAGGCAGCAGCGCCTGGGAGCAGAAAACAAGACGGGGCCGGGCGTGGCAGCTCACGCCTGTAATCCCAGGAGGGAGGCCTGTAATTTGGGAGGCGGGTGGATCACCTGAGGTCAGGAGTTCAAGACCAGCCTGGCCAAGATGGTGAAACCCCGTCTCTACTAAAAATACAAAAATTAGCCGGGCCTGGTGGTGCTTGCCTGTAATCCTAGCCACGAGGGAGGCTGAGACAGGAGAATTGCTTGAACCCGGGAGGCGGAGGCTGCAGTGAGCCGAGATTGTGCCAGTGTACTCCAGCCTGGGTGACAGAGCAAGACTCCATCTCAAAAAAAAAAAAAAAAAAAAAAAGGGTTCTTGCTATGTTGACCAGAGTGGTTTCAAACTCCTGGCCTCAAGGGATGCTCCTGCCTCAGCCTCCCAAAGTGCTGGCATCACAGGCGTGAACCACCATGCCCAGCCAAATACGGGGAGATGATGTAACAGTGTGTGGCCGGAGGGGCCAGGACCCACTCAGCAGAGGGGAGGCCCAGGGTCTGCGGATGACAGAATTCTTGGAAAGCAGCCAGTAACAAATGGCAGCTGTCCTTGATGGGAATCCCAGCTGACAGACACACAGAGACAGCAGAGAGAAAGTCTGTTTCGTAAAACCACAAGGCTGACCCCACACAGCCCACCAGTGCCAACAGGCTGGGTGCCACTGTGGGGCAGGTGGGACGCCCCTGAGCCGGCCACGTGCACAAATGTGACTCCCCATCTCAGACCGCAGGGTGCTGTGTGCCTTGAGCAGACCTGCAGCACCAGGACAGCCACGCAAATCCAGTCTCACGGCGTCAGCAACGCTACCGGCCTCCCTCCGGAACTTCCCAAGAGACAGGAGAGGCGGGGGCGGCTTAGACCCAAGACAAGAGACTAGAGCAAACATCAGACCAGATCCCGTCTGAAAACCAAATGGCCACAAAGAAGGGTGCTGAGGCCGGGGCTGTTTGAATGCAGAGGACACGTTTGACGATGGCACTGCCAGGAGACGGGACCACGGGTGTGGGGCTGTGGGCTCAGACACCCTCACCCAGGAGACGCATGCTCGAGGCAGCACTTGGGTGTGAGGCATCACGGCCGACCCGCACGGGGCCCGGAGAGGACGCAGTGCTCCTTGTGTGACTCACAACTTTCCTGAAGGTTTGAAATATTTCAAGATAGAATACTGGGCAAAAAAGGAAAAGAGAACAGCAGAGCCTGGAGGGGGCCAGGCCGCCCCCGAGAGACAGGATGCAGGTGATGGCGCCTGGGTAGGATGTGGAGCAGAGAGGAGGGACTGGAGGAGGCCAAGGCTAAGTCTAGGAGGGTGGACAGGAGTCTGGGGCAGGCGGGAAACACCCCCACGGGCATCCACAAAGCCACAAAGCCCACTCCCACCCAAGCCACGTGCCCCTCACCAATGCACAGGGCCGGGGGCATCCCCAGGCACAGCAGGTACTGGTACAGCAGGAACAGCGCCAGGAAGAGGCAGTAGTTGGGCCAGAGGCGGGCAATGGCCTGGCGGTGCCTGCGGGTGAGGATGGCCACCAGCCAGCAACCGTGCAGGGTCACCAGAAAGTTCATGCGCTGCCCGATCACGTTCACGGCCATCAGGAAGCAGATCTGGGGAGGGGAGAGGGCGGGGTGTGGGGATGCACTGAGTCTGGGGGGAGGGACTTTCTTGTCCCACCCAGCAGGCCTCAGGCTTGCAGCAGCCCTGCCTGGAGGCTGCGGGCATCAAGCAAGGACAGGGCCAGCGGCGCTGTCAAGAGGGCAGGAGTGGCTGGCAGTTGCCATCGTGCAGGGGAAACTGAGGCTCCAGGAGGTGGGCTGTACAGTAGAGCAGATCTAACTTGGCCCCCTGCCTGTTGTCAGCACCGACACACCACAGGAGTCCAGGGAAGCCGTGCCTGGCCCTGAGTCCCCCACCCTCTGTGGCCCAGGCAAACCCAGGTGGGGCCAGGCTTGCGGTGCCTGCACGGTGCAGCCGTCCCTCCCTCCCGAAGGCCAAGCCCTGCCCCAGGGGGAGGCAATGTCCTTGCCTCACCTCCAGCCCGAATTTGTAGAAGAAGAAGTTGATGAAGTACTTGAGGCAGCCGAGCAGATCCTGGTCCAGCTGCTGGCGGGTGCCGCTGGCAAACACGGCCTGGGCAGGCAGCGGGGCCAGCTGGTGCTGCCGGCGGTAGTGCTCCTGGCGCCGGTACACGATGGCCTCGAATACCAGCAGCAGCAGCACTTGCAGGTGGTTCTGCGGAGGGCAAGGGTCAGGGGGCAGCCGGGTACTCGCCCGCCCAGCCGCCCACCAGCCCTTCAACTCACCTGGATGTAGCCCAGGTTGGGGAACCCTTTCCGCACCCCAAACCAGTTGGCAGGGTCCACGGGCCCCCGGTACAGCAGGGACTGGCTGATCTCCGTGGGCAGCAAGTTGGTGCTGTTGGGGAAGGGCTGGCAAGAGGCCAGGCATCAGTGCCCCCTCCCAGGCCACAGTGCCCCCTGGCCCTGCCCGGAGCCCACCACAGCCACAGCTCTGGGGCAGGTCCACTGCTCCCCAGCCAGGGACACGGGGGCTGCCAGCCTTGGAGCCACCTTCACGGGGAAGGGGACCAGGTGTTTGAGAAACAGGGAGACCACGGGCAGGGGCTGGGGGAGTGAAGAGAGGTCCAGGGAGAAGGAGGGATGTGCGAGAAGGTCCCAGGCAGAGATGCCTGACTGTCTCTCCCTGTCCAGGGGTGGGGCCCTCCCGTCCTCACTGCCGGAGACCCTGGGACTCCGCCCCTACTGGACACCCTTGTGTGCAGGGAGTGCGCCCCTGGTCCACAGTTGAGGTCGAAGGATGCTGCCTCCAGGAAGCCCCCTTGGCGCCCCCAGGGGAGAGTCCTCCATCTCCATTGCTGGCCCCACTGCACTGAGGCAGCTGCCCCAGGAGGGTCGGGCTGCGAATACAGAGTTGCCTGGAGCTTCCTCCCGTCCCAGCCCTCGGGGGCCGGTACCTCGGTGCAGTTGCTGGAATACTCCTGGGGGTTGACAACCTTGAGCTGGTACAGCATCTTACACACGATGATGACGCAGGTCCACACGGTGGACAGGCAGGAGGCCATGGGCCGGAAGCGTGGGTAGGGCAGGGCGAAGGCCCACAGCACCACCAGCAGCAGGTTCATCACCGACACCTGAGGGCAGTGGGCACGTGGGGCTGGGCTTGGGGAGGGCAGTGGGCACGTGGGGCTGGGCTTGGGGAGGCCAGCTGGGCAGGCCAGAGCGACCCCACCCCAGATGGGAAGCTGAGTTGCCTGCCACACTCACCTCCTTCAGGGCCACCCAGACGGTGTACAGGGCCACCAGCTTGAAAACGTGAAGCTCCAGCAGCCGCCGCAGGAACACCTGCACGCGTGAGAGGACGTCCGAGAAGCCGGCTGCCAGCTCCAGCAGCCGCTCAGCCACCAGGCCCCACTTGGCTGCCCCTGTGATGGTGTGAGGGTCAGTGCGGGGCACAAACGGGGATTCCCGGGTCCCCTGTGAGGAAGAGGCTCTGGAGCCCAGAGGGGACTCTGCCAACGCCCCCCGAGCTGGGACATGGCACAGCAGACTGGGTGGCAGCTGTGCTCTGCCCGCCCAACCCACCTTCAGGCACCTGCGTGGCCTGGTGGGGAGTGGCCACGCCCAGCCCCTCGTCCCTGGAGTCCTCCTCCTCCTCCTCCTCCTCCTGCTGCTGCTGCTGATGCTCCTGCTGCTCCTCCCGCAGCAGTGGGGTCCCACTCACTGCATCCTGCCTGGGAGAGGGTCCGAAAATGTCATCTCCCAACTGGGTTCCTGCCCCTCATTTCCTGGGGCTGGAAGAAGCCCTGTCGGCACCGCTTCTGCTGCAGCTGCCAGTTCAGGTGCACAGCTGTGTCGCAACTCATGCCCACTGTCCCTGTGACCTCCACGCTACTGCCATCCCCTTGGTATGAGCAAATGCCCCTTGGGATCTGAAGGTGGAAGATGTGGCTCCTGTCCAACTCCCACCTGGCTCCCTCCCTGGCCCAGGAGGCTACACCTCTCCAGGGCCGGACAGGGAGGGCGGGGCCGCACCTGTGAGCCCAGCGCGGGAGGCGCGTGCCAGGCAGGGACACGTGCTCCATGTCGGTGAGCTGCATGAAGGGCCTGTGGAAGTAGTGCAGCTGCAGGATGCAGGCCAGGAGGAAGAAGCCGGGCACCAGGATGCTGGAGAAGAGCTCGGACACGCTGAACTGCTCCAGGCCCAGGTCCCCCAGCCTGTGGAGGGGCAGCATCAGCACCGGCCCGGCCCCCGGCAGAGCCGCTGCAGCCCCGGGGAAGTGCACGGGGTTTCGGCGCCCCTGCCCCACCGCCCCAGCCTGGACTCACTGCTCGTCGGTGAAGCCAGTGAGGTTGCGCCAGTAGGCAGGGAAGTCCTGGAACTGGAAGGTGTAGACGGCGATGAGGACCAGCATGGTGTAGGCCACCACGAGCCACCAGAAGGCCTTGAGCAGCTTCCGCCACAGGCTGTAGTAGACCTGCCGGGTGAGGTGGGGGTGGTGAGGACCGCGGGGAGGGTCCGTGCCCCAGCCCCCATCCCGGCCCCCCAGCCACCTGGAAGAGGGTGAGGCAGAGCAGGAAGAGGAACATGTAGACAATCTTGTAGACCACGAGGCGGCCGGCGAAGCTGACCACGATGAACATGCCAGCACACACATAGATCCAGTACTTGGCGTACACGCCCTTCACCAGCTCCCCCAGGCTCTGCAACAGCGTCTGCGTCCGCGTGGGCTCTGTGGGCCAAGCCAGGGGCAGGCGATGGCATCAGGGCGGGCAGGCAGGAGGGCAACCCCCGCCTCTGGCCCACCACTCACCTGTGTCTGCCACGGTGACCTCCGTCAGCGCAGCTGGAGACTCTGCCCACTTCAGCAGCTTCTCTTTCACAAACTGGCGCAGCAGGAGCCAGAAGGTCAGGGTGTAGAGCAACTGTGACAAGCGCAGGGTGTCACAGTCAGCCGGGGGGCCCAGCACCCCTCCCACAGCCGGGGGACCCAGCACCCTCCTATAGCAGGGGGCAAGAGCTCTCAGGCGGCTGGCACCAGCCCATCCACCGCAGCCTCCCCACAGGCACCGAACACCCTCTCGCTCACACCCACTCAGAGGCACACGAGCACACACTCTCACATCCATGGATGAGTGCATGGGTTCACTTGCGCTCACACGCAGAGTCACACACGGGTTCACTAGTTCACGTGGGCACAGATCCATGCACGCACCTGCACACATGTCCACATGCTGGAGTGCATGTTTGCCCACATGCGTGCTCACATATGCACACAAGCTCACAGGTGCATATGTTGGCACACAGGCTCACAAGTTTCACAAGATGAGACCCACTGGCCTGCAAACAGGTGTCCAGACACGATGCTGGCACCCGTTTCACATGGACACGCAGGCACCCTGTGAACACATGGCCTGCACAGCTTGTCACTGAGACCCAGGGCTGTGCATGGTGCCAATGGGCAGAGCCCACGCTCACACACACTGTCAGGGGCGCAGGGGTGGTGCCTGTGCCAATGGGCATAGCCCATGCTCACACACAGTGTCGGGGCACAGGGGTGGTGCCCGTGCCAACAGAGCCCACGCTCACACAGTGTCAGGGCACAGGGGTGGTGCCCGTGCCAACACAAGGTTGTCTGTTTATTCAGTCAACAAACGCTCACTGAGAAGCTACTCTGGGCTGGCTCTGGGTGGGCAGAAGGGGACAGACAGACACATCTGCCTTCTTGGCGCTGCCACTCCCCCGGGCAAGTGGACATTGAACAGGACGACAACCCTGATGGGTCTGCGCACCCAGGCACCCCCGGATGTGGTGGTGCACACTCACCATGGCACCAAGGTCCAGACAGGGGTAGCGGGTGTGCTCCAGCCCCAGCTGGCGCAGGCTGACGGGGCCCAGGGTGGTGGGCAGCTCAGGGCGCAGGTCCATGGCCCACACGTAGCGTAGGCAGCACAGCGTCATCCCATACAGCAGGATGCAGGGCGAGCACAGCATGGCCAGTTGGTGGCGGCTGCGCACCGTCCAGATGAGGCAGGCCCAGAGCAGCAGTACGAAGGTCAGCCAGCTGTGGTAGGTGATGCTCCATACCTGCGCGGCAGAGAGGGCTGCACAGCTGCCCAGCGCACCCCACCCAGGCGATGCCCCACACCTGCGCGGCAGAGGGGGCTGCACAGCTGCCCAGCGCACCCCACCCAGGCGATGCCCCACACCTGCGCGGCAGAGGGGGCTGCACAGCTGCCCAGCGCACCCCACCCAGGCGATGCCCCACACCTGCGCGGCAGAGGGGGCCGCCCACCCCAACCCCCACAGCCGCCTACCATCATGGCAATGAGCGCGCACACATAGCTCTGGTCCATGATGAGGTGGCCCAGGCTGTGGAGCGGAGACGCCTCCCTGGGCTCAGCCCGCTTGGGCCGCACTGCAGGTGGGGACAGCGGTCAGCTTCGGCAGGTTGATCTGCAGGCCTCCCCACCCTGACTATGCCCTAAAATCTGGGCCCTGGGCAAGCACACAGCAGGAGAGACAGGCCCCCGGTGGGCTATGGGCAGAACACGAGGGCTCCGGCAATTGGGCTGACACCGTCCCTGAGCGTCAGGGATGGCCCTGCCAGCACCTGCCGTTCTCTGGGCCTCACTTTCCTTGAAAGGGTGGGAAAGGTGGCCCTGACCCCCTTTCCAGCTCTGCGCACCTGAAGACTCTCAGGACCCCCACCCCAGGGCCGTGGCTTCATTTGCTTCATTCAGAAACACATTGCAAAATGGAAAATCAAGGGTTAGGGTAAAGAAAGAAAGTAGCCAGAAAGAGCCCCCAGGCCCTCCCAAGGCGACGTGGCCAACACAGAGTTCCCAGGCCAGCCCCTGCCCTGGACGAGCGGCCTCCTGGGGCCACTGGGCCACCTGGAGCAGCTCCCAGAGCTAACAGCACAAGACAGCATAGCCACATTCTCTGGGGAGGGGTTGGGGGACCTGGAGGCCCCCCATGGGGTCTTGGGGATCAACGACGCGGCCACTCAGCTGCCCTGGGGGTCTTGGGGGTTGGTCAGTGACATGGCCACTCGGCTGCCCTGGGGGTCTCGGGGGTCACTGACACCGACCCGTGGATGTCCTGGGCCCCCGAGGGGGCGGCAGGCAGAGGTGCGGCGCGAGCATGCGAGAGCGCCAGGCGGCCACCAGGGGGCAGCACCGGCCTCCGCCCCGCCCCCCGCACCCAGCCATACCTTGCAGTGTGCGGTACTCACCAGGCCGCCGCAGGACGGAGCTCTGGCCGGTCAGCTCGTGCACGATGCAGTTATCAGCCTCGGTGTCGGGTGCTGTGGGCACCACGTGCTGTGGGCAAGCAGCGCTGAGCCATGCACGGGCTGGCCGGGCGCCCCCCACGCTGGCGTCTCCACCTGCCTGGCTGCTCACCTGGTCAGACTCCCGTTCCTGGGGCCACTGGTCCAGCTCTGCTAGCTCCAGCTCCCGAGCCTCATACCCCTTTGCCGCCTCCTTCCTCTGCAGAGACCAGCGTCTTGAGCCCAAACCAGCTCCACACCCCACCCAGAGGCAGGAGGTCCTGAGACCAGCCCCATGGCCTGGCCTCAGCCCACCCACCATGGGTGGCAGGTGCTCACCTGGCCGGAGGGGCGGTACGCGCGGAGCTTGCGCAGAGAGGCCGTGGCGTAGCACAGCAGCAGGAGGACGCCGGGGCTGGCATACACAGGCCAGTCCAGGCCGGTGTTGAGGACCAGCGCGTGGGGGCTGGAGCAGTTGGTGGGACCCACGAAGTCCTTGAGACCCAGCACCCTGTCCAGAGAAGACCCGTCACAGCCTACCACCCCAGAGGCAGTGGGGCCACAGGGGCTAGACGAGCCAGGTGGGCGGGACCAGGGTGGCAGGAAAAAGGGGCTGTGTGGCAAGCCGTTACCTAGCCCAGATGCCGGCAGGCGGGAGCAGAGCCTGTGCCAAGGGCATCTGGTAGCAGTAGA
Organism: Homo sapiens; assembly: GCF_000001405.40. Classification (NCBI taxonomy): domain Eukaryota; kingdom Metazoa; phylum Chordata; class Mammalia; order Primates; family Hominidae; genus Homo; species Homo sapiens. The sequence goes on from NC_000016.10 coordinate 88,738,288, forward strand.
GGCAGATGAGATGGCCGGCGCCGAAGCACCCCACCGCGACGCAGAGTCTGCTGAAGCCCCGAGTGCTGATGGGAAAGTGGCAGGCCCACCAGGTGCAGAGGGCCAGGAAGAGCAGCAGGTAGACACTGGAGAGGGCCGAGGGGTGGGCGATGCCTGCGGGGCAGGGGCACACAGGGTGGTACCTGGCCAGTGCCATGTGTCCCGCTGTCTCCACAGTCATCAGGGAACTCCCAAGACCCCTCCCAGTGTGACTGCCAGTGCCCCCTGCCTCGGTGCGTACCTGCCAGTGCAAGCAGTGTTACGGCCAGGACCCGCCCAGCCGCCACCAGCAGCCAGTGGGCCGTGACTCGGAAACGAGCGGCCAGCCGTGACCTCCGTGTAGGGGCCAGCGTTGCTGCTTCCTGCAGCCCTGCCGTCGGGCTGGCATCCACATCCCTCTCATCATCATCCTGCCAAGGTCACGGACAGGGGCAAGGTCAGGTGTATCGCACTGACGCCACCTCTCCAGCCCACACCTGCCCAGCCAGGAGCGTGGGAGGCGGCCACATCCACAGCTGCTCCTCTGAGGGCCACAGGACAGCCTCCCCGGGCACAGGCCCCAGCCGTCCCTGAGGTCTGCCTGACACCTTCCTACTTCCTCACTCAAGCTCACAGTTCCTGCAGGCCTTCCTGGTAGCAGCTCCCACCCTGGCCGAAGACCCAGGGTCTGTCCTGCCAAGCCCAGGCACGTGATGACCTTGCCAGGTACAGACAGACCACAGACTGTCCTATACCACCTCATCTCCCCGAACCACGCACCCAGGGAGCAGCGGGGCCCTGTCTATACCCCGGGGGGTCTCTAGAGACCAAGGGGGCCTGAGGGACATGGCCAGGCTCCAGGGTCTCCTGTGTACCCCTGCCAGCCTTCTGGGTGGCTCTGCCTGGAAGATAGGGGTGGTACTCCTGCCCTCCCCAAGCCTCTGGGGGGACAGAGGTGGCCAGCTGCCTAGAAGAAGTGACAGGCCGGCCTGGGGCTGGGGAGAGAGACCTGCCGGGCCTGTTTTCCCTGGACCTGACTAAAGATTTCCCAGAACACAGCCATTTCCCAAACACCAGGGAAAGCCAGGTGTGGTGGAAAGAACACGGCTGTCGTCAGATGCCCTGGCTCTGGCCTGGCTGCCACCGGCCCAGTGTCCCCATCTGTGACTCGGGGGCTCTCCTGGTGGCTGAGGCGCCAGGTGCCCGGGCTGAGACCGCAGGCTGTGGGGCTGGACGATAGGCCCCACCCCAGCTCTGACAGTCTCCGTGCTCTGCAGGCCGAGGCAAGTCACAGCCTCTCGGAGCCTATTCCCCTTCTGTCAAATGGGATGGGGGCTTGACGGGACAGATGAACCAGACCAGTCCTGTCCTCACAGGCCTCCAGGGCTGCAGGGGCTGCTGGGAGGCTCCGAGGCCAGGGTAACAGGGAGATCAGGGCAGGAGAGGCCCAGGCCCTGAGCCCACCCCTCTCAGAGACCACACAGCAGCTGGGGGCGAGGCTGGATCAGAACGCAGGGCGCCATCGCTCACCCCACCCACAGCCTGGCCCTGGCCCTGGCCCTGGGAAATCTTCTGAGCAGAGCCGTGAAAAATGAGCATTTCTGGGAGTGGAAAGAACAGAGGCAGCTGCTGTGAGAGAACAGGTGTGAGGCCACCGAGGGGCAGGCCCGGCCCTGACTTGGGGTATGAGGCCACCGAGGGGCAGGCCCGGCCCTGACTTGGGGTGTGAGGCCACCGAGGGGCAGGCCCGGCCCTGACTTGGGCCCCACGTGCCGCAGCCATGCTGCAGACGCCCCTCACCCTCCTCTAGCGGCCAGCACCCCTCGGGCTGGCTGGCACACTCCGTCGCATGCCTGCAAACACGTGTGTGTGTTGCCCATATGTGGGAGTGAGGGTCGCCCGGGGGCCCTGCCAGGCCGGGTCATGGGGCTTCTAGATCTTTCGGAACGGTATCCTGCAGGTGCCTGGTGCCCCCAGCTCACTCTGAAGTCTGTCCACGCTGGCCGCCCAGGGCGCAGCTGCACACTCAGGCTCCCATCACACCAAGATGAAGATGACCAGAGTCCAGCCACCCAGCCCCTTCCCAGCAGCCAAACTCTAGGAAGCTCATGCCCCATGCCCCCATCAGCATGGAGGGGCTGACGAGGGAGGGGCGGGTCTCTTGGAGGACAGGCAGCAGCACAGTCCTCATGAGCGCTGGACCCCCTCAAATGCCCGGAAAAGCCACTTGACCTCCAGGTCCCCGTTCCCACTTCTGAAATGCGGGCACCAGCCTTGCCCCATGGGGTGGCGACAGGACAGGCAGGAGGGCAGGCCGCCTCTGCAGGCTGAGCAGGTGTACTCGACCTACCGTGTGGCTTGGGGAACCCCTTTCCCTCTCGGGACTCCTCTAGAAGTTGAGGCCCATGTGCGTGGCGAGCATCAGCTATCTGACGAGTGGGCACTGGGAGGGTGAGGTGGGAGGAGGCTGGGTGCCCGGGGCAGGGAGTTCGTGGGCCAGGACACCCAGGTGGCCATAAATCCTGGCTGAGCCTGGGGATGGCAAGTGTGGGCCCAGGCAGGGACGAGAGGGTCTGAGCAGTCAACGTTGGGTGTCGCAGGCCCCAGCTCATGCCCTGTCCGTGTGAGGGGGCCATAGCTCAGAGATTCCCGGGGCCGGACCTCCAAGTCTTGTAGCAGCTAAAGTTCACTCTGCCTCCCACTCCGAGGACAGAGGCCCTGCTTCAGGCCCGTCGCTCCTGGGGTCCAGGCCCCTGCTGGGGCTCTGGGCCGACAGCCTGTTTGCCTGTAAGTGCATGGGGCCTGCTGGGGCCGCCCCTTCTCAGCCCTTCTGCAGTGGCTCTCCAGCCAGACCCACTGCCCAGCACTGCAGGTTTCCACCACCGCGTGGCCCCAAATAATTCCCCTGTGAAGAGTTCCTAAGGGCACAGATGCCATGTCGGGGCGTGGAGGTTTCTGACTAGAGGCAGAGCCCGAGTAGAAACAGGTCTGAACGGATGGAACTGCAGGCTGGGCCCCGGGGTGGGATTTGGAACTTCCTCCTCTCTTTAACACCAACTTACAACCAAAACGTCTACATCTGTTTTAAAAAGATTAAAATAACCCTCAAAATGGCTGAGACCACAGCTCTCGAATGACCTCCCTGACACACGGGTGACGCAGCTGCCCTCACCAGCTCCCGTGGATGTGGGCTCTGCCGGGTGTTCCTTGCAAGGCGCCCGCAGATGCCGAGGCAGACAGAGGAGACCACCAAGATGCCCAGGTCAGGGGCCACCAGCCGGATGGCGTTGGGGATGTCCTTCAGGTCCAGCCTGCGGAGAGCAGGGAGCAGCCGCGGTCAGACCAAGAGGACAGGTGTGGGTGTGAGTGTGGATGGGTCTCCAGGTGCGGGTGGGAGTGTGGATGGGTCTCCAGGTGCGGGTGGGAGTGTGGATGGGTCTCCAGGTGCGGGTGGGAGTGTGGATGGGTCTCCAGGTGCGGGTGAGAGTGTGGATGGGTCTGCAGGTGCGGGTGGGAGTGTGGATGGGTCTCCAGGTGCGGGTGGGAGTGTGGATGGGTCTCCAGGTGCGGGTGAGAGTGTGGATGGGTCTCCAGGTGTGGGTGGGAGCGTGGATGGGTCTCCAGGTGTGGGTGGGAGTGTGGATGAGTCTCCAGGTCCCCCTCTGTCCCTCCTGGGTCCCCCCACTTCCTGGGGCCTGAAATCCCCAAGGGAGGCTTGCTGGTTGGGGGTGGGAGGAATGGTCTTACCTTGTGACCCCTATGTGTCGCGAGAGGGTCTCCCAGCGGCTGCCTGCAGAGAAAGACGGGGGAACCCAGGTCAGGCTCTGCCCAGCCAGCACCGTGGCCTGGTCATCCCTGGAGCGTTTCACCTGGACCATCCAGGCCAGACATAAATCAGGCTGAGTCAACCCCCCCAGGAGACTCGGGGTCACTGCAGGGCCCTCTCCCTGACCCCCAGGATGGCTATCCCTACCCCGCCCCCTCAGCGACTCACAGCTGGGTCCCAGGAGCTGGTCCAGGCGGGGCACAATATGCAGGCAGATCTGGAGGGCGAGATGGGCCACCAGGAAGAGCAGGCTGAGGCCCAGCAATGCCCGCAGGAGGCGGCCTGTGTGACCTGCGGCAGAGCGAGTGGGTGAGGCTGGTCCCGGGGACGGGGAGGGGCCGCAGCCCAGGCCGCTCAGCCGGACAATAGCCCCCAGCCCGGCCAGAGCCCAGAGGCCTGAGATGCAAACCCGCCATGGACTCAGGACCCCATCAGGCAGGCCGGCCAGCCCCACTCCCCACGCCTCCCGAGGGTCACTCTTGTCACAAGGAGCCGGGCATCCTCCTGGGGGTGGCAGCAGGATGGGCCTGGGGCCCACAGGCAGGAAAAGGCCTCCCAGGCTCAGAGGAAACCACCTGGGGTGTGCTCCCTCATCCAGCAAATACCTGTCACCGTTCAGTTGTGGAAGCAGAGGAAATAGACACAAGGAGAGGCAAGAAGCTCCACCTCACCCCAGTGGGGGCTGCAGGTGGATGGAGACCAGAGCATGCGGAGCGCCCCTGAGCAGCCGTGGCTGGGGTGGGAGCAGGGCCATGATGGCTCTGGAGAAAAGTGGGGCAGGCAGCTGCCTCCCTGGGGCTGAGGGGCTGCAAGGAGAAGTTGCATCCCGATGCATGGCCTATGCATGGTACCCAGTCCCCATGGCCACCCTGGCATTTCAGGCACCTGCTGTGCACCAGGTCAGGCCCCAGACCGGCATCCTCTCTCTCTCTGTGCACCCACACCTGGCAGGAAGCGGCAGCACCATCTGGTTGCCTGGCAGCCTTGTCCTGCTCCCAGCTGCCTGTGGCCCCACTGGACTCAGCCCCCCAGCAGGGAGGCCTTCGGCTGCAGGGCAGGGGCTGGGCGGGCGCACCCTGTGGCTGGGGGCACTCAGGAGCCCTGGCTTCACCTCTGCTCTCGGCGCACATGTGGACAGCTCACCCTTCAGCAGGGGTCCGGACCAAAGTCCTTGACCCACCGGGTTCTGAGTCCTGACAGGGCTGTGGACAGCTTCCCTTTCCACCCCGGCACGTGCTGGCAGGAGCTTCCGGGCCCTCACCCTGGGGCAGCAACTCCTGCACCACCAGCCACGCCCGGCCACGAGAAAGTGCAGAACAGCTCAGGCCCTTCTCACAACTTCCTGGAGCTCAGGGACAGGTAGCATCTGGGTCTGGGTCCAAGGTGGTGAATGTCACCACCACATCTGCCCTCTCTCGGCCTCGGGGCGCAAACTCAGGGCCTGTGTCCACTCTGTTCAGTTTTTTGAGCACAAATGGTGTTAGGTGACAGACTCGGGATTGGCCTTGGACACTCAGCCCCCTCTTTCTGGAGCAAAGACTCATGACCCACGTCCAAGTCACCCTGCACATCCCTAAGCCTGACCGTGAAGCAGCCCTCACGGATGCCCAGGACTCCCTGTCCGCACCACCAGGCAGCCGAGGCAGGTTTGGACCAGCTTCTCACACTCACACCTTCCTAGGGTTGCCCCAGGCCCTGACCTGCTGACCCTGCAGCTATGACCTCTGACCTGTGGAGGATGGGAGGGGTGAGCAGCAGGGAGAGTGGGAAGGAGGAATGGAAAACCGTCCAGGAAGGGAGGCTGCAGCCCCGACACGAACAGGAGCCACCACCAGGGGGTGCTGTGCAGGGCTCCCGGAGGACAGGACCTTCCAGGGCCTCCCTGCCCCGAACCCATAGGTGCCAGGCTTCTCACTGCTCACGACCTCCGTGCCGGGCTCATACCTGCCGCGCCAGCCCCTCTTCAGCAGAGCACAAGTCTGGCAGCAGGAGGGCACCAGCCAGGGGCCCCGCGCCCCCGCCTCTGTACAGCAGGGTCACCGTGGGGTGACATGAGAACACCGACCCAGGGAATGGGCTCCTGCCACACCTGCCTGGGAACCTGGGCTGTGAGTCCTGCTCGCTGCACCCTCTAGCCTGACGTTGAAGTAACCTCGCCAGCGGGGCCCTCTGTGGCACTGGGCACTCAGGGAGAGCACGTGGCATTGGAGAAGGTATTCTGAGTCCTACAGAGAGGGACCTGCGGGGCCTGCCCCACAGGCACGTGGGGCTCCTGCTGGGGCTGTCAAGGACCCCCGGGCACTGAGAGGACATCTGGGCCCTTGGGCAGCCAGGCTGACGGGTTCCCTGCACACACGATCCAGCAGCCCGGGAAGGAACTGCCTGACCAGAGACCCCTGGGCAGGGAGGGGCTCTCAGGCCACCTGGCTCCCGCCCACCCGCCTTGCCCTGCACGACAGTCCAGGATGTCCGTCTCTGGCTACATCTCGGATGTCACTGCTTCCCCATTGTCTTCCTCCCTCCCCTTTCCCTGCCTCCTTCCCGGTTCAGTTCTCGGGCCGGCCAGAGTGTCCTGGTCTGGCCATGTTAGAACAGCTGGGCCATGATCCCTCCGCAGGGTCGAAGGGGCCGCAGCTGGGCCTGGAGGCCACTCCTGGCCACGTGGCACGCCCGCTCCCTGCCTGGGCTGGATCAGACTAGGGAGCTGAGAGTCCGAGGGGCACCCCGGGAAGAGACGCTGCTGGAGATGGGAGGGGGCCGGAACGTGCAGAGGGATCGAGGCTCTGCTGACCTGCACGGGGCGGGGAGCGGGGAGGTGCACACAGAGGCCGAGGGGGCACCCTGACACCGGCCCTCTTCTCCGACGCAAACAGCATGACCTCAAGGGGTCGGGTGGCTTTCTCGTGCCTCCACCTGCAGCCCCTGTCCCCGCCCACCCCGTCACTCTCCCCCTGCAGGTCCCACCCCCAAATGCAAAGCTGGGAAAACCAGGCTGAGCCGGGGATCAGGCCACCTCCGCAGGGACCCACTGCTGCCTCTTCCAGGAGCCCAGGAGACCCAGTGGGTCTCCTGCCCCCGACTCCAACTCCCTCCTGGCAGGACACACCCAGCTCACAGTGGCCTTTCCATCCTGGGAAAGGGAGTGAGAGGAGGCTCAGGCCAGGGACCCGCCCAGCTCTGGCCGGCAACCGCCCTTCAGCCTTTCCTGAACCACTGTGTGGGCCCCAACCCATCCGCTGCCTGCCGGAGGGAGCCCATGGGGAATGGACTATTCTTGCCACCCCTATCCATGGCAGGGGAGGGGCTCAGCATGGCTCTTGCCCACCCAGAAGAAGGTGCAGGGGGCCTGGCGTGGTGGTTCACACCTTTGGGAGGCCGAGGTGGGTGGATCACCTCAGGTCAGGAGTTTGAGACCAGCCTGGCCAACATGGTGAAACCCTGTTTCTACTGAAAATACAAAAATTAGCCAGGCGTGGTGATGGGCACCTGTAATCTCAGCTACTCAGGAGGCTGAGGCAGGAGAATCACTTTCACTTAAACCCAGGAGGCGGAGGTTGCAGTGAGTTGAGATCGCGCCACTGCACTCCAGCCTGGGCAACAGAACAAGACTCCGTCTCAAAAAAAAAAAAAAAAAAAGGGGCCGGGGCTCCCCCTCCAGCTTGCAGGGCTCTCAGGAGGAAACAGGAAGGGGCGGGGAGGCCCCAGGGTATTGCAGACCGGATGGTTGACAGAGCATGGACCTCCCCCAGAGCCGGAGCCCTTGGACCCCGGCACGGCCTGCAAAGGCTGAGGGGCCCCACCACGGCAGCATCCTGATGCGTGGTCCATAGCCACCATCCCCACACCTGCCGGACAAGGGCTGGGCCTGATTGTTCTGTGGGGAGTGTGGAGTTGCCCTGAGTCTGATCCGTGGGGTGTGCATGGGAGCCCCCTGGAACCTGATCCATGGGGTGTGCATGGGACCAGCCAAGGGACCCAGGGTGCCTTGAGGCTGAGCCATGAGGCCCACCCAGCGACAGCTAGGGCTGAGCTGCGGGGTAGGGCCACGAGAGGGGCCTTTTGAGACAGAGGATGGAGACTACACAAGGCTGGCAGAGCCGGGGGACCAGTGAAGCTGGAGAGGGTGGCAGGGCCTCCCTGCACGGGGCATGGTAAGAGGTGGGGGGTGATCTCTCTCCAGACAGCAGGGTCAGTCTTGGAGGTGGGTTTTATCCTAAGGCAGGATGGGGCTTCTGAGTCCCTAAATGACAAGCAGGTCTCTGGGAGCCACCCCCTGTGGCTCTGCCTGCAGCCCTGCCTGGAGCACCAGGGTCTGTTCCCTCTGCCCCAGCCCCAGCCCCTACCCCTCTCCTCCCTGTTCAGTCTGAGCTCAACCTCCAGCCCCCCAAGGATCAGGCTGACGCCTACAAGGGGACCAAGGCTCAGATGGCGTCAGAGCTTCCACCAGGGCCACGCCAAGCCCAGCAGCTGCACAAATCATAAAGCCCCGGGCACTCGGCTCGGGCAAGCCTCACACTTTCCTCTCTCCCTCCCGGAAAACTGGGCAGCATCTCCGTCTCTGAAGGGCCTCTGACGAGGCTCAGGCAGGGAAGTCCTCCCGGGTCCTCTCCAAATCTTCCCACCCCAGCTCCTCCCCTGGCCTGGCTGGGCGCCTGCCTTCCCCCACTGCTGATTAAAGGAAAGTGTTTCCAATTGCGCCCTGGGCATGAAATATTTACGGAACAAACGGCGAAACGCCAGGGGCCTGGGAACAGACAGAACCGGCTCCACAGAGCAAAGGGGAGGCCCAGGATAGGGACCGGGAGTGGGGGTGCCCACCCACCCCAGCCATGCATCCTGGAGGGGTTTGGGCCTCGGGCCCCAGCGACTCCCAGCACTCGGCCGCACTGGGCCCCTCCCAAAATGCCTCTCTGCACCCCTGAATTCTACCCATGATCCAAGATCAGTGCCTGCGCTGGGCACAGTGACTCACACCTGTAATCTCAGCACTTTGGTAGGCTAAGGCAGGAGGATCGCTTGAGCCCAGGAGGTGGAGGCTGCAGTGAGCCATGATCATGCCACTGCTCTCCAGCCTGGGCAACCAAGCAAGACCCCCACTCGAAAAAAAAAAAAAAAGCCAAGCACGGTAGCTCATGCCTGTAGTCTCGGCCGAGGTGGGCAGATCACCTGAGGTCAGGAGTTCAAGACCAGCCTGGCCAACATGGTAAAACCCCTGTCTCTACAAAAACACAAAAATTAGCCAGGCATGATGGTGGGCGCCTGTAATCCCAGCTACTCGGGAGGCCGAGGCGGGAGAATCGCTTGAACCCGCGAGGCGGAGGTTGCAGTGAGCCCAGATCGTGCCATTGCACTCCAGCCTGGGTGACAGAGTGAGACTCCATCTCAAAAAAAATAAATAAAAAAGACCATTGCCCACCCCACAGCACCACGAGCTAGGAGGAGCCTCTGGGATGCTTCCAGCCAGATGTCGCGAGGCCGGAGAGCGACCTTCCACCTGCAGCTGGCAGAACGATGGACCCCAATGATGCCTGCACCCCAGTCCCCAGAATCTGTGAACGCAGAAGCTCACATGCAGAGGCGAGTCCAGGCAGCAGAGGAAATGGGGGCTGCCCAACAGCTGACCTTAAACCAGGGAAGTCGGCCTGGATTAGCCGGGGAGGCAGATGGGACGAAGCCACAGGGTTACCGCAGGGGAGAGGGAGCAGGAGAGACAGGGTGTGATCCTGACCCCACCCCACCGGCTCTGGAGATGGAGGGAGGGGCCCCAAGCCCAGGAAGGTAGGCACCTGGAGCAGCTGGAAGAGGAAGCAGATCCTCCCCAGAGTCCCCTGGAAAAACGCAGCCCGGTGGACACCTCGTAGCCATGGACAGGCCCCGACGCTGCCAGCCTGATGCGTCCAGCACCTCCCAGAAGGGCGGCACCCAAGAGCCTGTCTCCACAGTCACGCCCCCTGGTCCTGCTTGGCCTCCTCTCTGCCCTCTGCTGGGGAAGGTCTCTTGCTGCCTACACTTGCCCTCCCTGGGGACCTTCCTTCCTTTCAGTGGCTCTTCACCCTCCAAACCCAAAGACCAGCGGAGGGCCCGGCCCCACCCACGTTTGGCCCATGGCCTTTGGGGACAGGTCTCTGAGTGTTTGCTCCAAAACGCGCTCTCCTAAAACGTGGGCACAAAATGGACATGGCCCCCACAGGGCAGGTAGGTGACATGTCACAGGATGGAGGGTTTGCTGCTACCCTCGTCACCCAGGCTGCAGGCTTGGCACGTGGCCTCACCGCCCTCTGTTTGGAGGATACGGGAGAGCAACACAGTCCTGGCCCAGCTCAGACCCCAAGGTGGTTCCCAAGGGGGGTCTCAGCTCCCCCCCCCCCCCGCACAAGTGGATCAAAGTCAACTGAGGTCCAACCCCACAGCGGGCAGCGGGAGGGCGGTCCAGGCGGCTGGAACTCCCAGGCTGCCAGAGCCTCAGCAGGCAGGAAACGTGCCTGGAGCCTGCAGAGAGTGGGCAGTTGGGGCCCATCCACTCCCTGTGGCCTCCCAAGGGACACAGAGACTCCACCCCCATGACCCTCCTCGCCCCTCACAGCCCCTGCAACACGGATCAGAAAAGATTCTGAGCTTAGCTTGGGGTCTACAATGAAAATAAGAAACTTTGATGGCTGGGCGTGGTGGCTCACACCTGTAATTGCAGCTACTTGGGAGGCTGGGATGCGAGGATTACTTGAACCTGGGATGCGGAGGTTGCAGTGAGCCAAGATTGTGCCACTGCACTCCAGCCTGGGAGATAGAGCGAGACTCGGTCTCAAAAAAAAAAAAAAAAAAAAAAAAGCCGGGCGCGGTGGCTCACGTCTGTAATCCCAGCACTTTGGGAGGCCGAGGCGGGCGGATCACAAGGTCAGGAGATCGAGACCATCCTGGCTATCACGGTGAAACCCCGTCTCTACTAAAAATACAAAAAAAAATAAGCCAGGCGTGGTGGCGGGCGCCTGTAGTCCCAGCTACCCGGGAGGCTGAGGCAGGAGAATGGCGTGAACCTGGGAGGCGAAGCCTGCAGTGAGCAGAGATCGCGCCACTGCACTCCAGCCTGGGCGACTGAGCGAGACTCCGTCTCAAAAAAAAAAAAAAATTTTATTTCGGGACCCCTCATCTTCCACCCCGGGCTGTTAAAGGTGAGGAAAGCTGTACGAATTTTGGCCCCAAACGAATGCCCACCCCCTCCCACCCTGAGAGCGTGGGCAGGGTCCCCTGGCCTTACCTTGGAGGCCGCATCGGGTGGGGCCGGGGAACCAGGGCAGCAGCAGCAGGAAGAGCAGGTAGACCAGCGAGAGTCCGCTGAAGCGGAGCAGGCAGGCTGCGGGGAGATGGGCGTTAACTAGGTCGCCAACAGAGGATGGCCAGCCCCACCCCAGAGGACAGCGCACCCACGGCCCAGCTCGTCACACCGCCGAGGCCGTGTGCCCTGTGAGTGCTGCCCTGAGCCAGAGCCGTGGAAGCCGCCTCGCGCTTCCGTACATATCTCACACACGCCACGACACGGGCACCAGCCTCCCAGCGGGGCGCTGGGGTTTTGACCCATCTTTCTACCTTGCTTTTTTTCCTTTAAAAATGCTATTCTTGGGCTGGGTGCAGTGGTTCACACCTGTCATCCCAGCACTTTGGGAGGCCAAGGCGGGCGGATCACTTGAGGTCAGGAGTTCAAGACCAGCCTGGCCAACGTGGTGAAACCCTGTCTCCACCGAAAATACAAAAATTAGCCGGGCATGGTGGCGGGCACCTGTAATCCCAGCTACTCGGGAGGCTGAGGCAGAAGAATTGCTTGAAACCGGGAGGCGGAGGTTACACTGAGATGGCACCACTGCACTCCAGCCTGGGCAACAGAGCAAGACTCCGCCTCAAAAAGAGAAAGAAAGAAAATGCTATTCTTGGCTGGGTGTGGTGGCTCACGCCTGTAATCCCAGCAGTTTGGGAGGCTGCAGCAGGAGGATCACCTGAGGTCAGGAGTTCAAGACCAGCCTGGCCAATATGGTGAATCCCTGTCTTGACAAAAAAATACAAAAATTAGCTGGGTGTGGTGGCGGGCACCTGTAATTCCAGCTACTCAGGAGGCTGAGGCAGGAGAATCGCTTGAACCCGGGAGGTGGAGGTTGCAGTGAGCCGAGATTGAGCCACTGCACTCCAGCCTGGGCGACAGAGCGAGACTCCATCTCAAAAAACAATCAAACAAAAAAATGCTATGATTCCTGCCCCCAGCACGTGTCTGGGAGCCCCCGCACACGTATGGGGCAGTGGGACACAGCGCGCCTTCAGCCCAAATGCTCTGCGTGGCCGCACTCGCCACAGCCCCCACACCATGTCCCGTGTCTGCCCTCCTGCCTGTCCCAGAAGGTCCCGGGGCCTGGCCTCCCACCCTCATCCTGAGAGTCCGGCCAGTGCCTGCATCAGTCCCAACCACACAGCTCCCACCCGGGGTCTCCCTGGCACTTGCACTGATCTGATAAGGTCTGGAGTCAGGGAGGCTGTGCCTGCCACGTGCTAGCCAGGCCTGCTTCCTCCTAGGAATGTGAGGTTTGTCAGGAGATGAGGGGTGGGGCCTGATGTCGTCTCCTCGCAGGGGACCTGAGGGACCACTCAGCCTTTCCGGGGCTACCAGGGAGGACACTGGGACTGGAAAGGCGCCTCATGCTGCCTAAGGGGCGCCAGCAGCCCATCCTCCAGCCCACTATCCACCCACCCTCCACCCTCCACCCACCCTCCAGCCTCAGGACCCCGGTCAGGAGGCTGAGGAAGGAGGCCACAGTGAGCTCAGACCCGTGTCCAAGCGAGACCCCTGGCTGCTGCTCCCACCATGACCCCAAAGCCCCAGCCAGGATGTAGCCAACGAGATCCCTCCATAGTCTGGCTCTGTGCCCAGGGGAGGCCATGCGTGCCACCATCTGCCCCATCCTTGGTGCCAAAGGAGCCCCGGGAAGTCTTCTGGAGGGAGGCCCAGCCCAGCCCAGCTCTCACCTTGACACCCACCTGCCCCTCAGTCCCCAAGACCCGAGCCTCACCCTAGACCAGGGGCACGGAAAACGCAGGGCAAGTTAGAGGAGGCGCAGGGCAGAGGGAGACCCCGACCTCCACGGACAGCACAGGAGGCCGGGCCTTTCACAGCCTGGTGGGGCCTCCAGACCCATCTCCCCATTGGCACCGTGGAGCTGACGCTTGCACCTGAAAGGGTCAGGGGCACACGGCAAACTCAAGAAGCACAGCCCCTCCCTTCCCACTCTCAACAGCTTCACCCTTCCACCCTCCCGGAAGCAGACACGAAAGAATCGCGCTCGGCGCTGCTACGGGCTCAAGGCGGCCTCGGCTTAGCGCACACATCGCGGAGTGCCGGGCTCCGGGGGGCACCGCCCGCCCTGCTGGACACAGCAGCCTCCCCCAGCTCCCCCAGGAGCCCTCCCTGAAGTTAAGATCCCCTCTTCCTCCCATTAACGCACCAAGCATAGCCATCGGCTCCATGCTTTTAAATCTAAAGTTTTTTGACGATTATACATTTTCATTAAAAAAAAAAAAAATCCCTAAGATCTGGCCCAAGAGGCAGGAGGAAAATGCATTCACAGCAAAGGCTTCTGAAGTTCTGAAGTTCTCCACAGCTGCACTTTTCAGCCGGGTGAGTTCTGCCCCAGTCCTGTCCCCAGAGAAGGTGGCACCTCCCCTCTGCACCTGTCCAGCCAGGTGGCAGCCGTCCATGCATCCGTCAGAGCAGAGGAGCTCACGGTCTGACCTGCCAGGAACGTCCAATGCTCAACAAGTGCACCAGGGTTGGGTTCGAAGCCCGTGGCAGGGCACCTTAGTGTGGTGTGGACACCAGGCAGGGCTCCTGGAGTCAGAAGCGTAGGTCCTGGGGATGAAGGTCACCAGACCCTGAGGCTGTGGGGAGGCCAGGGAGGTGGTGCCGTGCGTGCAGTTTCCTTTGGGAAAACGAAGAAGTTCTAGAGATGGGTGTCAGTGATGGCTGCACAACAATGCGAACATGCTTACCGCTGCTGACCTGTGCCCTTCAATGCGGCTAACGTGACAAACTTTAGGCCGGGTGTGGTGGCTGAGGCCTGTAATCCCAGCACTTTGGGAGGCCAAGGCAGGCGGATCACTTGAGCCCAGGAGTTCGAGACCAGACCAGGCAACACAGAGACCCCATCTCTACAAAAAAATTCAAAAATTAGCCGGGGATGATGGTGCATGCCTGTGGTCCCAGCTACTCAGGAGGCTGGAGCAGGAGGATCACTTGAGCCCAGGAGGCTGAGGCCGCAGTGAGCCATGATCACGCTGCCGCACTCCAGCCTGGGCGACAGGGTGAGATCATCTCAGGAAACAAAGCTTTATGGATGTATATTTTGCCAGAATAAAAAAATAACCAGCCCTGAAATCTGCAAAGGATTCTCAGAAGCCCGAGCCTGAGGCTGCAAGGGGCTGGGGCTGGAGATGAGGCGGGTGCAGGGGCTGAGGATGGAGATGAGGGAGGGGCTGGAGCTGGAGGCCTCCCTGACCGCCCTGCCCCTGGCCGAGCCAGAGGGGAACCTTGAGGGGCAGAGTGGACTCAAAGGCAGAGGACGATGGGGGCATGGGAGGCACCTTGGCAGGGGTTCCCCGGCAGGCCAACGTCACCCGGCAGGGCAAGTCCCCTGCCTGAGACCATGACCCACCACGGGCCTGCCCTGGGGTGATCAGCAACACGCCCCCCAGAGTTTGTTCACTCATTCATTCATCCATTCATCCATTCATCCATTCATTCATTCATTCAATACCAAGCAGGCCCCACCAGGCAGCGGGCTTGGTCTAGGGTCCGGGGACATGGTGGACAGTTGGACAGACAGCTAAGGCTTGTCCCAGGTGGCGGCCACTCACCAACAACACAGACAAGGAAAAGGCTCAGAGAGGAAGAGGGCTACTTAGCCCAAAGCCCACCCACCGCCCCCAGAGCACACCCACCGCCCCCCAGAGCACACTCACCCCCGGAGCACCCCTGCCCCCCCAGAGCACAACCGCCCCCCCAGAGCACACCTATCCATCCCCAGAGCACACCCCGCCCCCCAGAGCACACCTGTCCATCCCCAGAGCACACCAGCCCCCCCAGAGCGCACCCAGCCCCCCAGAGCTCACCCGCCCCCCCAGAGCGTACCCGGCCCCCCGCAGCACACCTCCCGCCCCCGGAGCACACCTGCCACCCCCAGAGCACACCCACTCACCCAAGGACGGGCTGAGACAGGAGGGCCCTGGCTGGTCCCTGGCGCCATCTTCTGTCAGCCTTGCCACAGACACCAAGCAGGGGCAGCCTCACGGGTGGGATGAGAAGGGGGCTCAGGGTCACAGCCCAGCCCACCACTTCTCCCATCATCTGGTCTTGGGGTCCTCGGAGTAGCCGGCTAGCAGGGCAGGAGTGAGGAGCACTCCTCCAATGCTCCAATGCCCCCATTTTCAGATGGGATGGGCTCTGAGAGGGGAGGAGCTCCCAAGAGTGGTCAGGACCCAGGTCCGGGCATCCCGGCCGCAGGGCCACGGCTTTTCGAAACACTCCTTGGATCTACCTGTGCTGTCTATGCAGCCGGCAGTGCTCTTGGTCTAAGTGTGTTGATGTGGCCTCAGCTGTGACTTTGTGGGCTAAAGCCAGAGGGGGAGACTTCAGAGCAGGCTGCCTGGAGGAGACGGCATTGCTTTTGGCCCTGAAGACTGGCTCCAACTCAGGGCAGGTCGGAAGCTTCGCAGATCAGGCTCAGGCAGAGAAGGAAGAAATTCAGCCAAAGGGGAGGCGGGGCCTGAGACAATCCAAGGAGCGGGGACAGGAGCCTGCCCTGCCCTGTGGCTCCCATGTTCCCATCAGGAGCTGCCCAGGCTGGGCCTGTGACCCCGTGGGGGTAATGCCTTTTCCTGAGTCAGCTGCAATGGGATGGGGTCAGAGAGAGCTGTGGTTCCCAACCCCCAACCCCCTCGCCTCACCAGCACACGCCTGACTATGGCCCACATCCAGCTCCTTGGGAAGCAGAGAGCCCAGCCATCACCCATCCACAGACCTTCATCCTACAGCTGAGAGGAGCACAGTCAGGAGGGGAGAGGCTGCCCCCACGGTAGCTGCTGGGCCCCTGGGTGTCCAAGGGCTGGGCTGGCCTCTGCTTTCAGTGGGTGCTGGCCAGGAAAGCCACAAATGCCACATGGTGGTAACCAGGACCACACACCACTCAACCGGAACATTCCACAAAGAGGGCTGGACACCACCCACTCCCACTGGCACATAGGAAGACCTGCCAGGGGATGTCAGATGCCTGAGCCCCCCTGCCAGGATCCAGTTCCTGGGATGAGACCCTTGCAGCTGACCCACGCCCGGGTGGGAGAGGAGAAACTGCCCAACCCTCGTTCCCTGTGGTGATCGAGGAGGAGCTGTCTGGCCTCCTCTAACACGGGCTGAACCAAGCCTGACGAGGCCTGAAGGACTGTCACAGGGAGGGCTGCCGGATGGGGCTTTCACAACCTGGACACCTCATACATGCTCCCTCCAGGAGCCACACAGAGACCCAAGGCCAGGATTTTGAGCAGGGGGGCTCCGTGAAACAGCCGGTGCGGCCTGTGTGTGACCCCACACTGCCGGGGCCCGCAGGCCAGCGCTGGCCGAGAGCAGGACGTGGTGCAGAAAGACTGCGGCCCACACGGGTGGGTGACCCGGGACCCACAGGAGCTGAGGCTGCATCACAGAGCAGGCAGAGACGAGCTGGGGGCATCGTGTGAACGAACGCCCCGGCGTGCCGTCCCGCTCCACGCCTGCACAGGAGCTGAAAGCTGGGGCCCCAGGCCCAGCAGCTGAACCTCCCACCCGAGGACACCTGTTGCGCCCCAGGGAGAGGAGAGGCCTAACCAGAGGGTGGACACACCTGCGGCCATCAGGTCACCGCCGCGGCCATCACGTCACCGCCGCCCCCAGTGCAGGCACGGGGCTGGGTGATCTGTCCCGTACAGTCCTGTGGCACTAGCCGAGGACCACGACTGTCACCTCCACATTGCAGACGAGGAGATGGAGCAAGCCTGGGATGCGGCGAACAGCCGCCCCCGCCGCCCCCGCCATGTGGCTCGGGCCTAGCTGGCTGTGGGGACAGAGTAACTTTATTTAAATGCTAATCTGCTGATTAACCCCGGGTCTCGGAATGCCTCCAGACTGGCTGGTTGATGCATCATCTTCCTGCAGGAGCACCTACTCCCTGGCATTCACGTGCAGGAAAGAAAAAAAAGAGTGTCTAGTCCTCGTACGTTTCTTCCTAAACAAACCCGGTGCTGCAGCAGGAATCTGGCCACCCCACCCGCCACGTTCCCAGCCACCTGCACATTCCTCCCAGGGCACGATACGAGCCCCAGATCGGGCGTTTGGGTTCAGAGCTCTACCTGCCTGGAGGCTGCCTGAGGCCATGTTTCCGTCTGTAAGTTCCTGCCAGTAAATAGGCGGGTACCAACACACTTGCTCTGTCTGCCTCCTTTTATTTCCCGGCTCCTTCAGTATCTGGGGGTTGCTTTGCTTATACCGCCTTTTCACCGAACGGTGGCGCCTACCCTCAAAGCTCCCATCTCCAAAGGGGACAGTGCAGAAGGCACCATGAGAGGCCGGGGGCCCCCAGGCCAAGAGCTGCAGAGCGGCCTCACAGGAGAGCCTCGGGCGGTGGACAGGTGGGGACCGGGTGGGACCAGCAAGTCTGAGGAGACAGTGGCGCTCAGGAGTCAACCTGGCCAGCAGATCCTGACATGAGAAACCGGGGCCAGGGGGTGGCAATTCCTGGGTTCCCAGCACAGGGCAGAGCCTCGGAGCGGGGAGGGCGGGGGCCACCCAGGAGCCAGGACAGCAGAAGAAGGAAGGACTGGGGCCTGGAGTCCAGGTGTGGCCCAGCACTTGGGTCCAGGGTCACAGGAGTGAGCAGTCAGAGGTGTCCTCAGCCATGGAAGGTATCACACACCAGGCAGGGAAGTGGGGCTCTGCGGCCGCCATCTGGGAGCCTCGAGGGTGGTCTATGCTCTCGGGGTGACTGTCCACTCCTCACGGGCACCAGGCCACAGGGAGGGTGTGCAGGACGCCCACACCCAGCCCGATGTCCACCAGGAGCTCAGTCTTAGGCATGGAGGCACCTGCCCAACCTGGGTGCCTAGAAGGATCCTAAGAGGCCCCTCCACAACCTGGAGTCAGTCGTTCTGCCTCGGGACTCTGGACCCCACAATGGCCGCACTGGCCACTGATGGGGCGGGGTGGGCTAATGGACCGGAAGGATCTCGTGTGACATGTCCTCAGGAACCACACCCACCTGAGTGCTGTACAAAACTGGTGGCTGGGGCCGGGCACCGTGGCTCACGCCTGTAATCCCAGCACTTTGGGAGGCCGAGGCGGGAAGATGGCTCAAGCCCGCCATCTCATGGTCAGGAGTTCGAAACCAGCCTGGCCAACATGGTGAAACCCCATCTCTACTAAAAATACAAAATGTATCTGGGTGTGGTGGTGGGTGCCTGTAGTCCCAGCTACTTGGGAGGCTGAGGCAAGAGAATCGCTTGAACCTGGGAGGTGGAGGTTGCAGTGAGCTGAGATTATGTCACTGCACTCCAGCCTGGGCAATAGAGCAAGATTCCGTCTCAAAAAACAATAAAAATAAAAACAAACAAGCCAGGTGCAGTGGCTCATGCCTGTAATCCCAGCACTTTGGGAGGCCGAGGCGGGCAGATCAGAAGGTCAGGAGATCGAGACCATCCTGGCCAACATGGTGAAACCCTGTCTCTACTAAAAATACAAAAAAGTAGCCGGGTGTGGTGGCGGGCACCTGTAGTCCCAGCTACTTGGGGGGCTGAGGCAGGAGAATGGCGTGAACCCAGGAGATGGAGCTTGCAGTGAGCCGAGATCAGGACACTGCACTCCAGCCTGGGCGACAGAGCGAGACTCCGTCTCAAAACAAACAAAAAATGGGTGGCTGGGGAGCCGCACTGGCCCTCGGTCCCTGGGGAAGGGAAGGGCTGAGGCAGGCAGATGGCAATCCAGGTTTAGACTCCAGGTTAGACCACCTGGAGGCTGAGCCCTCGGAGCCGGGGGCTGGAAGACGCGATGCATTGAGGTTAGGAGGAGGGACCTCGAGAGAGCTGGCAGCGCAGCAGCACCTGGTGCAGGCCCTGGGTATGCAGGGGGCGTTGCTGGCGGGGGGGTGGGGGGTAGTTACCTAACCTGCCTGCTTTCCCGTGTGGTTAAAAGGCTCCAATGACAGTGCCTGAGAGTGTGTGGACACTGGCAGCCTGTGAGAGCAGGGGCGGGTGGGAACAGGTCTCCAAAAGGACTGACGGGGCCTAGGAGACAGGAGAGGGACAGGTGCTTGAACAAGGGCTGGGGGCCAAGACGGGGGAAAGAGCTTCTCAAAGGAAGTGGAGCCAATGGGCTGGACTGAGATCCCATCTCCACCTTCTCCAGGGCTTCCACACCCAGGAAGGAGAGCCCATGGGTTGAAGCTTCGTCACCTGGGAAGCAGGAGAGCCCGAGGGTTGGAGTCCATGACCTGGGGGTTCCTGGCCCTGAAGGAGCCAGGCTGCGGGCCGGAGCTGGGCCAGCTGCCATGGCTGGAGGCATCACTCTCCTTGGGTCCTCCCAACAACCTAAGGGTGGCACCATCCCACCCCACAGACAGGCGAACTGAGCCCAGCATGGCCCAGCAAGAGACTCAAGTCACAGGCAGACTCCCCCAGCAGCCTCAGCTCCAGCAGATGCCCCAGGAGGCAGGAAGGGTCTGGGCCAGTTATCACAGATTTCACAGACTCCAGCCAGCCTCAGAAGGTGCCACAGAAAGGCCTGGCTGGACACCCCTCCGCCACCCTCTGTGCCTCTACTTCTCTGCCCTGACCTAACTGGCAGAGAGGATATAGGGCTAGACGAATAGGCCCTCCGGGGTTGGGGACAGAGCAGCTGAATCCTGGGAGGAATCCCCAGGAGCCTCCTCAGCCCTGTGGTCCCACTATTTCAAGCATGGGTGGGTTCCTGGAAGCGGCTGCCCGGACTCTCCTCCCACAAGGAGATGGCCATTGAGGAGCAACAGCCCTCTCAGCCCAAGTCCTTGTGCACCGAGACCAACTGTGTGGCCCTCAGTCTGGCATTCAAGGCTCCCACCACTCTGGGTTAAGTGTCAGCTGACCCTGTGGGCTTCCTGCCACTCCCTGACAGACCAACATCGTGCTGCATCCCAGCCTTGGCCCCAGCAGTGGCCTGGCCTGGGGGCAACCCTGGCTTCTGTGAGCTCTGTCCCCACCCATCGTCACTCAGCCATCCCCAGGGCTCCTCCTGCTGTGATGCCAGTCATACCCGTGGCTCATAGCAGCTCATGCGTAACTGCTTCTCCCTGAGCCTATGACAGAGGCAGTGCTTGGAAATGCAAACCCACTGCCCCCACTCCACAGGCACCCACGGACTCACAAGACACAGCAGATGCAGGAACAGCCTCGGCACCCACCTGCAGAGCAGGCCAAGCGGCAGGGGGTGCGGCAGAACCCTGTGGGTCGTGTCTGTATGTGCCCTGCAGAATGACACCACTGGGCTCTGGCCCTGACCTCTCACAACTGCTGAGATGACCACAGATGAGCCCAATCTCCTCTGTCTTAGTTTGTTCGTCTATAAATCAAGAACCATAACTCCCTCCTCACAGGATTGTCGCAGAGACAACAGTGCCTGACACATAGCATGAGAGAGCAAACATGCACCAATCCCTGTGGCACTGCCAAGTGATACAAGCCACAGAGAGTCAGACGCCTACCATTCCTTTTGTGTAAAACTGAAATTCCACATGTCTAGGATGGACAAAAAGGCTGAGGAAGATCCACACCAAGCTGTTGCGTCTGCTCCTGCAGAAGAGGTCCTTGGTCCCCCCTACCCACGGCATTTCCCTTTTTTACAAGGGGAATGTTTTCATGCGTTGCTGGAGTTATCAACAAGTGAACTGGTCAAAAAGGAAAAGGACTGGAGGAAACAGACAGAAGCAGGGCAGGTCGCTTGGTCCAACCTTCCTCTCATCAAAGGAAACAGAAGCTGGGAAGGACATCAGTCGTCTGAGTCCCCAGAGCTCACAGCGGCAGCTGCAGGGCTAGAACCTGGGCCTCCTGGCCGGGGCAGGCACCTTGCTAGGTCTTGACTTCTTTTGCTACCAGCTGAGCATGGGAAGCTCTGAAAGGGGCCGGGTGAGGGCAGGCGAGGATCAGAGTTCGCGGATGACAGCTGCCAGGCCAGGGCAGCTACAGGGAGCCGGGGTCCTGGTCCAAGCCCCAGCTGCCCTCCCCCTGGCCTGCTCCAACTCCTGCAAGAGCGCTCTCTGCCTTATTTGGCTTGGAAGAGAAACCGATAAACACTCCCGTGCTAGTGCTTTCGACGGTGGGCGGGGCCGGGCAGAGGAAGAGAGGAAGAAGAGCAGACGTGGTACAGGCAGCTCCTGGCGGCCGCTGCTCTGCCCTGCTCTGCAAGGGAGCCTGCTGGGCCTTCCCTGCCATGACCCCAGGCAGAGCACAAAAAGCAAACCCAGACCCAGAGGGGCCATGAGGGCTCAGACGGATCCCACTTTTATGGAAGAAGAAGGCTGGCAAGGTTGGCCCAGGGGACGGGGGGAAGCCAGCCCGCCCCCAGACGCCCCGTGCAGCGTTCACAGCAAGGTCTATGGAGGTTCACACGGGCTGCATGGCCTACCACCCCAGAGTGCCAGCACAGGAGCCTTGGACAGCAGACAGAGGGGGAAGCTGTGTGGGGAGGGGACCTGGGGGGCTCCCCCAATGGAGGCCGAGCCCGGCCAGGCCCACCTTCACCAGCCACCCTGGCATCCGGGCCTGCTCCGCACAGGCTCCCAAAACCCCAGCTGCTTCACTCCTTCTCCGCGCCAATCCCCACCTGCCCCTCAAAGGCCCCAGCGGACGTGACACCTGGTCCACGCCTGGCCCACCCTCCACAAGCAGAGGTCCTGCCTCCAGCGCCCACCACCCCACACGCCCACCTCGGACCTCGCCGGCGGGGCCTCCGTGCCCTCAGTGACAGTGACCCCGGCCGTGGCTACAGACGGCTGAGCCACGGGCTCCGCTCCCCCGGGGCGCTGGACCGTCTCAGGCTGGGATCCTGCACGGTTCTCTGTCCATCCCAATCCACCCCAAGCTGAGGACTGAGGAAGCCCCTCTTCCTGCCTCATGGACAAAGAAGAGTTGAGAGAAACTCAAGAAAAAGCCCAGTCTATACTCTCTGTCCAGCAATGAGAGAGAAAATGGATTCTAGAACACTTCACAAAGCTCTAAAAACCTCAGAGACCTTTGAACCAACCCCTGTCATCTCATGGGAGAACCCCAGGCCCTAGGAGAGCTTTGTCCAAAGGCAACAGTGGGACGTGGCCACAGGGCAGGCAGCACCCAGGGAGCTCAAGACAGGCAGGGATCCGAGGGGAACGACCCGCCTTTAAGGCAGCAGGACCCAGGGAGCCCAGGACAGGCAGGGGCCCGAGGGGAGCCACCCGTCTTCGAGGCAGCAGCACCCAGGAAGCCCAGGACAGGCAGGGTCCCAAGCGGAGACACCCGCCTTTGACGCAGCAGCACCCAGGGGGCCCGGGACAGGCAGGGGCCCGAGGGGAGCCACCCGCCTTCGACGCAGCAGGAGGTAAACGGAATGTTCCTCACCTACTTGGAGCCCGGCCAGCAGCCTGGGGCACTGAGGAGCTTCTGGACCATTTAATTAGCTCGGTGTCCAGGTTTAATTAGCTCAGTGTCCAGGAAACTCAGTTTTATGGCTCATCTGACCTACACGGGGCAGGGTCCTGCAGGCCTGGTGGCTGCTGTGGGCTGGGCACCCACCGCACCTGCCACAGCCATCTGCTCTCAGACCTGCTGGCGTGGAGAGTCAGGACACCCTCCCGGACACACTCAGCCCGCAGCCCCTGGAGGGGTTTGCAGGGCAGGGTGGGGGTCCGTCTGTGAAGAAGGTGACTGTGCAGGAACAGAGGGTCAGCAGGCACCTGCTGCACACAGCCACGTGGGTGGGACTGGGGGAACTGTCTCTGCCCAGGGAGCGGGGCAAAGCCCACAGGGTCCTGCAGGCATCAGCCCCTGGGATTCTCCCACAAGCCAGGGGTGACTCCACCACGCCCATTTCACAGATGAGCACACAGAGGCTGCAGGAGGGGAGGGTTCCCCAGGTGACCTGCTGGTGGGTGGAACAGTGGCACCTGCACATCTGGGCCTGAGCTCTTGTGGCACTGCCCTGCCCAGGAGGGCACCAGGCTAAGAGTGACTTGCAGGGCACGATGGTGCTGACCAAAGGCCCAGCGGCACGGCCCGAGGCAGAAGCAGTCTGGTCCCAAAGCCGCCGCCTTCCGGTCCCCACACCATGGCAATGGTTGTGCTTGCGGGGTGGGGGCGGGTGAGCTGGGAGGTGCCTTTGCGTTCTCCCCGATGCTGCTCAGCATCCCATCCCCATCTTCATGGTACTTGGGGTCCGCAGTGAACGACCCCCAGCATGGCAGGAGACCAAGCAGAGATGAGAATGCCCCACCCCACGCGTGAGACATCCCCCACATCGGGGCCTGGGTGGCCCTTCCCCCACTTCCTCCTGACCCTCCCCACTGCCCTCCGCACCTCCCCCTCCCTCCCAGGGCCTGTCCTTCCCCACAGACGACCAGCAGCGCTGCCAGGGTGTGGAGGCCTCAGAGTTTTTCTGTGCTGGGCTCCCCTGCAGGGTCAGGGATCTGGGACTCATCCCTCAGCAACAGAGAAGGGGACAGATTCCAGGGCATGGGTGAGGCCTGCGTTCCACACAGAGCAATCCCCTGACTCTCTGCGCAGGTGGGTTCCTCGCCAGCCCCCGCAGCCTCTCCAGAAAGGGAGGAAACCAGGGCTTATCTGGGCAGCCATCTCTGGCGCAGATACAGGTAAATAGGTGGGGGACAGTGGGTAGAGGGTGTGGCCCCAGGAAGGACGCAGGTCCCGGAATGTCTGACGGAGCCGACCCTATGCCCCCACTGTGCCCTGGGAAGGGAGCTGGGTCAGGCAGAGCCACCTCTGTGAGCAGCAAGGTCTCCCTCCCGGCCCACCCAGAGCTCAGGGGTCTGGGCAGAGCCCAGCTGAAGAAAGGGCCCCCGCTGGCCTTTGCACACAGCAGGCACTCAGAGGGGCGGTGACAAAGTAAGACCTCCCACTCAGCTCTCCTTCCTTCACACACCATGGCCTCCCCCACCTGAGGTCAGTGATGGGCACTTTCCTGCCACCCTTGGATCGGCCCTGCCCACTGGCCCCCATCTGAGCTGCAGGCACTGCCCTCCTGGATTCCTGCTGCTCGACAATCCCGGGGACGGCAGGACCCCCTCCAGCCCCAAGGAGAGGATGTGTCTGGGGAGGAGAAGGGGCTCCCAGCCAAGCGGCCAACCCTGACTGCCAAGGGTAGACCCCCAGTGGTGCCACGGCCAGAGGGGTTTGCCAGGTCACCCGTGGCAGCCAAGGCAAGGAAGGGGCAGCCTCTCGGGTCTCCCGGCAGCCCACAAGTGCTGTGTCGGCCCTGACCCTGAGCTGTGTGCCAGGAAGTGGCTTCTGTTGTGCCACTTGTCAGACGGGGAAACTGAGGCACGGTGGGCTTACAGGGCACTGTGTGGACAGTGTGGCCTCCCACAGCTTCAGCCGCCCTGCACACAAGCCCTGACCAGGCCTAGCTGAGAAGGACAGCCACAAGGTGGTCCCTCGGCCAGCAGCTATGAGTTCACAGGTCCCACAGGCTCTTTCCTGAGACCCCCAGTCCCCAATACGCCCGAGCCCCCACCTTATACCCAGGAGCTCCAGGCTGCAGGACTAGGAATTGGCAGCTCCCTAAGAACCACAGCTTTCCATGAGCAGCCATCATGGGGGTAGCCCGTCCAGAGGGTGCAACCAAAACAGTCTGGCCCTGGGGCACTTGGACAGGGTGCAGGTCCAGGGGTAGAGCCAGAGACACCTGGCGTTCCAGGTCATGATTCAAGCCTGCCCAGGGGCCAGCTGGTGAGCTAGCAGCCAATGTCCTCCGGAGATAGGGATGAGACGCAGGGCCGGCTCCTGGCGGCTCAGGGCACTTACGGGGGCCCAGTTCCTCTAGGAGGGCCCTGCTCGAGGTCTCAGCCTGTGAGCAGCTCCTGTGTGAACAGGGCGGCCCAAGGCAGAAGCTGGAGGTGAGCAGAACCGGCTCCAGACCAGCAGCCAAACCCCTGCTTCTTCTCTGGGATTCTGTCTCTTCATCTAGAAAGTAGCAGTGGGCCAGGTATGGTGACTCCTGCCTGTAATCCAGCAGTTTATGAGGCCAAGGCAGAAGGTTCGCTTGACCCTGAGAGTTCAAGACCAACCTGGGCAACACAGGAAGGCCTCATCCCGATTTAAAAAACAAAACAAAACAGAACAGAACAGGAAGGCACTGACATGCCTCGTCACCTGGAGCTGCCAGCCAGGGTCTGGCGTGATACAAATGTGCAGAGTGAAGAACCAGGTCAGGGCAGCACTGGGTAACAGCCGGTAGGTGCTCCCTGACACTCTCTGGCTGACCCAGGGAGTGGACAGCACATTCCAGAGGCCGCATGGACCACAATGATTACATTGATTAGCATGGAAGGGCCGATGTTAAGGTCTGGGTAAACAAGGTCGCTCTGTGACCTGGAGCTGGCCCCGCCCCCAGCATTCCAGACTAATTGAGAGGGTAAGATTCCTGAAATGAAGGCTTTGGAAGCTAGGAGGCAGCTCTCCGGGCTCTGTGAGGCCGTCACAGCCATCCTGCCCCAGGCACACCTGTACACCTGCACACAGGGTCGGCACGCAGGGGGTCAGGTGTGGTTGGAAGCCCGTGGTTCAGAGGGGTTTCAGGAGCCCACAGCCTCCTGGGGGCCAAAGTGCACGATGAGCCACAGTTAGCACCAGATGCTGAGCTGGGTCCTCAGGGAAGGCTTCCCCGGGGGGCACCAGAGCAGGACCCAGTGGCAGGAAGGATCTGGGAACATCAGATGCGAAGGTCCTGGGGGAAACCCAGAGGTCATGAAGCTGCGGAGGGTGGGGCGGGGTACGAAAGGGGATGTGCCTTGAGACACGGGGTCTCGGCCACAGGAGATGGGGTCCTCTTGAAGCCCCAGCAGCAAGCACGTGGCAATGCCCTCCCGGCGCCCAGGTTCCATATAACCCATTCTCCAGAGCTGAAGTCCACACCACCAGCGTCGCTGGATCCTGAGCAGGTAGATTCTTAGGCTGAGGTTCATCCAAACCCAGGCGCCATGTTCTAAAGTGTCCTCTGGGAAACATGAACGTGCTCTCCAGGCAGAGATCACGCGTCGACATTCCCCTGCCAGGCCGGGCGCGGTGGCTCACACCTGTAATGCCAACACTTTGGGAAGCTAAGGCGGGTGGATCATGAGGTCAGGAGTTCGAGACCAGCCTGGCCAACATGACGAAACCCCGTCGCTACTAAAAATACAAAAATTAGCCGGGCATGGTGGCACGTACCTGTAATCCCAGCTACTCGGGAGGCTGAGGCAGGAGAATCGCTTGAACCTGGGAGCCTGGGATCCCAGTGAGCTGGGATCGCACCACTGCACTCCAGCCTGGGCGACAAGAGTGAAACTCCGTCTCAAAAAAAAAAAAAAAAGAAAGAAAAAAGGAATGCCCCTGCCACGGCCTGCCTTTGACTCCCAGCATCATGCCGTGACCTCCCAAAACGAGGACTCCGCCCTCGGCACCAGGGGCAGACACTGGCGACCACTCCAACCATGGCCCCAGCAACTCACCCCAGAGAGGCAACAAGGGCTTCCTAAGAAGCCTGGCCATTGAAAACCTCCCGGTAGCCGCCTCTCAGGAGCACTGCCTTCTCAACACAGCTACCTGGCCCTGGCAGACCCGGCTGCCCACTGTGTCCTCAGCGGTGCTGGACCCAGGACAGAAGATGGGGTGCTGACTCAGAGCCCTCACCCTGTGATTTACCCAGCGGCACCCAGCCCCCTGGCCTGTCCAGTCTGGCCTGTCTAGACTGCCCCAGGGCCCAGTCACAGGCTGGCCTGCTCTCTAGGGACTTCCCCGGCACTCAGAGAGGAATGCAACCTGGCCACCTCCCTCGCAGGCAGGAGGGGAGTCACCAGCCACTCGGAGGCAGCCTGGAGAGGGGGTGTCACGGGCAGGTGTCTGGTCACACTCCCTTCAGAACCTTGCTTCCCCTTCCCCCCAGGCCACTGGGACAGGGCAGGAGAGGGAGGGGAATCTCAGGGCAGGTGTCCAGGATGGTCGTACATCATGTCTGTGTACTTCTGCAGGAGACTGGGGTCTGGTCCTAGCTCAGCCCTCCCCTCTCTGTGCCTTGAGTTCCCAGTAAGTGAAATGGGGACAGAATTGGGCACCTGTACCAGAACCATCTTGCCCTCCCAGTGGATGCCACCCCAGAAGCACTGCCCGGACACGTGGCCAGGTGAGCACCTCGTATAGCTGGCAAGGGGCTGGACAGCAGCGCCTGGAGCCTGGCTCCCTGGTCTCTAGAGAGCCCAAGTCGTTATCTCTAATTTTTTTTTTTTTTTTTTTTGAGACAGAGTCTCACTCTGTCGCCCGCCCAGGCTGGAGTGCAGTGGCACAATCTCGCGCACTACAACCTCTACCTCCTGGGTTCAAGCGATTCTCCTGCCTCAGCCTCCCGAGTAGCTGGGACTACAGACACCTGCCACCACACCCGGCTAATTTTTCTATTTTCAGTAGAGATGGGGTTTCACCATGTTGGCCAGGCTGGTCTCGAACTCCTGACCTCAGGTGACCCGCCCACCCAGGCCTCCCAAGGTGCTGGGGATACAGGTGTGAGCACTGCACCCGGCCGCTATCTCCATTCTGAACAGGGTGCTGAGGATGGAGGAGGTGCGACCAGAGACATCACATGCGAGTCAGCGCACGGCTGTGTTCTCAGTCGGCAGCGTGGGTGCCGTGGTCACGCCTGCGGGTGGGGTGTGAGGGTTGATTCATGTGTCAGCGCTGCTGGGCCACGCTGCCCAGTTTAGTCAAACGCCAATCGCAATTTGGTGTGCAGGTGTTTTTAAAATGAGATTGATTTAAATCAGCAGACGGCATGAGGGCCTCATCCAATCAGCTGAAGGCAGGGGAGTGTCGCCTAAGGGCCCGGAGGAGGAATTCCCAGGACCGCCACAGAGAAGCCCGGCCTGAGCGCACAGCCTGGACTCGAGACTGCAACAGCGGCTCTTGACAGCCAGCGCGCCCTGCGAACTTCAGACGTGACAGCCCCACAATCGCGTGCGTCAGCTCCTTAAAATAAATACCCATTTCACAGGTAGAGAGACATATCAATATATAACAAGCACCAGGCTGGTGTGGCCGAGGCCTGGGGACCCCGAGTTCCTGCCGCCTGTGTGGTCCCTCCCAGCACCTGGCAGGGCCCAAAGGGGAAGCTCAGGCACACACCCACCTACCTCCGGGGCCCTGGGCCCAGCTGACTGAGCTTGACAGCCAGCTCTGCTGCCACAGGGCTGGGGCGAGTGGGACGCCGGGGGCCCCCACACATACTCTGGAAATTCAACAAAGTCATGAAGCAACCAAGGGAAAAAAATCAACATTCTGGGCTCATAACCACTAGGTGGGCAGGGCACTGCCTGGCTCTTCCCCAGGATCACCAGCCCCAGAACGGGGACCCGGCCCCAGCTGCTCTCAGAGCCACAGGGACGATCACCTCAGGCCACGAGGGCCGGGGCCACCCCAGGTTGGAACCCTGGGCCCAAACTGGCTAGAGTGGGCCTCAGTTTCCCCTTTCCATGAAATCTCAGAGAACATTCACTTTCCTCTTCTCCACTTTCAAAAGTTTTTAAAATGCAGAGAAGCACAAAGTAACACCCAAGGTCCTCACAGTCAGCCTGTGAGTGCCGCGACTGCTCTGCCCGCACGAGCCTATTCTACCAAGCACAGCTTTCCCATCAGCTTCTCCGATCGATTGGCTTCCCTGATTGATTGATTAGCTTCTTCCCGGATTGAGCTGCAGTGCGCTCTTCACTCATCTCCCCATTCCTCCCCCTTCCCAGAAGGAAACGGTCTCATGAGTCTCGGGACATCCTTACGGGAAGGAGACATTTCTGAGTTCTGGAATTCCATCCAGGGCCATCTGCAAGGGCATCCCTGGCCTGTGGCTGTGCTGAGACCCCTGGGCCAGGTCCTGCCCATGAGGAAGGAGGTCAGGGGGCTGTGCTGGGAGAGCTTTAAGTCACAAAAACAGGCCCCCACAGCCCAGAGCCCCCCAGCCCTGATCCCCCAGAGACCAGAATGACTGAGGCAGGAAGGAAGGGGACCAGCCACAAGGTCGAAGCTTCAGTCAGCTTTGGAACTCCCCCACTGCAGGTGACTGGCTGGGGTGGAAGCCGCCAGCTTCCCTACAAACCCCTGCTCCTCTCCCATCTCTCTCAGGACCCCAAGAGCCACATACCATCATACACTTGGCCACTGAGCCAGAACCCACATTTGCAGGGGGAGCCCATGTCATCCTCAGCCACCTAGGAAGGCGGAGTCACTGCTGTCCCCTGGCTCAGAGGAACCAGGGTCCCCAAAGGTCACAGGGTGAGGCCACCCAGCCAGGGAGGGGCAGAGCCAAGCCAGAACATCTCCGCTGAGCCTTCTGCCTCAGGGTGACCCCACCCTGCCCTGCCCTACAGCCCCGAGTCAGGACTACAGCCTTGAGGGATCGAGGGGACTCAAGCCAGCTTCCACCACTGAAGGGCAAAACCCACACTCCCTGACACAACCCCCAAGCCCTCGCAGACTTCCCGGGCTCCCTGACAGCACGAGACTCACGCACATGCTTCTCCCGCTCCCTCCCCCGGGTCCAGACCCCAGGTCCCTGAGATTTCCCCCAGGCCCTCCAGAGGGGACCCCGTGGACCAGACCCCTTAAAGCAGAGGTCTGCAAAGTGGGACCCACGAGCCCCCAAAGCCATGTGCCACCACAGTCGTGTCCTGGGGAGGGGGGCCCAGGGCCCAGGGCCCAGCCAACCTCACGGGCCCAACCTCGGTCCAGGGCTGCCAGCTGGTGGGGCAAGAGCTGGGCTCCTCTTGTGCGGCCTGGCACACTGCCTGGGCCTCGCAGCCCCTCCCCCCACATCCCAGCTTAGCTGCTGGACCTTATGGCAGGGTGTCCCCATAGCTGTTCCCACCACGGCAGGCCGGCTCCAAGAAGCTCCCCGGGCCAGGAGGAGAAGCTGATTAAGTGGCCACTTAAGAGCAGAGAGTGGATTGTTCCCTGTGGGGGGTGGGGAGGGGACTGGACGGCCCTGGCTAAAACCTATGCGCGTGCTCAGTTCCTGGAAAAAGGGGAGTGAGAAAGACGGACACACTGCCCTCTCACCCACCACATCCTGTTTTTATGGAAAACTAATCCAATTCCTAACAGCAGAGCGAGCAGCCGAACTCCCGGGGGTCCCGGGTGGCCCTGACAAGCAGGTTGTGGGCGGGGGCTCCCTAGTCCGTGGGGCAGGAGCTCGTCCACAGGGCAAGAGCGCTTCCCTCTCAGCCGCTCCTCCCTTCTCCCTGGGGAGAGGCCAGGATGGATGCGCCCTTCCTGGCAGTGAGGGGCTGGCTGACCGTCCCCACCCCTGCAGCCTCAGCCAGGCCCTGCTCCCTTCTAGGCCTCGGCCAGTCTGGGGTGGGGGCGGTGCCCACAATGGGCAGGCCAGCGACACCGCGAGCTGCAGGGCCCAGTCCGGGGCACAGCAGTATTGTGGCTGCAGACCATGGGATCTGGAGCCAGAATAGCCATGGCCGGGGCCGGATGCACCTTGGCAAAGCAAGCTGGGCCTCAGTTTCCTCATCTGTACAGTGAGGACACCAGCCCTATTCACTGCAAAGGCCACACACTGAAGTACGCTAGGACACAGCAGCACCCGCGCCCACACTTGCTATGCAGAGTGGGGGCCCCTCATCCAAAGGGGCCAGAAGTATTTCCAGTTTAGGATTTTCTGGATTTTGGAATATTTGCACACGCATAATGAGGTATCTTGGGGATGGGACTCAACACAAAATTCTACTCACATTTCAATATATACCTCGTACACATACCCTAAAGGCAGTCACATAATTTTGTGTAAATAATGACGGGGGTCTCACTATGTTACCCAGGCTGCTCTCAAACTCCTGGCCTCAAGTGATCCTCCCACCATGGCCTCCCAAAGTGCTGGGATTACAGGTGTGAGGCCACCACGCCCAGAGCATACTTTCAATAATTCTGGCTTCTGACTGTGACCTGGCGTATGAAGTCAGGCCTGGAATTTTCCGCTTGGATTTAGATTTCGGACTTGGGGACTGGGATGCCCAGGCTACACCATCCTCGCATTTTCCTTACCAATATGAAGACAGACCTGCGGAACGCCTCGGCAGCAATGGAGCTGTGGGACCGGTCCCGCCTCCTCTCCTACCACTGCACATGACCGGAGCCCCCACCTCACATCGGCCGGCTCCATTCCTGAGGGTCAGGGCCAAGCCTGGGGACCTGCAGCCTCCAGTCAGCACGCAGGGAGCAGAGCAGGGAGAGGACCCCGGGCCTGGCTGTCACTGCTTCCTCCTGAGGACCTGAGCCAGGTCTGGGGCTGAGGCTCAAACACAACATGTAGCTCTGGTGGGCGGAGCGTGGTGGGAAACAGGGAGGGGCCAGGGTGGGCGGGGCCAGGACGAGCCTCATGTCACCTCTGCTAGCTCAGAGCTGGCCCTGCTCCTGCGCAGGTTAGAGGGAACAGAGAGGCCGGCATGGGGCGGAGTGTGGTTAACAGATCCCCTAGGGGGTCACACCCCTTCCAATGCCACATGGCGGGGCAGCAGGGGGCTCTGAGGCCCTCCTAACCTACTCCAACCTGGAGGCTCGGGACCCCCACGCCTCTGCCCCTGAGAGAGGAAGTGAGGGACTGTTGACGCATGGCCCGTCCCCAGGGAAGAGGACTGATGCCTCCCAGGGTGTTCTCCCTGCCCACACGCCCCAGCCCCTCCCCACCCTCTCTCCAGGCAGAGAGTGCACAATCCGGTCTTCCCAAGCCTCGGTCTGTCGGGACAGAACCTGCCAAAGCCAGAGGAGGCCTGCAGGCAGCCCCACAGGACGCCTGGCAGGCGGCTCCCAGGACGTATCCCCGAGACCTCTCAGCCTGATGCCTGTGCACAGCCCGCTCCCCCATGACCCGGTCACACCTGCCCCCCAGCCGGGCCCCGCCTGCATCACTTTCTGGCTATGGACTTGGGAGCTGGCTCGACCTTTAGGAGTCTGCAGTTCCTGTCTGTGGGGTGGGGGGACGGGAGCGGCTGCCTGGCCAGGCTGTAGCGAGGATGGCACGGTGAAGAGTCCAGAGTCTGCCAGGACACTGAGCAGGGCGTTCTCCTCAGGGGCGGCTCCAGAACTGCAGTCCATCGGGAGAGGTGGCCGTTAGTGCGGGGGCCCCGCCATGGGCGGTGCCTGCCTGGGCCGCTCCCTTCCCCCTCAGCCTGAACACGGTCCTGGGTGGGGGTACTCTCCCGCCAGCTGCCGAGCACGTCCACCACCTGGTGCCTTCACTGCCAGTGACTCAGCCAGGCCGGCTGGCAGCCCAGCCGCACCAAGTCACCCTGAGCACGCCCCACGGTTCCCACGGAGCAGTCAGGTCCGGGCCAGGCGTCCTCCACTGGGCCCCGCGCGGCCCTGCCATAGGTGACACCAGCCACCACCAGAGTCGCTGGGCCTCATGTCCTCACCTGGGAGGCCAGTGAGGTGCCCTGGGGGCTTGGGCGAGGAGCTCTAACTATAGGAATCCGGTGGGCGGCACTGGAGAGACTCCCTGCCGTCACATGCCCTGAGCGCAGGGGATTAAGAGGCTCTGGGCCCTCTCATCTGCAGGCGGGGCCTGGGCGGAGCAGCTCCACCCTATCACGTCTTGCTCTGTGTTGCAAGGTCCTTCCGCCCCTGTCACTTAGCAGGTGGTCTCAGTCCCGGAGAGCCAGAGCCGTGAGGCAGAGCAGGGCAGGCGCTAATCTCACAGGGAGATAAAAATCAACCGTGCGAAAGGCCCCACAGAGCGACCGCTACTGGCACCGGGCCCAGCCTTGCAGGAACTCTGCACCCAGTGACCCCCCCTTGGGAGGTCCAGACCAGTTCCACTCTTAAGGACGAAGTGCTGGAGGCTCAGAGAGGCTGAGAGATTCACCCAACCACCGGCCCAATGGTGCTCAGCAGCAGAGCCAGGACTGGGAGCCTCATCTGACTACATACAGCTAGGAGTGCGGCGACAACAAGAAACCAGGCCAGGCGGGGCTCCCATCCCACCGCCTCCCTTGCCCTGCAGGCCCCAAGCCCAGCAGGCAGGGTAAGGAGCACACAGCTTTCTTGACTGGGGGCTCGGCTCCCCACGGCTCACGCAGCTGCTGGGCTCAGGGGCCACACACGCCCAAGCCTGAACCTCAGCAGGGCCACTCGACAAGTGCCCTATGACAGTGTCCAGCGGAGGTCCCAAGCTAGCCATGGGGGTCCCCCTCAGCCCACAGTCAGAGCAGGGCCATAGGGAGGTGCTGGGTGGGACAAGGTTGCAGAGGTGACACTAGTGGAGCCGACGTCCAGATGCCCGTCCACCCGCGGCCCCAGGCCCTCCTGAGACTCTATGCCCGTCCACCCGCGGCCCCAGGCCCTCCTGAGACTCTATGCCCGTCCACCCGCGGCCCCAGGCCCTCCTGAGACTCTATGCCCGTCCACCCGCGGCCCCAGGCCCTCCTGAGACTCTATGCCCGTCCACCCGCGGCCCCAGGCCCTCCTGAGACTCTATGCCCGTCCACCCGCGGCCCCAGGCCCACCTGAGACTCTATGCCCGTCCACCCGCGGCCCCAGGCCCTCCTGAGACTCTATGCCCATCCACCCGCGGCCCCAGGCCCTCCTGAGACTCTATGCCCGTCCACCCGCGGCCCCAGGCCCACCTGAGACTCTATGCCTGTCCACCCGCGGCCCCAGGCCCTCCTGAGACTCTGGTCAGGATGCCTGTCCACCTGCGGCCCCAGGCCCTCCTGAGACTCTGGGCATGGCTGTCAGAATGACCATCCCTGGTGCCATTGAGACCCCAGATCCAGCACCTGTGTCCAGCGCTGAAGTCCCAAGTCTGTGTCCAAGCTCAGAAGGAGGGCCCAGAATCCCAGACGTATCATGGCAGCAAGTGAGCCGGGGGTTGGGACAGGTAAGCAGGCTCTTGTGGCTTAGCCACCAGCTCGGAATATACTTTCCATGTGGACATGAGGCCCAGGTGCCAATAACCAACAGCCACGCTGGAGCTGAGGGCCCTGGGAGCCTGCAGGCCCCAGCCCACAGGCAGGTGGCAGAGGGCACGGCTTCCTCCCTCATAAAAAGGCCCGTGCCTGGCAGGGCACAGTGGCTCACGCCTGTAATCCCAGCACTTTGGGAGGCCGAGGCAAGCAGATCACGAGGTCAACAGATCAAGACCATCCTGGACAACATGGTAAAACCCCGTCTCTACTAAAAATACAAAAATGAGCCGGGCGTGATGGTGGGTGCCTGTAATCTCAGCTACTGGGGAGGCTGAGGCAGGAGAATCGCTTGAACCTGGGAGGCGAAGGTGGCAGTGAGCTGAGATCGTGCCACTGCATTCCAGCCTGGCCAAAGAGTGAGACTCTGTCAAAAAAAAAAAAAAAAAGGCCTGTGCCCCCTCCTCCCTGTTCTCTGAGGGGGATGCCCGCCGCAGCCCTGGCTCAGTCTTCATGTCACCCCCTTGCAAATGTGCAAGCTCCTGAGGCCGCAGGCTGGGGTGGGCCATGGCAGGGCCAGCCTCCCCTCCAAACACCCACGGGACACGTGAGTGGAGGCACATGGCTTCCAGCTGGCCCCAGGGGTGCCTGGAAGACTGTGTCAGCCTCTGGAATGTGAGGCGGCCTGTCTGTCCACCCAGAAGCTTCTGGCACTCCAGGGAGCTCGAGCTCGCTGTGCTCTGGAAGCAGCAATTACTCCTCCATCTGTCACCAGCGGCTCCAGCCAGCCCTCAGGTCCACGTGCCTCCTTCCTCCTGGGTCTCATTGATTCAGGCTGAGCCTCCCCCTCTGGCCCCCCAGTAACTCCCGGCGTCACGCCCAGGCCCTCGCTCAGGGGATCTGAGTAGAGGGGAGGCCTGAGTCAGGACAGCCCTCCAAGAGTGGGCAGCCAACGAGGGACCCCCTGAATAAAAACCGCAGAGGAGGTCTGCCCACCTGGCGTGGGGGCCAGGGAGGAGGTGGGCAGGGGGAGGGGCCTTGCCCGAGACCAGAGGTGGCTGGGGGCCGAGGGTCGGCAGGAAGCCAGGCGACCGATGGGCGCAGCACAGACTGCCTCCACGTGGCCCTGCACAGCCTGGCCTCACTAGGGGAAGGGTGAAGACAGCAGCTGGCGCTTCCCCTCAAAAAAACCCTGGGGGCTCAAGGCCACCCCTGAGGTCTCCAGGCTCCTAGGAACAGGGCCTGACAGGGAAAAGGCTGACAGGCAGGTCGGGGGACTGGACAGCAGCTGCCTATTGGGTGACAGGCAGGTCGGGGGAGTGGACAGCAGCTGCCTACTGGGTGACAGGCAGGTCGGGGGAGTGGACAGCAGCTGCCTACTGGGTGACAGGCAGGTCGGCGGAGTGGACAGCAGCTGCCTACTGGGGGTGAGGGCTCCGGCCACCCTGCACCCAGTGTCCTCCTGGGTGGTCTTAGGAAGAGGGTCACTCGACCCCAGCCCTCCAGTGCAGGGCCCCACCGGAGCTTGCTCTGGGCACTTCTGGCCCTGCCAAAAGTCCCCTCAGGTGCCACCATCCCTGACCACCAACACCTCCCTGCAGGTCCCCCGAGTCCCTTCAGCACCGCAAGCCTCCTCCCCGCCACTGCTGACCTTCAGAGATTGGGGCCCCTCCAGGCCTCCCTCTCCCCTGGCTTGGAAGTTCTGTGCCCGGCGATAAGGTCTGGGATGCAGCTCCCAACACAGCAGGAACCGGTCACCAGGCAGGGCTGGGTGGGCGTGGCCTGAGCTTCTAAGCGCATGACTGTCACCTCCTCCTGGCCTCTGCCTGGGCCCCCTTCCCACCCACAGGATGGCGACGCCCAGTGACTCCCTGACCAGGCTGTAATAATATAAACTAGAGGTCCAGCCTGGTGATACATGCCTGTAATCCCAGCTACTCAGGAGGCTGAGGCATGAGAATCGCTTGAACCCGGGAGGCGGAGTTTGCGATGAGTCGAGATTGTGCCACTGCACACCAGCTTGGGCGACAGAGCGAGACTCTGTCTCGATAAGTAAATAAATAAAAATAACAATATAAACTGGAGAAAGACACCCGTGGGTGCTGAAGGGGAAAACAGGACCCAGCTGTGATAGCCAGGACAGCTCAGGGTCAAGGAGACTCACTCCTGGGCTCCAGAGTCCCCAGCAGCAGCCTGGGCACCTCTGTATACCACGTGGAGGAGAAACGGGTGGGCATCGCTGGCCCAGCTGCAGGTCTGAGTGGGGGTCCCAGGAAGCCTGAAAAGGAAGCCGGCAATCCCGCGCTGGACCCATGAAGAAGGGCCGACCAGACAAGGATGGGGCCCAAGGGCAAAGAGACCGCTTGTCTTATGCCACAGTGGCTGGGGAGAGCACTCTTAGGGTACATGGGGTTCCCTGCAGGATTCCGCAAAAACAGGGCACCCCGGAGCCGGCTGCGCAGGAGCGAACGGTGCCCACATGGTCTAAGATACCTCAGCACAGCCTCCTGGGCGCTGAAACCACCCAGGCATTCAGAGATGGTAATACCAGGCCTGGGAATTAACCCCAGAGGAACCAGTCAAAGGAAGGAAAAACAGGCGCAAAGATAGTGGCTATGTAACGACAGGGCGGTGCTGGGAGGCAGGCTCACTTTGCAGGGACCCAAAGGCACCCACTCCATCCAGCAGACACCCAGGGAGGCCCCGGCCCAGACAGTGAAGACGACAGAGTTCCCGGCCGTACCCGTGACACCCAGGACGTAACGGAGTGAGGGGACCAGGGACTCCGGAGCATGGCAGAGGGGCCGTCCCTGACCCTGACAGGACGCAGGCCCTGGGGAGAGGCCTGGCTCCTGGAAGGTGAGCAGGATTGCCTGGCACAGGCTGGAGCAGGAGGCAGAGGCGCCCACACAGGACACAGAGGATGCCGGGGCAGACCTAGCGGCCAGTAGCCAGGCAGAACAAGGCCCAACACAGGCTGAATGCCATGGCCACCCACACAGGGAGAGGACGTTCAGTGGCAGGTAGAGCCCCTGAGCAGAACCCCCAAGAGTGTCCGGGCTTCATCTGAATGAAATGCCTGCTCTTAAAAACACATGGCGGGGGCCCGGCGCAGTGGCTCACGCCTGTAATCCCAGCACTTTGGGAGGCCAAGGCAGGCGGATCACCTAAGGTCAGGAGTTTGAGACCAGCCTGGCCAAAATGGTGAAACTCCATCTCCACTAACAATACAAAAATTAGCCGGGTGTGGTGGTGGGCACCTGTAGTCCTAGCTACTTGGGAGGCTAAGGCAGGAGAATCGGTTGAACCAGGGAGGCGGAGGGTGCAGTGAGCCAAGATCGTGCCACTCCACTACAGCCTGGGTGGCAGAATAAGACGCTGTCAAAAAAAAAAAAAAAAAAGAAAAGAAAAAAGACATGGCGAAGGGCAGGACAGGAGTGGCAGCCAAGGGTAGGGAGAGTATGTGCAGGAGGCTGGCTGATGGCACCAACAGGTCAAAAGACAAAAGACCCCATTGTTTAAACAGCTGGGAGACTTGAGGAGACTCCTCAGAAGAAGGCAGTGCACACGCAGAGGCAAAGGCCCTCGTTAAGCACCCAGGTCACTGCAGATTAAAGCCACGGGAGGCGCCAACCAGAGCCGGAGCCTGGCTCCAGCATGCGCAGCACAGGCCGTGGGGCAGTCGGGGCCTCAGAGCCAGGCCCACGGGCTACAAGCTGGGGAGCGCAGGGGCAGTTTCCTTTCAGGTTAAACACGTGCCACCCAGGACCCGAGATCCCACACTGTGGTGCACAGAAGGAACCAAATGAGGCCGGGCGCGGTGGCTCACGCCTGTCATCCCAGCATTCTGGGAGGCCGAGGCGGGTGGATCATGAGGTCAGGAGATTGAGACCATCCTGGTTAACACGGTGAAACCCCGTCTCTACTAAAAATACAAAAAATTAGCGGAGTGTGGTGGTGGGCGCCTGTAGTCCCAGCTACTCGGGAGGCTGAGGAAGGAGAATGGCGTGAACCTGGGAGGCAGAGCTTGCAGTGAGCCCAGACTGGGCCACTGCACTCCAGCCAGGGCGACAGAGCGAGACTCTGTCTCAAAAAAAAAAAAGAAGGGATGAGACGCAGGGCCAGGACCTGGTGGCTCAGGGCATTGCCCGGGGCCCAGCTTCCCTTGGAGGGGCCCCACTAGCTGCCCCAGCCTTTGGGCGGCTCCTATGTGCACATCTAGGAGGGGAGGAAGGGGAGAGGCTGTGTGCTCAGGGCATCTGGGGAGGCGAAGCCACGGGAGGTTAGCAGGGAATGAACACAGGAGGGAACTGGGGGGCCACACACCAGGGGCAGAGTAGGGGATTCAGCAGACGGGAGTGACCGCAGAAGGGCCAGGGCTTGGGGACAGGACTGTGGGGCTGGACCCTGGCTCGGGGCGGGCCAGTCCGGCGCTGATAGCCTCTCTGCCACCCACGGCCCCTGAGCCTGTACGTCCTCATGTGTGCAACAGGGCTGCTGCTGCTGTCTGTCCCAAGAGGGGAATGTGTGTGCTCATTCCCCGCCCGGCAGGAGATCTGGGCCCGGCTCACTTCTTGGCAGGGACTAGAAGGAGGGAAGGGCCTGCACCAGGCTGAAGTGTCAGGATTTTCTTCTTCTTCTTTTTTGAGATGGAGTTTCGCTCTTGTTGCCCAGGCTGGAGTGCAATGGTGTGATCTCGGCTCACTGCAAACTCCGTCTCCCGGATTCAAGTGATTCTCCTGCCTCAGCCTCCCGAGTAGCTAGGATTACAGATGCCTGTCACCATACCCAGCTAATTTTTGTATTTTCAGTAGGGACAGGGTTTTGCCATGTTGGCCAGGCTGGTCTTGAACTCCTGGCCTTGGGATCCACCCGTCTC
Organism: Homo sapiens; assembly: GCF_000001405.40. NCBI lineage: Eukaryota > Metazoa > Chordata > Mammalia > Primates > Hominidae > Homo > Homo sapiens. The sequence continues at coordinate 88,777,223 of NC_000016.10, forward strand.
GGCCTCCCAAAGTGCTGGGATTACCGGCGTGAGCCACCATGCCCGGAGGACCTGCTCTTTTAGGAAAAGCACAAGGGCGTGCACCCACCAAGGAGGGAGAAAGCGAAGGCAGCGGAGGCCAGGGCAGAGCCTTACAGGCCGCCCATTGCAGGGTCCTCATTGTCACTGGCCCGCAGACACATTGCAGGGTCCTCACTGTCACTGGCCCGCAGACACATTGCGGGGTCCTCACTGTCACTGGCCCGCAGACACATTGCGGGGTCCTCATTGTCACTGGCCCGCAGACACATTGCGGGGTCCTCATTGTCACTGGCCCGCAGACAGGAAAGGAAAAGTAAATCCCCGCTGAGGCAGGGGCAGTGGGATGGACGATGGCTTCCCTTTTCAAAACTCCCTTTCATGTTGCTTTAATGATGTGTCGTTTTAAACGGTACTTTAACCATAAACAGAAATCAAGTAAATGAGGGAGCGAGGGCCGCGTGGTGGCTGAGCTGCGTAAAGGCAGACAGTGGGGGTCCCAGGCGACAGATTGCAAACTGCAGGCCTTGGGGGGTCCAGGAGGTGAGTGAGACCAAGACCAGACCTGGGGTCCTTGAGGCCCCTCCAGGGCAGGCAGCCCCAAACCCACGCCTGTGCCTTCCTTCGAGGCTCCTCCCGGGCAGGTGGCCTCCCTAAACCCACATCTGTCCCCTCCTTTGACGCCCCTCCTGGGCAGGCGGCCTCCGCAAACCTGCGTCTGTCCCTCCCGCATGGCCCTCCAGGTCTCGCCACAGCCACAAGCCTCCGGGAGCTCCTGCGGGCCTGGGAATCTGTTTAAGTCACAGTTGAGTTTCATTGTTTTCCCCGAGGCTGGAGGCTTCTAGACACACGGGAGGGAGGGCGGACAAACACACCCCAGCACTGCGGGGGTCCAGGACTCCCCTGCCTGATGCCGCTCCCGGACCGGTGTAGCTCACAGATGGGCATGGCCCGAGCCCCCTTCCTGCTTTTGGGGGTAGAGCTGTGGCACCGAGAGCCGGCCTTGTTCTTGACTCTTCCTGGGCCCATTTTAGCCGCCCATCCACAGGCAAAGGAAACCACAGGGGGTGGCTGAGGCGGCTGCTGTCCCTCTTTAGCCTGAACCTGAGGAAGGAGAAGCAGCCCCAGCTATATATACCCACAGAAAAATAGTGTGCAGATTGGAGCCTGGTAAACAGCCGGCAGCCAAACCCTGCCGGCCCGTCAGAGGGAGCCTGAAATACTCCCTGTAATTATGCTATTAAAACACACCCGAAAAATTGATCCACCCCACTCGGCAAAGGTTCCTGAGACAACGGCGGGGAATCGGGTGGCCACGCACGTCGGCCTAAGGGGCCCTGGCAGCGCCCGGCAGGACAGCCGTCCACTGCACACCTCAGAGCCGGCACCCGGGACGGTCAGCGTCCCCATGGGCCCGGCACCAGCAGCTGCCCAGATCCTCACCCGCACACAGGAAGGGTCCCTGCAACCCAGCGTCCACCGTGGAGAAACATGAACGTGAGCAAAAATACGGCCTGCGGTGGGTGTGCGACCCCACACAGAAGGGCGAGAGGCTCGTGTGCCATCCCACACACTGGGAGCCACCCACACACCCAGGCATCCAGCAGCCGCCGAGGCACAAGGCTGTGGCCCAGGGAAGGCACCTGGGGAAGCGGCCGTTCCAGCTGGGAGAGAGACCCAGAGAGCGGGGGCAGGTGGGGTGCATGGCGCGTTCACCAGAGGCTTCCCGCTGGGAACAGGGGAGGACAGAGGTTCAAAGGGTTAAAAAGGGAATTTAATCTGATTTACGACTTCACTTTTTTTTTTTTTTTTTGAGAGGGAGTCTTGCTGTCCCCCAAGCCCCCAAGCTGGAGTGCAGTGGCACGACTGTGGCTCACTGCAACCTCTACCTCCTGGGTTCCGGCGATTCTCCTGTCTCAGCCTTCCCAGCTGGGAATACAGGTGCCCGCCACCATGCCCAGCTAATTTTTGTATTTTTAGCTGAGATGGAGTTTTGCCATGTTGGTCAGGCTGGTCTCGAACTCCTGACCTCAGGTGATCCACCTGCCTCGGCTTCCCAAAGTGCTGGGATTACAGGTGTGAGCCACCGCGCCCGGCAAGGGATCCCATTTTGGACGGCGTCGGGGGAGCCCCATTTTCCTGGCACTGATCGCACTTTTCTTTCCCCGCCTGTGCTCAGCATCGCGCTTTGTGAATAAACAGCAATGACCGTGCGGGGCCCCCAACCTCCTTTCCTGGCTAGCTTGGGAGGGAGAGCAGGGAGCTCCAGCCCCACCCCAACACCCACCTCCACTGGCCCTGAACCAGAACTTGGACTTCTGGCTGCTGCCCAGAGCTCTGTCCCACAGGACCGGCGTGAGAGGATGCATGAATGAATCTGAGTGGTCGGGAATCTGCAGTGGGATGGGCTGGGCTGCAGACACCCCTGGGGACGCGCTGTGTGTGCAGCATGAGGGAGGCCGACAGCCCCACAGGTCCCAAGGAGCCTCTGTGCTCCTGGGAGCTGCCCTGTGTGCTCCGGGACCAGGCGGTGAGTGGCCCCTTCCCCTCAGCTCCATGGAGGCCCGACGGACCCCCGGCCACCGCGGCACTCAGCGCAGCTGGGAAAGCCTGTGTTGCGGGTCTCCTGGCCCCACGATTGTGCGAGGAATTCTGAGCCTTCCGGGGGGGACGGCTGTCCCGCCCCTACCCCCACCCAGCCTGGGTGTGAGATCCAAAGCCCGAGAGACCTGAGACTTGGAAGCGGCTGTGAAGCTTTTACGGTGTCACTTACAGGGGAGGAAACCCAGACCCAGAGAAGGGGGTGAGGGCCCCACACGTTCAGAGCAAGATAGGGTCGGCTGCTGCCCACGAGCCGCCACCAGGTCGGCCACCCCTCTGCCTGCCCCCGTCCTCCCAGTGACCCTGGACCCCAAGTCCCCTTCAGGTGCCTCGGCCAGCAGGTGTGGGACTCAACCGCCAAGGAGAGGAGAAGCCTTCACCCCGGGCCTGTCCCTTCCCACCAGTGTGATCTTGGGTGTGTGAATTAACTTCCCTCACCCCAGAGTCCTAATCCAAAAAATAGGCTCAACAGCCGCACCCTGAAGCCAGCAGAGGAGCTCAAAGGTCAAGAGCAGGACAGAAGGCAGATACAGAGGATGTGGGTGGGGGTAGGGGAAGGGGGGGTCCCACCTCACAGTCACCCAGGAGACTCAGGCCTCCAGGCAGGCTAAGGCAGAGAGGGGCAGGGGTTGGCTGGGAACAGCTTGCCTTTCAGAAGAACACAGGACCCACACCCAGCAAGGAAGGGTCTGTCCATGCCAGATGTGTGTGTGGGATACTGTGCTGGCTTCTAAACTGCTCTGTGAGCTAGGATTCTCTACCACAAGGAAGGGCAAACTTGCTTTTGGAACCAGAAGAAAAAGCTTATATAAACAAAGAAGCAAAAGTCTAACTGTCAGCCGGGCGCGGTGGCTCATGCCTGTAACCCCAGCACTTTTGGAGGCTGAGGCGGGCAGATCGCTTAAGGTCAGGAGTTCAAGGCCAGCCTGGCCAAAGTGGTGAAACCCCGTCTCTACAAAAAATACAAAAATTAGGTATGGTGCTACACACCTGTAATCTCAGCTACTCAGGAGGCTGAGGCAGGAGGATGGCTTGAGCCCTGGAGGCTGAAGTTGTAGGGAGCCAAAATCACGCCGCTACACTCCAGCCTGGGCGACAGAGTGAGCCTCTGTCTTTAAGAAAAAAGAGAAAAAAGCCTAACTGTCTATTTCTAAAATAGCTAAACAGAAGACTAACATTTTGTTGAATTGAAAAGGGGATTTCTGAGGCCAGAGAGGCCAGGAATGGCTTCCTGCAAGATGCGGCTCTCACTGGACCCTGACGACTGCGGTGGTCCCATCTCAGGAGTGGGCTGCAGCGGGCAGATGAGGCCGTCAAGGCCCACGGTGGTTCCCCTTCATCTTTGAGCACCGAAAGCAAATGCACTGCCGAGTCAGCACAGGAGAGACACCGCCCAGGAAGCTGCCTTGGGGCCAGGATCAGAGACTGTGCGCCCCCACCCACCCCCAGAGGAAACTTCCTCTCTGTGGGACCCTGGCAGCTGGGGCTGGAGCTCCCTGTGTCCTGGGCACCAGTGACCCGCTGCGGGACGAGCACCCGCTGTGACCCATCCTCAGCTCCTGGGCAGTCCCTGGCCCCTTCCCCAAACACGCACACATGTGCACACTCACACCTGCAGCCCTTGGTGCTGTGAGGCAGGCCCCAGGCTCTCCTGCTGACTCATCCAGCCTCCAGGCCCAGCATGGGGACAGAGTGCGCCCCTCTGTCACACCAGGGAGCTGATGCTCAGAAGGGGCCCCCAAGCCACAGAGGAAAGCAGCTCCCACCCTACTCTGCCACGGCCATGCTCTTCCCAGCACCCTCGGATGGGACAGGCCAGGGTTCTGTGCAGGTCCTGAGACCCGGGCACAGGCCTCCGAAGGGTGACTCTGCCATGCTCAGCTCAGAGGGTCTGCACTGCTGAGCAACTGTGAGCCGAGTGCCTGCTGTTCCCCAGCTTCTCGGCCGCCTCCCAGGAGTGGTGAGACCCTGATGGTGACAATGTTCTGAAAAAGGAGGCAGCATCCCTCATGCTAAATGGTGACACTTCTCAGTGACAATCAGCCTGAAGGAGGTGACGCCCAGCTTGCCGGCCGTGGGTGTGCCCCTAGGCTGTGCCACGAGGCACCCTGAAAAGCAGAAGCCATATTGTCAGCCCACGTGGGTGTCCCACAGTCAGTGACACGGTGGCTCCTCTCGCACCAGCTGGCTTTCCGCAGCCCTGTCTAGATTTCCCACTGATAGAACTGGAGGTGCGGTCCCATATTATCAGAATCACAAATGTCCTGCCCTTTTTTTTCCTTTTTCTTTTTTGAGACAGGGTCTGTCACCCAGGCTGGAGTGCAGTCATACAATCATGGCTCACTGTAGCCTCCAACTCCTGGACTCAAACAATCATCCCACCTTGGCCTCCTGAGTAGCTGGGACTACAGGTGCACTACCACCATGCCCAGCTAATTTTTAAATATTTTTCATAGAGATGGGGATCTCTACGTTGCCCAGGCTGCTCTCGAATGGCTACGCTCAAGCAATCCTCCCACCTTGGCCTCCCGAAGCTCTGGGATTACAGGTGTGAGCCATCGCGCCCAGCCCTGCCCTGACATCTCTCTAGAAGAGATGGGCCCTGATCCCCCAAGGCTCCAGCAACATTAGGTGAGACTGCTGAAGGAGGCCCCTGCTCCCTGTGGGTGGGGCAGCTCCCTGCCAGATTTTTGGGTAATGATCCTGCACTGGAGAGGGAGGGCGTGGGGGCCAGGGGCACCCCAGGATGACTCAAACCCTCACCAGGCACTGTCTGAGCCAGCGCAGGCACACACTGACTAATGCCTTCTGAAGGCCTCATTCATTTCCAAAACACGGTAGAACTGCTTCCAGCCAAAGCTCGCCAGAGAGGGAGGGGGCACTCCAAAGACAGCAAAGCCAGTGTCCCACCTCCGGCCAGGCCAGCTGAACCTGCACATCGCGGGTCCATCTGGAGCTGCCCACACCCCAGGGCCAGAGAGCCTGACTCAGGAGTCCCGGCCAGCAGGCAGGCAGGCAGGGTTCTTGGCCGGCTCCACTTCCATCTCCCCCAGGTGACTGAGAGAAAACACTGAGTGAGGCCCAGGCCCCACGCCCCATCCCCAGACACAGAATCAGTGTGGGGTATGGCCCGGGCTTCAGCATCTTTCAAATTAAGAGACTTTATTTGGGACCAGTTTTAGGTTTAAGGAAAGTACCATACAGACAGACAGTCAGTCATCACTATTCTTTAAAAGTTTCATAGAAGACTGACACGGGGCCTGGGTGAGCACCCCTGGGCTACCTCCCCATCCTCCCCAAGGAGGCCAAAAGCAAGAAGAACAGTGATCCCTCCCCCAGATCCCCCACGCGGATAGCAATCGAGAAGGCAGAACCCAGGCCCCCTGACCAATGCCCAGGGGGCAGCAAACCACATGTGCCACAGAATCGGGCTCAACACCTGTTTAGGTACAGCCCATGAACTCAGGAGGGCTTTTACATTTAATGGCTGGAAAAATACCAGAAGAAGAAGATTTTGTGACATGAAAATATTTACCATCTGGTCATTTAAAGAAAAACATTGCCAACTCTGCCCAAGGAGCAGCTGCCATCTGAGAGGGGGGGCATTCCCTGCAGGGAGGACACCCGCTCCCACTCAGACACAAGAGGAAATGGAACGATCAGTGTGAACGGGACGTTTCAGAAGCTTTCCTGTTTCCCTCTCTAAGGCCTGTCAGCTCTAGACTCTGCCTCTGTGCCAGGCTGTCCTGCTTGTTTTCAAGGCACAGGAAGGAACACAGCCGGGCCCTGTTTACGGCCCATCTGACCCTGCACTGGGAGCAGGTCCCAGGCTGCCCAGTCCACACAGGGCTGACCGCACTGAAGAGAGTTGCTCAAAACCTCTCCTCTCCAGCCTCAATGGTTTTCATTGATTCCTGTCTAGAAAATCTTCCCCAAGTTTCACCACCTTTCTGTGCGACCGATCAAAACGCAGTCTGTCTGGGAGCCTCAGGCAGGCGGCTCTAGATCCCCAAAGCTAGCGCTGGGCGAGCTCCCACCTGGAGCGAGGCAAGGGCTCCGAAAGGGCTTTTACAATCAAAAGGCCCCACCTGCCGTGTCCATGGCGGACTCCCAATGCAAACCGTCCCACTTGTCCGTGGGTTAATTCCATCCGACTGCTTCCCAGATCAATCACACGTGGGGAGCCCCCGGGCGGAGGGCGCGGACCCTGGGTCCCGGCTAGGCCAGGGTCGGGGAAGGGTAGGGGTGCCAGGCCGTGCAGCACCAAGCCACCCGGGTGTGCTTCGCGAAAGGGGCACCACTGCCCGGCAAGCAGGGAACACAGATGCCAGGACTGGGGACCCCTGCCCCGCCCTGACACCAGGCCACAGCCTCCGGGGGTGTCCCCTCCCCCAGACCAGGGCAGAGGCCGGCCCCCGCCCCTGCGAAACTGAGCCCAGTAGGGCAAGGGAGGACCAGGGAGGAACCCACACTATTTTTTTCCAAAGTGTGGGACCGCCTCAGTCCGGCAGAGGGGGGTGCAGCGGTGAGCGGGGCTGGGCCCTGGGCACGGACGTTCGTTGGGCTCGGGAAGCTCCAAATTAAACAGCTCCAGGCAGGAAGCCCGCCTTCTCCCAGATTGTCAGGAAGTCCTGATGCAACTTTGCGCTTTTTTTTTTAAACCCGAAAGAGAAAAAGAGATTCGTGCTCCCCCCACCACCGCCGCGGCCCTTCCCACCGGGGCAAACACCGCCTCGCCCGGCGGCCTCCTCTCCGCAGCGCCCCGGCGGAGACGCCAGCCGCGCTATGCCCGGCGCTCGCTCGACCGCCCCCGTGGGCACGCGGTGCCGTCTCCCCCAGCCGCCGCCGCCCTTCCAGCCCGGCCCTGGGACAGGAGCCCCGCCGCCGCCTGGCGCGCTCATGCTTCAGGAATGCGGGCGCCCGGGTCGCGCGTCCCTGGGAATTTCCGCGCCCGCTCGCCCGCAGCCCTCGCCCCGGCCGGCGTCGTCCGGTGTCCAGGCCGTGGGGAGCCGAGACGCAGCCCCCTCCCGTCGCCCCCAGGCGCCCGCCCCCCACTCACCAGCCAGCAGCGCGCAGGGCAGCAGCAGCCAGTACAGGACCGCGCCGAGCACGTGCGGCTCCATGGCTGGAGGGCCCAGGGCCCGGCCCAGACCGAGCGGACGCCGCGGCGCTATGGGGCGGTGCGGGGGCCCCGGGGCCGGCGCGCCATGGCTGACCCGCGGGGACCCGCGCGCCGCCTTCTCCTCTTCCTCCTTCTCCTTCGGCCGCCCCGCCGGTGCCGACGTCCCGGGCCCGCGCTCGCTCAGGCGACCGCCCTGCCCCTCGGCGGAGCGCAGCGCTCGGCTCACTGGGGCCGAGCTGGGCCGGACGGCGGCTCCCGCCCTCCTCCGCCCGCGGGCCTTTATAAGCTCGGCCCCCTCCCGCCCTCCCCGGCGTGCCCGCCTCCGCGCTTCCCCGACGGCCCGGCGCGCCCAGGCACCCCCTCCGCTGTCCCGCGCGGCCCGTCCCGCCTCCGGCCCGCCCTGGTGCGTTGGGGCCTGGAGACCCCCGACTGGCGCTGGCCCGGAGCGGACCCCTCCCCTCCCGCAGTCTTGGCCCCGCGGCTCCGAGCGTGCGCGGCGGTGGGCAGGGGCGCTTCTCGCTGGGTGGGCTGCGGCTGGGGCCCGGGCGCTACATAAGGGGTCCCGGGGCCTCTGGCTCCCCCAGGCAGCGCCCCACGCGCAACTGCACCCCGCGTGCCCGAGCGACTTTCGCTTTGCTCCCCGAGGCGCGAGCACGCAGCGCCCCCTGGGGACCGTGGGGAGGCTCGGAGTTCCCGCGGCGGCCGGGCCTAGTGGTCCCGGAGGGAGCACGCGGGATGCTCGGGTCGCAGCAGTGCCGCGATCCGCGTTGGTCTGACGGGGGCTCGGGGGCTGCTCCCAGCCACGCCGGCCACCGCGCGCGGCTTTGCCCGGGTCGCTCTGGCGTGAGACGGTGAGAGTGAGAGCCACGGCCTGTGCACCTGCTGCCGCGGCGCCCTGCCACGGAGAGGTAGGGTCTGAGTCCAGGGTGTTCGGGACCCTCACCCAGGCCACGTCAGTTTGGCCTTCGTCTGCCCTTGAGATGGGCACAGAAAGAGGGCAAAGGGCTCTACACCGTTTAATTGGGCTCAGTTCATGGCTCTCAAACTCAGCTGCGTAAGGCAGGGAGTGGGGCTGGGGGGACTGTGGCCACTGAGCCTCAAGGCACTGGCAACTCATGAGAGCCCAGCACAAGCCCACACCCTCCAGCTCAAAAAAAAAAAAAAAAAAAAAAGATGGCGGGGCAGTGGCTCAGGCCTGTAATCCCAGCACTTTGCGGGGCTGAGGCAAGGGGGTAGGGGGTCGGGGGATCACTTGACGTCAGGAGTTCGAGACCAGCCTGGCCAACATGGTGAAACCCCGTCTCTACTAAAAATACAAAAATTAGGCCGGGCGCGGTGGCTCACGCCTGTAATCCCAGCACTTTGGGAGGCCGAGGCGGGTGGATCACCAGGTCAGGAGATCGAGACCATCCTGGCTAACACGGTGAAAACCCATCTCTACTAAAAACATAAAAAATTAGCCGGGCGTGGTGGCGGGCTCCTGTAGTCCCAACTACTCGGGAGGCTGAGGCAGGAGAATGGCATCAACCCAGGAGGCGGAGCTTGCAGTGAGCCGAGATAGCGCCACTGCACTCCAGCCTGGGCGACAGAGCCAGACTCCGTCTCAATAAATAAATAAATAAATAAATAAATAAATAAATAAATATACAAAAATTAGCCGGGCGTGATGGCAGGCGCCTGTATTCCCAACTACTCAGGAGGCCGAGGCAGGAAAATCGCTTGAACCTGGGAGGCAGAGGTTGCCGTGAGCCGAGATCATGCCATTGCACTCCAGCCTGAGTGACAAGAACGAAACTCCATTAAAAAAAAAAAAACCACCCAGAAATGGAGATTTTCATGGGAAGTCTAGTGTTTAAAGGCTGATATAGGCCGGGTGCGGTGGCTCACGCCTGTAATCCCAGCACTTTTGGAGGCCGAGGCGGGTGGATCACGAGGTCAGCAGATGGAGACCATCCTGGCTAACACGGTGAAACCCCATCTCTACTAAAAATACAAAAAATTAGCCGGGCGCGGTGGCGGGCGCCTGTAGTCCCAGCTACTCGGAAGGCTGAGGCAGGAGAATGGCGTGAACCCGGGAGGCGGAGCTTGCAGTGAGCCGAGATCACCCCACTGCACTCCAGCCTGGGCAACAGAATGAGACTCCATCTCAAAGAAGAAAAAAAAAAAAGGCTGATTTACTTTCTCTGCAAGTCTCACCCTCTGGTCAGGCTTTGAAAAGTTGCTGCAGAGGTGGGGAAGTCTGGGAGCTTGCCCTGCAGATGGACTTGCAAAGGTAGAGGATGTATGTGTCCTAGAATTGTTCAAGCAGCAAAAAGCAGAAAAACTCTGCCCACAGAAGCTTGTCAAATAAATGATAGCGTGTCTCACAGTGGAGTGCTACACAGCAGGTAAAAAACAGAATCCGGCTAGGTGTTTTGTATCAACATGAAGCTAAGATACAATGGCACTCTGTAGCAGCGGTTAGAGAGAATCCCGCAATTGCTCTGTTATCAAGGAGGAACAATTGCTAAGTTACAGTGCTAACAATTGGGAAAAGCAAGCAGCTACACTCAGGGCCACGCTCACCCACTTGGGGTGGGAGGGAGACCTGGTCTTCACCTATACCCTTTGGTGCTGTTTTAATATTTTGCTTCATACATAATTCACTTATTCACAAAATAAAATTAGCAAAATGGAGACAAATACTCTGAAAAAGATCTCTGCTTGCCAGCCAGGGAGAGGTGGGGCGGGCAAGGGCAGGGGAGCCCACCTGTGCCCAGTTCACTGCCCGTTCAGGAATTTGGACCGTGTTCTAACTCAACCCCTGTTGCAGAAGAGGACGCTAAGGGCCAGAGCGGGATAACCATTTGCCAAAGGAATAGACCGGCCTTTGCACCCAGCTTTCCAGATTCCAAGTCCAAAGTCACTCCTGTCCCACTGACCCACAGCTGGGAGCCCTTTCTCAACTTGCTGTTGCTTTTTATTTTTGTCACTGTTTAAAACAGTGATTTATTTTTTATTTTATTGTATTTTCTTGAGACAAAGTCTGCCACTGTTGTCCAGGCTGGAGTGCAGTGGAGCAATCTCGGCTCACTGCACCCTCCGCCTCCTGAGTTCTAGTGATTCTCCTGCCTCAACCTCCCAAGTAGCTGGGATCACAGGCGTGTGCCACCACACCTGGCCAACTTTTGTATTTTTAGTAGAGATGGGATTTCAAAATGTTGGCCAGGTCTTGAACTCCTGACCTCAAATGATCCGCCTGCCTTGACCTCCCAAACTGCTGGGATTACAGGTGTGAGCCACCATGCCCGGCCAGTGACTTAGTCTTGGGAGAGCAACAATGGTCAGGTCCCCTTGGGAGAGAGGAAAAGCCAGGGCAAGAGGGGTCACAGGGACTTTAAGCTTTATCATGCAGGTTGTAACTTTTTCCCCAATGATAACATAGTCACCATTACTTGTCTATACTTAAAAATTAATTTCAGGCTGGGTGTGGTGGCTCACGTCTGTAATCCCAACACTTTGGGGGCCTAAGGCAGGAGAATGGCTTGTGGCCAGGAGTTGGAGACCAGCCTGGACAACACAGCAAGACCCCATCTATACAAAAAATAAAAATTAGCCAGGCATGCCAGGCAGGCATGGTGCCTCATGCCTGTAATCCCAGCACTTTGGGAGGCTGAGGCGGGTGGATCACAGGGTCAGGAGTTCGAGACCAGCCTGGCCAACATGGTGAAACCCTGTCTCTACTAAAATACAAAAATTAGCCAGGCGTGGCAGCAGGCACCTGTAATCCCAGCTACTCGGGAAGCTGAGGCAGAATCGCTTGAACCCGGGAGGCAGAGGTTGCAGTGAGCCAAGACCATGCCATTACACTCCAGCCTGGGTGACAGAGCGAGACTCCGCCTCAAAAAAAAAAAAAATTAGCCAGATGTGGTGGTGCCTGCCTGTGGTCCCGGCTACTTAGGAGGCTGAGGTGGGAGGATCTCTAGAGCCCAGGAGGTGGAGGCTGCAGTGAGTAGTGATGGCGCCACTGCACTCCGGCCTGGACAACAGGCCAAGACCCTGTCTCAAAAATAATAATAATTTTGGCCGGGCACTGTGGCTCACACCTGCAACACCAGCACTTTGGGAGGCTGAGGTGGGTGGATCACTTGAGGTCAGGGGTTCAAGACCAGCCTGGCCAACATGGTGAAACCCTGTCTCTACTAAAAATACAAAAATTAGCCGGGCATGGTAGCGCATGCCTGTGGTTCCAGCTACTCGGGAGGCTGAGGCGGGAGAATCGCTTGATCCCAGGAGGTGGAGATTGCAGTGAGCTGAGATCATGCCACTGCACTCCTGCCTGGGTGAAAGAGCAAGACCCTGTCTCAAAAAAAGTAATAAAATAAATAATAATTTCAAGAGGCAGCAACCCCAGAGTCTGTTAATGGAGTGTAGAAACAAAATGTGGTCTGTTCATACAATCTGATATTATTTGTCCATAAAAAGAAATGAAACTCTGATGTACGCTACAACAGGGATGAACTTGTGTGTGTGTGTGTGAGACAGGGTCCCGCTCTGTCACCCAGGCTACCAGGCTAGATTGCAGTGGTGCAATCATGGCTCCCTGTAACCTGGACCTCAGGCTCAAGGAAGCCTCCCACCTCAGCCTCCCAAGTAACTGGAACTACAGGCATGCACTGCCACACCCAGCCAATTTTTTTTCCCATAGAGATGGGGTCTTGCTATATTGCCCACGCTGGTCTCAAACTCCCAGGCTCAAGCGATCCTCCTGCCTTGGCCTCCCAAGGTGCTGGGATCACAGGTGTGAGCCACCGCGCCAGCACGGGGCTGGGGGACGTGGAGGGAAGGGAGCCAGGCACAGAAGGAAGACACCATGTGGCTCTGTGTACGTGAAATGTCTATGGAGACAGACAGCAGAGGGTGGTTACCAGGCCAGAGGGGGAAGTGGGCAGCTGTTGTTTAACAGTGGCAGAGTTTCTCTTTGGGGTGATAAAAAGGTTCTGGAAATAGTAGTGTTGACACAACATTGTAAATGTGCTTAATGCCTCCAAATTGGACACTTAAAAATGATTTAAAAGGTACATTTATATTATGTACTTTGACCATGATAGACAATTTTAAGAAATATGTACGTGGTTAAAACAATTTTCAGGCTGGGTGCAGTGGCTCGTGCCTGTAATCCCAGCACTTTGGGAGGCCGAGGTGGGAGGATCACCTGAGGTGGCGAGTTCGAGACCAGCCTGGCCAACATGGCAAAACCTCATCTCAAATAAAACTACAAAATTAGCTGGGCGTAGTGGCGCATGCCTGTAATCCCAGCTACTCGGGAGGCTGAGGCAGGAGAATTGCTTGAACCCAGGAGGCGGAGGTTGCAGTGAGTCGAGATCGTGCCATTGCACTCCAGCCTGGGTAACAAGAGTGAAACTCCATCTCAAAAACAAAAACAAACAAGAAACGATTTTCAAGCAGTGGACTCTATGCCTCCCTCGCAGCCAGGATCCCTCCCCAGAGGCAACCACAGTCTCTGTGTCTTCCACATACTGCTTTCCTGACTCCTTGTCAGGGACTGTGAGATTCGGGAACTTCTTGTTTTATTTCCCTGAGTGAATTCCCATTGGGTTCCCCAGCCTCCCTTTCCTGGAAACCAAGAACAGGAACTGATCAGCAGGGCACAAACTCCCACCTGTTCCTGCCGAGGGTCCTGGGTTCTTCTAAGGGGTGATCCCAGCCGGGGCACCGAGCTGGGGGCTCTGCAGACCAAACAGGCAAAAGGCCGTTTCTTCACAGGCAGCAGACAAGTTCCCACTGCCCGTGCATCTGATTCCCCGCCCCCGCCCCCGCTCTTTCGCAGCCCCAGCCGAGGGAGGAAGCCTGCGGTCACTGCCATCACTGCCTGCCTCTGTGGCAGCCAGGCCTGGTCCTCAGGGAAGCTCTGAAGCTGGGCAGCGTGTGCCCAAGCCATGCCTCTCACTGCCTTGAGGTCTTGGATAAGCTACAGAGCCCCAGGAGCCTCAACCCCCTCCTCGCCTGTAAAGCAAGGGTCCTGCCTGCTGCTGCTCAGAGGAGGGTTGAGTGAGACACCCGCGTGGAACACACCTGGGAAACAGCATGTGCTCTCCTGCCTTTTGGGAGGACACAAACTTCAGGTACTTCGCAGACAACTAACGTACCAGCCGTGATATGCCATGATATCCCACGGGGAGGGGAGAAGAGGGGAGGGGAGGGGAGAGGAGGAGAATGGAGGGGAAGAGAGGGGAGGGGAGGGGAAGAGAGGGGAGGAGAGGGGAGGGGAAGAGAGGGGAGGGGAGGAGAGGGGAGGGGAGGAGAGGGGAGGGGAGGGGAGGGGAGGGGAGGGGAAGGAAGGAGAGGGGAAGGGAGGGGAGGGAGGGGAGGGGAGGGGAGGGAGGGGAGGGGAGGGGAGGGGAAGCCTCACTCTCATCCCCCATGGCTGGCCTCAGTAAACATCCTCCTCTCCCACCCACCTGCTCTCCGGGAGCCGACCTGCGGGCCCCTGCCACCTGCCTGCCTGAAGCTGGCATTCGGCTCCATCCATGCTCAGGGTGCTACCTTGCCGACGTCAGCAATGGACCTGCCTGGGCACCTGTGGCTTGAAGTCTGGCCTGGAACCTGCCTGCTTGCCTCGGCGGCCAGCTGAGAGTTAGAAGGTTGGCATTAGGACCCCGCAATGTGGCCAGGAACCCTGTGACAAACCCCTACCAGCAGCAAAGGGGGCACTGAGGCCCCTAAGCTGTGGCGAGGAAGCTGGGATGAAGACGCCGATCCGTCCCTGGCTCTCACCATCCCCACCTCGCCAGTAAAACCAGAGCCCAACTGGATGCGCTGATGGGAAGGACGCGGCCAACACTAACCTGGAGACCAAGGGCCCAGGCTGGAGCGCAGATGCTGCCCCGAGTGAAGATGAACCACGTGCTCTCCTGCAGCCACCCATGTGGTCTTGTGGCCCCGCGTGGTCTCGTGGAGTAAATGCAGTGCTCGGGGCTTCAGAGACAGGCACAGTGGGCTGGAACCGGGATCCGCCCCGCCCTCCAAGCTCGGCCCCCAGTAGGGTCTCTGAGGAGCAGCGGTGGCTGCTCGGGCCCTGCTTGGGAGGGTACAGAATTGCTGACTGCTCCGGGCAGCAGTGGGGATGAGCTGAGCATCACCCGGGTGAAGAGCTGGAAGTCCTGGAACCAGCCTGGCCCCCAGCTCAGTACCCGCAGGCGCCTCTGCCCTGCTGACTCACCCACCCCCACTTCTGGCCCACCCAGTGGCTGGCTTTCCTGGGGGCCTGGTCATAGCTGAAAGGGGAGCGACCGGCCCCCTGCCGCCTGCCATGTCCTGCCCACACTTCTGGGTCCAGACCCTCCGGGCTGCTTGAGGGTGGAGCAGGTCATGTGTGGCCCTCGGAGTCCAGGCTTTCAGGCAGTACCCAGGACAGAGGAGGTTTTCACAGACAGTCCTTTCCTCACTCTGAGGCTCCCACGTGCATTTGGAGCATTTGGTGCATTTGGTGACTCTGGCCCCGTGCTGATCCCACAGATGGAGGTCACAGTGAGGCGCAGAGCCCTGCGTGGGTGGCTGGGTGGCGTCCTCTCATGCCCTGGGGCTCTGGTTGGGAGCAACAAAGGGAGAAAGGAGGTCTGGGGGCATTCAGGCCCAAGGGAGCAGGACAGGGACCTTCTGTCTTCAGTCCCCTCCTCTCGGCTCAACACAGCAGCCATACCCCCTCCTCACTGCTCAGTCCCCCCACTGCACCAACCACACAGGGCCATGGAATCCCCCAGGGCCATTGTCCTCAGTCCCGACTCCCCTTGGAATGCTGTCCCCCACCTGCCAAATCCCTCCTCCACCTTCCAGCAGTCCCTGCCTCTGAGCCCTTCCTGACTGCCCAGAGCTCACCTCACTCTGCTTCGACCCCTTGAGGCTCCCCTAGCATGTCCTCGGGATGTAACCATCTGTGGCCCTGGGGCTCCCTGGAGCTATGTCTCAGGTGACTGTATCCCCAGGGCCATGAGGAGGTTCACTCCATGCCTGACGAGTGACCATGAGGTCAGTGGCCACTGCAGATGACTGACCACTCACCACAGCCACCGGGCCACAGCTCAGCGTGTCCACAGGCAGTGACGTCACATGGGCCCTGGCCGAGCCCTTCCCCTGCCCACTCCTGCCCCTGCCTTTTGCTCAGAGCTTCTTTGTTGCCAGGGAGGCCGAGATGCCCAGGACCCACCCACGCCCATGGGCGCCATCCAGAGGGGAGCACAGCTGACCCTCCGTCAATGAGAGCTGGTGCAGAAACTCTTCTCCCCCTCCCCTGCACAGCATGAGGTGTGTTCCACCCGCTGCCTGGAGGACCCTCGTGTGTGACTGTGTGGTCGGCTGCACGTTGACATGGCCAGCTCCAGGACGCGCCGTCCATGGGCTCCTGTCCGTCCTGCCTCACTCTCCCCGCCGCTCACGCCTCTCTGGGGTTGCCCACCCCAGCAGGAAGGCTCTGCCTCGGGCTCTGCCTTCCGGGCATTCGGGGTTGAGAGAGCCCCCATCAAGAAAGCGTGTGTTTCCGGGGCACTCCCAACAGCAGCTGGTCTGAGGACAGCGCAGACCCCACAGCGGGGGCCCCTGGACAGAGATAAGGCCCCCCACACCCCCAGAGGGCAGCTCTCCCCATAGACATGTTCGCCGCATGGGCCAACCACCCTCATGTCCACTGGGAACCTCCCTCTCAGGTTCCTTTGAGCTTCCCGGCCTGACCTGCAGACCTCGGCCCCAAGCTGGCAGTTACTGGGGCGGAGCTCAGCCCGGGGGCCCCAAGCTGGCAGTTACTGGGGCGGAGCTCAGCCCGGGGGCCCCAAGCTGGCAGTTACTGGGGCGGAGCTCAGCCCGGGGAACACTCCACCCCTGCAGCAGGGCTACACCGTCGCCAGGCAGAACGTCTCCCACCGGCAAGCCTCGAACCCGGGGTGTAAAGCCGTGACAGTCCATAGGGGGTTTTACCTGGGAAGTCTCCTGGTCCCATTAAAGAAAGCAAGCAAGCAGCCCAGGCCTCCTTATATTCCCACCGATTCCCTCCGCCCTCTATATTCCCATCCATTGCTACTTGAATTGACCTTTACAAGGAGTCATTGCCCCAGGGCGTGAGTTCTATCACCTGGGGCTAGGATTGTATCACCTGGAGCTTCCGTTGTATTATCTGGAGGTAAGGTTATATTTTATTTTATTTTATTGTTTTTTGAGATGGAGTCTCACTCCATTGCCCAAGCTGGAGTGCAGTGGTGCTATCTTGGCTCACTGCAACCTCCACCTCCCAGGTTCAAGCAATTCTCCTGCCTCAGCCTCCTGAGTAGCTGGGAGGCACCTGCCCCCACACCCGGCTAATTTTTGTATTTTTAGTAGAGACAGGGTTTCGCTGTGTTGGCCAGGCTGGTCTTGAACTCCTGGCCTCAAGCAATCTACCTGCCTCGGCCTCCCAAAGTGCTGGGATTATAGGCAGGAGCCGCTGTGCCCAGCCCAACCCCGCGAGCTTTTTTTTTTTTTTTTTTTTTTTTTAATAGGCAGGGTCTTGCTTTGTTGCCCAGGCTGGAGTGCAGTGGCACAATCACCATTCACTGCAGCCTCAGCCTCCTGTGCTCAAGCAGTCCTCCCACCTCAGCCTCCCAAGTAGCTGGGACTATAGGTGCATGCCGCCTTTCCTGGCTAATTCTTTTTTTTTTTTTTTTGAGACACAGTTTTACTCTGGAACACAGTAGCATAATCTCAGTTCAGTACAGCCTCCACCTCCCAGGTTCAAGCCATCCTCCCCCTTCAGCCTCCTGAGTAGCTGGGATTACAGGTGTGCACCACCATGCCCAGCTATTTTTTGTATTTTTAGTAGAGACATGTTTTTGCCATGTTGGCCAGGCTGGTCTCGAACTCCTAGCCTCAAGCAATCCACCTGCCTCAGCCTCCCAAACTGCTGGGATTACAGGCGTGAGCCACCATGCCTGGCCTTCTTGTTGGGATTACAGGGGTGGGCCACCGTACCTGGCCCTCTGCCACCATTGCTAACCATCAGTGGCTTCCTGTTTCTTTTTTTTTTTAAGAGGAAGTCTTGCTCTGTCACCCAGGCTGGAGTGCAGTGGCATGATCTTGGCTCACTGCAACCTCCACCTCCCAGGTTCAAGCGATTCTCATGCCTCAGCCTCCTGAGTAGCTGGAATTACAGGCATGTGCCACTATACCCGGCTAATTTTTTTGTATTTTTAGTAAAGATGGGGTTTCATCATGTTGGCTAGATTGGTCTCGGACTCCTGACCTCAGGGATCTGCCTGCTTTGGCCTCCCAAAGTGTTGGGATTACAGGTGTGAGCCACTGCGCCTGGCCTGGCTTCCTGTATCTTGAGGGCTGCCTATGAGGCAGGCGCGCTGCAGGCATGCTCCATGAACCCTTATGACAGCTTCCTGGGCAGACACTATGGTCTCCTAAGTGGGACCAGGTCATGGGCCCACACCACATGTGAAGGTCCCTAGAGAAGCCGGCATGTGCCCTCATCTGGAGTCCATTTACTCCCTCATCTGAACACCATGGGCCTTTGCCCAGGTTGCCCAGCTCATTCAGGCTCCTCCTCAGACACAGAAATGTTAAAACAAGAAACCTAGTCTTGCAGGGTGCAGACTATGGGCTCATGCCCATAATCCCAGCACCTTGGGAGGCTGAGGCAGGAGGATCACTTGAGGCCAGGCATTTGAGACCAGCCTGGGAAACATAGGGAGACCATGTCTCTACAAAAAAATGTTTTAAAAGTCCAGGCATGGTGGCTCATGCCGATAGTCCCAGCATTTTGGGAGGCCAAGGTGGGAGGATCTCTTGAGCCCAAGAGTTCAAGACCAACATGGGCAACATAGTGAGACCCTATCTCTACAAAAAATTATAAAAATTTGGCCACGTGTGGTGGCTCACACCTGTAATCCCAGCACTTTAGGAAGCCAAGGTGGGAGGATCATCTGAAGTCAGGAGTTCCAGACCAGCCTGGCCAACATGACGAAACCCCGTCTCAACTAGTAGAACGTGGTGGCGCACGCCTGTAATCCCAGCTTCTTTGGAGGCTGAGTTATGAGAATTGCTTGATCCTAGGAGGTGTAAGTTTCAGTGAACCTAGATTGTGTCACTGCGCTCCAGCCTGGGAGACAGAGAGATCCATCTCAAAATAAATAAAATAAAATAAAATAAAATTAGCTGGGCATGGTGGCCCTTGCATGTAGTCCCAGCTACTTGGGAGGCTGAGGCAGGAGGATCACTTAAGCCCAGCACTACGAGGGTGAACTATGATTGCACTCCAGCCTGGGTGACAAACAGAGTGAGACCTTCCTGGGTAAAAAATAATAATAATAAATAGACCTGGTCTTGCCTGTCCTGAGTGTAAGACTCCATTTCCCTCAGGGGAAGACCAAATGTTCCCTGAGGCTGAAACCCCTGAAACAGCCTTTCCTATCTGCACCTCCTCCTCACTGCCCAAACCCGGGAACCAGCCTAGCCCAGCTCCTGCCAGGAACAGCCTCTCTCCCAGGCTCTGACAGCTGCCTCCCTGCAGCTTCAGTCCCCGGGGAAGCTGAGTTCACAGTTCTCTGGAGAGGCGTAAACCAGCCTGTTTAAGGTGTGCTGCCCCGCTGGAAGCTCACCATGACTCCCCAGGCTCCCAGCACAGTGCCTGGAGCATAGTAGGTGCTCAATTAATGTTCTTGAATGAATGATCATCTTCCTCCAGCCTGAGTCCTTGAGCACTAAGCTAACCTCCATGTCTGCCAGGCGAGGAGCCCTCAGTGCAGGGCCACATCTTATTCACCCTGGACTTTTGGGGGCATCGGCTCCCCCTGGTTTGTAGTAGGGCCTTCAAAGTTGTGAAATCAAGGAACATCTATGAAGCCCCTCAAAGGTAGACCACCTAGGGGTGCCTGTTGGAGGCAGGGCAGATGCCCACCCTCACCTGTGGGTGGAGAAGAAGGAACCCCTGGGTGCGTGTTTGCTTTGCACATGCTGGGAAGCAGCTGGGCCTTCCTCCTGGGGTAAGCACTGCAGCTCTAGAGGGTAAGCTGAGGGCACCACCCACGCGTTATTTTTTGTTATTTGTACAGTTCCAGCATTCTCCCTAAAGTGCCTTTTTTTCTTTTGAGACAGGGTCTCGCTGTGTCTCTGTCCTAGGCTGGAGCACAGTGGCACCATCATAGCTCACTGCAGTTTTTACACCTGGACTCAAGTGATCCTCCCACCTTGACCTCCCAAAGTGCTGGGATTACAGGCATGAGCCACCATACCCAGCCGTTAATAACTTTTTTTTTTTTTTTTTTTGAGACGGAGGCTTGCTCTGTCGCCCAGGCTGGAGTGCAATGGCGTGATCTCGGCTTACTGCAAGCTCCGCCTCCGGGGTTCAAGTGATTCTACTACTTCAGCCTCCCGAGTAGCTGGGATTACAGGCACGCGCCACCAGGCCCGGGTAATTTTTGTATTTTTAGTAGAGACGGGGTTTTACCATGTTGGCCAGGATGGTCTTGAACTCCTGACCTCAGGTGATCCGCCCATCTTGGCCTCCCAAAGTGCTGGAATTACAGGCATGAGCCACTGTACCCGGCCTAATTCTACTTTAATTACTTTTAAACACTATTTGATTATTGAAAAACTTTTTAGCATACTTGGAACAAGTTGGGAGTGTGAATCCACTTTTCAAGATGTGAATTTTACAAAATCTACATCAAAGATCAAATAGGCCAGGCACGGTGGCTCATGCCTGTAATCCCAGCACTTTGGGAAGCGGAAGTGGGCAGATCACCTGAGGTCAAGAGTTCATGACCAGCCTGGCCAACATGGTGAAAACCTGTCTCTACTAAAAATACAAAAATTAGCCGGGCGTGAGGGTGGGCGCTGTAATCCCAGCTACTCGGGAGGCTGAGGCAGGAGAATCACTTGAACCCAGGAGGCAGAGGTTGCAGCAAGCCGAGACCGCGCCATTGCACTCCAGCCTGGGCGACAAGAGCAAAACTCTGTCTAAAAAAAAAAAAAAGGATCATATAATTCCATGAAAATGGAGCTTCCTTGAAACTGAGATGTGCTGTAAGTGTAAAATATACACTAGATTTCAAAGACCGGTGTTTAGAATTGGTGATTATACTTAGAGATTATGTCACTGATGATGGTGCTGATGGTGATGGTGGTGATAATGGTGGTCACGGTGATGATAATGAAGGTGGTCATGATGGTGATGGTTGTGAGAATGGTGAGATGGCACAATTGTGATGATGGTGATGGTGATGGTGAGGATGGTGATGATGATGATGGTGGTGATGGTGAGGATGGTGGTGATGATGGTGAAGGTGGTGGTGATGATAATGGTGATGGTAATGATGGTGGTGATGGTGATGATGGTGGTGATGACGGTGATGATGGTGATGGTGAGGGTGGTAATGGTGGTCCTGGTGATGATGATGTTGAAGGTGGTGATGGTGATACGGGTGATCATGAGGAAGATGGCAGTGATAATTACGATGGTGATGAGAAAAATAGTGTGAAATATCTCATTAATGAATTTTGGCTGGGCATGGTGACTCACACCTGTAATCCCAGCACTTTGGGAGGCCGCGGCGGGTGGATCACCTGAGGTCAGGAGTTTGAGACGAGGCTGGCCAACATGGCAAAACCCTGTCTCTACTAAAAATACAAAAATTAGCCGGGCGTGGTGGCAGGTGCCTATAATCCCAGCTACTCGGGAGGCTGAGGCGGGAGAATCGCTTGAACCCCGCAGAGGCCAGGCTCTTGGCAGGCACTCATGAATACCAGCTGATCAAATGGATGGAGGCACAGACCCTGGTCTCCAGGTTTCTCCAGGGTAAATATCCACAGACAGGGGTTCTGGCACCTTGGCCATGATGGCTCTCTCTCCTGAAGGCACTTGAGCAGGCTAAGTCCTCTTAGCACCCCATACCCATAAGCCAACATGGCCTGTCTGGGGGAGCCTGGATGGAACAGAGCAGAAAAGGGCCTTCACCTCCCTTACACTAGACTCTATATTTCTACTAATGCAGCCTCATATAGATCAACCCTTGTGACCATGCTTTAATTACAGCATCTTGGGTTAGAAGAGCTAGAAACCCACTCAGAGGCACTTCAGGCAAAAGAGGCAAATATATGGGCAGGAATAGGCTACTTCATTAAAATCTAGGGCAGCCTGGAGGGCTGGCAGGCCTCTCAAGAGACCACACTGGAAACTCTTCAAAGCCATCTGGGCTAGCAGCTGTGTCTGGCTGCCTCTGTCTTCACACCACAATGAAAGGCAGCCAATAGCTTACTCCTACTGGAGGCTCCAGTCCCAGGACAGGATCTGATTGGCTCAGCTGTGCACCTCTAGCCCAATCAGTTGTGACTGGGAGGCAGGGCTATACAGCACAAATGTGCAGCTGAATGAACTCCATCACTGCAGGTGAACAAGGCAATTTTCCAAGGACCCCTCCAAGGCAGAAGTCATCCTGAATGGCCTACTCTCCAGGGGTGACATTGAAAATACTGAGCAGTTGCCATGGCTGGATCCTGAGCCACCATAATTGACATGGGCCATTGCACTCAGGCCGGGCATGGCCCCCAAGGCACTGGGTGCCCCCTTCCAACCTGTTGGTTGTGAGTTGTGAACACCGGCCCCACCCTCAGCCTCCCAGCTCCCAACACTTCTGAAGCCTGGCCCCTTGCCCCACACAGAGCCAGACCCAAGCTACATTCATGCCTGCACTCTTACCAGCCCCTGTGCACTGTACTTCTGGGTCCAAGCTCATTCCAGAGCCTGCTTCTGCCCCCGGCTGGAGCCCCAGGGCTGGCCACGATGACAGCAACTGCCATGGCCCCTTCCCTCCCAGGAGGCTCGGGAGCCACCTCTTGAGGTGAGTGGTGACAGGTGCTGCTGTGCTGAAGTCAGGAAGGAAGCCCCCATCCTGAGGTGGTCTCTGGGAGCATCTCATGACCATGGGCCTAACCTTGGCCCCTGGCATGGCTCCAGGAGTCCAGCGCAGTACCCTGTGGTTCCGGCTGGTGCGTGGGCAGGTGGCAGGAGAGAAGAAATGCTGGAGTCGCCTTGGCATTTTGAAGGCCTTGGAGACGCTTCTGGCAGCATCCTGTCCATCAGCTTATCTATGGAAGGCAGGGACCGGGCCAAACGGTTGCACCAGCAGCCAGATGTGGAGCAGTTGCTTGTGGTTAAGTGCCGCTAACGCTGCCTCTCTGAGACCAGCTGTTTCCTTATTCTCAATGGGAGACAGAGTGGGGAGCCGCCACGTCACCAGGGGAGGTGACAGCTCCCTCCTACCTGACAAACGGTTACGATGTCAAGGATTTGCAAGGTCCCCTTACTGCAGATGGTCCTAAGGAGAGGATGCGTCTGTAATTCATGCTCCCATTACAGCTCTAACATTTTACATTTTCCCTCTTTCATACGTAGCCGACTTCTATTTGGTTTGTGTTCCACTATGACTCCCAGATCACTTTCTGCCCCCTTTGAGAAAAGCCAGGATCCCCATCTTGATTAGAACAGAATGGAATATTACAGCTGAAGAGACTCCCAAGCAAGGGTCGCCACGCAGAGCTGTGCCAGCTAAGGCCTGCACAAGGGTTCCTGGCCAAGGGAGCAGCGGGGGCTGAGATCCCCGTGGCTCCACTTGTCAAGCCGTTTTTCACAAAGGTGCCTTATGAGCTAACTGCCCTGCTGGAGGTTGTCTGGTCCCAGGGGCCTTCAAACTCTTTTGTCCAAAACCCACAGTGCGAAATACGCCTTTTCAAGACGTTCTATTTTCAAAAAATTCAAACATCCAGAGAAGTTGAATCTCATTTACCCCTCAGACTCTATCTTAATGTTCTACACTGTTCTTTTTGTTGTTGTTGTTGAGATGGAGTCTCGCTGTCACCAGGCTGCAGTGCAGTGGCAGGATCTCAGTTCATTACAACCTCCACCTCCCGGGTTCAAGCGATTCTCCTGCCTCAGCCTCCCGACTAGCTGGGATTACAGATGCCCGCCACCACACCCAGCTAATTTTTGTATTTTTGGTAGAGATGGGGTTTTACCATGTTGGCCAGGCTGGTCTCGAACTCCTGACCTCAGATGATCCACCCGCCTCGGCCTCGCAAAGTGCTGGGATTACAGGTGTGAGTCACTGCGCCCAGCCTGTCCATCTTATTTGATGCATTTTAAAGTGTCAGACATCTGTTATTCCTAAACACTTCTGCATGCATGTCATTGACTAGAGTTCGATATTTGCTGATAATTTGGCTTTTAAATAAATTTACATACCATAAAATACACAAATCTTAAGCTACCCTCAGATTTTGATAAATTCATACACTTATGTGACCCAAACCTGTCATGATCTAGACCATTTCTATCACCCTAGAAAATTGCCTCGTGCTCCTTCCAAGTCAGTTCCTGCCCCAACCTGCAACTAGTTTTGACTGAAGAAATACATTGTTTGTTTAATGTGTGGTGTGGCCAGGTGTGGTGGCTCACGCCTGTAGCCCCAGCTACTTGGGAGGCCGAGGCAGGGAGATCGCTTCAGTCCAGGAGTTCGAGACCAGCCTGGGTAACATGGTGAGATGCCGTCTCTACAAAAAAACAAAAACAAAAAACAAACATTTAGCCACGCGTGGTGGCTCACGCCTGTAGCCCCAGCTACTTGGGAGGCCAAGGCAGGGGGATTCCTTTAGCCCAGGAGTGGAGGCTAAGCTACTTCACTCCAGCCTGGGTGATCAAAAAAAAAAAAAAAAAAAGCACGTGTACCAAAACAAAACTTTTCAACAAAACGTAGCTTTAAAAAATGTGGGTCTCAGTCTTCCATATTTATTTCTTGACCCACTAAAAATTTGCTACCAGCTGCTTGCAAAACACAGGTCTAGGTGCTGATCCCTTATATACAGATGGAAAACAAATGCCTCACCACGCCCTCCCCATCCCCCCACTTATGAACGTCCTCACTTTTGAGGTGTTTTGTTTTGGAGATGGAGTCTCGCTCTGTTGCCCAGGCTGCTGGAGTGTAGTGGCGGGATCCTGAGTAGCAGAGATTACAGGTGCCTGCCATCACGTCCGGCTAATTTTTGTATTTATTGTAGAGACGGGGTTTTGCCATGTTGGCCAGGCTGGTCTTGAACTCCTGACCTCAAGTGATCCGCCCGCCTCGACTTCCCAAAGTGCTGGGATTACAGGCGTGAGCCACCGTGCAGGCCACCTTTGAGGTATTTTGCAAGCACCAGTTGCATCATCAAACCGGTTTCTATTCCTTTAACTTAAAAAAAAATAGGCACAATTCACGCTTTTTACAGAAAACTTGGAAAATGGGAAAACAGAAGCCCTCCTCTGAGCCCTGGCCGCCTCCACCCGCGTCCCCTTCCCTCGCAGGCCTCCAGGCCCCGGCGGCCCGCATTGCTTTGCGGGGGACTTCCGCAGCGCTGCGCCTGGCCCTGCTTATTGGCGTCTCTGGAAGGAGTGGCTGTGGCTCGGGCTCTCCAGATAAACCGCGCTCTAGGCCGTTTCCCAGATAGGAGCGCTATAGGTTTTAAGAACTAAAACTTTAAAATCTCAGCCCTCAGCCATGCTAAAGGCAGTTTCTTTTCTTTCCTTTTTTTTTTTTTTTTTTTTTTTTGAGACGGAGTTTCTCGCTCTTTCGCTCAGGCTGAAGTGCAGTGGCGCCATTTCGCCTCCCGGGTTCAAGCGATTCTGCTGCCTCAGCCCCCCAAGCAGTTGGAATTACAGGCGCCCGCCACCACGCCTGGCTAATTTTTGTATTTTTAGTAGAGAGGGGGTTTTACCATGTTGGTCAGGCTGGTCTCGAACTCCTGACCTCAGGTGATCCGCCCGCCTCGGCCTTTCAAAGTGCTGGGATTACAGGCGTGAACCATCGCGCCCGGCCCCTTTTCTTCGTTTCCATGTAATAGCTTGATTGAGAAATAATTCACATATCAAATCCACCCTTTTAAAAAGCGAGCAACGCGGATCGCGGAGGCCACGCCTGTGATCGCAGCGCTTTGGGAGGGGGCAGTTCCAAGAGAGCGGATCACTGAACCGGGGAGTTCGAGACCACCCGGCAACGTAATCTCCGCCTCGATAGAAATAGTTTTTTTTTTTTTTTTGAGACGGAGTCTCGCTGTCGCCCAGGCTGGAGTGCAGTGGCGCGATCTCGGCTCACTGCAGGCTCCGCCCCACGGGGTTCACGCCATTCTCAGGCCTCAGCCTTTTGAGTAGCTGGGACCACAGGTGCCCACCACCACGCCCGGCTAATTTTTTGTATTTTTAGTAGAGACGGGGTTTCACCGTGTTAGCCAGGATGGTCTCGATCTCCTGACCTCATGATCCGCCCGCCTCGGCCTCCCAAAGTACTGGGATTACAGGCGTGAGCCACCGCGCCCAGCCAGAAATAGTTTTAAAAAAAGAAATAAGGAGCGTGCGGCCCGCGGGGGAAGCGCCTTTACCAGCTCGAGCCTGCAGCCCCCCAGGCCGCGCCGTCCTCGGCTCCCCCGGGCAGCGCCGGGGTTTTGTCAGGCGCGCGCTGCTGTTTGCCTGGATTGCGCTCATTCTGACCCTGAAGCCAGCGGCCCCACTGACACGCCCTGAAAAGTGGGAGCCACACGCGGGATCCGGAGACCGCGCTAAAGTCCCACGCACGACGGCGCCCGCCGGCGAGTCCACGCCCGCACGTCGGCGCATGCGCGCGGCCAAGCCGGTGCCCGCGCCCACCAGCGCGCATGCGCGCCCCGTCCCTTCCCTCCCCCCGTGCTCTGCCCCGATGGTTCGGTCCGCGCCGGGGGCGGGGCCAGGGCGCCCGCGGGAAATTTGGCGGGAACCGCGCCCGCCTCTTCCTCCCTTCCTTCTTTCCTTGCTTTCGCCGCGCACTCCGCCGCCATGGAGCAGCGCCGCGTCACCGACTTCTTCGCGCGCCGCCGCCCCGGGCCCCCCCGCATCGCGCCGCCCAAGCTGGCCTGCCGCACCCCCAGCCCCGCCAGGCCCGCACTCCGCGCCCCGGCCTCCGCTACCAGTGGCAGCCGCAAGCGCGCCCGCCCGCCCGCCGCCCCCGGACGCGACCAGGCCAGGCCACCGGCCCGCAGGAGACTGCGGCTGTCGGTGGACGAGGTGAGGGGCGTGGGGAGACTGAGGCCGGGGAGTTGGGGGCGGGGAGACTGAGGCCCGGGGGGCAGGGCTCGGGGAAACTGAGGCGGAGGGACGGGGGCGGGGAAACAGGCGGGGGGGACGGGGCGCAGGGAACTCTGGGACAGGCCGGGGGATCCTGGGGGCGCCCTGCCACCACTGGGGACTTGGCTGGCTCCTGAGATGAGCAGGAGGCACTGGGGGGCTTGCACCGGGATCCGATGATGGGGCTGGAAGTCCAGCTTCTCTGCGAGGCCAGGGCAGGGGTCCGACCTGGAAACGGCCCCGGAAGACGAGAGCAAGGCTGTGTCCCCGGCCTTAGCACAGACCACCATCTACGGGAAGTCCTAAGCCCCCCAGCCATGCCCGTCCCAGTTAACTCAGAGCGGCTTCTGATCCTTCGGGGTCCTCTGCAGAGCCAGGAGCACCAGGTCTTGTCATGAGTTCACCCTTGGGGTCCCTCCCACCAGGTTTCCAGCCCCAGTACCCCCGAGGCCCCAGACATCCCAGCCTGCCCTTCTCCGGGCCAGAAGATAAAGAAATCCACCCCGGCAGCAGGTCAGCCGCCCCACCTGACATCCGCGCAGGACCAGGTGAGGGGCGGGGCCTGGGGCAGATGCGGGAGGGCTGAGTGGTGCCGGCCTGCCTGCCTGCCTGACGGCACCGTGTCCCCTGATCCCCCTGAAGGACACCATCTCTGAGCTTGCGTCATGCCTGCAACGGGCCCGGGAGCTGGGGGCAAGAGTCCGGGCGCTGAAGGCCAGTGCCCAGGATGCTGGGGAGTCCTGCACCCCAGAGGCCGAGGGCCGCCCTGAGGAGCCATGGTGAGTGCTGGGTGGGCGGCCACGAGGCCCCGGCAAAGGCCGGGTTGGTGGCAGGCGTGGCCCAGCGAGCCTGTCAGAGGCCCAGGTCTGCTCCTTCCAGGGAGGGTGGTGGTGAGGTCACCAGGGCGCGGACCCAGACCCCTGAGAAAAAGGTCCCGGGCACTGCTGGCGCTGTGCCCTCAGTCCCTCCTGCGGGGGGCAGCTCCTGCCTCGGGGACTCTGGCAGGTTTCAAATGCTCCTGATGCATTGGTGTGTTGTCTGCCTCTGCCCCTGAGAGCTGACGAAACTGCGCTGGGGAGAGGGCAGAGCTTCCCTGGGGGAGCTGCGTGGACACAGCAGAGCTGGGGTGTGGAGCCGGGCTTTCCCGTCACCACTGCTACCCCTAACGGTGCCAGTGCTGGTGGGTGTGCAAGGGCCGCGAAAGCCATCGTGTGTGGCATGGCAGGCCCCATCGGAGGGTCTCCCTGGCCGAGGGGCCTGCTGTGGCGTTGGAGGGGTAGGGGCCTACTGCTTCTCATGAGGCTCCTCCCTCCCTGACAGTGGCGAGAAGGCGCCCGCCTACCAGCGCTTCCATGCCCTGGCCCAGCCCGGCCTGCCGGGACTCGTGCTGCCCTACAAGTACCAGGTGCTGGCGGAGATGTTCCGCAGCATGGACACCATCGTGGGCATGCTCCACAACCGCTCCGAGACGCCCACCTTTGCCAAGGTCCAGCGGGGCGTCCAGGACATGATGCGTAGGTGAGTGGCCGGGGGTGGGCTGTGGCTGTCCTGGAGTTGGGGGTGGGCCCGGGCCTGCCTCCTGAGCCGCCCCCATCCTCCCATAGGCGTTTTGAGGAGTGCAATGTTGGCCAGATCAAAACCGTGTACCCGGCCTCCTACCGCTTCCGCCAGGAGCGCAGTGTCCCCACCTTCAAGGATGGCACCAGGAGGTCAGATTACCAGCTCACCATCGAGCCACTGCTGGAGCAGGGTGAGTGCTGGGTGCGGGACCTCGGTTTCCCCATCTGTGAGCCGCACAGTTTCCAGGGTGGGTGTGAGGTGCTGGGCATCTGGCCCAGGACTGGTCACGGGTGGGTGGCTGGGTGGCCTGGTGGGGACTTAGGCCTGGACTCGTCCCACAGAGGCTGACGGAGCAGCCCCCCAGCTCACGGCCTCGCGCCTCCTGCAGCGACGGCAGATCTTCAGCCAGAAGCTGGTGGAGCATGTCAAGGAGCACCACAAGGTGAGCGGCCCCCGGCCCCGCTGTGTGAAGATGGTGGCACCAGCACTGCCTCAGCACCTAACCCTGTGCTTGGAGCATCCCTGCCACTCACAGCTTCTCCCGGGATGGAACTGGGCTGGGTTCACCCTGAGCTGAGGGCTGGTGTGCTCAGGGTGCAGCCGCAGGCACTGAGGAGGTCCCCAAGGCGTTCAGCGAGCGCGGACCATGGGAGGCCTTGTGCTCTCCCTCCAAGCTGAGCACTGGGCAGAGGCTGAGTGACTTGCCCGAGGCGGCCCGGCTGGGACGTAAGCACAGGCCTACCTCACATGCAGTCTGCCCTTGTCTCAGATGTGCCCAGGGTCACCCATCTACTCCTTCTCCCCAGGCCTTCCTGGCCTCCCTGAGCCCCGCCATGGTGGTGCCGGAGGACCAGCTGACCCGCTGGCACCCGCGCTTCAACGTGGATGAAGTACCCGACATCGAGCCGGCCGCGCTGCCCCAGCCACCCGCCACGGAGAAGCTCACCACTGCTCAGGAGGTGCTGGCCCGGGCCCGCAACCTGATTTCACCCAGGGTGAGACTGCGAGGCTTGGGCAGCCCATTTCTCCCGGGTGGGTGGGCCAGCCTGACCCCAGGCTTAAGAGGTGGAAGCCTTGGTGATGAGCTTGACGCCTCATCTGGCTTCCTCCTTGGCTGGCGGATCCAGAGAGTTGGTGGCATTTGCCCTCTGTCCCCAGCTGCAGCCTCTAAGCCTGGCTCTGCCACTAGCCCCATGTGGGGAGTTGGCCTGGGCAGGCGATGCTGCACACTGGGACACTGCATTGACCGGCACAGACCACCCAGTGTGCTGGGTGAACTTGTGCCTTGAGAGATACCGGGGACTCCTGGGCAGACAGCCAGGGGCACGTTGCATCTTGTGACCTCTCCAGTCCAACCTGTCCCTCCCGCAGATGGAGAAGGCCTTGAGTCAATTGGCCCTGCGCTCTGCTGCGCCCAGCAGCCCCGGGTCTCCCAGGCCAGCACTGCCGGCTACCCCACCAGCCACCCCGCCTGCAGCCTCTCCCAGTGCTCTGAAGGGGGTGTCCCAGGATCTGCTGGAGCGGGTGAGTCGTCCCCAGTGATGGCGGGTGGGCGCCTGGTGACCTGCTGCCCACTAACCAGGTCCCGGTACCTGCTGCAGATCCGAGCCAAGGAGGCACAGAAGCAGCTGGCACAGATGACGCGGTGCCCGGAGCAGGAGCAGCGGCTGCAGCGCTTAGAACGGCTGCCTGAGCTGGCCCGCGTGCTGCGGAGCGTCTTTGTGTCCGAACGCAAGCCTGCGCTCAGCATGGAGGTGGCCTGTGCCAGGATGGTGGGCAGCTGTTGTACTATCATGAGCCCTGGTACGTGCAGGGCGGGGTGAAGGGGCGTGCAGGGTGGAATTGCCTGGTGCTGCAGCTGCCTCCCCAGCTTTCTGAGCAGAGGTGTCTGTCACTGATCTGTTCTGTTCAGATGTGCAGTGGGCGCTGGCCTCTTGCACTGGTGTGTCCTGGGCGCTCTGCCCTCCTTGGAGCCACCCCTGAGCCTCCGCCCGGCCCCTCCACACCTGCAGCCTCTGGAGGCAGCTTCCCCCTCACAGCTCTGGCCCTTTCCCTGACCACCTGCAGTCCTTGGTCAGAAGGGGCCCCACATGCACCCTCCACTGCCTCCCAGGCCTCTGGTGACCAGGCCCTGAGCACATAGGGGTCCTGACGCTACAGGGCACCTCCTGCCTCAGGGCTTTCATGGGCTGGCGGCCTCCATGCTCGGTGCCTCCTCACAGGGCCTCAACTGTAGGCCTGGCTCTCTCCGGTCACTGTTCACACCACCCAGACCTGGGCCTCTGATCAGAACCACCTCTGCCCTAAGTCCTGGTGATGGGGCCCTGAGGGCGACCAGGCAGGCACAGAGGTTGGGTGGTCAGGCTGGTTTCAAGTGCTGCCCGTGCAGGGCTGGGGCCCAGCACCAGCCTCAGTGTCCTCCTCTCCTCCCCCAGGGGAAATGGAGAAGCACCTGCTGCTCCTCTCCGAGCTGCTGCCGGACTGGCTCAGCCTCCACCGCATCCGCACCGACACCTACGTCAAGCTGGACAAGGCCGCGGACCTCGCCCACATCACTGCACGCCTGGCCCACCAGACACGTGCTGAGGAGGGGCTGTGAGCCTGGGGGCCACTGTGGACAGACGTGGGCTTCAGAAGCTCGCTGGCCTGGGCCCACCAGCATTTTCTTTTATGAACATGATACACTTTGGCCTTCCTTTCCCCAGCGCCCCTGAGGGCCAGAGGCAGATGTGGGCTGCAGGCTGCACAGCCCGAGGGTCTCTGGCTGCGGGCGGTGGGCCCCTTCATGGGGCTCACCTGGTGGATTCACATTAAACCGGTTTCTGTGGGCACCTCTGTCCTTGCTGCTGGTGGGGAAGGGAAGCCAGATCCAGCACCCCCTGGGGGGCCATCGGGAGTGTGGCTGGGGGTGAAGGGGGCTCTGTGGCAATATGGGGTTGGGTAGTGTGGGTGGCAGGCCATCCCCTCTAATCTTGGAACCTCTGAATATGGGACCTCCCACAGCAAAGGGTGACTTTTGTCATTAAGAAAGACTGGGGTGGGTGTGGTGGCTCACGCCTGTAACCCCAGCACTTTGGGAGGCCAAGGTGGGCAGATCACGAGGTCAAGAGATCGAGACCATCCTGGCGAACATGGTGAAACCCCATCTCTACTAAAAATACAAAAAATTAGCCGGGTGTGGTGGTGGGCACCTGTCGTCCCAGCTACTAGGGAGGCTGAGGCAGGAGAATGGTGTGAACCCAGGAGGCACAGCTTGCAGTGAGCGAAGATCGCACCACTGCACGCACTCCAGCCTGGGTGACAGAGCGAGACTCCGTCTCAAAAAAAAAAATTTCAAGACTGGAGAGGTGATCCTGAATTGTCCAGCTACGCCCCATGTCATCACAGGGCCTTCATGACAGGGCCAGAGCCAGCCAGCTTTGAAGACGCGGCCCTGCCCCGACACAGGCAGCCTGGAGAAGCTGGGCAGGACAAGTAGGACATCCCTGGAGCCTCCAGAAGGGACTGGCCTCTGCCCACACCTTGACTTCAGTATTTCTGACCTCCTAAACTCTAATAAAGTCATGCTTACAGCCACTAGATCTGCAGAAGAGCCCTCGCTTGCTCCCCTAGAAGATGGGCCCACATGGCCTCTTCCTGCAGTGCCTGGAGGGTTCTAGCTCCTGAGGTGAGAACCAGGACAGGTTCTGCTGGGCATCACGCCAAGCAGCACATGCCCACAGTACAGCTGAAGTCTGGTGTTGTCCTGGGGCTCCCTGCCCTGGGGAACAGGAGGACAGGAGACGGCTCTTGTGGGAAAGCTGTTTACTGCGTTCTCCCGCTGTGTGTAATTGGGTTCAGTGTGGCTGAAACACAGCTTTGCCCCAGGCTTTGGCACTTCCAGCCCCAGGAGAGGCGCTGAACCCCAGCAAAGGAATGTGTTCCCTGTGGGCAGCCGGTGCCCCTGGTCACTGCAGTTGCCCAAGGCTGATATTTCCCTGGGATCCAGCTGGAGATGTTGGGCTGGGAGGCCCTGTGGTCACTCATACTGCAGGAGAGAGAAGAAGGGTACAGGTGCCAGCTTCTCCCTGCCCTTAAGCGAGGTCAGCTCCACCAGGCTCACGCACTCCAGGACCTCAGCCTGCAGGCGGCCCAGCAGCTCACAGGCAGCGTTCATGGTTCCTGGGGATGGGAGGGTGAGGTCCCCAGTTGGCCTGGGCTGCAGAGAGCAGGTGCTCCAGGCCAGCCCCTGGGTTGGGGAGGGGAAGGCATGGGGAGAGGAAGGTGTCGGCCTGGCCACCAGGCACCCTCTGGACAACAGTAAGCTGCATCCCATGTCACACAGCGAGGTCCTGTCCCACTCCCACCAGGCCCTTGGAGCCACAGCAGTTGGCTGCGGGGAGACCCTTACCACCAGTGGCCAGCAGATCATCCACGACGACCACCCTCTGTCCTGGCTCCAGGGCGTCTTTCTGAATCTCCAGCTCAGCCTGGAGTGGGAAGTGGTGTGTGGTCCTCAGCCTCCCGCAGAAAACAGCTTTGTTGCACAGCTTGGCAGCTGCCACCCTAGACCCTGACTCCAACCCCACCTTGCTGTTACCTGGCTGTGTGAGCCCAGCCTATGTCTCAACCTCTCTGAGCTCCCAAGGCCACTGTAACCACAGCAGCTCCACTTGACACGCCTGGGAAGGCCTTTTAGAACTGGGGGAGAGTGGCCACGGTGGCCTGGCCCTGCCCTTCCTCTGGCCACCCCAGCCCTCTTACCTTCCCGTACTCCAGGGAATAGGAGGCCCACAGAGTGGGGCCTGGCAGCTTCCCCCGCTTTCGGATGAGCACGCAGCCCAGTCCAAGCTCCTGGGCCAGGGAGGGGCCAAAGAGGAAGCCTCGGGAGTCTAGGCCTGTCAGGGTAAGTGACAGGAGTGACTCGGCAGCATGGGAATCCCCAGGGGCCAGGGTTGGCCGGTGGCAAGGGGTACCTGGTTGGCTCCCAGCTGAAAGGCCAGTGACATGCACCATTTAAGGAATGTTACCCATCACCTACCCGGAGCTGCTTCCAGGTCAGAGTGCAGACCTGGGTCTGTCTTTTAAGGGACCACTTCTTAGCTGTGTGTTCCTAGGGGAGTCACCACCCCTCTCTCTGAGCTGAGCAGCCCATCTGTAACTGGGCTGGTAGAAACCTGACAGGCCTCAGCTTACTCTCAAAGGCAGCTCTGCACCAGGGCTTCTGTCTAAAAAGGGAGTCTCTCGAGGTGGCCTGAGCTGTGATGGTTGGGGGACGCTCAGGGAAACCCTGCCCCGGCCTGGCAGGAGGTCAGGGAGGGCTTCCTGCAGGAGGTGAGAAGGGAGCTCTGGCAGTGTTGTGGCTCCAGCAAGAGCTGGCGCTTTCCTCAGGGCAGTGTCCAGGGAGTGGGCTGTCACACCCTAGGAGAGGCAAGACGGCCAGGAACACTCTGTTCTCCCTGGGCCACCTCTTGGGCTCTCCCGGAGGCCTCCAGGCCTCCCTTCCCTGGGTGGGCATTCCGTGATCTTCACCAGGGAAGGCCTGGCTCGTGGCAGGCGCTCAATACCAGCTCGCAGAAGGAACAAGAAGCAAGGCAGCTGGGCCCTGTGGATTCAGCTTGGGCACTCCAGGGAGACCAACTGACCCGGCAACTCGGTCACGCCTGTCCTGGGCTGGGGACCCGGAACCTGCGGGAAGGACGCCTGCACAGCGCGGCGGCCTCGGGGGCTCAATCTCACAACCCTTCCCGGGCGACCCAAGCACGGCGCCCGTCCCGGCGCCCCCTGAAGCACCCCAAAGGCCCTCCCCCAAGCAGACGCGCAGAGCCCACGTGCTGCCCTCGGCGCGCGCAGAGGCGGAAGCGCCCTAGATGCGGCCACTGGGCACTCGCCTGCGATGTAGTCGATGCGGCCCCCGTGGGTCGCCTTCAGGTGTCGCGCCAGGAGGCCGATGGCGGCGCGGAAGGAGGCGGGGTCCTTCAGGACGGGCGAGATGTCCCTGGACCCAAGGACAGGCCTGGTGACGCCGGGGCCGAAGGAGGGCAGGGCCCCGGGGGCGAAAGACGAGGGTTCCCGCCCCGCCCGCCCGGAGGTCGCGGGCCACGCGCTCCCATCCGTAGGCCCGCAGGTCGGGGCGCCACGAGGGCGGCCTGTGCGTGCACCTGAATACCACGCCTGGGGTGGGGAAGTCGGGGAAGCTGCGGATCCGCTGCTCAACCAGCTGCAGCTCGGAGTCGGCCATGGCCGCGTGCGAAGAGCCAGCGGCAGCCCGAGCGCGCCTGCGCGGGGACGGGCGGGACCGCCACGAGGGGTGGGGCATCCCCGGAGGGCGGAGCGTGGGTGAGGGGCGGGGCATCCGTCGCCGGAAGCCTGTACCGTATTTCATGGACTCCTAGGCGCCATCGATTTTAAGACGCGCTCGCATTCCACGCACCACTGAGCAGAACGTTCGAACCGGACAAAAGTGCGAGTCAAGGCGCCCTTCCTTGTCTCGGGCTACGCTTCTGACTGCAGCCAGGCAGCTGTGGGCCGGGGCCTTGGCGGCTGGAGGAGGGGCGTGAGCTGGTCTCGCCCACGCACCTGGCGCGCGTACGGGCCGCGCCCTTTCTCCTTTATTGGCCGAGATCCCCACGCTGCGCGCGGGAGGCTGGCGCGCGGGGTGGAGAAGGGCGTGAGGAAGCGGTCCAAGTAGCAGGAGGGCGGTGCAGGGCCCGGAGGGAGCAGCCCAGGGCGGAGGCGGCGGGCCTGGGCTGGACCGGCCGGGGGCGCTGGCCTCTCGCGGATGGGCCCTGCCGTTGAGGCGGCTCTTCCCCGCCCGGACCCGGGGGAGGGAGGCCGGAAGGTGTGGCCAGGCCAGGGCGCGCATCCGCGAGGGCAGAAGCCCTTCTGTCCGCCTGCAGAGGCCAGGTGACCCCTTAGCCTTGGGGTGGGGAGCTGTGAACCCCCTGGCCGCCCGAGGACTGGTACCCAGGGGGTTGTGTGAGGCATAACTCCCCCCAAACACAATTTCCTTTCAAGAAAATCCCCAGAGCTAAAATGCCTTGTGCTCTATTCCAAGACTTTTCTTCATTTCGCAACTTTTTTTTGAGAAGGACTCTCGCTCTGTCGCCCAGGATGGAGCACAGTGGCGCCATCTGGGCTCACTGCAAGCTCCACCTCCTGGGTTCCGGCCATTCTCCCGCCTCAGCCTCCCGAGTAGCTGGGACTACAGGAGCCCGCCACCACGCCCTGCTAATTTTTTGTATTTTTAGTAGAGACGCAGTTTCACTGTGTTAGCCAGGATGGTCTCGATCTCCTGACCCCGTGATCTGCCCGCTTCGGCCTCCCAAAGTGCCGGGATTACAGGCGTGAGCCACCGCGCCCGGCCCATCATTTCGCAACTTTTACAATTCAGCTTTGGCCTGGCAGTTACTGCAGAAGGGAAAACCCACTCAGTGGAAGGCAGCCCCCAGGAGCCTTCGGAGGGGGAGGCCGGAGGCTGCATGCGGCTGCTGGGGCCCCGGTTCCAGGGCGGGTGGGGGACCCATCGTCTGATGCCAAGGGGCGTGGTAGGGGCGGCTGCCTCGCAGTGTGCGGTGGTCAGGGCTGGCAAGGCCTGGGGCCTGGGCTCCAGACCCCTAGGGAAGGTGGAAATGGAGGACCCTGACATCCTCACGTCCCCGGGGAAGCTGCCACATGAGCCGGCCCCACCGGTCCAAGTGTGTGAGCTACACTTCAGCCGTCCACGTCCAGCCCAGGAGGCCTCCGCCTTCCCCTTCCTTGTTCCTGATTCTGTCTCCCAGATGGCCCGAGGGGGG
Organism: Homo sapiens; assembly: GCF_000001405.40. NCBI lineage: Eukaryota > Metazoa > Chordata > Mammalia > Primates > Hominidae > Homo > Homo sapiens. Next base: position 88,813,455 of record NC_000016.10, read on the forward strand.
CCTGGGAAGGCGTGGGGTGGGGGGGTACTGGAGGAGGGGCCTGGGGAGGGTTCAACACAGAATTGGCCCTGTGGCTTCCTTCAACCCGGGCTGTTGGGCTGGCGTGGGAACAGCAAGGAGCCCCGAGTCCTGCCCTTCAACAACCAATGTGGCGCTGGCCTCTGGAGGAGGCCGGCCGGGAGGCAGCGGGAGCTGGGCACCTGATTCTTGGCAGCTGCTGAGAAGGTGTGAAAGGAAAATAAATCTCCGGACCCCAAAATCACTCAGCCAAGAGAAAAATCAAGCTGGGAATTAGGCAAACCTGCCTCCCGTTTTATTTCTAAATAACATAGTTACAATGATAAGAAGCTACACGCCTCCCTCATAATTAGCGTCCAGGGAAATTCCTTGTGGACAAAGGACAGACGGAACTGGAAGTCATCCCTCTGGGGCTCCCCTGAGACAAACGCTTATATGATTGCCCCGTTCCCTTACTGTTTACATAAAAATGCGGATTCACTGGGCCAGACTCAATCGTGTATTCAGTGGAAGGCTGACTGAACCAATGTACGCCATACACATACTGATCTTGTGTCTCCCTAAGATGTATAAAGGCAAACTGTATCCCCAGCCACCTCAGGCACCTGTTGTCAGGACCTCCTGAGGCTGTCACAGGTGCATCCTTAACCTTGGCAAAATAAACTGAGACTGGTCTCAGATATTTGGGGTTCACAAAGGCGTGAGACGGCAGGGTCCTGAGGTCTGAGGCGCCGTGGGCGAGGAGGAGGGTCCTGAAATCTGAGGCGCCGTGGGCGAGGAGGAGGGCCAAGCACACGCCAGGGTCAGGTCCTGGGCAGGTGGAATTGTGCAGTCCCCCTGCGTCTGCAGGTGCTGTCTGTCTGGCTTGGGCAGGGTTGGGGGAGGACCGAGGCCAGAGCCATCCTTCCTCCAGGCACTTGCAGGGCCAACCGGAGATTCTAGGCCTGGCCTGAGTCTGCGCAGGTGCTAGTGGGACCAGAGGCACTTCTTGGGAATGGATTCTGGAGGTGTCAGACACTTCCCTAACTTTTCACAGCCCGGAGGTGCCCAGTTCTGGGAAATGAAAATTGAGAAAAAGAACATGCAGTTATTCAAGCTCTTCTGGACCCAGCAGCAGCGGGCATTTTGTTGTTGCTGTTCTGAGACAGTCTCACTCTGTCACCCAGGCTGGAGTTCAGTGGCGCGATCTTGGCTCACTGCAACCTCTGCCTTCCGGGTTCAAGAGATTCTCCTGCCTCAGCCTCCTGAGTGAGTAGCTGCTGGGATTACAGGCACGCGCCACCACGCCTGGCTAATTTTTGTATTTTTAGTAGAGACGGAGTTTCACCATCTTGACCAGGCTGGTCTTGAACTCCTGACCTCGTGATCCACCTGCCTTGGCCTCCCAAGGTGCTGGGATTACAGGTGTGAGCCACCACGCCCAACCATTTTTGTATTTTTGGTAGAGACAAGGGTTCCCCAAGTTGGCCAGGCTGGTCTCAAACTTCTGACCTCAGGTGATCCACCTGCCTTGGCCTCCCAAAGTGCTGGGATTATAGGCGTGAGCCACCGCGCTTGGCCTCGAGCAGTTTTGATGTGTCCCCTGCCCAGGTCAACCCCGGACCCCAACCAATTGGCCTCAGTGTGGGGACCACCTCGGTCCAGGTGGGCAGCTACACAGACGCTCCCCAGGAATCATGGGAACTTGGGAGATGGCACCCTCTTGACTCGGCCTCTCAGCTCTGAAGGCTGCCATTGGAGAAATGAGAACTTGGTGGGGAGGTCCCGGGTATGGGGGATGCAGCTGCCAAGTGGCTGAGGGCCTCCGAGGGCCAGCAGTGTTAGAAAGGGCAGGCGGTCCTCCCAGGAGGGCCCACCCTGAGCTTCTCAACTCATCACCCTCTCCTGCAGCTTCAGCCTCTCAAGAAGCCTTTCCCAGGGAGAAGCCAGTCCCTACTGCGCTGCTGGGCTCAGTTCAGTGCGGTGCTGAGCGGAGCCCGCACCCCTCCATCGCCTGGGTGTGTGTGGACCTCACAGTGCAGCCTTGCTTAGCGGAAGCCTTGCTTGATGGGAGGGCACTTTTCCTGGCAACAGAAAGGGAGACTTATGCCGCTAAGAGGAGCCTTCTTGGCTGAAATGAGTGCAGTTTGGTTCTGTGTCCCCATCCAGGCCACTTCTGTGCCACGTCAGACGCCGCATGGCCCTGAGGGCACTTTCCGGGGACAGACTTTGGATTCTGGGTGCTGCTCAGGGTACTAAGGACAGTCTCCAGCCCTAGGCGGCAGCAGGGATGCCGCATGAGTGTCCCTGCCCCCTTGGCCACCAGAGCAGGAGTGGGTTTGGGTGAGGAAGCTGCTCCCAAACTCCAGGGGCAGCAGAGGCAGCCGCAGGGTGTGTTTGAGTCTGGATGGGGGATCTGCATTTCTCAAAGGCCGCTCAGCTGTCCCAGAAGCAGGGGTCCAGGTGGCCACACTCCCTCTCCTCTGTGCCAGAGACGCCACTGAGCCCCTCTCCTGGGGCTGGCCTGGAGTTGGCGGGGACAGAGGGCAGGGAAGGGGTAAGGAGGGCCCCCAGGCTTCACACGCGTGTCTGTGCATCTCCCCCATGGCTCTGCTCACGGTGGCATCTGGGCCCCTCAGACCCCAGTGGCTCAGCTCGCCAGGTCTGAGTTGGCACTTTTCCCCCTGCAGAGAGCACAGGTGTGGCGGTGGGGGCAGTTCCCCCAGTGCCCAGGAGATGGCAGTGGCAGCCAGGCTGTGTGCGCCCACCTCCCCTGCCCTGTGCCCACTGTCTCCATGGCAGGTGTGGCCTGCGCCCGTGGAGCCACTGCAGCCTGGGTCGTAGAGAAGGACCCAGCAGCACGGAGTGGGATTGGGTGTGGAAGGCAGAAGGCCAGGGCTCCTCCACGGCTGGTGGCCCTGGGCTCCTGGGGCCCCGAGACTCAGGGGTCCTGAGACAGGGACCTCCCTGCTCCACCACTGAGTCCAGAGGCGGGGACGCCAGCTGCCCAGGTCCCTTTGAAGGAAGGGCCCTGAATATCTTCCTATGAAACTTGCCAGGCACCCCCGCCCCCCGCCCCCCAACTAACGGAGGTGGCCCTGCCCTGCCCAGTCCTAAATAACCCTGCAGGGTGGACTGTCCCTGGGCAGGGACAAGGCCATCTGCCCTCCATGGTCCTCACTGCTGGTAGGTGCTCCCGATGGCCGGTGCTCTCCTGTTACATCCGCCGGCCCACGCTGTGGCTCCCTGGCTGTTCAGAGCCACCACCTTCCTTCCCACGGCACGGCGGGCACCCAGCGGCTCCCACGCTGCAGCCGGGTCTGGCCCTGGAAAGAGGCTTCAGCTGGGCCTTTTCGCCCGCACAGCAGGAGCCCAGGCTGAAGTCTGCAGCTGCCGAGGGGCCTTCTTCCCGAATCCTGCGCGGCAGATCCAGGGGCTGTGGGCAGCCACGCCCAGCCCGTGTAAACAGGTGAGCGACGGCCCAGGGGCCTCGAGGCTGGGCTCGGCCATCTCCACTGTGCTCGGTGGGCTCTGGGCACCCAGGAGCGACACCGCAGACCTGTGTGTGGCTCGTTTTTGCCGACTAGAGCGAGGGCCGCACGTGTCCCATCTGAAGGAGCTGTGAAGACCTGCCCTGCTGGGACCCACATCAGCTGTGCTGGGAAACAGGCCTTTGCGGCCACTGCACACGCGGGATGGCTGGGCCGTCCACATGCCACCCTATGGGACCCCCAAGCAGGGGACAGAAAAGCTGCTCCTGAGAGGCCCTGACTGCTGCGGCCCCCAGGGCTGGACAAGACGACGACGCATCCTTTGTGGCCTGAACACAGACTTCAGTGAAACTTTGGAGGCACGTCTGTGCTTGTGTTTCTGGCCGATGCTGGCGTGATGAGGCCGTTTCTCTACTGGAGGTGAACAAGGCCTGGTCTTGTCAGGCTGCACGGAGGTGCTGCTCTGGGTGGGTGCCTATGAGTGAGATCAGGTCTGATGCGAAGGTCTCTGGGGCTGGCCCAGCATGAAGGAGGCACAAATGAGAACCTCGCAGGTGGGCCCTGGGGCCGCCGCCACTCAACAGTGCCCACCAGCCCACCCGGGACCCACCGGGCAGTGCCGTTCCTGCCTCGGTGCCTTCAGAGCCCGGGAGTTTGGAGGTCATCACAGGGCCCCTGCAAGGAGAAGCTGCCCGTGTGGGAGTCGAGGACCAGGGGACCCCGGACCCTCTCACGCGCCCTGCTGTCCCTCAGTGACTTGTGGGGGGCAGGAGAGGGGCCTTGGAGCTCCCCAGTCTCAGCTCAGCCAGGCAGAGGCCCGGGTGGCCGGCTGTGGACCTGCGGCTGCCCTGGTGCAGCGTTGTTCTGGTCCCCGAGTCGCTTGGCTCCTGCCTCCCGAATCCCGGACGCCGCCGCGTGTGCTCTGAGGCACGAGGGCCTCACCACTGACGGAGGCGGGGAAGCACGCCTGCCTCTGCCCTGTGCTGGCCACGGTTCATCCTGGGCCCCGGGTGGGTGGCTGCAGCCCCGGCAAAGAGACGGCCGCCCACACACCAGCCACTTACCATGACCGCCCAGTTGCACACGTTGAGCTGGGGCTGCGCGGGGACCAAGGCCTCCTGGTGCTGCTGGACGACCGAGGTGATCCTGCTGAGGGCCTCCTGGTACTCGGCGCTGGCAAAGCTGGGGACAGAGAGCTCTGGTCACACGGCTGGGGCTGACAGCGAAGGACGGAGAGGGGCTGGCCTGGACAGGCTGAGGCTGCAGAGCTCTAACGGGCTGAGAACCACAGTGAGCAGTCACTGGGACCATGTGCTCAAGCCTGCAGCGGCCCCGGGCCTCGCTAGGACAGGCAGCAGGCACCCGAGCCATCCTCTGCCCTCAGACTCACGGGCAAGAGAGGAAATGAAGGCTCAGCAGGCCAAGCCCTGGCAGAGAGGCTGTGAGTAGAGCCGTCCCATCCTGTCCCTGCCTGTGACCAGGACCCGGGATATGTGGGCTGGGGCCTGTGGGTCTCCCCAGCACTCACTACTACGTAAACATTTACAAATATGACACACCCTTCTTTCATTACAAAAGCAACGTCATCCCATTGCCAAAAAGCAGGAAATGGAGGGGAACGGCATCTGCAGTTCTAAAATTCCAATGCAAGCTGCGGAGTGTTTGGATTCCTTTCATCTTCACGAAGATACGATTACACGGCTCGACGAGGTGCCACGGTTCGCGATGTCAGGGCCGCAGTTTGCGATGCTGTGAATCTTGGGTCCACGGCGCCGTCATGCTGTGCTCTGAGGACATCTGCACAGATGATGCCTTTTCACCATTTTCAATCACTTCTAATATCGACAACATCCACATAAAAAGACACCTGCCATCGCTGCCATAGCGGAGATGCAGGGAGGAACTTCTGCGAGTGTGGCTGAAGCTGGAGTTTCTCAATGCCCAGGCTGGGAGCTGCGTTGCTGCTGGTGGGGACGTGGACCGGAGCAGCCACTCTGGAAGGTGGTGTGGCAGCTCCTTACAAAGCTAGAGACGGGGTTACCAGGTGAGTCAGCTCCCCTCCTGATGGCAGCACCTGTCCAGGCCCAGTACCTTCTGGGAGGTGAGCCCGGACCCACTGAAGCCCAGTCTTCTGCCTTGGACGCTCAGCAGTCTGTGAGAACTGGCTTTTTGCTCCAGAACCTTCCCTAAAAATGAGGCTTCACACGGAAGCTGCATGCAACAGGGACGGGGATGCGCCCCCCTCCCCACCCCCGGCCACCTGCCCCAGCCTCTTTCTGCTCGATCCACCCACTCCCTGCTTAGGCCTCAGGCCTGGGGTTGCATCAGAGGGCGACCTTCAGGAGAGCTGGGGTCCTTCAGGGCTCCCCGCTTGGTGCCCGCGGAGATGCCTGTCCTGGTCCCAGCCTGGGCTTCACACAGCGCCCCTGAGCACAGGGTCCATTTTTAATCCAGGAGGGTCTCAGGTGCATTTGTGTTTCTGCAGGATTCTGTGGCCAAATACTGCTGGTTGAGAACTGGCGTGAACTGCACGTGCACTTTCTGACGGTGAGCGTCCCCGAAGGCCGTGGCCTGGCTTGTTGCTTTAATCTTGTTTATTTCATTTATTTTTTAGAGACAGGATCTTGCTCTGTTACCCAGGCTGGAGTGGTGAGACAGCAGCTCACTGCAGCCTTGACCTTCCAGGCTCAAGCGATCTTCCTGCCTCAGTCTCTTGAGTAGCTGGGACCATAGATCACTGTGCCTGGCTAATTTTAATTATTATTTTTTGAGAGAGAGTCTCGCGCTGTCACCTAGGCTGGAGTGCAATGGCATGATCTCAGCTCACTGCAACCTCCGCCTCCCTGGTTCAAGCGATTCTCCTGCCTCAGCCTCCTGAGTAGCTGGGAGTACAGGCGCCCGCCACCACGCCTGGCTAATTTTTATATTTTTAGTAGAGACGGGGTTTCACCATGTTGGTCAGGCTGGTCTCGAACTCCTGACCTCATGATCTGCCTGCCTCGGCCTCCCAAAGTGCTGGGATTACAGGTGTGAGCCACTGTGCCCGGCCTTAATTTTTTATTTTCTGTACCAGTAAGGTCTTGCTGTGTTGACCAGGCTGGTCTCAAACTCCTGGGGCTCAAGAGATCCTCCTACCTCGGCCTCCCAAAGTGCTGGGATCACAGGTGTGAGTGACCATGCCTGGCCCCGTCGTCTTTTTTTCTTTAGACGGAGTCTTGCTCTGTCACCCAGGCTGGAGTGCAGTGGTGCGATCTCAGCTCACTGCAACCTCCGCCTCCTGGGTTCAAGCAATTCTCCCGCCTCACCTTCTCGAGTAGCTGGGATTACAGGCACCGACCAACACATCCAGCTAATTTTTTGTATTTTGGTAGAGATGGGATTTCACCATGTAGGCCAGGCTGGTCTCAAACTCCTGACCTCAGGTGATCCACTCACCTCAGCCTCCCAAAGTGCTGGGATTACAGGCATGAACCATGGCGACCGGCCACCCGTCTTTAATTTAGAGAGGCTCCTGGCAAAGTGACATGTGTGTCTGTGTCTGAGAAGCAGCCCACGGTGAATCAGGCTGTGTCATGGGTGTGTGACCTCAGGGACAGTGGTTCTCAAAGGCATGGCCGACAGCTGGGCCTCCTTGTGACCCCCTCTGGGAAGCTCTGCCTGCTGCCTGGGTTTGCTTTGAAATAACCCTGCCTTCTCCAGCTGTGAGGGCGGGGCTGGGTGGCTGTGGTGGGTGGGACTGTGTCTCTGCTCTGGCCTGGCTGGAGGGGCTCCAGCAAACGCAACAGGCGGGGAGCAGTGGCCCTGAGGACCCCCCTGTGGATGCCAATCACGCCCAGTGGACGCGAGGGGGCACCGCCATCCAGGCTTTAACCTCGGGTGGTCCCTGGAGCGACCAGCCTGTGGGGGGTGTGGCGGGCACCGGTGTGGCCAGCAGCTTGTTCTGTGTAACTGGGGCCTGCAATCTGCTCCCCGTGGTCCCCCTGGGACGGCGCTTCCAGCTGGGGGGGCTGTTGGCTCCTCAGTGACTTCTGCGGGCACAGGGGGCTCCCAGACAGCCCCTCCAGCTCCACAAGGCCCCAAGCTCCAGGCCCCCCATGGTTTCACGGGTCTCACCCCCATGGGTGATCACGAGTCCCCCGGGGGCGTCTGTCTCTGTATCTCGGCACCCCCACAACATATGACCATGAACTGGGGCTTAAAACAATGAAACTGCAGATGCCCCTCACTTTTCCAGAGGCCAGAGGCTGAAACCAAGGGTCTCAGGGCTGTGCACCCCTGGAGGAACTGGGGCTCCTTCCTGCCTCTTCCAGCTCCAGTGGCCCCAGGTGAGCCGAGGCTGGTGGCGCTCTGTCCAGTCCCCGTCTCGTCCCGTGGCCTTCACCATGTCTGTGTCTCCTCCCTCTGGACTCAGGGCATTTGGCCTTGGACCCAGCGCCACCCGTGCCTTAATCACAAGGCACAGGCCCTACTTCCCTTCAGGCCAAGCTGGGAGGTGTGGGTGGACCTGGGCCTGGGGACACTGCTGTCCACTCCAGGCTCCATGCTGCCTTCCCGCAGTCACCATCCTGGGCTTCTGAGCTGGACGCTCGGTGGAGGAGAGGTGCTGCCGAGGAAGTGCCCAAGGGATCCCTGAGGGGCTGCAGCCCAGGAGCCTCACCGCAGGCTCAGCCCCGTGGGAAGGCGGCTGCCCCGTCCAGAGGGTGCAGGAGCCTCAGGGCACCTTGGCGGTGGTGCTGCCACCCTCGGTCCTGTACTGCTCTCTGCTGCCTCCCACCGGCCCTACTCAAACCCAGGCCCATCGGGGAGCATAGAAAGCCTGGGCAGGGAGCAACCGCTGTGCTCAGGCCTGGTTCTGCCTCTGCACGCCACTCCCCTGATGCTCCTGGGTCTTCCCAGGACCAACTCGATAGGGCAGGAATGCTGGAGACCACTAGGCATGCACGTGCCCCAGGACCCCCAGGCCAGGAGCAGGAATTGGGGACCTGCTCATCCTGCTGGGGTGAGGGGGGGAAGCCTCCAGGTAGCCCTAGCCCAGGGAGATGGGTTCGGACAAAAAAAAAGGAAGCCAGGGCGGGGTCTCCAGCCAAGTGTTGGGGCCTCTGTGTCGCCCCTAAGGAGCTGCCAGCAGGTGAGTCTGGTACTGGCGACCATGACCCTCAAGACTCCTGAGGGTAAGGGGAGGGCTTCCCTGAAAACTGGCAGGTGATGGCGCAGACTCCGGCATCCTCGGTGGGGTGAGGACAAGGCCCAGAGAGCAGAGGGTGGAGCTGGGGCTGGTGGCTTTCTGCCATTCCTCCTGCTAGCTGACCTGTGTCCTTGTACCTCCTACTTGCCCCAGGGCCTGGACCCCTCCCCTCTGGCCTCAGCCATCCCCAAATGCAGCTCAGAGTAGGGGATACATCACTGGGGGCCAGGTGGATGGTGGCCCAGAAGGGGCAGAAGTGGGGAGACCACCAGGGTGGGCAGCAGCAGGCACCCTGGGAGGAGGGCAGGCCACCAAGCACGTGTGGGTATGAATAGCAACAGCAGATGCAGGCAAGGGGAGGCGGCGGGCAGGGTGCAGAGGGCTCTGTCCCTGTGGAGCCTGCATTTGGGGGAGTCCGGCTGGCACTGCCTCAGCAGCCAGGAGGCCCTGCACCGACTCACCTGAGGGGGAACCTCTCCCCTGGGTCCCGTCCCAGGTGGAAGATCAGGGGCAGCTTCGTGTGGTCTTCCAGATTGTGAGTTGTGACCCCTGAAACGTTCTGCCCAGGGCAGAAATCAATGCCCTGCAATGAGAAGAGGGAAGGTGTGTCCTGGAGCCCCTGACCTGCGGCCGTGAGGGGCCTCGTCTGCCCGTGTCCTGGAGCCCCTGACTGCGGCCGTGAGGGGCCTTGTCTGCCTGTGTCCTGGAGCCCCTAACTGGGGGCCGTGGGGGGGTCTCGTCTGCCTGTGCCTAGCAGCGTCCCTGGTACTCAGCATGGTGCAGGGCGCTGGCTAAACGCTGAAGGACTAGCGGGCCCATAAGCATCCTGTGGAGGAGGTGAAGCCACCCGCTCTGGGCCCGAGATGCGTAGCTGGCATGCCTCACGTACCCTGTTTTCATGTACCCCTCTTCTTTGCGAGGCAGGTGAGTGTATTTAAAACACCTTAGCCAGCCTCAGATCTGGACTGCCACTAATTTCATGGAGGAAAGCCCCTTTTAACAGCCTACTCTCTGCTGGGGAAGGGAGGGGAGGGAAAGGGACGGGAAGGGAGGCCCTGCCCTGGGAGAAGGGAGAGCCACAACGCTCAGAATCCCTACAGAAACCCTAAGACAGGGAGGAGCAGGACCAACATGTGAAAGGCAAGAGAAAACACAGAAAACAAAAACAGACCCAGGGAGCTGACACAGATTCACACACTCAAGAAGGGCAAGGATTTTACAGTAACCACAATTCTCTTTCTGCTGCCCCTGGGCCTCCTGATTCGGGAAAGGCGAGGTATGCCTCTAACATTCCCAGAGCGGGTGCTGCAGGCCAAGGGGCTCGTCCGAGGACTGTGCCCAGGACGGCCCTCGCAGGCGGCAATGCCGGGGACCGATGCCCAGGACGGCCCTCGCAGGCGGCAATGCCGGGGACCGATGCCCAGGACGGCCCTCGCAGGCGGCAATGCCGGGGACCGATGCCCAGGACGGCCCTCGCAGGCGGCAATGCCGGGGACCGATGCCCAGGACGGCCCTCGCAGGCGGCAATGCCGGGGACCGATGCCCAGGACGGCCCTCGCAGGCGGCAATGCCGGGGACCGATGCCCAGGACGGCCCTCGCAGGCGGCAATGCCCGGGGAACGATGCCCAGGACGGCCCTCGCAGGCGGCAATGCCCGGGGACCGATGCCCAGGACGGCCCTCGCAGGCGGCAATGCCGGGGACCGATGCCCAGGACGGCCCTCACAGGCGGCAATGCCGGGGACCGATGCCCAGGATGGCCCTTGCAGGTGACAGTGCTGGGTAAAACCCGAAAGAAGAGCGGGTGCGGGGCCTGCACAGGGTGGGGAGGAGCCAAAACACTCCTGGGCATCATTGCCCTCCAGACACTGCCCCACGAGCAGCTTCCCTCCTCAGCCTGGGTGCTCAGCCCTCAGCCCCAGTTCTCACTTCCAGTCTTTAGACTCTCCATTACACTAAATGATTTTCTTCCCAATTAAGGCAGATTAGCAGGGGGTTCATATCTCAAGACTTTGATGCTGGGAGTGGGTGGGGCTGAGAGAGACCTCTCAGGAGGGGCTGGGGGATGCTGGAGCGTAGGGGTCAGCAGGGGCCAGAAAAGACCGTGGGGAGGGAGCAGGAGGCTTGAGGCGAGGGCTCGTGGGAGAAAGCCTGGCGCTGACAATGCTGGGGTAGCCTGGGGCGGCAGGAGCCCCAGGCCCTGTGCGTGTGGCGTTTCACCCTCCCACACTGGGGGTTGCTGTGGTGATGCCAATGCTGCGGCCCCCATGTAGCACCTGGGCCAAGCAGGCCACGTCTCTGTCGCCTCCAGCCTGGGGTGTGGGGGAGGCTCAGATGCCCTGGCAGGATGGAGAGGCCCATGGGGGCCACCTGACCAGGGTCTAGGCCACGCCTGTAGCTATGCCGCGGGGCTACTGTCATCACGCGGGGCAGGAAGAGGTCCCTCCCTCCTCTCCAGCCTGTCAGCTGCCATGCCCTAGGCCACGCTGAACGACTGGGGGCCACACAGAGAAGGCTGTGGAGGGGGTGGAGTTCCTGCCTGTCTCACCCTCCTGTGCCTCCCCCAGGACGGTGCTCAGGGGCCACGTCTGGATAGAGATGGGGGCAGCTCCGCCTGCGCCCACGTCCCGAGCCCTGTACCTGTCTGAAGTTCTCCCAGGAGTTGGTCCAGGTCCAGAAGTGAGCCTTGTGCTGCCCGAGGGTGGCCGCCATCAGCGTGTCGCCACGGTAATAGAAGATAGGCCTGTGGGATGGGAGGGGAGGACCATGTAATGACAGGAAGGACACGCTGGGGCCACCTGGAGGCTCTGGGCTGCGTCTGTCATCAGTGGCTCATGCCTCCACGTGAGGTCTTGGTTGATACTTTACAAAGATGATTGAAAAGTAAAAAGGCCCGCAAGGTGGCTGGGGCTGGGGTGCCTGGGCGGCCGGGGCTGGAGCTCCTGGGTGGCCAGGGCTGGGGTGACTGGGTATCTGGGGCGCCTGGGTGTCTGGGGCTGGGGTGTCTGGGCGGCCGGGGCTGGGGTGACTGGGTGTTTGGGCGGCCGGGGCTGGGGTGACTGGGTGTCTAGGGTGCCTGGGTGTCTGGGGCGCCTGGGTGTCTGGGGCTGGGGTGTCTGGGTGGCCAGGGCTGGGGTGCCTGGGTGTTTGGGCAGCCGGGGCTGGGGTGCCTGGGTGGCCGGGGCGACTGGGTATCTGGGGTGCCTGGGTGTCTGGGGCTGGGGTGTCTGGGCAACCGGGGCTGGGGTGGCTGGGTGTCTGGGTGGCCGGGGCTGGGGTGACTGGGTGTCTGGGGTGCCTGGGTGTCTAGGGCTGGAGTGCCTGGGCGGCCAGGGCTGGGGTACCTGGGTGTCTGGGCGGCCGGGGCTGGGGTGCCTGGATGTCTGGGGCTGGGGTTTCTGGGCAGCCGGGGCTGGGGTGCCTGGGTGTCCGGGACTGGGATTCCTGGGCAGCTGGGGCTGGGGTGCCTGGGTGTCTGGGGTGCCTGGGCGGCCGGGGCTAGGGTGCCTGGGCGTCCCCTCATTGCTGGTCCTTGGCAAGGCTGGGCCAGACCCTGGGGAGGGTGGGCAGACAAGAGGATAAGCAGGCGGCACGGGGTCTCCTGACCATGTTGGGCCTGCGAGTCAGGAACGGGGAGTGGGGGACGCAGCTGGGCACCGTCTCTCCCCACAGTGACCAACCACTTGTGCCAGGTCTCGAGAGGGGACAAGTGAGCAAAACTCCCTCTACCCGGCCCCAGATAGCCGGAGGCGGCAGCTGCCTTGGGCCGTCCCCACCTTGCTTCCCGTTGAGCCTTTGGAATCCTCATCCCTTCAGGACCACCCAGGAAACGTGGTTTGAGTGGAATGGTGGCTGCTCTCAGGGGGTAGGAAATGGACTTTGGACACTAAGGATTTGGACAGAAGGTAAGAGCTGGGCCATGGACTTGGCAGAGCAGCGACTTGGATGGAAGGAAGAAGGAAGCTACAGGAAGCCATGAGGCACCAAAAACCAGGCTGGGCAGGGAACAGGGGTGGGGCAGACAGGGGCAGCGTGTGCCCGGGCTACAGACAGGGAACAGGGGTGGGGCGGGCAGGGGCGGCGTGTGCCCAGGTACAGGCAGGCAACAGGGGTGGGGCAGGCAGGGGTGGCATGTGCCCGGGCTGCAGGCAGGGAACAGGGGTGGGGCGGACAGGGGCGGCGTGTGTCTGGGTACAGGCAGGGAACAGGGGTGCGGCGGACAGGGGTGGCGTGTGTCTGGGTACAGGCAGGGAACAGGGGTGGGGCGGGCAGGGGCGGCATGTGCCCGGGTACAGGCAGGGATGAGGCCCCTCTCCTGGCCTTGCCCTCCCTCCTAAGGCTTTCTTGAAAGCCAGGGCCTCGCTGTGCTTGGACCCTCCCAGGATGGCCCCTGCCCCACAGGCAGGTCCCCAGGTCCTCTCGTCTCAGGCACCCCTGCCTCCTCCTGCCCTGGGCACGAGCACGCCTGTGTCCAGAACCAGGAGGGCTGCTGGGCCTGGGGGTTGCACCTGATTAGCAGCTCTGGGCTTCACTACTTGGATCGGGGGAAGGGGCCGGGGCAGGTCTAGCACCAACCTGTCCATCAGCCGGCCCTGCAGGAGGGTGGGGAGGAGGTTGAGGCCATCAATGGCCCTGTCGCTGGGCGGCGTCAGGCCCGCAAGGGCCAGGCTGGTGGTGAAGAGGTCCATGATGCTGCCCAGCTGGTGGCTCACCTGAAACACATGGCAGCAACACGGTCAGGGCACTCTGCACCGACCCGATGGGGCTGGGGGCCAATCCCTGGGGGGGCGTGAGCCCCGCTGCCCAGCTGGGTCTACAGATATGCATACATGCTCACACGCCCACAGCAGGGACTGAGCGGGGTCACAAGGCCTGTGAGAGACAGAGGAGCCTCAAACCAGGCCCAAAGACCCCAGAGCCAGGCCACGCCCTCACTCCCTGGCACCCTTCTCTGCCTCTGTGGATCAGATGAAAGGAGAATCACAGCCCTCCCAGGGAGATGCCCCTCCAGGCCCACCTGTCCGGAGAGGATCAGCCTCGCTCTAACACTGAATGCCCTAAGGCCACTGTGAGCCCTGCCCCTTAAGTCAGAGGAGCAGGTGGAGAAAAACCAGATGTGGAGGGGCAGCTGAGGCTGGACAGGAGCAGCTCCGAGTGGCTGGGGTGGGGACGGCTCCTGACACACCCAGAGAGCTCCAGGACAGGCAGGAGGCTGTCTTTCCCGCCGTGCCTTGACCTCCGGAGGGCGTGGGCACTGCTGACCAGCCATGAGCAGAGCGTGCCATCTGGCTTCCCTCAGTGGCCCTGTCTGCTTCTTGTTTTTTGTTTTTGTTTTTTGAGATGGAGTTTTGTTCTTGTCACCCAGGCTGGAGTGCAGTGGTGCGATCTCAGCTCACCACAACCTCTGCCTTCCAGGTTCAAGTGATTCTCCTGACTCAGTCTCCCGAGAAGCTGGGATTACAGGTATGTGTCACTACGCCCGGCTAATTTTGTACTTTTAGTAGAGACGGGGTTTCTCCATGTTGGTCAGGCTGGTCTCGAACTCCCAACCTCAGGTGATCTGCCCGCCTCAGCCTCCCAAAGTGCTGGGATTACAGGCATGAGCCCGGCGGCCCTGTCTCTTTCTTAACTCGGGGGCTCCAGGCTTGGGTCACTCGACGGGGAGACTGGGGTGGGGCTGGAGAGACACCCCTGCCTGGCAAGCTCAGCCCCTGGGGCAGCTGGGCAGGGACCGCCATCCGCTGCCAGGCCCTGGAGCTCCCACCCAGTGTCGACAGCCCTCCCCACGGTCCAGGGGCACCCTCGCCGCCTGCAGCCAGCTCCTCGCTAGGGCAGACGGCGATCGCCAGCTTCTCCAACAGAGGAGCCCTGGCCTCACAGGGACACTCACTCCGCGCTGCAGCCGCTCACGGGATGTGGGGTCTGCAGCGCCCAGTGTGGGGCAGGGAATGCAAAGCTCAGCGTTTGCCAGGAAAGTTCAGGAAGCTTTGCAGAAGGTGAGAAGCTTCCCCAGGTCTGGTCAGCAGTGTCTGTGCGACTGCTTCCCGTCCTTCCCGTGTCCTTTAAAGGACAGAATAATAAAGGAAAGAAATCCAGATGCTTTTGTCATCTGAAAAAATAACTGCGGAGCAGTGCTTGTGGTGCCGGCAGGGCGGGCGGGCGGGAGTGGTGTCAGCACAGGCAGGGTCCTCGTGGAGCGTTTTCGAAGAACTCTCCAGGCAGCGATGCCTTCCAGAAACATCCAGAAATGCAGTGGGCAGCTGCGGCTGTGGGAGAAGTCACTGAAACCGTTATCAGCGCTTTCGAGACTTCACTCAGAATCCAGGGCTGCAGGGACTAAAGCCTCCCCTGCCCAGAGGGAACTGTCGGGACAGACGTCAGGCGCTTTCACTGAAACCCCGTCGTGGTGTCCTGGTGCACAGGCCTGATGCCATCGAATTCAATTTCACTTTGTGGCCCACGGGAAAAGGCAACTTGGTGGCTCTGGGAAGAGGGTTTCCCTTCCTCAGGTGGGGAGAGGGTTTCCCTTCTTCAGGGAGCGAGGCAGATGGCAAGGTTCCAAAACGCTGAAATTGGCATTTTTCTCAGCTGGAGCCTTTCCGTGGGCAGGTGGGTGGGGAGGTCTGTGGGGTACAGACGTCCCTGAACCCACTACGCATGGAGCCGGGCGGCGCTGGGGTGGCTCCCCTCACCTTTTCCAGGCTGCTGCTGAGCACAGCCACGGGTGGCTCCCAGCCTGGGGAGCAGAGCCCCAGCCCTGTCCCGGCCTGGTGGGCACCCACTGCAGTGGGGAACCTCACATCTCCCAGACCTACGCAGGTCCCGAGTCTCATGCCATCGTCTCCCAGACCTACGCGGGTCCCGGGTCTCACGCCATCGTCTCCCAGACCTACGCGGGTCCCGAGTCTCACGCCAACGTCTCCCAGAGCTACACGGGTCCCGAGTCTCATGCCAACGTCTCCCAGAGCTACACAGTTCCTGAGTCTCATGCCAACGTCTCCCAGAGCTACGCGGGTCCCGAGTCTCATGCCAACGTCTCCCAGAGCTACACAGTTCCTGAGTCTCATGCCAACGTCACAGTGTTCACTGAGTGACCACCGGCCACTCCCTGCAGGTGCCCCCACACAAGAAACCAAATGGCCCATCCCTACCCTCAGGGGGATGGCGCTCAGGGGAGTGGAGGGGGCGGCACAGCTGCATTCTGTCCTAGGGGCACCCCACACCACAAAGGAGGCCGTGCCCACCACCCATGCTTCTCCTGCACAACAAGGCGGTCACTCTCACAGCCACTCTGCCCTTCACACGGAGCCGCAGCTGCCTTTTCAGTGAACCGTGGGGTCTCTTCCACCTTCAGGGTCCTGGGAACTTGGGGTGGCCCAGGAGTCCCATGTCAGACAAAGGCTGCCCTGGGCAGGGTCTGAGGGAGGCCCAGACAGCTGTAGAGAACAGGCGCCCTTGGCAGTTGCCGCCCCCAGTCCCACTGGCTGCTGGGGACACAGGGGACTGCCCAGGCATGGTGGGCAGGAGTGCAGGATCCACAGCCAGGCGCCTGCTCCCACCTCTGCTCCCTAGTAATTGGGGGACCCTGACAGACGACTTCCTCTCTGGCCTCAGTTTCCTGATGTGTAGAATGAGTGGGGAAGAGGAGGATCTGGCAGAACAGCAGCCAATCCCTGGGCCTTCAGGCGCGCGACCAGGCCAGGCAATTGAGGCGGCAGACACAACGCAGGCCGCTCATCAGCGAGGCTCGAAACAGGGAGGCCAGCCTGGGTGAGCAGGGGGTGGGGTGGGACACAGCCACAGGGTCCTCAAAAGTGGAACAGGCGCCGGGCGCGGTGGCTCACGCCTGTAATCCCAACACTTTCGGAGGCCGAGGCGGGCAGATCACGAGGTCAGGAGATTGAGACCATACTGGCCAACATAGTGAAACTCCGTCTCTACTAAAAATACAAAAATTAGCCGGGCATGGTAGAGCATGCCTGTAGTCCCAGCTACTCGGGAGGCTGAGGCAGGAGAATCGCTTGAATCTGGGAGGTAGAAGTTGCAGTGAGCCGAGATTGCACTACTGCACTCCAGCCTGGGCAACAGAGTGAGACTTCATCTCAAAAAAAAAAAAAAAAAAAAAAAAAACGTGGAACAGGAAGGCCAGGGACAGATGCCTGCGTGCTGCTGGCTTTGACGGTGGAGGGGCCAGGAGCTCAGGAATGGGGCAGCTACTAGGATTGGGAAAAGGCAGGGAACAGAACATCTCCTGGAGCCTCCAGAAGGAGCTGGCCCCACGCACGTCTTCACTCAGCCCCATGAGCCCCATGTTGACTCTGGCTGTCGTCATGTGTGATGTTCCAGCTGCCACTGGGAGCCCCCCCCATCCTCGTGGGGCCACTTGAAGGGGATGGCTGCCTCTGGAGGCCATTGGGAGGGCAAAAGACTAAGAAACAGTGAAGAAACAGCGGTCGTTTACAAACACCAGACTCAGCCCCGCGTGTTGATGGGTATGTCTGGCTCAAGTGCCTGTTACAGAAGACCACACGGTGTGATTCTCAACCGAGGGGCAGCTTCCTGGGCCAGAGGAGATGCAGTGACAGCATGAAGGTGGTCACACTGAGATGGCAGGGCGCACCCTCGCCCAGCCAGGACCCAGGCCACCACCGAGGTCCGCACCCCATGCGGCAGACAGACACCAACGGTCTCGTGTCGGGCTGCTGCTGTTCTCTGAGTGTCCTTAGGACACTGGCCTGAGAAGATGTGCTTTGGGGGAAAAAACGACCGATTCTGTAGTAGACAGACAGGTTTTTAAACACTCAGCCTGCTCTAAGCCCCTTCTAGAAGCTCATGGTGCCCACCAGCATGCTAAAGGCACTGATAAGTCCTGCAGGGAAGAAACCTGTTTAGCTCCATTTAACTCAGGACTGCTGCGGTGACTGGACCACGGATGTCTCCTCACCACACAGTCATTACCAGCACCCACGTGACACACGGCAGTATACGTGGCTCCAGTCCCCACCGAGAGCCTTCCTGCCTGTCTGACCAAGCACAGCAAGCCCTACACACCGAGAGCCACCGAGAGGGACCTGGTTCCGAGGAGAGCGGTGAGGCCGAGCACGGGGTGCGTGGGGAGGAGAGCGGTGAGGCCGAGCACGGGGTGCGTGGGGAGGAGAGCGGTGAGGCCGAGCACGGGGTGCGTGGGGAGGAGAGCGGTGAGGCCGAGCACGGGGAGCGTGGGGAGGAGAGCGGTGAGGCCGAGCACGGGGTGCGTGGGGAGGAGAGCGGTGAGGCCGAGCACGGGGTGCGTGGGGAGGAGAGCGGTGAGGCCGAGCACGGGGTGCGTGGGGAGGAGAGCGGTGAGGCCGAGCACGGGGTGCGTGGGGAGGAGAGCGGTGAGGCCGAGCACGGGGTGCGTGGGGAGGAGAGCGGTGAGGCCGAGCACGGGGTGCGTGGGGAGGAGAGCGGTGAGGCCGAGCACGGGGTGCGTGGGGAGGAGAGCGGTGAGGCCGAGCACGGGGAGCGTGGGGAGGAGAGCGGTGAGGCCGAGCACGGGGTGCGTGGGGAGGAGAGCGGTGAGGCCGAGCACGGGGTGCGTGGGGAGGAGAGCGGTGAGGCCGAGCACGGGGTGCGTGGGGAGGAGAGCGGTGAGGCCGAGCACGGGGTGCGTGGGGAGGAGAGCGGTGAGGCCGAGCACGGGGAGCGTGGGGAGGAGGGTGGTGAGGCTGAGCATGGGGTGCGTGGAGGCTGAGCACAGGGTGCGTGGGGAGGAGAGCGGTGAGGATGAGCACGGGGTGCATGGGGGAGGTGGCCAGTGAGGGGCGCACACACCCTGGGATGGCTGCAGGCCTGGACCTGCTGCCCGGCAGACCGGTGGACGCTGACTCACCTGGCCTGCAGTGACGTGCCCTGGCCACCATGCGAGGGCAGGCTCCCTCATCCCTCCTTCAAACGTGGTCTGCTTCCCACACAGAAAGGGGCCGTTGCTGCCACCTGGGAGAGAGGGGCCCTTGTCAGGCCACTGGGACCAGATGTCCCCAGGCCCTCCCCCTCCCTCCCCACTGAGTCACTGAGACTGGTCATAGGGACAAAGGGCCCGGCCAAGGCACTCTGGCTGGAGTGCATGATCCGAGCCTCGGGGTGGCTCTCCAGGGGCTCATCTGAGATGCCGCGGCTGCAAAGTCTCCTGGAGAAAGTGGGGACATCATGCCCACTGAGGAAATGGAAACACAACCATACGGTGTCAGCAAGACTCAGAGAGGTACACTCCCGCAGCAGAGGCCCTGGGTGCCACGTGCGCAGCTGCCGACTGGTGCTTCCCGAACGTGAATGTTCACAAGCCTCCCGGTGTTTGGGGTACTTAAAATGCAGCCAACTTCTGGCCTCCCCATGGTTCTGACTCAGTCAGTCACGGTGGGGCGTAGGAATCTGTGTTTCTGACAAGCCCCCAAGACCGGATTTTGGTTTCTGAACCATCACTTGTGGGAAGTGGTCACGGGGCAAAGGCCATCTCAGGTGACTACACCATCCCTGGCTCACTCCCAGACATGGAAGAAGGGGGTGGGGGGCCCACGTCAGGGACAAAAGCCACCCCTGCTGCTGTAGCCTGAGCCACTTGAGGCTCTCTCAGCTTCGGGTCCCCTGAATAAAAGGGAAAAAGGAAACGAAGGGGCCGGCTGCGGTGGCTCATACCTGTCATCCCAGTACCTTGGGAGGCCGAAGCAGGGGGACTGCTTGAACTCGGGAGTTCAAGACTAGCCTAGACTGGTTTCTACCAAAGAGAGACCACGGCTAAACCCCATCTCTACAAAAATACAAAAATTAGCTGGGTGTGGCGGCACGTCCTGTAGTCCCAGCTACTCAGGAGGCTGAGGTGGGAGGATTGCTGGAGCCCAGGAGGTCAAGGCTACAGTGAGCTGAGATCGCGCCACTGCACTCCAGCCTGGGCAACAGAGCGAGACTCCTTCTCAAAAAAAAAAAAAAAAAAAAAAAGAAAATATTTTTCCGGCAGTGAAAAAGTGAACCATCCAGGGGAGGCAAAGTCACCGCAGCTCCTTCCTGCGCTGCCATCCAACCCCGAGCGGCAGCGTGGGGAAGCCTCTGAACGGAACCTCGCAGGCAGCTCTGCTCAGAGCCCCTCACGGGCAAACACGCCAACACCCGCAACCCGGCCTGTCTCAGGGAGGGCCCTGCTCACAGCAGCAGAGCCACAGAACCTGTGAAGGGACAATGGACACTGAGCTGGGGACACTGGCCACTTCTAGGGGACACTCAGGCTCACAGGAGGCCATGCTGTGCTTCTTCTCCTTCCCTCCCTCCCTTTCTTTCCTTCTCTCTCCCATCCCCTTTTTTTTTTTTTTTGACATGGAGTCTCGCTCTGTCGCCCAGGCTGGAGTGCAGTGGTGCGATCTCGGCTCACTGCAAGCTCCGCCTCCCGGGTTCAAGTCATTCTCTTGACTTAGCCTGCCCAGCAGCTGGGACTACAGGTGCCCGCCACCACGCCTGGCTAATTTTTTGTTTTTCAGTAGAGATGGGGTTTCACCGTGTTAGCCAGGATGGTCTCGACCTCCTGACCTCGTGATCCACCCGCCTCAGCCTCCCAAAGTGCTGGGATTACAGGTGTGAGCCACCACGCCCAGCCCCCTCCCCTGCTTTCTTTCTCTGGGATGTTCTGTTTCTAGTCTTGTGCTGGGTGCTGGGTGTGTGGGTTCTCATCTTGTTACAAATAGGTACATATACCATTTGTTGGTATGAAACATGCCATTTGTTGGTATGAAACATTCCATCATTTAGAAATGAAGACTCAGGTCGCTGGGACCCTTGCCCCTGCTGGCTGGTGGTTGTGGGTGCTGGCGTCGAGGTGGGCCCCCCCGGGCTCCCCATGGGGAATGACGGCCAACACCACCCTCCCCCCACCCAGCACCCTGCCTCCTGGGAGCTGCCTGTAGCCCTCCACACATGGGTCTGTTGGGGGCCTCGACTCGTGGGTCTGACTCCAGTGGGCGGGAGATGGAGCTGTCCGGAGGGCCTGCACGAGAGCCAGGCTCACCCAGGGGAGCTATCTGGTGGGACGTGGCGCGAGGGAGCCTATGCTTCTGTTTTGGCTTTCAGCTGTGCTGGTTTCTATCACTTGAAACTCTGAAGCCCCCAATCCCCGCAGCACACTGGGCTGTAGGCGCCCCCCGACATGGTCTGGGACGAGGCTGTAGGGCTCTCCCCACCACGTGGTCTGGGAAGAGGCTGCAGGGCCCCCCCCCGCGTGGTCTGGGAAGAGGCTGCAGGGCCCCCCCGCGTGGTCTGGGAAGAGGCTGCAGGGCCCCCCTCAGCGTGGTCTGGGAAGAGGCTGTAGGGCCCCCCCCGTGTGGTCTGGGAAGAGGCTGCAGGGCCCCCCTCAGCGTGGTCTGGGAAGAGGCTGTAGGGCTCTCCCCACCGCGTGGTCTGGGAAGAGGCTGCAGGGCCCCCCTCAGCGTGGTCTGGGAAGAGGCTGTAGGGCCCCCCCCGTGTGGTCTGGGAAGAGGCTGCAGGGCCCCCCCCCGCGTGGTCTGGGAAGAGGCGGGTTCAGGTTTGTTGGCGCTGGGGATGGGTCAGGCATTCATCAGTGCCGAGCGGGGGAAAGGCTGAAGCTCCATCCCAGGAACCACTTGACAGGGCTGTGGTGGGGGCAGGAGTCCATCTTCATGGAGGCAGCCCGGCCCCTGGGTGACCAGGTCCAGGCCACACTCACAGGGCTGCTCGGGGTCTGGGGTGCCGGCCCCCACCTCAGCAGGGACACCCTGCTCCACCGGCCCTGCTGTTTCCATGCGGCCTCCAAAGCCTCCGGCCTCCGGGGTCACCCTTCGGGAGGCGTCAGCCTCTTCCAAGACAAACCCTCTCCCCTGTGTCACCTCCTCCCCACCCCCAAGTTCAAGGTCACTCCTGCTTCCAGGTTAGTCCTGGGCCAGAAGGGCCTTGCTCGAGGCTCGGTGACATCTGCTCCTCCCGCTGGACCCAGAGGGACCCTTCATGCTCTGCCCACCACAGACCCCGTGGGCACAGCCGGTCCAGGCACTCTTCGCTGACACGCTGGCTGTGGGGAAACCGTGAGAAGTGACAGCGAGCACTCACCTTGTTCGGGGGCGGAAATGAGGGCAGCGCCGTTGTCCGACGTGAAGAAGACGAAGGTGTTGTCCGCGACGTGCAGGTCTTGGAGGAGCTCCAGTATCTTCCCAATGCTGTCATCAATCTCCCGGACGGCGTCTCCATACCTGCAGGATGGTGACAAAAGGCATCTCCATACCTGGAGGATGGTGACAAATGGATCAGGCAGCCAACGGCATACTGTGATTCACGGAGTTCATTAAATCATAACTTCACAGACCACAGTGAAACTGGCCGGCCTCTTCCCAGAAGAGGAATGGCCTCAGTTCAAGTTCATGTGGCTTATGAAGGACAGAGCCAGCACCCCCACCACAGCCCTCCTCTGCTGATCCCAGGCCAGTGGACGGCTTCAAAGGGGTGGGGTTGCTCTGGCCTTTCCATAATTGGCCTAAATGCCACGGTACTGAGTGTCCCATCTCTGGAGTCAAGCACAGCTGGGGCCTCCAGCGAGGTCTATGCTCCATGGAGCCAGGACTCACCGCCCTCGCTGACTGGTGCCCAAGAAGGGTTTGGAGGCATAGACGGGTGCGTGCGTGGCGTCGACAGCCCAGTAGAGGAAAAAGGGGTGGTGCCGTGCCTGTCTCTTAATGAAGTCCAGGGCTTCCTATGGAGAGAGCCACACCGTCGTCCTCCAGCCTCAGGCCGACCTCCTCATGCCTCCCACGGTCCCCGTCCCCACACGTCCCACGGGGCGAGGTTGGTGCGGTCCCCGTCCCCACGCGTCCCACGGGGCAAGGTTGGTGCGGTCCCCGTCCCCACGCGTCCCACGGGGCGAGGATGGTGCGGTCCCCGTCCCCACGCGTCCCACGGGGCGAGGGTGATGAGGTCCCTGAACCCATGCCTCCCACGGGGTGAGGTTGATGCATTCCTGTCCCCACGCCTCCCACAGGATGAGGTTGGTGCGGTCCCCGTCCCCATGCGTCCCACAGGGCGAGGATGGTGCGGTCCCCATCACCTGCAGGTAGATCTGGGTGAGGTTGGCTTCCCCCGTCTTCAGATTAATAGGAAATTCTTCATAATATCTGAAAAGAACACAGATCCAGACAGACTTCAGAATTTAGGCCAAGAAAGTCCCGTTCTCCCTGATTTCACCAGCAAAGCCATGGGCTTCATTTAAAAGAAGGCTAGGGCTGGGCGTCATGGCTCATGCCTGTAATCCCAGCATTTTGGGAGGCTGAGGAAGGTGGATCATGAGGTCAGGAATTTGAGACCAGCCTGGGCAACATGGTGAAACTCTGTCTCTACTAAAAATACAAAAATTAGCTGGGCGTGGTGGCGCACGCCTGTAATCCCAGCTACTTGAGAGGCTGAGGCAGGAGAATTGCTTGAACCCAGGAGGCGGAGGTTGCAGTGAGCCGAGATCGCGCCACTGCAATCCACCCTGGGTGACAGAGCAAGATCCTGTCTCAAGAAAAAAAAAAAAAAGGAAGCCTGGAAATGAAATGTCCACTCAGGGAACAACCAAGCTGGACGCATCCCTCGCTCCCCCAGGGCACGGTCTTGCATCTGATGACCTGGCTGAGGCCGGTGCTGCAATAACCTGCCACATGGGAAGATGGGGGAATGGGGCTGAGGGCACGACACCAAGGTGAAGGCAGTGAGGCGGCTGTGGTCACTCGGCTGGGGCTGGGGAGCCGCCGCTCAGGCCATGGGGCTCGTTCTGAAGCAGCTACAGTGCTGGTTGTCCCAGCCTGTGACTAATGCCAACCACAGAACTGCACACTTCAAATGGGGGCTGCGTGGTGCGACTCCCACACCTCCACGGGGCTCTATCTAGAAAGAGGCAGCAAGCTGGTGCTGCTTCTGGTCACCGTCATGTAATGAATGAGCACTTCCGCCAAGAAGAGTCAAGTTAAGCAAAATAAAATTCACAAAAGATGAGGGTCCCGGACCCGGCACTGCCGTGTCAAGAGGTGCTGCCCCCACGCCCGGGCACCAGGACGGCTCTGTCTGGACAGCGGCTTTTGCTCCTGGTGTGGCTCCCAGTGGGGGTTTCATCCCACCTCCTGTCCTGCCCATGTCCCTGGATGTCTGGAGCACAGCCGGCCTCCCCACCCGTAGACCACATGGGCAGTACCCTGACAGCTAGGGCAGACCGTGTGGGCTCGCTCTGCTGGGGGCCTTCCTCTCTCAGGACAGCTACAGGGATCTACGACCCTGAAAAGGTGGGAAACCCCAGGCAGGAGTCTCATAGGCTCTGGGGCAAAACTTGGTGGGACAGAAGCCACCAAACCAAAGCCCTCGGTGCCCGGGGACCCAGGGACAGACCAGCCCTCATGAGTGGCGACTTGAGCCCACCAGTGCTAGAGGCGGGGGGCAGGCACGCCGGGCACAGCAGTTCAGGACGTGGGAGGGGAAGGGGTGGGGCTCCATTACCTGCCAACCATCTCCCAGTCCCTGTACACAGGGATGTTGGGCCTGGCCTTGTTGTCATAAGGTCCAAAGTGGCAGTTGGGGGATCCAAACCACTCATCAAATCCGTGCTTCAGGGGGTGGAACTGGGGCCTGTGACCCAGATGCCTGGAAACAGGAACCCAGGACACTTCAGGGACCCCACGTGGGGACACTCGGAAGTTCTGAGCAGCAACAGATACCACCTTCACAAAATTCTTGGTAAGACGAGCACCCTCCAGCACTGAGTATGGGCTATGCCTGGGCACGGCAGGGACAAAAGACCAAGGCCTCACCCGAGGAGGGTGCTGGCACTGCCCGCCTACCCTGCAGAGCGTCTGGGCACAACCGAGGGCGGCAGGCATGGCGGCGGCCGGGGTTCCCTGCACGGTGAAGGGTGGTGCATCGTGAGGAGCCTCCCAGCCGCCTGGAACCCGCCTGACATGCCCCTCGTGGCCCCGGCTCCTTCCTTCCACGTTTTCTGAACTCCCAGGAGAGTTTTGCGGGTCATGCCTCGAACCCAAGTGTGTCTCCTCTGGGTTTTCCAGGGCAGAAAATATTTCCTGCCAGGTAATTACTGGGTCTCTCCACACCGAGGCGCTCAGAGTCTCATCTCCCAGTTCAGGGCAATGGCCCCAGGATGACGACTGGGCGGGGCGTTGTGTGCCGTGCGGGAGCCCCGGGGCCTGCCAGCTGTACCCACATCCCCAGGACCCTGGCAGAGGCAGGGATTAGAGTGACGACAAGAGAACGTGACAGTGTGGCCACACTGGTGACCTCCACCAACCGCTCTCCTGGGACCGGGGTTCACCTGCTGGGAATGGCCATCGCCAGGCATCACACCCCAGGCCTGTGGGAACCCCTCCAGACCCCGTCCCGCACTCCCCTTCTGACAATCCCCCGCAGACCTTGTGCTCCCACCCTCTGGTGGCACCTAATCTCATCCTCCGGCCCACAGCAGCCCTGCAGGCCACACCTCTGTGCCCACTCGCCCTGGCCCCCAGGCCAGCTGTCCGGGTTTCCTTGCGCAGCCTGTCCTGTCCTGGAACGAATCCAGCTTGCGGCTGCTCTTCAGAACGGGCTGCAGGAGAGGTGGTATGAGATGGCTTCTAGGCACGGCCGTGGGCGGGTCTCACGTCAGTTGCGTGTCGTCTGAGGAAAGTTCTTCTGCAGCTACGGCTTTGAAAGCAGCATCCCCGACGCAGATTTCCCCGAGGCAGATTTCACCACAGCAGATTTCTGCTGCCTCCCTGGACATGGCCTCTGTACCCTGGACCTCCCGAGCTGCCTCTCCCCATCTCCTCTCTCAGGTAAGCACGCCTGGACCTCTCTGTGACCTCAGAGCTCCCTTGGCTGCCAACTCCGGGCTGTTTCCTTTGGGTCTTCAGCACTTGGGCCCATTGCTAGAGCACCCCGACATCCCTGAACACCCCAGGCAGGTCACCACCCAGCCACAGGGGACACTCGTGCGTCCACGTCCGCAGGTCACCGCCCAACCACAGGGGACACTCGTGCGCCCACGTCCGCTGGTCACCGCCCGGCCACAGGGGACACTCGTGCGCCCACGTCCACAGGTCACCGCCCGGCCACAGGGGACACTCGTGCGCCCACGTCCGCAGGTCACCGCCCGGCCACAGGGGACACTCGTGCGCCAACGTCCGCAGGTCACCGCCCGGCCACAGGGGACACTCGTGCTTCCACGTCCGCAGCACAAAGGCCTTGCTCAGGGGAAGCACATGGGCAGGACGCTACACAAATTAAGCTGTCAGCTCAACGTCCTTGTCCGAAAGCAGCAGTGGGGCCTGGCACTCACCAGCAGGTGACCTGGAGCAGGGAGTGTCCGCGGCCCTCTGGGACTCAAGTCCCTGCCCTGCACACCCGCGTGGCTTCATGCAGATCAAGCAGCCTCTTTTTGAGTCCAGGTGAGGGGCCTCAGGGAAGTCTGAGTCATGGCTGACAACACCCCTACTGCCCTGAGAGGGGACCCTGCTGGGATAGGGACCCCCCCACCTGACTGAGCAGCCGCTGTAGGACCCAGCCCGGGCCATCCAGCCACTGCACCATGTGCGGGAGGAGCCTGGGGCTCTGAGGTCTGCCTGGCTCCTGCTCCCACTCCTTGGGGTCCCCTCTCTCCCGTCGACAGCTGTTCAGGAGCCTCGAGGCCTCTATGGAGACCCACTCCCTGTCTAGCTCTGGCCACCGGCACCAATGACCATGCATAGGAGGCCGCTGGGCCCAAGACAGAGCTGCCAGGCCAGGCGGAGAGCTCTGGGTCACTGTGGGGCTTGTCACTTGGAGAGGCCACCGGCTCTTCCTCCTGTTGGCACAGTACTCACGCGCTCCAGTGGCCCTCGGGGGCTGACTTCCGCCATGGCCCCTGGCACTGGCTCAGGGACTATGCAGGCTGCGTGGGGCCCAACCTCCCTGTGTGAGGACTCTGCAGCTGCTGTGCCCATCAGCTCTGCCCTGTGCTTTCTGAGAGCTCAGCTCGGCAGGCTGCTTCCTCTCATCTGAAGAATGATGAAGTGCTCCCTAGACAGCCTCTGGGTCCTCCTCATCCAGTGATCAAGCTCAGCAAATTCCTGGCTGCCATGACCATCTACATCCAAGGAGCATCCATCTGAAGGGGACCGGCAGGAGCCACAGGCAGCCGACTGGGGATCACAGAGGCTGGGAAAGCAGCAAGGGCTTCCTGGAGGAGGCGGCATGCGGACCTGACAGGCGGGGAACGCTCCAACAAGTGGAGAGAAATTCGGGACAGGTGACTCCTACCCAACCCTCTAGGCTCACTCAGGCGTCCCAGGGAGTAAAAGAAATGAAACATCCTGTGCGCCTAAAACCGCAGCGTGGGGGCTGTGTAGCACCCAAGCTCTCATCAGCTCAGGATTTCATCAACTGCTAGGCTGTTACTCTCCTTCCTGGTGGCTTCTTTGTGGTTTAGACCAGAGCTTTCACCATCCAACAGGCCCCTAGGGTGGACAGGCAGCTCCTCCGCCACAGCTCCTGTGTGTAATGACGTGGCCCCTCCAAGGACGACGTGGCAGGAGGCAGCCGGGGGGCAGTGGTGGCGGGTGCTAGGGGCTGTGACTCGAGGGATGACGGTGACAGGCCTGCGGAGTCTGATGCCGCAGGATACTCGCGGCCGTGGGACCAGCCTGGTGACCTGAGATCCTGCTGGCAAGGTCACGCTGGCCTGCACAGGGACGCTGGAGACACCTGAACACACCCAGAATCAGCTGCCGTTTCCCACCCAAGACACCCTCCTCATTTGGAAACTTGTGGCCATGTCCCTTGGAACCAAGGCCAGGAAGTGGATGGAGCAGGACGCCTGGGCAGGCGTGGCCAGGAGACTTACCACTTGCCGACAATCTTGCTGACGTAGCCGGCCTTCTTCAGAAGCTCCGGCAGGAGCTGCTCCGAGTCTGGGATGCCGCCCACAATCTCCTGCGGTGTGTAGGCTGGAAGAGCAGCGCTGGGTGAGCCCCGAGGAGACCCCGAGAAGCTGCCACCAACCCCATCCTAACAGGACACTGGGGGCTGCGTCCACACATCCTAACAGGACACTGGCCCCTCGGGGTCAAAGGCTGTGCCTGGGGGCTGCGCGTCCACAGGGCATGGCACTTCCCAAGATTTTTCCAGGCACCCCTCAGAGCCAGTGCCATCACCAGAGGGTGGGGACGGGGCAGACTCCGTGCCCCCCAGCGCCTTCCTTGGGACTCCTGCCCACCCTCAGGCCCCACCCTGCCTCTCAGGCCAGCCTCCCACCTGCCTGGTCTCCAGGGGTCTCTGGAATATGCCACGTGATGCTGCACTGCCCCACCCCTGCCTCCCCCGTCCTTCCCTTTCCTCAAATGCCACTGGAAATCCCACTTCCCCTGTGAGATGCCCCTGGGGAGCCCATCCAAACCCCTCAAGCACAGCGATTCCAGAACATTCCAGAACTGCCGCTGATGCCACAGCCCCGGCCTCCCTGTGGGTGTGCGGCTCACCCGCCTGGGGAGTGGGAGCTTCTGGGGTGGGGGTGCCGGCTCAGCTCCTTAGGCCAGACTGGGCACCCTCCGCTCAGTCCCCACTGGGCCAGGGCAGGGAAGGAAGCCAGCTAGGGGGGCCTGCACTTCCACCTAAGTCCCAGAGACCCAGGCACCAGCGGTACCCCACCTGCAGCTTGCCACCCGAGTCCCGGAGACACGGGCACCACCCGTAGCCCACCTGCCCAACCCTGCACCCCAAGGGTGTCCCTGGAGGCGGTGGGCAGCCTACCGTTTCTGGCATGGGCGTTGGTGGTGTAGAAGCCATTGCGGATGGGTAGCCGTCCTGTGAGCAGTGCCGCCCTCGCTATGTGGAGGTGACAGAAACAGAAACTGGATAAGAAGGGTGTGGCTCAGACCCCGGGCGTCAACAAGAGCCCCAACGAGTAGACAGACGCGTGACAGACGAGGCACGCGCAGGTTTACAAGGGGCTGCCACGCCTGTCAATCCCCGTTAGCGTCTCCACCACCTGGGTGGGGCACGGCACCCATTCCACTGAAAGACGCGTGGCCCTTGGGCCCTGCAGCTCAGCGTTGTCCCCAAGACCCCGCCTCCTTTCGCAGGCTCCTGGGACACCCACTGGGCGTGCAGGTCCACACGCCCCCATCCTCGAGCACCAGCCCCGTGCCCTGCCTTCTCCTCTTCCTCACGATCAACACCACATGTTTCTGTCTCCAGCAGGAGAGACTCTCCCCAGGGAGGGAGGGAGTGGGACTCCTGCTTCCCAGGTACCCTGAGACGGAGCCACACTGCAGCACCTCTCCCCAGGCGGCCACAGCACTCGACTCTGGGAAACAGAACAGCAGCCACCAACAATACCGCAACTTCGACCCTGAAAACCCAGCAGGTGCCGCACCCCACATGGCACGGAGCCGGGCTGGGATTTGATGAGAAAGGCCTGAGCCCACCTGCCACCCTCCCTGCAGTAGTAGGAATAGACAAGGTTGATGCAGCCGCCCAGAGTCAGGGCTGGAAGGACCCGGGAGGCCTCGGCCTGTTGGGCTCACCCCTTCCTGGGGGCGAGGGCCCCGCTGACTTACATGGCGAGCACAGAGGGTTGGCAGAATAGAAGTTTGGGAAAAGCAGCCCTTCTGCAGCCATCCGGTCCAAATTCGGGGTCTCTCTGGAGGGCTCTCCATACACCCCGAGGTCACCCCATCCCATCTGCAGGGAAGAGCACGGGGAGGAGGAATGAGCGCCTTCTGCAGGTGCTTCTGGCCTGGGGAGCTGCCCATGGTGCCAAGAGCGTGTCGGGGACCGTGGAAGCCAGCACCACCCTGTGTCCCAGCCAGCGGCAGAGCTCGGCCAAACCCCAGCATCGCCTGCGTGCGTGCACGATGGGGCCGCTCCACGCCAGCCCAAACCTCAGCATCGCCTGCGTGCGTGCACGATGGGGCCGCTCCACGGTCAGCCCACGCTGTCTTTCGCCTCCACTTCTGCTTGGTCTTCAGGTGGGGAATGTGTCCGTCTGCCTCCTCCCAGCCTGACACCAGCATCTGCATGCTCGCAGGAGCTGGCCTCTAAACACGTGCATCTATTTTCAACATAAATACACAGGCCCTCGTATGTCTGTACACGTCTAGATTTCAAAGTCAACTGGTAACTGTCCCCCAGAAGCCCAGTTATCGTGTGACCCTGCAGTTCCACGCTGCAACTCCACTCCTAGCTGTACACCCAAGAGACTGAAACTTACGTCCACACGCAGGCCTGCATACGAGCGTCCAGGGCAGCACGACTCAGTGGCCAAAAGGCAGGAGCACCCTGAGCGCCCATCGGCAGACGACAAAGTGCGGCCGGCGTGTACTACGTGGGTGTGGCCACATTTGGAAGTAGGGTCTCTGCAGATGTAGTGAGCTAAGATGAGGTCACGCTGGGCCAGGGTGGGCCCTCAATCCTATGACTGGGCCCTTAGAGACGCAGACATGCAGTAGAGATGCCGGGTGAAGGCCGAGGCCGAGACTGGAGTGACGCAGCCACCAGCCAGGGGACAGCAAGGACCTTCCTGGAGAGCCTGAGGGGGAGGGGCCCGGCTGACACCTTGATTTTGCACTTCTGGCCTCCAGAATCCGGCAAGAATCCATTTCCGCTAAGGCCACCTGGCCTGTGGTAACGTGTTATGTCTCAGGAAACTCACGCACGTACCGCGGCACACTACCCAACCATCGAAAGGAAGGGCACCCCACACCGCGCACGGCCCTGGAAAGCTTCATGTGAGGGAAGGAAGCAGACACAAGGGCCACACAGGCTGTGATTTGCTCATTAAGCCTCCGGAACAGGCCGGTCCGCAGAGGCAGGAGGCGGCTGAGTGGCTGCCGGGGCTGGGGGTGGGTGCTGGGGAGGGCCTGCTGATGAGTACCGGTTTCTTCTTGGGATGGACTGTTTGGAAGCAGGTAGAAGGGATGGAGGCACCACGCTGTGAATGGACTGTGCCCGAGTGGTGCACGTTAAGGTGGCTGTCATGGTCAATTTTACGTTCTGTGTATTTTACAATAAAAACCCCAAGCAGGAGGACGGGTGAGCACAGGGCAGGAAGCACGGAGGCTGGGGTGATGCCAGGAGGCCGGGGTGATGCCAGGTGTGATGGCACCAGCACAGCAAATGCCCACGGCAAACTCCGGAGGTGAGTGGCAGCGGCGGTGTTCACTGAAAACTTCTTCAAATTTTACAGTGTGTATTGTTGGAAAAAAGTGCTTTTAAACAGGCAGTGGGCCAGGACTTTGCTCTAGAAGGAGAAGGGGAGGGCACCGCCTGGGGCTTTGGCTCTCCTCGGATCCTCCAGCCGTCTCCCTGAGCGCCCACCTCAGCAGGAGCCTGGTAGAAGCCAACACTCCGAGGCCCCTCTGTCTGGCCTGTCTTCCTTCCTTAAGGACATATTCCCTCCTGAGGTGCTCCAAGCACCAACCAAGACACCAGTGAAGTGACTGTGCCTGCCTGGGCCCCTGCCCTCTACAGGCCGCCTTCAGCAGCTTCGGCAGCACAAACACACAACACCTGGGAAAGACAACACATTCTAAACACAACGACCAAGTTCACAGGCCCAGCTGAATTCAACCACCACGTTCACAGGCCCAGCTGCATTCAACGCATATTTATTTCTGAAACCAATCTGAATGCAAATATGGATATTTAGAGCTGGCATCAGCAAATGCATTATGTAAAGGGCCTCACAGCAAATCCTTTCAGCTTTGTGGGCCATATGGGGCTGTCACAGCCCCTCAGCCCTGCCACAAGCCAGCATGCGAGCAGATGTGCACGCTCTGTGCCAATAAAACTTTATTCATCAACATCTGAATTTCATATAATTTTTCATGTCACAAAATATTACTCTTTTGGTTTTTTGAACAATTTAAAATTATAAAACCCATGCCTGGCTTATGGGTTTAAAAAACGGCAGGTGGTGGGCCGGGCTCGGTGGCTCACGCCTGTAATCCCAGCACCGTGGGAGGCCGAGGCGGGCGGATCACCAGGTCAGGAGATCGAGACCATCCTGGCTAACATGGTGAAACCCCGCCTCTACTAAAAATACAAAAAATTAGCCAGGCATGGTGGTGGGCACCTGTAGTCCCGGCTACTCGGAGTACAGTAGCCGGCAGGAGAATCGCTTGAACCTGGGAGGCGGAGGTTGCAGTGAGCCAAGATTGTACCACTGCACTCCAGCCTGGGCAACAGAGGGAGACTCCGTCCCAAAACCACAACAACAACAAAACCCAGCAGGTGGTTCACATTTGACCCATGGGCTGGAGTTGGCCAACCTCTGTCTTAGTGAAAGTGCAGCTACCCTATCTTAAAAGGCAATCATGGGGCTGGGTGCGGTGGCTCACGCCTGTAATCCTAGTACTTTGGGAGGCCGAGGTAGGCGGATCACAAGGTTAGGAGTTCGAGACCAGCCTGGCCAATATGATGAAACCCAGTCTCTACTAAAAACACAAGAATTAGCTGGGCATGGTGGCGGGCACCTGTACCAGCTACTTGGGAGGCTGAGGCAGGAGAATCGCTTCAACCCGGGAGGCGGAGGTTGCAGTGAGCCGAGATTGTGCCACCGCACTCCAGCCTGGGTGACAGAGCAAGACTCCGTCTCAAAAAAAAAAAAAGGGCATGAGAGGATCACTTAAAGCCAGGAGTTCGAGACCAGCCTGGACAACACAGCAAGACTCCAACTCTAAAAAAAAAAAAAAAGCCAAGTGTGGTGGTGTGTACCTGTGGTCCCAACTACTCAGGAGGCTGAGGTAGGAGGATCACTTGAGGCCAGGAGGTTGAGGCTGCCGTGAGCCATGATCACACCACAGCACTCCAGCCTGGGCAACAGGGTGAGACACTCTCACTAAACAAACAAACAAAAAAAGATCATGGCCCAGCAATTCCACTTGTAGGAGTTTATCCTAAGAAAATAATTACAGCTATGTATAACCCATTATGCCAATTTAAAATTGTGGTTGAGATACTGGGAACAGAAATTTGGTTAAATAAATCACAGTTCATCTGTGTTAATGGGTGGAGCTGTATCCCCAAAAGTTATGCTGAAATCATGGCCCCAGTGTAGCTCAGCATGTGACCTTAGTTAGAAACAGGGTTGCCGCAGATATGATTCAGTAAGATGAGGTCACTAACATGGGGGTGGACCCTCATCCCACACACTGCAGTCCTTATAGGAGACAGGGCGAAGGTGGCCGTGTGGCAATGGGGTCAGAGGCGGGAGACACACAGCCATGGGCTCCGGACGGCTGGGGGCCACCAGAAGCTGCAGGGGCAAGAGGTCCCTTGCAGGTTTCCGAGGGAGCGAGGTCCTGCCCACACCTTGAGCTCAGACTTCCGGCCTCCAGACCGAGACAGAATGCGTTTCTGGCTTTTTTTTTTTTTTTTTTTTTTTTGAGACGAAGTCTTGCTGTTGTCGCCCAGGCTGGAGGGCACAATCTCGACTCACTGCAACCTTTGCCTGCACGATCTCGGCTCACGGCAACCTTTGCCTCTCGGGTTCAAGCGATTACTCCTGCCTCAGCCTCCCAAGTAGCTGGGATTATAGGCGCCCTCCATCATGCTCAGCTAGTTTTTGTATTTTTAGTAGAGACGGGGTTTCGCCATGTTGGCCAGGCTGGTCTCGAACTCCTGACCTCCGGTGATCTGCCTGCCTTGGCCTCCCAAAGTGCTGGGATTACAGGTGTGAGCACTGTGCCCGGCCGTGTTTCTGTTCTTTTAAGCTCCCGACCCCCGTGTGTGGTCCCAGGAGGCTCCTGG
Organism: Homo sapiens; assembly: GCF_000001405.40. NCBI lineage: Eukaryota > Metazoa > Chordata > Mammalia > Primates > Hominidae > Homo > Homo sapiens. The sequence goes on from NC_000016.10 coordinate 88,846,898, forward strand.
GATGGGTGAGATGGGGGTGTGGCCAGGGGGTTACTGAGAAGCCCACTTAGTGTGAACAGACATTCACGACACCTGGTTGTGTGGACACCTGTGGACACACCTGGACGGCAGGGAGGGAAAACCTCTTAGTAAAGCAAGTATCTGCAGCCCAGCCATGTCTGGCAGCCAAAGCCTTCAGGAGGAACGCAAACAGCTCCACCCGCAGCTCTTAAGCACACTGGAGACCACCGATGGTTCTTTTTTTAAGTCTCTGAAATACTTTTCTCTCTCGTTGACCAGCCTGGGCAACAAGGTGAGACCCCATCTCTATAAAAAATCAAAAAATCAGCTGGGCATGGTGGCACACACCTGTAATCCCAGCTACTTGGGAGGCTGAGGCAGGAGAATCCCCTGAGCTCAGGAGGCAGAGGCTGCAGTGAGCTGAGATCGCGCCACGGCAGTCCAGCCTAGGTAACAGACAGAGAACCCTGTCTCAAAAAAATAAAAAACAAAAACCTGCCACTTTTCTCCAAATTCACCCCATCCAGCCTCCTCCTGTCACAAGTGGCTCCAGGACTCACCCACAGAGTAGGACTGCCACCTGCATGGACAGCAGGGACCTTGAGGAGGGCTGTGCCTGGAGGCCGAGTGGGGCTCACCTGCCCATCGGGCCCTTGTAAAGTTTCCACCATTTCAAATGACCCCAAGACAGGCTGCATGGGCCCTGGTGCTCCAAGAGCCGGAGAGAGGCTCACTTTGGTCTCTCCACAGTTCACCACGACAGGGACTAGAGTCTGATCGCTGATTGTCTAAGGTTGATTTTTACCAAACAAAACAAAACATTAAAAGTGAACTCACTGGAAACTGGAGCCCTCACACACCATGTAAGAACGTGACACGCAGCACCTGGTGAGAGGTCCGGCAGCGCCACGCAGGGTGGCCACGCCGCCCGGCAGCGCCTCCCTGGTACACGCCCAACAGAACTGAAAAGTGTGTCCACGTGGAAACCTGTGCATGAACCAACACCCACAGCGGCTCGCTCCCTGGCAGCCAAGCTGGAAACACCCGGATGCCCATCCATGGGTGGAAGCCTCAGCCACACGTGGTCCCTCCACACTGTGGACCATGACTCAGCCACGAAAAGGAATGGAGTCCTCACACAGGCTGTGTGTGTGAAGCCCAAAAACCCTGTGTGAGGGGAAAATAGACACAAGGCCCATGAGCCGTAAGATTCCATTCACCGGACACGTCAGAAAAGGCAGATCCTTAGAGACAGAAAGGGGAGCGGGTCGGCCAGGGGCTTCGGGGAGCACAAGGGAGTGACCCCCATCAGGGCTGGGGCTTCCTTCCGTGGTGACAAAGATGATGTGACGATGTGTGGTGGCAGGACGACTCTGAGAACACACTAAAAATGACCCGCACACTTTCACCAGCGAATTCCGTCTCAGTAAAGCGGCTATAAAAGAATGAAAGGCCGGGCGCGGTGGTTCACGCCTGTAATCCCAGCACTTTGGGAGGCCGAGGCAGGTGGATCACGAGGTGGTCAGGAGATCGAGACCATCCTTGCTAACACAGTGAAACCCCGTCTCTACCAAAAATACAAAAAATTAGCCAGGCGTGGTTGCAGGCGCCTGTGGTCCCAGCTACTCGGGAGGCTGAGGCAGGACAGCCTGGGTGACAGTGAGACTCCGTCTGAAAAAAAAAAAAAAAGGAAGTGCGGGCATCCTGGTTTTCTGCAGATGGACCAGGGGCTCCCCTGACACTGCTGGGTCGGGGCCGGTGGGCGTTTGACTCGCTGGGTCCTGGTAAGTCAAAGAAGCAGCAGCCTCGGGGCCTGTGTGAAGTGACAGGGGTCTGAACAGAGGGGAAGCCCTCACCGGGGGCGGGGGTGGCAGCGTGCTGACTGGGAACGGCTGCTGGAGGGATGGGCGCTGGGCCCCGGGGACCGCGGGAGGACAGTGGGCCGCTCTGGGCGCACGTGGGTGGCTGGACATCCAGGTCTGCGTGGTCACACCTTGGTCTTTGTCTGGATGCAATGATCCATTTCCCCGGTGGACGGCAGGCTACATGGCCCCTGCCTGTAAGGCTCAGCTTGGCAGGGTGGCCGCTCCTTGCCTCAGCCCCTCCTAACGTGTGGAGTCCCAGAGCTGGGCCAGGTCTGGGCTTTTTCCTCTCAAAGGCCCTCCATGTCTCATGGGACACAATTCTGTTTGGCCCTTTTAGCTTTGGATCCCTTTTGAGATGGTTTATTTTTTTGAGACAGGGTCTCACTCTGACAAACAGGCTGAAGTACAGTGGCGCGATCTTGGCTCACTGCAACCTCTGCCTTCCGGGCTCAGGTGATCCTCCCACCTCAGCCTCCTGAGTAGCTGGGACTACAGGCACATGCCACCATGCCCAGTTAATTATTATTATCATTATTTTTTGAGATGGAGTCTCACTCTGTCACCCAGGTTGGAGTGCAGTGGCGTGGTCTTGGCTCACTGCAACCTCCGGCTCTTGGGTTCAAGCAATTCGCCTGCCTCAGCCTCCTGAGTAGCTGGAATTATAGGCACCCACCACCAAGCTCATCTAATTTTTGTATTTTTTTTATAGAGATGGGGTTTCACCATGTTGGCCAGGCTGGTCTTGAATACTGACCTCAGGTGATCCACCTGCCTCAGCCTCCCAAAGTGCTGGGATTACAGGTGTGAACCACCGTGTCAGGCCAACTTTTTTGTATTTTTGGTAGAGATGGAGTTTTGCCACGTTGCCCAGGCTGGTCTTGAGTGAACTGAGCTCAAGCAGTCCACCCGCCTCCACCTCCCAAAGTGCTGAGATCCCAGGTGTGAGCCACCACGCCCAGCCCTGAGATGGTTTATTTTGAAGTCACTGAAATGGCTTTTCTGAGGACAATGGAGGCTGGAATGAAAGGAGGACCTAGAGAGAGGTGTCCCCTGAAGCTGATGAGGAAGAAAGGGAGGTGGGAGGACAGGGGGCAGGACGCCCGCAGAGCTGCTCATGGGCTGAGAAGGGACCTTGGGCTCAGTGGCACCTAGTCACAGTGGGCGAATGCGCCCATGTCAGGGTGAGGTGCATCCCACTGAGGCAGCAGAAACCTGCAGTGCAGGCTGGGACGGTACAGCTCCCTGAGGCCAGCCTGAGGGGGACTGGCCACACACGCCCAAAGCTCCTTGCCCTCCACCTCCCCGAGTGCAGATTCATCCTCTCAGGTGGCTTCTGCACTTCCTGCTGTCTCCAGTCCAGGTGGGAGAGTACAGAATGGCAGGTGGGCCGGGGGCACAAGGCCTGGGATGGGAGGGAGCAGTATGTTTCGCCCGTTACACTGTCTGCCCATGCCCAGGACCACTGCTGGGCTCCCTTCGGGCTGGGAGTGAGGCCGCACATCTGAATACTGGGTGCCATGTGCCCGACCCTCCCTGCAGGCTGCGTCCTGAGGCTTCCCGAGGCGGGTCTGGCCTCCCCAGAAGGTCGGCAGTCAGCAGAGCTGCGTCCGGATCTGCTTGTGCTCACCTGGGTCATCCTCCTACCTGTTCCAGGCCACAAATAACATGAATGGATGCAGCGGAAAATGCTGTAAAGGGAGTGGGCTCCACGCTCATCACTCACCAGAAAATACTGCGGGGAGGAGTCCCAGGGCTTGAGGGAGGGGGCTCCACGCTCACCACTGACTCAGAAGATACCGCAAGGGAGCACTCTCGCTGGGAGGAGTCCCAGGTCTTGGCGACAGTCCTACTCACTGCCATGACTTACAACGGGGAGGGCATCAGCCAGGGGAGAAGGTGCGGGCGGGGCCGGGGAGACCAGCCGCAGCGTGGAACCCTCCCCAGGCGGAGCCACACGGGACGCTCGGGCTGCGAGCACAGGTGCGGGATGCTGACGGGGAAGCTGTGCGAGACTCAGTTCCCAGGGCTTTTGCCTAGGCTGGCAGTGCGGCCGCCTCTGCCTGGCATGTGCCGAGACTCTTTATGCCCAGAAGGAGGATGCTGGGCATAAATCGTGGCATGTGCAAAAACAGTGTGGCAAGGTGAGCTGCTCCTATCAGCGAACAGCGGGGGGACCTCCTGTTCCCAGACGCCAGCCGAGGGCAAAAACCTCCCACACATGTGCCTTCTGACCAGCCGAGGGCAACGTCCCACACGTGGGCCTTCTGAGGACAGCGTCCCAGGCTGCTGGGCCAGCTCTCATCTGCTGACCCTGTTCTTTCATTATTTATCGGCGCCTTTCTTGGCTATGAAAAGCAGGTGTGGACAGCCTCCCTGCAGAGTGAGCAGGTTACCATTGAACATCTAAAACCCCCACAGGGCACCACGGGCAGGAACCACCTTTCTTCTCTCCCTTAAAAGTCCTAAAAGGGCTGGATCCAGTGGTTCACGTCTGTTATCCCAACACTTTGGGAGGCTGAGGAGGGAGGATCGCTTGAGCTCAGGAAGTCAAGACCAACCTGGGTCTCACAGACAGACACTGTCACTAAAAAAAACTTTTTTTTTAATTAGCCGGGTGTGGGGATTCCGTTCCAACATGGCTGAATAGGAACAGCTCCGGGCTGCAGCTCCCAGCGTGATTGACGCAGAAGACGGCGATTTCTGCATTTCCAACTGAGGTGCCTGGTTCATCCTACTGGGACTGGTTGGACAGTGAGTGCAGCCCATGGAGGGTGAGCCGAAGCAGGGTGGGGCATCGCCTCACTCAGGAAGTGCGAGGGGTTGGGGGATTTCCCTTTCCTAGCCAAGGGAAGCCGTGACAGACTGCACCTGGAAAATCAGGACACTCCCGCCCAAATAGTGCGCTTTTCCAACGGTCTTAGCTAACGACACACCAGGAGATTATATCCCGGGCCTGGCTCGGAGGGTCTCATGCCCACGGAGCCTTGCTCACTGCTAGCACAGCAGTCTGAGATCCACCTGCGAGGTGGCAGCCTGCCTGGGGAGGGGCGTCCGCCATTGCTGAGGCTTGAGTAGGTAAACAAAGCGGCAGGGAAGCTCGAACCGGGCAGAGCCCACCGCAGCTCTGCAAAGCCTGCTGCCTCTGTAGACCCCACCTCTAGGAGCAGGGAATAGCTGAACAAAAGGCAGCAGAAACTTCGGCAGACTTAAACGTCCCCGTCTGACAGCTCTGAAGAGAGCAGTGGTTCTCCCGGCACAGTGTTTGAGCTCTGAGAACGGACACATTGCCTCCTCAAGTGGGTCCCTGACCCCCGTGTAGCCTAACTGGGAGATACTTCCCAGTAGGGGCCCACTGACACCTCATACAGGCAGGTGCCCCTCTGGGACAAAGCTTCCAGAAGAAGGATCAGGCAGCAATATTTACTATTCTGCAATAGTTGCTGTTCTGCAGCCTCCACTGGTGATACCCAGGCAAACAGGGTCTGGAGTGGACCTTCAGCAAACTCCAACAGACCTGCAGCTGAGGGACCTGACTCTTATAAGGAAAATTAACAAACAGAAAGGAATAGCATCAACATCAACAAAAAGGACATCTACGCCAAAACCCCATCTTTAGGCCACCAGCATCAAAGACCAAAGGCAGATAAAACCACAAAGATGGGGAGAAACCAGAGCAGAAAAGCTGAAAATTCTAAAAACCAGAGCACCTCTTCTCCTCCAAAGGATCGCAGCTCCTCGCCAGCAAGGGAACAAAGCTGGACAGAGAATGACTCTGACGAGCTGACAGAAGTAGGCTTCAGAAAGTCGGTAATAACCAACTTCTCCGAACTAGAGGAAGATGTTTGAATCCATGGTAAGGAAGCTAAAAACCTTGAAAAAAGATGAGACGAATGGCTAACTAGAATCAACAGTGTAGAGAAGACCTTAGATGACCTGATGGAGCTGAAAACCATGGCACCAGAACTACGTGACGCATGCACAAGCTTCAGTAGCCGATTCGATCTAGTGGAAGAAAGGGTATCAGTGATTGAAGATCAAATTAATTAGCCGAGTGTGGTGATGGGCGGCTATAATCCCAGCTACTCAGGAGGCTGAGGCAGGAAAATTGCTTGAGCCCAGTAGTTTGAGGCTGCAGTGAGCTGTGATCGAGCTACTGCACTCCAGCCTGGGTGACAGAGCCAGACCTTGTCTCAAAAAAAAAGTCCTGGCTGGGTGTGGTGGCTCATGCCTGTAATCCCAGCACTTTGGGAGGCTGAGGCAGGCAGATCACCTGAGGTCAGGAGTTTCAGGCCAGACTGGCCAATATGGTGAAACCCCGTCTCCACTAGAAATACAAAAATTAGCTGGGCACGGTGGTGGGAGCCTGTAGTCCCAGCTACTCGGGAGGCTGAGGCAGGAGAATTGCTTGAACCTGGGAGACGGAGGTTGCAGTGAGCTGAGATCACACCACTGCAATCCAGCCTGGGTGACCAGAGTGAGACTCCATCTCAAAAAAAAAAAAAAAAAAAAAAAAGGCCTAAAAGCCCCCAAATGATTGTCCACGTTCAGCGAGCACAGCTGTGAGCCATGGATCAGTATCCTTCAGAATTTCAGAGTTTTAAGAAACGCAGTTTCCATTCCTACTGGTTGCTATGGGATTATTATGAAGACGAGCAGGCCAGTGCTTGTCTGTTTCAAACGAGGGGCACTGAGCAACCCTCCCCGGACTCTGGTGGCTCGACGAGGCTGCTGTGGCAACAGGAGCTGGCCTGGGTGGCCCTGACTCTCCACTTCCTCTGTGGTCAGGGCTGACCCTCCTTAACCCTATTTTCCAAATAAGGAGTGGAGACACAGAGTGCTGCTCGCCCTGGGAGGCAGGAGCTGTGTGTGGGCCAGAGTGGAACTTGTCACTGGGTCTCACCTGTCTCCAAGGCCCCAGAAGCCCTGGAGAGCAGAGTGGGCCACGCAGGTTTCCTCACTCACGCAGCAGGTGCCCAGGGTACTACGAAGCCAGGCCGCGCTGGACCGTGGGTCAGTGAAAGGCCAGGGCAGGGCAGCCCTGGGGAGTGCAGGTAGACCCGTCCTTGCCCGGCTCAGCTCCCCCTGGACAGGTGGGGGCTCTTGCCAGCTGCTCTCACCCCTGAGTCCCAGCTTCCCCTTCTGGTCCCGACTCTGGGGGCAATGGTTCTCTCCCGGGTCAGTGTGACCAGTTGGAGAGTGGCTTCTGGCCATGAGGGGTGCAATAAGCTAGTTTTGGGGACAACCCTTTTCTGAAACTGCACTTGCTTAGACGAAAGGGGGGCCCAGGCCCCCCACTGCCCAGCCACAGAGGACTGGATAGGGGGAGACTGGGCTGGAGGCAGCCGGTCCCTGGAGGGCCATGCTCCAAAATCTGAACTTGAGACATGCACACTCGTCCTCAAGTGGTGCTGGGCCCAGAGCTGTGGGTCATCAAGCCATCCCATGTCATGCCAGAGGCCGAATGACCTGTTGCAGGTTCAGACGCCAGCGCCCTGGCAGAAACAACCGGTCTGCAGTGCAGGAAGAGGTGTGGACAGGGCTGCGGAGGAAGCCCCGGACTCCAAGGAGAGAAGACAGCCTGTGAGGACCCCCTTGCACCCTGGGCCACGTCAGGGCACCTCGGGGCTCCACTGTGAGCTTCTGTGGCTCTCACCTGCCAGCATCCCTGCCCTGTCCTGGCAGCTGCACCATGGGCCCTTCAGGGAACCCCCTCTCTGCTGGGTCCAGGCAGATGAGATGATCAGGGGCAGTCTCCCTTCTGGGGTAGGCCCGAGGCTCCGAGGCCTGGGCTGGACAGGTCAGCATGTGCCCCTCCCCCAGTGTGCTTGGCGCAGGGCTGAGACCCACATCACGCTAACATGACACGGGCAGAGCCAACCTCCCACTGGGTCTGCTGACTGCAGGGGTGACTTGGAGTCACCTAGGACCATCACAGGCTGAGTGAGGATGTGGCCAGTTCAGAGGCAGCAGAGCCACGAAAGGGGAAACTCGCCAGGCGGCCCTGGTCTGTCGACTCAGGAGGGCCAGGGAATCCCCACTGTTGCTTGTCACTTTGACTTCATCTTCTGCTGTCTGCATCAGAAAGTCCTTACAAGTACACCTACCGGCCAGGACACAGCTCCTCTGGGGTTCTTTAGGCGTCAGCTGCCAAACGACCCCACAAGCCACACAGTGGAGGCCACAGAACAGGTGCCCAGGTGGGCGGGGCTTCCTGTCACCCTCCCCCACATGTGCCCCGGTGGCCACACCCCACCCCTCCACCCTGCACGGCCTGAACCCTTGCTGTCCTATGGAAACGTAGGGTGAGTCCACATGCAATTCCCTATTTACCGGGAGCCACATTAGAAAAGCAGAAGTAGGTGAAATACAGACTAACTTTATATTTTATTTAACCCAACATAACCAAAATATTATTTCGACAAGTCTTCAACATAAAAAATTATTCATGAGCTGCCCCGCCTCACCCCTCTGTCCTCTGAGAAAGTCAGGAAAAGCAGAAACTTAACAGGGAGGCTTCACCTGCAGAGCCCAGCTCATCCAGCGAAGCTATGCTGGCCCAGAAGGAGTTACACAATGAAAAGAAGAAATTCTGAAACAAAGTATCTACACTGGCCCAGAGGAACTTCAAAAGTGAAAGGATGAAATTCTGAAGCAAAGTATCTTTAGGAGGGAGATGCCACTCAGTGCAGAGAAAGGCCCGGCTACTGCTGTCAGGACACGGACCCCTGGGCGCTGGAGAGCGTGCTCTGGAAAGCAGTCACTGCACACAAATAAGACATATGAGATGGAAAAGCAGCTGCCCAGGACTGTCGGCTGTCACCCCTGGGTGGGGAAATTATGGGTGGTGTCTGTTATCTTTTCAAGTATATCTTTATGTTAAAAAACCATTAATTTAATAAAATTGTTAAGTGAGATATTTTACATTATTTTTCTTTCACCAAGTCTTCTAAATCTGTGTATTTTACACTACCAGCACCTTCCAATTCCGACAGCCACGACTGCCCAGCCCTTGGGTGTGGCCCGTGGCCCCCACTGGTCAGCACAGGTGGGTCTGAAGGCACCTGTCAGGGTCTCTGCTGGTCGGAGCCAGCACACAGGGGCTGAGCGACACCGACGGCCCAAAACTGTCTGGTACTCGGTGTCGTCCCAGTCCTCACACACAACGTGAGCACGGCGGGACAGGTGTAACCCCCCAGGTGTGGCAGCTGAGGTTCAAGAATGGAAGTGACCCCCAAGCTTGGAGACAGTAGGGTTTCAACCCAGGTGTGTCTGGGGTCCTGCACGGTGACCCATGCCCCAGGCAGGCTCATTCCTGAGTCTCCAGGTGGCTCCCACAAGGAGTTAGGGAAGGAGGCCTCCAGGCTGGCTGTGACCCCTGACCCCGCACTTGCCCACCAGGAGACATTCCAGCCTTTCAGTTCTTCAGACCTTAGGGACACCTGACCTTCGCTCAGCATTCTCCAGAGGACAGAGACAGCCGTCAGGTAAGACTGGAGCCCAGCGGGGGGACCCGGCGGCCCGAGGTGGCGGGAGTGATTCCTAGGGCGACGCAGCTCTCAGGCAGGGCGGCAGGAGCAGCCTCTTCCTCCCTTTGGGGAGGCCACGCTGCGCGCCCACCTTTCCCAAGAGTAGAGGGCGGGAAAGGTCAGACGGGGGAGGCAGGGCCCGGTAGCACGCCGGCCACCCACCTGCCAGGGAGGACGCTGTCCCGGTCATGCAGCACAGTGGCAGCGCGTGTGGTGATCGGTGACCGCCGAGACCCCACGCCTGGACCCCGCGGCCACTCCCCGAGGGGCCTCCCCCTCCCCGCACGGGGATACCCCCCGTCCCCTCCCCCTCCTCCTCCCCGCGCGGGGCCTCCCCCCTTCCCCAAGGGGCCTCCCCTCACCTCTCCCCCCACCCCGCCCGCCCTTCCCCCACCTCGCTCCTCCCTCCATCCGCCCCTCCCCTCCCCGCCCCACCCCGGCCCTGCCCCGTCCCACCGCCCGCACTCACGTCGTCCATGAGCAGGAGCAGGATGTTGGGGGGCTGCGGGGCGCCCGAGGCCCCCATCCCCGCGGCGCTGAGCACCAGCAACAGCTGCCACCACCTCGTCGCCGCGACAACCGCCGCCATGGCAACCACGGGAGCCGCGGAGCCCCGGCCAGCGAGCCGACCTAGCGAGCGTCCGCCGGCCCTTCCGGCTGGGCTGCGGGGCGGGGCCTGGACGGCCACGTGACTCGCGGGGCGGGGCCAGAGTCCGCGGAGGGACGGGAGGCGGGGCCTGGACTGCCTCGTGACCAGTGGGGCGGGGCCTGAGCCAGCTGTGTGCGGATGGGGCGGGGCTTTGGAGGCCGCGTGACCAGCGGCGGGTCACGTGACGCGGTGCCTGGCGCCGAGCCTCCCAAGATGGCGGTGTGCATCGCGGTGATTGCCAAGGAGGTGCGTACGCGCGGCGTGGGGCGTCCGGGCTCGCACCATCCTCGGCTCTCCGCTTTCTTTCTACTTCTTCCCTGGGCTTAGAAGGCACCTTAGGAAATGGGACCTGGAGGAGGCCTTCGCCGAGCTCCAGCGGTCAGGGGCTTCGCGGTGGACGAGCCGCCAGGCAGACCCTGACTGAGACCCCAGTTCCGCGCTCGCCCGTCCCGCTGCTGAACGCACCCCTCGGCGCAGCAGGTCTCCTCCCCGCCAGGACCCACCAGAAACCTAGGTGGTCCCGGGCACTACCTCCGTCCTCCGTCCTCAGCAGGTTCTGCCCGTTCTCCCGTCCAGCGCTGGTTCCCCGCGGACGGCGGCCCCGGCCCTCCTGCCAGTCTCCCCGGAGCCGAGTTAAAAACAAATCGGATCCTGTCACGCCTCTGCCTGAGACCTCTGCAGTGGCTTCTCGTTGCCTTAGGATGCTGTCTGAATAACCTGCTCTGGGATCCTTTCCCCCCATAACCCTTGGCACTCTCCGCTCCAACCAAACAATTCTGCAGCTCCCTGGACATGCTCTGCCCTCTCACCTGTGGGCCTTTGCACGCGGAACACCTCTCCCCAGCTCCCATCCTCTTTACTGGCCCACATACATTTCAACTGGAAAGCATTTTCTGAAGGCTAAGACTGAGCTGGGTGGCTGCCCACACGCTCCTGCTGCACGGAGCCTTCATTTCCTAGCCAGGGTCTCCCGAGACCAGACTCGAGACCGCTCCCTGCTGGGCGGTGGCTGCTGCTAAGCTGCTCATGGGCTTCCCTCTTGGCCAAGATGATCATTTGCTTGTTTGTGGGTTTATTGACTAGGTATCACTCCCCACGAGGGTAGCGAGGACTCTTGTTCACTGTATTTGTGCAGGACCCAGTGCTGAACACACACAGGGTAAATGGTGGTGTGTGAAAGACCGAGAAAGAAGCTGTTAATTCTGGGCTTCCAATGGTCAGAAATGCAGAGATGAAGGGAATTTGAGCTGAGTCTTGAAGGGTTTAGTAAAAGGGTCACTGTCAAGGTGAAGAAAAGCCAGTATTGAGGGTGCTGTATTTGGGTGAGCCATGCAGAGTTAGAGGTGGGCTGAGGCAGAGTGGCCTCCAGGAGAAGGTGAGAGGCGTGCCCAGGTGCCAGGCTTGATCGGCAGGCTGTGCTCAGGCCCATTTTTCTGATTCATTTTTTCTTTTCCGCCCACCCTACTGCTGCTGCTTTGCAAACAACACATAAATCTCCTTAGGTTAGCTGGGATCCCCTGAAGGCAGTGCCCACTGCGGCATAGAGAATGAAGCGGTGGGCCTTAGAGCATGGGAATGCGTTCCCCGGGTGGCTGCAGGTCACGGCTCTGCAGCATAGTTCAGAGCTGGTGTGCGCTGGGTGGAGTCTTGTCCTTTCAGTCGCCGTCATCCTTTCTTGCAGAATTACCCCCTCTACATTCGCAGCACCCCTACGGAGAACGAGCTGAAGTTCCACTACATGGTGCACACATCTCTGGACGTGGTGGATGAGAAGATCTCCGCAATGGGGAAGGCCCTGGTCGACCAGAGGGAGCTGTACCTGGGCCTGCTCTACCCCACGGAGGACTACAAGGTGTATCTTTCAGGGCAGGGTGTGTGTCAGGGAGGACCTACAGTTGCAAGATGTACTTTAGGATCAGATAACTTGAAACCTTTTAGAAGAAAAAGAGGTGAGAGTTTTTAGCCAGCCAGGGAATTAGGGTAGCTTGAGGTGAATGAAGGCCTGTAACTCTTCTCTTTCATTGGAAGAGCCATTTGGGAAAAGCAAGGCTAGAATTCCCCGTAGAATGTTTTGGTTTGCACGTGTCCGTTGTCTGGTTTGCAGAGGAAGTGGGACACTTCTGCTTTGTACCTGCAAGGATTTCTTTCTGTGCTTTTCAGGGGGAGCCACCACCTTTGAGCAGGGGATAATAGTTTCATTTATTTCATTAGGCCTTGCCTCTTATGTCACTAGACACTCGTCTAGTCCCTTGGGACAAATCACTTGAGGCCATGGAATTCAAAGACCTTCCCAAAAGTCATCATGTAGCCTGTCCATGGTGACATTTGCTAGTAGCCACTATTTTACAAAATAATGTGGCCTCTAGAGAGGGGATCCGCCTTGTTCACGAAGCCTCTGGTTTTGCAGTTAACTTTCCGGGCCAGGCATTGATTCATGAAGAGGGTGAGGTGTTCCAGACAGACAGACTCGGAGTCTAGGTGGTTCGGCTCCTGGAGTGTGAACTGGGTAAGGCTTGGCTGCCTGCTCTTCGCTTCTCCTGCAAACACCAGACGTCGCCCTAGCAAAGTATTTAGGCTTGTACCCAGCACGGCCACTGCAGGACCAGCCCAGCATGGGCATTTCCTGTGATTCAAGGTTGCCACATTTCTCCAAAGTGAGGGCCCACAGAGGGCCCTCCACCGGCAGTCCCTGTGTTACGAGTGCCTTCCCTAACCAGCTGTGCAGATACGGCTACGTCACCAACTCCAAGGTGAAGTTTGTCATGGTGGTAGATTCCTCCAACACAGCCCTTCGAGACAACGAAATTCGCAGCGTAAGTCAGGGAGTTAGAGGGCCACGCCCGAGTGGGTGTTTTGTTTTTCCTTTTTGACTTTGTTTTGAAATGCTGAGAAACTAAAAATCTGGCAGTGGCTGTGTGTATGTGGCAAGGTCATGGTTTGCTGGGTCTTTTTCAGATGTTCCGGAAGCTACACAACTCCTACACAGACGTGATGTGCAACCCCTTCTACAACCCGGGGGACCGCATCCAGTCCAGGTGGGCCCTACTTTCTGTGTCTTGCCACCTTCTTTCTGTAGGACATGCCTTGCCATTTTGGTTGCCAAAATGCAACCATTTGGAAAATAAGGGAGGAAAGATCTTTTTAAGCTATGAGCACCATCCCCCTAGGGCAGAGGTTTTAAAGCCACAAAGCCCCGTTTCTCCACACCAACTCTTACACAGATCTCCAGCGCATAAAGTGGATAGAGTGTGTGTGGTGTGGGGAGTAGAGCTTGCCCATTTGGCTTCCCAGGTGTGCCCAGTGGGTACCTGGGGCACCTGCAGGACTCAGGGCCAAGCACATGGGCAGTGGCTTTCAGGGATCACACGTCCTTTTGTAGCTACCTGATCTTTTATGTTGAATTTGGAACAGTCAGGAACCTGGTTTGCAGGTGTCTTCCGAATAGTCCACAAAGTAAACAGATTTAACTTTTGAACATCATGAGGGAAATGTGGGGTCCATGCCCACATTCCAGACTTGCTTTCAGTGAGTCCCCAGTTCCAAGACATAATTCCCTGTGGTTGGCAGGGAAGAGGACGCTGCAGTGATCCAAGGCAGGCCCCTCCCTCCACCAGGACACTGTCTTGGGGCCATCCTGGTCCCAGATGGGAGCAGGCAGGCGAATGTCCACAGTCTTGCCTCCTGGGCTGCACAGGGCCATCCTTGCCACACCACCGCTCTGCCTGCCCATGCTGCTCCCTCCTCCACCCCTTCCTGGGGCCTTGGGAGGCTGCACAGGGAACTTGGAGGCAGCAGATGGGTTCTCAGTGCCCGGTGGGGTGGGACTCCTGTCCTGGCCTCTCAGCGGAGTTCACATTTCTGGACCCTGGAGAAGGTCCCGAGCATCCTGTGGATGGAGCCATGCTGCCCGGCCCGTCTCTGAGCAGAGGGGTGGAGGGCCTGGCTCTCCTCTGAGTGGGTCTGTTTCTCTTAGCAGGGCCTTTGATAACATGGTGACGTCGATGATGATACAGGTGTGCTGAGTGAGCTGTGCTGCCAGCCATCGCAGAGGAGCCCGCGCACGACTGTGGTGGGGCCGTCGGTCTGTTCTGGTTGCCTCTTCCTGAATGGGACGCCTGGGGCTTTCAGGGCAGGCAGCTGTGCATGTTCTCTCAACTAAAGGTCTTGTGAGAGGAGATTTGGCTTTTTCCTTCCGTGTCAGCCAAGGATTTAATTAAGAAGAATTCAACTAAGGACTTTTCTGGGGTGTGGGCAGAGGTTTGGGATCAGATGGCGCAGGTAGCCTGTCCTCAGTTGTCCCAAAGGGGCAGAGGCAGGGGTGCCTGGAGCCAAGAGTTCCTGAGCCTGCAGGACCTGTGACCATGTGGGTCACCCACTGGCTGAACAGGTGGGCTGGTCTGGAGGGGGTGGCCTCCTGAGCCCAGAACCAGCCTAGGATCTAGGGGCACAAGGGGAGCCGGCGTGGCTTCCCACAGGGGAGGGCCCTCCTCTTTCTGGACTTGGCCTCCATTCTTTGCATCTGGCTCAATGTCTGGATTCCGCCCGGCCTTAAAAGGAGCCCTTGTGAAACCTGGGAAGCCTCGTGGCCCCGCGGCGTTGGCTCAGCTGCAGCCCTGGTCCTAAACCTTGGAGCGCAGACTTGAGGCACCCCCTCCTGCCTGTTGGTGCTGAGGGGGTTGGGTGCTGTGTCACTTGATGACGTGGCTGACTACCACCCAGGGCAGCGGCCGAGCCCATAGTGGCGTCAGTGCCGCCGGCGTCCTTGGGGTCCAGCGGTCAAGGCTCAGCCCGCTGAGGGGACCCCCCCGGAGTTGGTTCCAGCACTGGTCCAGGACTGGAGAGTTTCTCAAGGACCTTGAGGACCCCAGAAGCCCTTGCAGCAGGAAAGGCTGTAAGGGGGGGTCAGCCTAGGGCAGGACCTAGGGAGGGGAACTTTCTTGATACATATTTGCCTTTTCATCCCATCTAGCAAGCACAGTGTTAATTTTAGAAATTATAGAAGAAAAAATCAGCAAGGAGTGTGGGAAAACTGCATGCCCCAGGCCTCCCCCGCCCCAGGGTGAATTGGAAGCCCTGGAATGGGCCGAGGCACACCAGGCAGCTGATCTGGGTGCATGTGGGCCACAGACCACTCTCACAAGGTTAAATCTTTAACAAGAGCCTCATGTTTGTTAGGAGAAGGTGGGACCCCAGCCCAAGCACTTCCCCATTGCAGCCTGGCATGAAATCTTTGCCTTTTAGTGGGGATCACTCCTGCCCGAGTCCTGGCTGTGGTGGGGACTCTGCAAGTTGCTAACCCAGCGTCCATTCTCTTTCCTCCGTACTAACAGAACCCCGGTGCCTCTGCCCAGTTCCAATAGCGGGCAGACGAGAGCCATGTCCTGGGCTCCCTTGCAGCCCGGGGTGTGCAGCTGTGGCGTGGAGGTGGGTGGTGCTGGGAGAGACTTGCAGGGAAGCTCCTGTGAAGGGGACTCAGCTGCCACATGCAGGACCCTTCCCCTTTGCCTTCTTCCTGCCTGGAACATGGATGTGATGGCTGGTGCTGGGACAGCTGTCCTGAGAGCGTGAGGAAAGGGTCACACCCTAAGGACAGTGGAGCAGAACACAGGAAGGACCCTGGGCCTTTGCTGACGCAGAACGCGGGAAGGACCCTGGGCCTTTGCTGACATACCAGCCCCAGACTACTTAAATTCAGCTTTTTTTTTAATGTGAGAAAATAAATGCACCCCTCTCTGGTTTAAGCCACTGATTTTTGGGTTTTCTGTTAGGTGCAGCCAGACCCACCTGTAAGTACTTTTTACATGAGGGCGTTTTCACAAGCCTTGTTAGGCAGCATCCCCATTTTAAGCCCAAGGAAACAGTGCCTGATGAGGCGCTGTTAGTCGTGGAATGCTGGAGTCAGGTGTGTGCACATAAGCAGCCTTGGGCTTCTGCGGCCGTGCATGCAGCCAGGGAGCCCGACTGGCTGTGCTTTCAGAGGGGACAGTCGTCAAAGTGCCCAGGACAGAGACCTCCACTTCTGCTTCCTGAGCTTCTGACAAGGGCCAGCGTCCCGGGTGTCTGTGTCACTTGGTGGGGGACATGTGGCAGGGTTACGAGGTGTGGGGGCACCTTGACAGGCAGTTGCAGCCCACCAGGCTGGCAGTGGCATTGACACCGCCTCAGCCTGTGCACGCTGCCCGCTTGCTGTCAGTCGCGAGGGGTCTGGAGCCCTGTCCTCATCCCACAGCCACGGCTCGCCAGCCGCCTTCTGTGTCCCGTCCCACGGGGAGACGCGGAGGGAACCGCGCGCCCCGTCCCACGGGGAGACGCGGAGGGAACCGCGTGTCCCGTCCCAGGGAGAGATGCAAAGGGAACTGTGTCCATGGGGGGAATGCACAGGAGTGCTGCTGCCATTTGCTTTTAAAAAGAGCCCAAGTTTAATAATTTATGCTTCACCATTAAGACACACGTTTCTATTTTTCTTAAAATGACTTAGTTGAAGAGCTGAGCATGCCAACCCCAAGCTGGCCTGGCACTGCCTGGGACTCTGCTCCTCCCCTCCCTCAACACCCAGAGCCCCGCAGATCCCCGTGGGGCCCATGCCAGGCTCACCACCGGGCCGTGGCTGTGACTCGTGGCTGTGGCCTTGGGTCTGGACCACCATACAAGGCCCTACTGGGCCATCCCCCCGCCAAGAGGGGGCCAGTGGCTGCTCTGGACACCCCTCTCCTCTGGCCTCGCCCCCGCGCCACTCCCTGCCCCAGCCCCAGGATGGAGCACAAGTGGTTTACTCCTGATCCAGGCCCCAGCCCCTCTCTCAAAATCGGGTCTTCCCTTTAATACGGTGAAAACCATGGTGAGAATTTTCCACGGGCCCTGCACGGAGAGAGAACACACACTGAGTGGCCTTCCAGAGGAGAAGGGGTGGTGGCCCAGGGCCCCGGGGGACAACAGGATAAGGATGCAGGGAGGTCACCTGGCTGCTCAGGCAATGCCCCAGGGGCCTTTCTGGTGACTCCCAGCTGCTCTCTTGGGAGGGTCCCACGAAAAGGAAAGGCAGTGCCAGGAGAGCCCCTTGGGGCAGCTGTAGCCCACCCTGGGGCCTTTGTGGGAACAAGAAGGGGTCACCTCTCCCAGCAGAGAGGCTACAAAAAGCGCCCCCCCCACCAGCTGATGCAGCAGCCACAGCCCTCACCCAGGCCCCGCCAGGTACATTCCTGCAGCCCCATGAGGAACGAGCTCAGGGACCCCCTCCTGCCCCTGATGCCCTCCACCATGGCCCTCGCCCCCAGGCTGCCCCCACAGGCACCCACTCACCGGTTCTGCCCTTGTGGTCTGAGCCGGGGCCTGCCCTGGAGGCCGCTGTGGGGGAAGGGTGCCCCCCTGGAGCCTGGGTGTCCTCGAAGGCCCCCGCGGTCTGTGGAGCTGATCCCAGGGAAGTTGGTTCTTTTCGGCAGCACCTGGAGCAAAGGCCTGTTTTGAGTCCTCCTCAAGGAGCAGCCGAGACCCAGCTCACAGCCCCCGCAGCCCCCACCACCCCGGAGCATGGGGTCCTGCCCGGCTCAGGATACCATTCGGGCCTACAGGGTTCCCTGCCTTTGCCTACCATAGCTGTCATATGACACCCCGTCACGGCCAGCACCCCTGCAGAGGGGGGGGTCACGGCCAGCACCCCTGCAGAGGGGGGGGTCACGGCCAGCACCCCTGCAGAGGGGGCTCCCGCCCGAGAGGGGACACTTCCCCACCATGCCACTGGCAGACCAAACCCAGCTTCAGGTCCGAGGGTCCCGCCACATCCTGTCCAGGCCCAGCCAAGCACCGTGCCTGAGACACGCTGTGCAGAGAGGAGCCAGCTGGGGCTGCTGTGTGTCCCAGGGCCAGTGGGCCAGCCCCTCTGCGCTCATGTTCCTGGACCTGGGGAGCACCGGCGCACCTTGATGACCCGGCCCCGGAAGAGGCTCTGGTCCAGCTCCACGGCGGCCTGCACGGAGCCCTTGGTGGCAAACTCTATGTAGGCATAACTGAGGGGAGGGGCAGGGAGGGGAGGGGTGAGGCTGGGCCCTGTCCGCATGGCCAGTGCCCCCACCAGGCCCCACACTGACCCCTTGGGGTGTCCAGAGAACTTGTCACACAGGATCGTGACTCGGTGGACCTCCCCACAGCGGCTGAAGTGGGCCTCCAGCTCCTCGGCGGAGCCCCCGTAGTCCACCTGCACCCAGGCCCAGACCAGCATGTGAGGGAGACGCCTGGCCCTGACTCGGGGCCTTCTTGTTAGAGGTGAGGAAAGAAACCCCAAGGCTGGGCCCCGTGGCGGGGATGGCCCCAGGCCTCCACCCCACACCCCCGCTGGGGTTGGAGGGAAGAGAGGAAAGGATATCTCGTATGGAGCGCTTCCTTCTGGAGAGCTGGAGCCTTTTAAAAAGCTTCTCAAAAGTGGAGATTTCATGTGCAACCCCGAATTCCAGCTCATGTTGAAAAACTGGAATATGTGCCCAGGCCAGTGTTTCCTCAAGGTGACGGGGCTGCCCCCAGGGTCAGACCCCCTTCCCAGCAAGGCTGCCTGGCCCATGGCCGGGCGCCAGACCCTCTGGTAGAGATGGGGCCCCATTCGCTGCCTGCCCCTTCACCCCGCCCACCACTCACGTTGCCCACGTAGACGGATCTGTGGTCAGCCTCCACCTTCTCCTCGGGGGTCCCAGAGAGGGGGCAGCCTGCGGAGAACACAGCTCAGGCCCGCAGGCCCTTGGTTCCTTCCTCACTCCTCTCACGGGGAAGGTCGCCCAGGCTTATAGGGGAGGTGACACCTTGGAGCCTGCCAGGCCCAACCTTAATGGAAACTGTGGGACCCTTGCTCAGTGGGGGGCGGCCTGTGCCCTTGGTTCCTACCCACGGTCTCAGGGCTCAGCAGCTGCCCGGCCGCGGTGCCCTCCTCTTCCTCGGCCTGTTGCTGCACTCCTGGAGGCCGTGGCGTCCCCTCGGCCTGCTCCATGGCACACACCTTCATCTTGATGGCCTCCAGCTCCTGCCGACACACGGCCCTGAGCCGGGCAGGCAGCCTGCAGGCTCTGCTCAAGGAAGGTGGGTGTGTGGCCTGCCAGCTCCAGCAGAGGGTCACAGCCCCAAGGGGCAGCCCTTCTCTGGACAGGGACACTCCTTCCTGGGGCAGCTGGCTGGGGATGAACTCGCCCCTGCAGAGAAGCCCCCGAAACCGCACCTCAAGGGCCCTTCCCCAGGCGAGAGAGGCCACCTTGACCCTGCAGTCTGTGTGGCTGGGGGCGGGGGGTCTCCTTGCCACCTTCGTCCAGGCAGGTGGGCAATGGCCCTCTCCCCTCCTAAGTCAGCTGCAGCCATCCGTCACCCAGACCCCGTGTCTCCACCAGCCCCTGTGCCCCAGGTCCCCTGAGATCCCCAGGGCCTCCACACAGCTGTTACCTGGTCAGGCAATGGGCACTCAGCCAGGTTCTCTTGCTCCAGCAGAGACAGCAGAAAGCCTGCATCCCCATCCTGGTCTTCCTCTGCATCCTCTTCCTCCTCTTTCTCCTCCTTCCCTTCCCCACCCTCTGGCCCCAGAATCTCCTTGGTCTCGTTCCAGGCCCCCCAGCCCTGGGCCTCAGGGTCTGAGGAGACCGTCTGGAGCCAGGCCTGAGTCGGGGGTGGGAAGAGAGAGCGGCTCGGGAAGGGCCACATGGTAGAGGGGCAGGAGGAAGGTGGGCCAGGCGAGGCCTCCCCTCCACTCCCCTCGCGTCCGCACCTGCCCAGGCTCTCCTGGAGTTTTAAGCCCTCCCCTGAGGCCAGCTGCTCCCACTAGAGCATTTGCAAAGGCTGAGTGGGGCTGAGCTTCCAGCCTTGGCTCCCGGCCCCGCCCCTTCCCTGTCACTCGGACAGGTACCTCCAGGACACTCTCCCTGGAGGAAGGAGAGGCTGAGTTGAGTGGGGGTCACCGGTCTCTTCTGCTTCCGCCTGGCCACGCTGTGGCTCACTGGAGCCTTGGTCTGTGACAGGGTTCACACCTCAGCAGCATCCACACGGCACGAACGCCACACTGCATGAACACTCGATCTAAGTGGGAACACGGGAGTGGTTTCTTCTAGTACCAGGGACCAAGCAGGCTGGAGAGGTGGCTTCCGACCAGGAGAGGCAGGGCCTGAGCAGAGACCGAGAGCAGGTGCATGGGATGAGAGGGCCGAGGCAGGTTGGGGCGGGGTCCTGGGCCCAGAGGAGGGGCAGCAACAGCTGTCTCTGCATCCTGACCCCCATGGAGTCCCCAGGGACCCTTGCCTCCCTAACCCTTATTCTGGGCCTTTTTTTTTTTTTTCTTTTTTTTTTAGGCAGGAGTCTTGCTTTGTTGCCAAGTCTGGAGTGCGGTGGCGCGATCTCGGCTCACGGCAACCTTTGCCTCCCAGGTTCGGGTGATTCTCCTGCCTCAGCCTCCTGAGTAGCTGGGATTACAGGCACCTGCCACCATGCCCAGCTAATTTTTTTTGTCTTTTTAGTAGAGACAGGGTTTCACCATGTTGCCCAGGCTGGTCTCGAACTCCTGACCTCAGGTGATCCGCCCGACTCGGCCTCCCGAAGTGCTGGGATTACAGGCGTGAGCACCGCACCTGGTCTGGGTCATCTTTTAGGTGGGAGCCACTTCCATGAGGCCAGAATTATTCTGCTGTGGGGCGGGGGCTCCGTGGGGAGTGACGGCGTGAGTTATTGTGGGGCGGGGTCTCCGTGGGGAGTGACGGCGTGAGTTACTGTGGCGGAATTCAGTGGGCATCCGGTGGTGTCTGCACCTGGCTTCACCCATGCAGGGTTGCAGCAGGAGGTGACCCGTGTCCGCCCTTGCGCCTCCCTCTGCACCTGCCACCGCGGCTGCTGGAGTCTGCTCTGGCCTTCATCTCCAGTGCTGCCGTCTCCCACCCACTCTGTGAAGGACTCGGGGCCAGGGGGTCATGCATGGCTCTTACCCCTGCCATTGGTGGTGGGAGACGGGGCCCCCTGCACAGCTCCTACCCCCAGGCCGAGGCCATCCTCTCTGTGACTGCACCCCGGTGTTTAGCCAGTGGGGCTGGGATTCCTGGGAATTTGGGACTGGGGGAGGAGAGAGAGACAGGGCGTGGCCTAGGCTGGAGCTGCACTGCTGCACCATGCACCACCCACGCAGGGCGGCCCTTCCTCCATCTTGGGCTGGGGGCTCGGGGAGCAGGTGGACATGGAGGCTGCCACAGCCTGGGAACCCAGGCTCCTGCACCCAGTCTGTTCTCACCTCTGTAAAAGCCAGAAGGTGTCTGAGATGGGTCTCAATCAATCAGTTTAGAGGTGTATCTTGCCAAGGTTAAGGGTGCACCCAGGAAAAAGAAACACGAAGCCACAGGCAACATCTGTGCTCTGCTTTTTCCAAAGAGGGTTTGGAGGCCGGGCATGGTGGCTCACGCCTATAATCCCAGCAGTCTGGGAGGCCGAGGTGAGCGGATCACTTAAGGTCAGGAGTTCAAAACCAGCCTGGCCAACATGGTGAAACCCTGTCTCTACTAAAAATACAAAAACAATTAGCCAGGCATGGTGGCGGGCGCCTGTAATCCCAGATACTTGGGAGGCTGAGGCAGGAGAATCACTTGAACCCGGGAGGCAGAGGTTGCAGTGAGCCGAGATCGCGCCACTGCACTCCGGCCTGGGCGACGGAGTGAGACTGTCTCAAAAAACAAAAACAAAAAAACCCAAAGAGGGTTTGGAGACTTTTATACTTAAAGGGAAAGAGCGGGCAGGAGGGGAACACAGGAAGGAAAGAAAAGGGAGGGCGGATAAAAGGCAAGTGGTAGCGTTCCTTTGAATCTCTGATTGGCAGTCACCAAATGCACATTTTGAAATGTGGAAGGTGGGGGTAGAGAAGAGAATTACGTAGCCCCACGCTCAGCGACTCTGCGTTTCCACAGAAGATAAAACTGCCACAGGGAATAGGAAGCTGGCAGGTTCGCATTCGCCTCCGGTGAGCGGAGGGTAACGTTAGCTCTGTCCTTTGTCCCATACCTGGGAAGATAAGCTGCTAGATCACACTATCTGGGTGGGATCCAGCAGAACTGTTTCAGAGCCAAGATCTTGGGACCCACAAGGAATTTCCCTGTAAGCGCGATGCGAGGAGGCACAGGCTTCTTCATCTTCGTGGCTGTCCAATTAGGAAGAAAATGGGAGGCAGGTGTGTGTGATTCGGCTCCCAGCTTGACTTTTCCCTTTGGCTTAGTGCGTTTTAGGTCCCGAAATTCTGTTTTCTTTTCCCACCTCCAGGAGGCTGACTGAAGACCATGCTGTCACCCCATCTGTTCACCACCCAGAGGATTTTCTGGGGCAGGCTCATGAGGTCGGGGAGGAATGGGCCTTGTCTGGAACCTGGCTATGGCCCTGGACGCCCCTTCCCCTCTCCCTGGCTCCGCACAGCCACACACTTACGTGTGCGTGGTCCCTGGACGCTGTTCCCCCTGCGAACACGGTGCCACTGTTTCCGGGAGGGCTGCCGGGCTGCTCCTCCTCCCTCGAGAGCCGCTGTCCTCACGCCTTTCCTGCTGTCCGTCCAGTGTTGATGACTTGGCCAGCTCTCCCCTTAGAAACCAAAGCTCCTCAGGGGCAGCGCCCACATCTGCACCGAGGACAGGTACGCTGGGTGGAGTGCGGCCTCAGCCTGGGATCCTCCTGTTGGGATGGAGCCCCCTGCCCCGTGTGTCTGTGCCTGTGTGTTGGAGGGTCTGCCAGCACCCGTGCCTCCACCTCCCTGTCAGAGGCAGGATTGCAACCAGTTCCATCCAAGACCAGAGTCTGCTGGACTCGGCCCAGGCCCTGACGCATGCCCCTCTGAGCTCGGGCCCCGGCCATGGAAAACCTTGTCATCCTCACCCTGTCTGAGATTGCTGACACACAAGGCCCGGCCAGGGCTCCTGCCAGCTGCCTGGCAGGGGACAGACGGCTCCGACCCTGGCCTTTCCAGTGACACTCTTCAAATACACCCTGTTCCAGAGCCGGGCCTGAGGATTCATGGCAGCCTGGCCCCTGGGGCCCCAGCGCCCAGGACAACTCCTATTCCAGACAGGATCCGTGTGTGACCCAACACCAGGGCCCCATGGGGGTGGCTGAGAGGGGCAAGCCGTCCCTTCCTGTGCTGTCCACCCTCAGGTCCCCTGTGTCCCCTCAGTTTTCATTTCTTTTTTTTTTTTGAGATGGAGTCTCACTCTGTTGCCCAGACTGGAGTGCAGTGGCACGATCTCGGCTCACTGCAACCTCCACCTCCTGAGTTCAAGGGATTCTCCTGCCTCAGCCTCCCAAGTAGCTGAGATTACAGGCACCCGCCACCACACCCAGCTAATTTTTTGTATTTTTAGAAGAGATGGGGTTTCACCATGTTGGCCAGGCTGGTCTTGAACTCCTGACCTCAGGCAATCCACCCGCCTCGGCCTCCCAAAGTGCCGGGATGACAGGCGTGAGCCACCGTGCCTGGCCTCCCCTCAGTGTTGTCTGTGTCCCCTGAGGTCCCCTGTGTCCCCCATCGGGGTCGGAGGTGTCATGGCCCCAGCCCCAGCACTGTCTGAGGTGGGGCTGCTCAGGCAGGGGCTCCAGTCTTGGAATCCTCAGGACCATCTCCCGGGTGTAAAGTTGTTGGGACCCCCCCAAAGTCCCCTTTGCAGGCTCAGCCGTTGCCAGCCCTGCAGGGACCCTCGTGGCTGGGGCTGCTGCTCCTCCCTGCCTGTGTGCTCCCGCCCTGCCTCTTCCCCGTCGTGCTCCCGCCCTGCCTCTTCCCCGTCGCCCCAGCCCCACGTCACACACTGGCCTGTTTGTCCCTGCAGTGTGCGTGGTGCATGGGGAGGCCCCGCCCTACCAGGCACGGAGGAGCCCCAGCAGGTAATTAGTGAATTCACGGGTGAGACGAGGCTCAGCCGAAGCCTCCTGGGACCCAAGGAGAGGAACAGCCAGGCGACAGCGAACGTTCGCTTTATTACACGGACACGGCGCTAACCCGACTATTGCATCTCACAGCATCTACAGGCCAAACCCATAGTACGTCAGACGGAGCGGCGAGGGCCACCTCGCAGCCCTGCACAGCCTGCAGACCCAGGGCATGGGCTTCTCACAACTACAGAAAACAACTCAACTCCTCTGGGAGAGTCAAAAAAAAGAGGAGGAGAAAGTAGAGAGTAAGTCCCCTCCCCACCAGGCTGCACATGGCTGTGCCCCCGCCTGGTCCTCACCGGCCCGACCCCCTCGGCCCTGGCAGATGGGGTTGGGGAGCTGACAGCTGGCCTGGCGGGGCTCCCCACCCCAGCCAGGTGGGGACAAGGGAGGCCTGTTGCCGTCATTGACGTATTTCAAAAGCAGGTTTCACTCTGAGTACTGACGCTGAGTTCCCGTTCCTCTGGGTCTTTGGGAAGCTACTCCGGGGCTTGGCTGGATTGAAACATAAAGAACAGAAAGTGTCCAAAATGGAGTTTCCTAGAACTTCGGGAAAATGGAGCAGGGGTTGTCAGCAGCGCCCTGGCCTTATCTCTGAAGTGTGCACGGGAGCTGGCGGGCCTCTGGGAGGCCAGCCCCATGGACTCCCCCCTCTCCTCACTGTCTTCCTCTCCGGCCAGCACGCTCATCATCCAGGGCCCCAGCCCCATTTTGGAGAGCACCCCCTCAGTGTGGGAGCTTGCAGGGCAGTGTGGGAGGAAATAGGCCCCGGGGCTCGGGGATGCAGGGCAGGGAGGCTGCAGAGGACCCTGGGGAGCACCCATCACTCCTGGCAGAATTTATCCAGGCAGGTCTGTTCCCAGAAGTCCCCAGTCTCAGGCCGTAAGGACTCAACTCTGAGCCATCTGGGATCCCAGGAAAGGGAATGGGAGCCTGGCACCTGTGAGTACACCCCGAGGAGTGGGGCTCCAAGAGTGCTGGGGTCTCGGGGAGGCTGCATGGGGTCACCCTCCTCTCCTGGGGACACCCCCTCCAGGCATTGACCCCTGGAAACAAGGAGTGGGAGAGGGCGGCCCTGCAGCGTCGCGGCCCTGCCAGGGAATGTGCTCACCCTGGCGCCCTGGTCGGGGACCCTGGGCAGGTGTGTGGGCCGCCACCCAGTGTGTGCTCCTGGCCCCGGCCACCCACCTGGAGCTCCAGGTGGCCCCAACTGGCCAGAGCTGTTGCGAGGTACTGGTCCCACCTGCTCACAGCACCTGCAGCAGAATTTTATCTGCCCCTGCAGGTGTCTGGAGCAGTCCTGGACTGCGCTGGGTATGGAAGAGGCTGCCGCCCACCAACAGGTTCCCTTAGGGCAACAGCTGAGGTCATGGCAGGAGCAACCCTTGTCACTGGCACACGACGGGGGGCAGCTGGTGCCACTCTGGGGTCCGTGGGTGGAGAGGGTGGGGTGGGATGGAGGGACGGCTGTGTGGGTGGCCAGAGGACACACAGAGGACACGCATGTGGGGCGCGTGGGGGTGGAGGGGTGGGTGGGGGGGAAGGGCGGGGGCTGGGGGTGGGGAAAGTGATCTCTGGGATACTGGACAGATGGGGCAGAAGAAAACGTGATGAGAGAGAAGAACCAGTCACTGGGGGCCGGGTGGCGCCGGCACGAGGACGGAGGGGCCGGCATGCACATGGCTGGGATGGATGGGGATCGATGCTGGAGTCAGGCTTTGGTGTCAGCTTGAGGATCTATTTGGAAAAACTGGCAAACAGAAGCCCTTTAGGCCCATCTTGATCCCTGTCACTGTGTCGTTTGGGTGAACCCCCCATCCCCGCCGGCTCTCCCGCCAGCCCCCCATCACTGAACCTCTCGGGCCTCTGTGGCCTGTCCCCACCTGGCTGGGCCTCGTGGGCCCTCCTGGGAGGCTGGCCCCTCCAGTCCTGCAGCCTCAGCCCTGGCCAGGTCCTGGGGCGGCCCTGGCAGGCAGAGGGGCTTGCGGGTGTTCAGCAGGCCCCTCCCAACACCCACTCCTTGAGCACCGTGGGAGACGCTGGTCTCTGCCTTGTTCAGGTCAGAGGACTGGACTGGAAGGAGCCGTCCGGGTGCACAGCCATAGCACAGAGCCGGGCTCTGCTGGGGACTGGGAGGCCCTCTCAGAGGAAGGCTTCCTGGGTCCGAGGCTGGCCGGGACAAGGAGCAGTGAGGAGGAGTGGCAAAGGCTGAGGGGCGTGCATCACGAGCCTCTTTCCAAAGAGGTCATGTTGGTTCTGCTAACCCATCAGGCCATCGTCCGGCCGGGCCTTGGGCTCCCTCACGGCTGTCCTGTCCTGGCTGTGATCTCAGGATGGGAGATGCAGCTGCCGTTTGGTTTGGGGTTTGAGGAAAAGGCTCTGAAGAGCGTTTGGCTTGCCATGGTCCTGTCTTGACAGTGGCTGGCGGGAGGACAGCTTGGCAGGCTGCGCCTCTAGCCAGTGATCTGTGAGCTTGTGGAGGTGGCAGCCGGGAAGGGGTAGAGACAGGGTGACTCTCCCCAGTCCAGGTGTGGCCCCTGCCCAGACCCCCCTCTGCCTGGGGGAAGAGAAGCAGATGCCTGCAGGTGTAGACTGCAGGTCGGAACCATGGGGATGGGTACTCATGGCCACCAAGGGGACCACCCCTAACACAAGAATGCCGCCTGTCCCCGTCCCCTCCCCAGAGCTATGGGTTCCACCTGGTTTGCTGTCAGGTCTTTGACCACCAGGGCCTGGGCATATGAGCTACAGAAAGACGGGCCTCTGAAGCATCGGAGGGGGCCCCAGAGCCTTCCTGGGCAGGAGCTGCCTTGCTTCACGTGACTCGGCCAACACCCGCCCAGGGTTCCCTGACACATTGCACCCAGGACATCCCCTTCTTCTGTCTCCGGGCCTCAGTTTTCCCAGCTGTCCTGATTCCTTGTGGCCCTCGGCCACAGGGCTCCATCTGCCTGGTCTCTGGCCAGGTCCTCATGCCAGTTTTGCACTCGTGCTGAGGGTGGCTTGGTGCATGGTGGGGGGCTACGCAGGGCAGATGGCATTCATCTTTGGCTCGAGGGCTGACCCCTTCCCAAGATCTGAGGTGACAGGGCCTGTCTCACCCTCAGCCTTGTGGTCTGGCCCCTGGAGGCTGCTGGCCAGATCGATGCAGCCAGCTGGTGCACATGCCACTGTCCCTGGTACACCTGTGTGTACCCAAAGAAGGATCCAGGGAGGGGAGGGAAAAAGAGGAGGCTTTTGCCCACAAAGTAAACTCGTGTCTCCTCCACGCTCCCCACCACAGTCCTGACCCCAGGGACCTGAGTAACCAGGGAAGCTGCCCATGGGTCCACTTGCCCTGGGGCTCGGTGCTCTAGAGACCACCGGTTCACCTGCACAGCCTTGGAGGGCCTGACTCAATTTACCCCACAGCACTGTACCCATTTCCTGTCCCCTAGAGCCTTTGATCACCACAGCCAACTGCCCTGCCCACCTGGAAGGGCACTGGAGTGTGGGTGGGGACAAGATGGAGCCCCAGTGGGGGAGAGAGATGAGAAGAGTCCCAGGACGTCTACCTCCGAGGGAGGCAAGTCCCCTTCGTGGGCACGGGCGTGTCCGCTGCTGCCGCTGTGTGGGTTCGGAGCTGGAGAACCGCAGCCCTGGAAGGAGGAGAGGCGCGCTTCTGCCACTTAACCGAGAGCCCAAATCCCAGACCGGTCCTTGCTTCTCTGAAACCCACAAAAGCAAACCTTGGGGAGCTTGCTGGGCCTGTCACTGAGGAATGGAGGTGGTGCCGGGGCCAGGGCAATGTCTGGAGGACAGACTCGATCTATCTTGACTTTCAGAACGAGGTTTCTGTTGTCAGACTTGGTTCCAGACGGTACCTGACCGGTGGTGACCCGACAGGATCCATCCTTATGATGCTCAAAGAATGAATTTTTACCACCGTGAAAGAACCACCAGCAGGCAAACCGCTCCTCCCCTCGGGGCCACTGTTCGGATTTCTTTGAAAATCTGTTTCCTACACTTCGCAAACTCCTGCGGTTTCTGTTTTTTATTTGGCAAACATCTCGTTTATTACCATCATGAATATCATTTGGACCTCTGCAAAGACTATATACATTCACATTAACGTACACGCTCAGCTTCAGGCCTCTGGCGGGCTGTTCGTGGCTGGTTCAGTAGCTGGGTCACTCCCGTATTGCACTGAGTTCCTAGAACTCCTGATAGCCACGCACACAGATGCCAGGCCACGGGCCACGCCACGCGCACAGATGCCAGGCCACGGGCCACGCCACACACACAGATGCCAGGCCACGGGCCACGCCACGCACACAGATGCCAGGCCACGGGCCACACCACGCACACAGATGCCAAGCCACGGGCCACGCCACACGCACAGATGCCAGGCTGCGGGCCGTGCCTGCTGTCTGTCCTTGTACTCGGTGCAAGCATGAATTTCTTTATCCCTTTATTTCCTTCTTGAAATCGCTGAGGCAGTTGAGAGGAGTGGAGGGAGGGTGGGCAGGGCTGGAGGATGGGAGGGAGCACGTCTGATAGAAAACGTCACCGAGACACACCCCAGGGCCAGAGGCGAACGCATCTGAGGGGTGGCTGGGCAGGAGCACCAGGGCTATGTACACGGTCAGGGTCTTCCCTGGGGAGGAGGCAGAGGGCTGCTTTTGTTTGTAGTTTTTTTGTTTTTTCTGCAAAAGTTTGGAAGAAAGGGGAGTAGCTGCGGTGGGGCGATGGGGCCGAGAGGTTGGAGTTGGGGCGATGGGGCTGAGAGAGGTCGGAGCTGGGGTGAGGGGGCCGAGAGAGGTCGGAGGGCGCGGAGAGGAGAGAGGTAGAGGAGGACGGGCTGGCCGAGAAGCAGTGTTTCAGGGAGGCCTGCTGGCTCCGCATGCTCGAAAAGCAGTCGAGAATCAACCCAAAAGATTGTCACAGTTTTGTTTCGGAATTATGCTCTCTCTGGGAAGAAAACTTTAGCACTTTTTTTCCACAAGTGGAAAACGGAAATATGAAAAGTCACAGGGGGCGTGAGGACAGACGGCGTGTCCTTTCCTACACATATGGAGACGCAGGCCGGAGCAACGGCACACGGACCACGCACACGCGGCGGACGCACCAACGCCTACGCAGAAGAGAACAAAAGTCGCTTCTAACTGGGCACAAACCCTCTGCACCCAAATATCCCGACACCCACAAACAAAATCAGAACAGAAGAGAAAAAGACCCACATCCAAACAAACCCAAGAGCAAGTGAAACAGTGAAAAAAATACTTTGGCAGTGACAAACAAATTTTGGATTTTGATTTCTTGTGTTTGCTTTTTTGGATTTCCTTTGGAGCAGAGGTGTGTCCGGTATCCTTGGCTGGCTAGCTAGCAAGGTAGTTCACAAGTATGCTTCCTTTGCTTTTTTAAAAAAACTTTTTGGATTTTTACTTAAAGCCAAAGAGTTTAACATTACAGGAAAAAAAAATCTGAAACCAAAAATGCATCTTGAGTCAGAAATCGAAATCTTTCCTCCCGTCTTCGCTGATCAGCCTCACGCCCCTGGGGGAGGGGCACAGCTGGGTTCAGATCTCCAGCTATAAAATCGCAGTTTTCTTTCTCCCTTTTTAATCAGGAGGGGGAGAACCCCCCCGTTTTCTTTGTCCATTTCTGAGTAGCTCTTTTGCCAACACACAAAACCCCCCAAAATTCTTTGCTGAAAATATAAGCCACCAATTCGATTTTTTCATTGAAGAGAAAGTGTGTGATAGTCATAGAGAGAGAGAGGATAGAGAAGACAGAGGGGGAGAGACAGACAGAGAGGAAAAGAGAGGTGGGCAGAGCCGCCGCGCCTGCGGCATCTGCTCTGCTGTCTAAAGCTCAGTCGAGGCTTCTGAGGATGCTTGAAGAGACGTTGTCAGGAGGTCTCCGCGCGGAATCATTAGGTAGCTGAGGCAGGTGCACTGAATGCGGTTTTGTTGGTTCTGTGTCTTCTTTCGGAGAGGGGCAGTAGCAGCAGTGACTAATTGGTCGGCTCCCCCAGGTCAGGCGGGGCGCAGTGTCTGGCAGGCCAGGCATCGGAGGCCAGGCACAGCATCCGGTGGGCCTGGAGCTGGGTGGGGTTGGCACGGTGCTGTGTCCGGCAGGCCAGGGGCCAGTGGGGTCAGCGGGGCACGGTGTCCAGTGGGCCAGGTGGGCTGGGGGAGCCGGGGCGAGAAGGCCCCGCAGAGCCGGCTTCGCTGGGGCTGGCAGCACCCACAGGCAGGGAGGGGCCCAGGCTGTGGGCGGCTTCGGGCGGTCCAGGCACCGGGTCGGCCACCACGGCTGTGGGGCCCTGCAGGCTCTGGCCACACACGTGGTGATGCTTCTCCCAGTCCCGATGCTGGCAGAAGGACCCGCAGTAGCGTGCCGCGTTGCAGCCGCTGCACGTCTCACTGGCTTTCCGCCCGCAGTTCCAGCAGCTCTGGGTGGGGGCAGAGGGGCCAGTCAGGGCTGGGTCTGGCCACCCGAATCCCCAACACACGCCTCAACCAAGCCATTCAGACCCAGCCACGTCATCACCAGGTGAGAAGAGAGAAACTCCAAAGCCCCACAGCCCTCGGGCCATGCTCCAGATACAGCCACTCACTGGGCCATTTTGCGGGACGGCATCCCACTACCGTGTCTCACGCTCCAGCCCACCCAGATAGGTCTGCGCTGTGCTAACTGGACAACGACCCCTGCCTCCTCTCCAGGAAGCCCTCCTGAGCTCACCAGGCTCCAAAACCGCAAAACCAAAGGGCGTGGCCCCGGCAGGATTGAGGCTGCTGAGATCTCACCATCCGCCTCTGCTGCATCCACACCCACCCGTCCCCCTCCCCACCTCTGCCCCACCCCTGCCTCTGCTGCACCCCCTCCACCTCTGCCCCCACCCTGTGGTGGGCTCTGCTCCCTTCCCGTAGGGTGAGTTGTGCCCTAGGCATCCCTGTGGGCAGAGGGGGTGGGGGATGCCACAAAAAGCCTGTGGGCAGAGCAGGTAGGAGATGCCACACAAAGCCTGAGCATATTTCTTCTTGGGGCCTGGCTGGATCTCTCACAGACGGTTGGGCTGTGGGGTGGGAAGCCCAAACCTGCCCTAGGGGAGAAGCCCAGGTCCCTATTTGGCCTCCAAAGCCTCTGGTACCACCTCCCACCCCACCTCGCCCTCACTGCCACTGCAGCAGCAGCTTCCCTGCGGACTAGGCACTGCCAGGCACAGTCCCCGCTCCAGGCCCTGGCCCCTGCCGGTCCCTCCGCTGGGCCCGCTCCCCCGATGCCTGCGTGGCCAGCTTCATTCCTCCCGGCATCTGCTCAGGTGTCACCTGCCGTGAGGCCTCCACAGCCCCACTCCCCACACACTTCCACCTCCCGAAACTGCACGCCTCACTTCTGCGTTTGGTGTTTCCTTCTCAGTGCCAGCTCTGTGAGAGTTGTGCCTGTGGTGGTCTAGCTTCTCCCTAGCTGAGAGCAGGCGTGGAAATGGCCGGTGCAGAGACCCCTGAATCGATGGGGCTCCATCTCCTCCCACCCCGGGGCTGGCCCAGGCACAGATGCACACAGGGGCTTCAGATAGAGATCCGCCCTATCTCAAGGGACAGTCCTGGGGCTCCCCTGGAAAGGGTCTCTCCCTGTCCCCTCTTCGTGGACAAGGCAGAAAAGGGTCGCGGAGGGTCCTCTGCCCCCGCCTGCCTCCCAGGTGCACGGGCACAAGCATCGTAATTCTCAGGCCTGCCGTGTGCACCGGGAGGGAGCCGGGCGCCTCGGACGCCACCTGGGGCCCTCACAGCTCTCCTGGATCCTCCTGTTCTCACAGGCTAGAGAACACGGGTTTCAGGCCAGGCACAGCGGCTCGCTTCTGTCATCCCAGCACTTTGGGATGCCGAGGCGGGTGGATCACCTGAGGTCAGGAGTTCGAGACCAGCCTGGCCTACGTGGCAAAACCCCATCTCTACTAAAAATACAAAAATTAGCCAGGTGTGGTGGCGGGCGCCTGTAATCCCAGCTACTTGGGAGGCTGAGGCAGGAGAACCGCTTGAACCCGGGAGGCGGAGGTTGTAATGAGCCGAGGTCATGCCACAGCAACAAGATCACTTCAGTCTGGGCAACAAGAGTGAAACTCCATCTCAGCATCAGCCAACCTGGGCTCGAGTCCTGGCCCCACCGCTTCCCAAGGCCGTGACCTCAGACAAGCTGCCAACCCTCTCGAGCCCTCAGTTTCTGGAACTACAGAACGGGGACATCCATAGGACGCCTCACTGAACCATGTGGGATCTCTGTGCTGATAAAGCACAGTGTGGGCGGGGATGGCGTGCCTGCTGCAGGATGCCCGTGACAACTGTGCTGATGCCACGTGGAGGCTCAGAATCCTCATGGGGGTGGCGTGGGACCGCACGGGAGCCGAGGCAGGGGATGGGTGTCAGCGTGGCCGGGTGGCCCTACCTCGCTGGAGTCCTCCTGCTGGTTGATGACCGTCAGGGCGTCCTCGGAGGCCTGCCGCTTCGCCTCGGCCAGGGCCCGCTCCATCTTGGCACGCTCCGTGGTGATGAGCTCGTGCGCTTTGCGCTCCGCGTCCGACACGGCTTTCTGCAGCTCCGACATGGCCTGCCGCTTCACCTCATTCACGGCCTCTTCTGCAAAGGACATGGGCAGGGCTGGCGGTCACATGGGCCATCCCAGATGGGTCTCTGGACTTCCTACGCGTGGCCACAACCTGGGGACAGGGGCTGTGTGCAGCTGAACACACGTACCATCTGTGCACACAAAGGCACATGTTGATGGGGCTGTAGGCAGCTGAACACACGTAGCATCTGTGCACACACAGACACACGTTGATGGCCCTCATGCCTGTGCAGACAAGTGCATGCAAATAAACACAGGCATCCCAGGCATGTGTGTGCAAAGCTGGGTCACGTGGTGTCACAAGTCAAAGCTTGCACTCTACCGCAGCGGCTCCCCAGGCACTGCACCCCTGCAGGGCAAGGGCGAGGCCCACCCCAGGGCCTGGTCAGCCAGGGGCGCACCCGGAATCTGCATTCCTAACGCGAGCCGGGGGAGCTGCTGCTGACCTGAAGCACTTGGATAACTCTGCCGTTCCGCCTTCACCTCTGGCCCCACCCAGACGCAGCCCAGGAAGCCCCCTCGTCCAGGGCTCTGTGCTGTCACCCCAGACCCTGCTGTTATCCTCACCGCACTTGCCATCCTTTAACCTGGCTGGCCTCTGAAGACCATGCTCCCCGACCCACACACAGCCACACACAGATCCTGATCTGTGCTAAGATGGGGTAGGCTCAGAGCAGCCTCCAGGGAGCACTGCCCACGCAGCTGGGGAGGCCATGTTTCAACTCCACCACTGAAAGAGACCCTGAGGCCAGCTGGAGACCCCGGTACCGCTGCCCAACCCTAACCCTAACCCTAACCCCAACCCTAACCCCTCTTGCTGCCCACATATCTGGCTCTGCCCCAGCCCCTCCCCCAAGGCTGATTCCCACGGCATGAGCAAATGTCCCCACAGCCTTGCCCAGCGCTCAGCTCCACGTCTGCCCCTGTTCTGACCCCATTCTGCCCGGACTCTGGCCCCGCGTGCCTGACGCGCCCAGGCTCCGAGTGTGTGCGCTTCTGCGTGCCCTCCTGGGTGTGCAGGTCCAGGACCCACTTTATTCTGCTGGGCGGCCACCGGTCCGTTTCCTGGTAGGCGCAGGTAGCAGCTGTCCTGCCCTAAGTGTGAACCTACTCTGACCTCTCCGTGAGCCACACAGCGGAATGCAGAAAGCCTTGTAGCCTGAGCCCCCAGAGAGAGACAGAAGCTCTTCAAAGCTGAGCCGGTGAGAGGCGCATCTGGGGCCCTGGCCTCCCACAGCTCTGCTGGCCAGGCCCCTGCACCCCCACTCACCAGCCTTCCTCCAGATGTCCTCAGGCACGTAGCCGGTGAGGGTCCTCGGCAGGAACTCGCGAGGCACGTCTGAAACAGGGGCCGGCGTCACACAGGATGGGCCACGCGGCTGCCCCTCCCACGCTGGGGCCCTCCCCACCCTGGCTGGGCCCTGAGTGCAGGGCGTGAGTGTGTGCGTCCCTGGGGGGAGGCCCAGGTGCCCTCGGACAAGGTCTGGCTCAGGCACCCAGGGCAGTGCCCGGGCACGGGGGGCATTGGAGCTGTGGACCTTGGACTCGGCTGGGAGCCGTGTGTGTCCTGGGCCTCTCCTGTGTCAGCATTCGTCGCTGAGGCGGAGAAGCAGAGACCCTCAGGGCCTCCCAGCTCCGAGCCTCTGGCCCACCAGACGCTCTGAGCTCCAGGCTTCCTGGCAGACCAGCCCGTGTTTTCCTACAAAGTGAAAAAGGTGCCTCTTTCTCAAGCGAAACTGTTCTGCCTGGTGTTTCGTTGCATTGCCTGCCTGACAGCTCCCAGGTGTCCGCCCCACCAGAGCACCCCGTGTCTGCTCCCTCCCCCCACACCCCACACGCACCTAGCTGAGGCCCTTCGGGACCGGCGGAGCTGCTGCGGGGCCGGGCCGCGGCGGGAGCGGGGCCCTTCTTTGTGTCCTCGGCGTCGCTGTAGCGCCGCGCCCAGTGGTTGAGCTCCTCGCGGTCGGCCTCCTGGCACCTGCGCAGCACCGTGAGCGAGCGCCGCGTCTTCTCCACCATGTCCATGATGCAGTTCAGGAGCTGGGGGCGGGCGGCGCAGCCTTCAGCACCTCAGAGGGACCGGGACGCACCAGACACTCCCCCAGCCCACTCGGCCAGAGCCCCGGACAGGATGGGTGCCCGACCAGCCCACCGCCCGTGAGAGTAAGGGGGTGAGGGAGGGCCCACCTCCATGGCTTGCAAAGATGGGTCCCTAGCCTGGGACTGCCGAGCGCCTGGGGGTACCAGACTCACATGGACACGTGCCTAGACGCACGCAGGAGTTTGGGATTCTCCTTTTTAACCCGCTCAGCGGGGCTCTGCCTCAGGGACCTGGCTTTCCGCCTGGGCTCCCCTTCCAAAAAGCATGAGGGCGAGGGGCGAGGCTGACAACAGTGCTGGGAGGGGTGCTGGCCCCATGCCTGGCGACCCCTCCTGGGACGTGCTGCAGGATGGGGTGGGTGGGTTCTGAGGAGCCCAGTTCCGGGCCGTCCCCGAACACGTCCTGCCTCAAAGAGGCCTCGGCACTGCTTTTGCCCACACTTCTTGCAAGACTCAGGATAGACTCTGGGAAGAGCCAGTGAGCAGAAAGTAAGTGGAGGGAAGCAAGGCCCGCCATGAGGGTTTTAGGAATCCTCCTCCCTGGGCCTCTCGAGATGCCTGGGCTGCGCTGACAGCTGGGAGGAGGGGGGCTCAGGTGAAGGACCCAGCCGCTGCGCAGGGACGGCGCAGGCCACACAGGAGGGCACTGAGCTCAGGGGCGCCCACACAGCCCTGCTGTCTCCAGCAGCCCCAGGCCCCATGGGGCAGAGCCATGGCCGTGTTTATGCATAGGCATACAGGTGTGGCTGTGTGGGGACATGGCTGTGTGGGTGTAGCTGTGTGTGGGCATGGCTGTGCGTGGGTGTGGCTGTGTACATGGGGGGGTTGTGTGCATGGGTATGGCTGTGTGTGTGGGTGTGGCTGTGTGTGTATGGCTGTGTGTGGGTGTGGCTGTGTGCGTGGGCGTGGCTGTGTGCGTGGGGGTGGCTGTGTGTGACTGCACGGGCGTGGCTGTGGCTGTGTGGGCGTGGCTTGTGTGGGCATGGCTGTGTGCATGGGTGTGGCTGTGTGTGGGCATGGCTGTGGGCGTGGCTGTGTGTGCATGGCTGTGTGTGCGTGGCTGTGTGTGTGCGTGGCTGTGCGCCTGGGCATGGCTGTGTGGGCGTGGCTGTGTGTGGACACTCACGTTGTTGAGGTGCTTCCACTCTTCTGCCCACTCACGCTCTGTGAGCTTGTGGTCGATCACTTCTTCCTGCCGGGACCCAGGCACCACTGTGGATGGGGGAGGTGCACGCTTAGGTCCCACCCACAGCCAGTCTCTGCCCTATTCTCCCAGACCCCGCCCTCTGCTCCCAGGCCCCACCCGTGGGCTGTGCCCGCTGGGGACGATGGACAGGGTAACCGAAGGGCTGGTTGACTTGGTGACCGTGGAGGATGCCTGGGTTACTGAGCCGCCTGGGGCTCTGGGCCGACTGCTCTTCCCCTGCAACACGGCACACGCCTCCAAGGGAGGGTTCAGTCTCAGTCCCATTCTGCAGCTGAGGAAACTGAGGCTGGTTAAGAGGATGTGTTTGCCTGTGGTCACCAGGCAGGGAGCGGTGGGGGTGGGGTGTGGACCGAGGCTGGCTGGAGCTGGAGCAGTGTCCTCAGCCACTGGCCGGGAAGGCTTTGTTAGACTAAGCGTGGCCTGAGGATGCCTCAGTGCCAAGTCACACCATGACCTGGACCTGCCTTAGTCCGTGAATCAATGGGTAACCTCACTGGGAGGAGCTGGTCTCAGTCATTCGCGGCAGCCCTCTGCGGTCACCCGCAGGCGCCCATGACTCCGATGAAGCCACGCCAAACACCACCCAACCACGTGGCCTCGGCACCCGCCTCCTGTCTCTGCCTGTGAACACCGCCAGCCAAGCCGAGGCCAGGGCTCTCGGAACACGCTGGCTCTGAGGCCCATCCTATTCGGGGTTGTTCTCTGCTCAGTTAAACTCTGTTCAATACAGCGTGTCTAAGGTTTTTCCCTTTTGACAGGCTCCAGGACTGAAGCCGCAGAGGCCACTCCCACAGGTCACCAGAAACTAAGACGTGAGTGACGCCCGGCAGTGGCCGACTCTTCCGCCGTGGCTGTGCCCATGGGAGACGTGAGTGACGCCCGGCAGTGGCCGACTCTTCTGCGGTGGCTGCGCCCACGGGAGACGTGAGTGACCCCGGCAGTGGCCGACTTCCACGGTGGCTGCGCCCACGGGAGACGTGAGTGATGCCCGGCAGTGGCCAACTCTTCTGCGGTGGCTGTGCCCACGGGAGACGTGAGTGACGCCCGGCAGTGGCTTACTCTTTCGTGGTAGCTGCGCCCACGACTTCTGGAGACATCAGAGGCTTCCAGGCCCCACTGTTTTCTGCATTTGGCCACTGCCCACGCTTCTGGGGCTGAGGTCTCCCTCTTGGGGCCCTTTTCAGCCCCTAAAGATCTCCTAGCCTCCGAACCTGAAATGGCTCCCCCAAATTGCAGAGGAGGTGGGGAAGTGGCAGCCACAGCTCAGTCACCAGCCTGCTCTGCCGCCTGTGAAGCTGCAGCTGGCAGCAACACCCCAACCAAAATAGTGGCTGAGACGTGCCCGACAGCTGGCGTTTATTTCTGTATTAGCAGAATCGGGTGGGAGTCAGCACCTGCCTGACCCGGCTGCAGCATGCCAGACGCCGTCACCTGCTGCCTGGGCCCTGGAACCCTCCGCAAGGTGGGGGCTGGGAGATGGCCTTGTGTAGGGCAAGGCCTCTGCTGACCCTGCTGCTGGGCCCCCACCGGGCCCTGGGCCTCTGTCTCAGCATGGCAGACTGGAGGCCTCCCTGCAGCCTGTCCTGGGGGGGCTCCTGGGGTGGGGCTGGGCCTGACCATCTCTGGGTTCTCAGCACAGAGGCCGTCAAAACGTCAGGCAGGCTGGGCTGTGAGACTGTGGGTGCATTATGTGTGCTCTCAGGCCTCAGTCTCCTCATCTGTGGTATGGGGGTGCTGACGCCACCCCACTGACGGGCTCAGAAACGAGTGAAGGATAAAATGCACCGAGACTCCGTGCCCACCTCTCTGTTATCCACACCAGCCTGGCCTCACGCAGAGACTCTGTGCCCCTCTCCTGCTCTAGATACCAGCCAGGCCTCACGGCAGCCCTTGCTGGGCCCTGCATTAACTCCCCCAGGCCTTGGACTCTGAGAGTTGGGACTCTCGTCTGGCCCAGGTGACAGAGGAGGAAACTGAGAAGCAGAGAGCCACGTGACTCACCTGTGGGTGGACTGTGGGAATCGCCAAGCTCGGATGAGAACCACGTGGGCAGTTCCAGGCCCGAGGCCGCCCACCCCGGGGGGAGAGGTGGGTTCAGGGCCCAGGACAGGCCCCTCTGCAGCCACCGCTCTGCTCCAGGGGGAATGCCAGGCAGGGGGAAGGGGTCTCCCGAGCTCAGGTGCACACAGCTGCCCGTGGTGCCCTGTGCCCACATGCTCAGGTGTACATGTGGGCGCATGTGTGCTCCTGTAACACGCGTCCACGCTCCCGCCCCACCGGGCTGCTCACCAAGCGGCCGATGGCGCTCTCGTAGCTCCCGGGGGTCTGGGTGGCGGTAGGCATCTCGGAAGTGGTGGGCCATGGCTATGTCCTCCAGGCGGTAGTGCGGCGGCGGTGTGGGCTGCGGTGGCCCGTTGCTGGGGCTGTAGCGCTGGGCAGGGTTCAGGGTGCATGGCCGTTTGCTGAGGTGCTCGGGGTGCAGCGGGTCGCGGTCTGACCCGTTCTCTTTGGTCCTAGCCCCAAGAGCAGGTGGGGCGAGGGCAGTGGACATAGGATGAACCGGGGACAGAGGTGCAGGTGGGGTGAGAGGCAGACAGGCAAGGGCAGAGAGAAAGAGGACACGTAAGGGCGAGACAGAAACACGGAGCAAAACACCAGCCCCGGGAAGCCCAGCCCGGCGCCCCCACTCTCTGCCCCTCTGCCGGGGCCCATGCCAGCCTCAACCCCTGCTCCAGCTGCATGGCATCCTGGGGCCTGGTGGTCAAAGAGCCGGACTCGCTGCTCTGGGAACGAGGAGAGGGATACACCAGGCTTCCGTAACTGGAGACCACCTGCCCCTTGGGCAGCAGCAGCACAAGAGCGTCTGGGGCAGCAGAGGGGGCCCAGCCCAGGCACCTGGGGACCATGGACCCCGGACGCTCGGAGTCCATGCCCGGCACACAGGGGAGAGCCGTCCTCCCACCAGCCTCCTCCCTGTCCTCCTAGGCTCCCCGGAGCATCTGAGTCTGCAGCCCACTGGGGTGTCCGCCCGTGCAGCCACCAAGCCTGCTGGCCCTAGTACACCTCGCCACGCTCCCTCAGCCCGAGAGAGCCGGCCGGGCTGGCTGCAGCCCCAGAGGAGGTTCCCTCTCTTACCCAGAGGGGAGCAGGGTGAGCCGCGTGTCCACGGCACCCCCAGCCCAGATCCCCGGAGCCCACAGGTACCTGTCGGGCGTCCTCCTCTTGCCGTTCTCGTTGACTTCCAGTAGCAGCTCTGAGGAGTCGATGGGGGAGGAGGCGCTGGCGTCCAGCAGGAGCTGCTCATGCTGGGCCAAGTACTGGGCGGGCGTCTGCTTGGCCAGGCGTGCACAGTGCAGGAGCTCCCGCTGCAGCAAGGGCAGGTTTGCCTGTGGGGTGGGGAAGGAGGGCCTGGGTAGCATGCAGGGGTGCACAGCCCTGCTCAGGTCCGAGCAGAGGGGGCCTGGGCTGGGTGGCCGAAAGCTCAACTTGACCTCGGGCCTCAAAGGTCAAGGTGCTCGACCTCTCTGGGCCTCAAGTTCCTTCCTAGCAGTGCCATGGGAGGGTGGCGTGGGAGGGTGGGCACAGAGCTTCGCAGGAGTGCCTCACCTGGGCCACACGGCGATGTGGGGCATGTGGGACTTGAGCCCAGATCCTGGACTCCCAGGGTGGGGCTTTCCCACCGCACCCAGCTCCCTCCCATGGCGTGGTCTGGAGAAGGCGAGAGGACGAAGGGGCAGCAGATCATGGTTGGTCTTCCCGCCTGCACCCGCCCTGCCCAGCAGGCACCACATGACCCAACACAGCTGGGGAAATGCAGGCTCAGAGAGGGGGAGGCAGCCCTGGGCCTACAGGCGGCTCACACGAGGGAGCTGGGAGTGAAACCCAGCTGGGATTGCCTGCAGTGTGTCTGCTCCAGCCCTGATGGGAAGCCCTGAGGTTCAGCTTCCCCTTCCCTTCCCGCTGGTTTCCAGCCTTGGCCTTGATGGAGCGTGGACCTAGGACGTGGACACCCACGTTCTGTGGCTGCTCAAGTGATCCTCCAGCCTTGGTGAGGACGGCCTCAAGACCCACGTGTGCGGGTAAAGACTCCGCAGCATGCGGCCGAAGGACGGCCCGGTGTACGGGATCCGTATGCAGACCCTGCCTTTGACGCCTGTGTGTACCCGCGGCGCCCGCCGCCTCGTCCTTGGCTCCAGGCTGGCACTGCTGGGCCGCAAGCCGGGCTCCTCGGGTGCCTTCCCCAAAGTCTTCCCAGAGCTGCCGCGGGAGGGCGGACAGGCGTGCTGGACCCTGAGCATGCTGGACCAGGGCCCAGCAGCAGGCCACTTGGGAGAGCCAGCGGTTCTAAGCATTTGTAAATAAATCCAATTCCCCAACTTTCTCATGCGTTTCAAAGCTGCCACGCCGCCTTCTCCTGCCAGCGCCTCCCCATTCCCCACGAGTGCATCCACCAGGCCCTCGAGCAGTGCCGGCTGCCGGCCTGTTTTTCTCTTTGGATGGCTGAACAGGGGCCAACCGGCCATCTGTTGAGGACATCAGGAGCATGAGCTGGGAAACGAGGTCCCGGGAGGTCTGAGGAGCCAAACATCCTCCCTCCCTCATCAGCCCCTCCCCAGGGGCCTCCTCTTGGTCAGTTCGGGAACCGGCTGGTCGCTGTTAGGGCGGGGAGAACATCTGGATCCCTGGCTGGCTGGGGCCAGCTGAGGCCAGCTGGGAGCCGGGGCGGTGGGTGGGGCTGCATCCCCCAGCTTCTGGAAGGCCTGACCCTTGGGCTGCGTGTGGGGCAGGCTCAGGAAAGGGTGCAGAGAACCCAGGACTGGGCAGCATCAGCGTAGGGGCCGGATG
Organism: Homo sapiens; assembly: GCF_000001405.40. Classification (NCBI taxonomy): domain Eukaryota; kingdom Metazoa; phylum Chordata; class Mammalia; order Primates; family Hominidae; genus Homo; species Homo sapiens. Next base: position 88,887,602 of record NC_000016.10, read on the forward strand.
CACAGCAGCCCTCGGCAAGCAGGGAATGTTTCCTCAAGGCCTGCGGAATGGGGTGGGGACTGTGGGAACCTCCGGCAGTGCCTCCTTCAAGGCAGTGTCCCCACTCTGTCCCCAGGAGCCCAGGGCACCCGGGGAGGTGTCACCACTAAAATGCTACACACACTGAGCTGGTCAAAATGCCCCAACTCCACCACTGAACGGAAGTTCTGCCTGCAGAACTTCTGAAGCTGCCCTCTGCACAGATGGGCGCTCAGGCTGGGGAACTGGTGTTTGCAATGACGGCGGCGGTGGCTGAGGCACTAGTTGAGCTACAAGGGCTTTCGCGGACTCCGCTGCTCTGCCAAGCACCCAGCTAAAGCCTCCCTGACCGTGGGCTCTGCCATAGAGGGGCTGTGGCCTTGGGCTGGTCATTTAACCTCTCTGACCCTTGCTGTATCTGCAAACTAGCGCTGTGGAGCCTCTGGCCGAGACAGACTCCGGGGAGCTCCGGGTGAATCAGCTCAGTCCTTTCCCACCACCCCGTGAGGGAGATTCACCACCCCAACTACGAGAGAGAGGGCCCAAGCCAGGGCTGGGGTTCCAGCCAAGCAGGCCCCCACTCTCTCCGGCCCCTCAGCCACGATTCCTGCCGTTTCTAGGATGATGTCTTCAAGGACTGCGTGAGAGTACCCCAGACTGGGCCTGGCGGGCTGTGGATGTCTTGGGAAGGTGCTACCCCTCCCCCAGCCCAGGCCACAGTCAGGAACACCGAGGCCCAAGGGGACTGGCTGGGGGTCACTCCCACTCGGCACCTCCTGTCTGGCCTGGGAAGGTCGGACTCCCCCACTGCACTCTGTGTCTGAAGGGGCTGCGGCCCTGCAGGGGTGTGGGTGGGGTTGGGGGGGTGCGGGTGGGGTTGGGGAGGGGTGGGGTGGGGGAAGGGTGTGGGTGGGGGAGGGGTGGGGTGGGGGTGGGGTAGGGGTGGGGTGGGGTGGGAGGGGGTGGGGTGGGGTGGGGTGGGTGGGAGGGGTGGGGTGGGGGCTGCTCCCTGGGTGGGACAGTGACAGTAGGGCCAGGGTTCTGGCTTGTATCTGAGCCACAAGACCTGGAAGCAGGACTGGCCGCAAGATCTTTATTTTTTATTTTTGAATCCTCCTGGCCTCCCCCTAGAAGCGCCATGTCAGAGAGGTGAACAGACTTCATGTCCCACTGGCCCCGGGCCCCGGGTGGGGGCACGAGGTGGGCTGGCCCTGAGCTCCAGCTACCCCACACAGGCCGTGGGATCCCCTGTGTACCAAGGGGAGACTGAGGTGGACACGGCCCTCACGAGAGCCGGGCCGCGGGCGGCACCTGCTGGGGCGTGGCCGGGGGACACCAGGGCCTGACCAGACGTCATGGACAGGGGCCGTAGGCCTGGTGGGGGCAAGGGTGGGGATGCTGCGGCGTTTCTCTGCCTGACCCTGATCCTCAGTTAAGCAAGGGTGGCTGAGGCTGGGGGCATCTGTTGGTAATAAGCAGGCGCACTGTGTCCCCAAAGACTGGGAGGGGTGGAGTCCGCAGCAAGTTAAAAGAAGGGAAGGGAAGGGCCGCTAACGAACTGCAAACGACGCCAGATGGGCCCAGGCTCCTGCCACTCCAGAAGCTTCTCTTTTGTCACCATCTGGGAGCATGAGCACAGCAGGGCGTGGGAGGGGGCGGAGGAAGGCGGGAGGAGGGATGGAGCGATAGAGGAGGGAGGGCAGGAGGAAAGGAGGGGGTGGTGGGAGGGAGGGAGGACTGGGGCAGCGGAGGGAGGGAGGGCAGGAAAAAGCAGAGGAGGCAGGGGCGGGAGGGAGGGAGCGAGGGTGGGAACAGAGGTGGGTGTGATGTGGGGTCCCCTTGGGGAGGGACTGAGGGGAATGAGGGTCTGACCCTGTAAGTGCCCTGGGACGACCAGGGCGTTTGGAATTTGACAGACCTAGGTTTGAGCCCTGGCGCCCTCTCTCCACTACCTGGGGGGAACCCAGAGCCTCAGTTTCCCCACCTGTTAATCAGGAACATGGCAGTGCCTACACTACACCTTGACAGAGGCCAACAGGTCTGTGAGAGACCTTCCTGAAGCACTCCTCCTCCTCCAGGGACGACACCCCGCGATTCCTCCTCCTCCAGGGACACTTCAAATCCCTGGACGACGCCCCGCGATTCCTCCTCCTCCAGGGACGACGCCACGCGATTCCTCCTCCTCCAGGGACACTTCAAATCCCTGGACGATGCCCCGCGATTCCTCCTCCTCCAGGGACACTTCAAATCCCTGGACGACGCCCCGCGATTCCTCCTCCTTCAGGGACGACGCCCCGCGATTCCTCCTCCTCCAGGGACGACGCCGTGCGATTCCTCCTCCTCCAGGGACGACGCCCCGTGATTCCTCCTCCTCCAGGGGACGTTTCAAATCCCTGGACGATGCCCCGCGATTCCTCCTCCTCCAGGGGACGTTTCAAATCCCTGGACGATGCCCCGCGATTCCTCCTCCTCCAGGGGACGTTTCAAATCCCTGGACGATGCCCCGCGTGAATCTAGAACATGCCTCACCTCCCTGTAGTCCCCGCTACCTGGGAGGCTGAGGTGGAAGATTCCCCTGAGCCCGGGAGTGAGGCCCCGTTCTTTCCGCGTGTCCCTCCACGCTGTCTCCTCAACAGCCTGAGGATGATTCCATTTTGCAGATACAGAAACCGAAGCACAGAGGAACTGGCCTCACCCAGGGGCCAACAGCTGCTAAGTGGCAGGCTCGGGCTCAAGCCAGGGAGCATCTGGTCTGGTCTGTCCTCTGGACCCCCGAGGGGAGGCCTGGCCCAGCAGAGATGGAGCCCACAGCAGTACGGGCAGTGCTCAGGCTGGGCCCGAAGGTGTGGCCAGGCTGGCAGCTCCCAACTAAGCTCCACGGAACCCTGACCCCAACACGTGCTCGGCAGAGAAGGTCACATGGTCAGACACATTTGGGGAACCTTTCCTCAGCTCCTGCTAGAGATGTGCAGCCGTCTTGGGGAAATGGAGACCCGCAGAGATGGCAGTCTGACTCCACGGCACTCCCGTGCCCGTCCCGTCTGTGTGTGCGTGGGAATCACTCTCCCATGGGAATCACTGGCTTCATTCATTCATTCATTCATTCATTCGTTCAGAGACAGGGTGTTGCTCTGTCGCCCAGGCTGGAGTGCAGTGGCGTGATCACAGCTCACTGCAGTCTCGACCTCCTGGATTCAAGCAATCCTCCCACCTCAGCCTCCCGGGTAGCTGGGATCATAGGTGCATACAACGCTCAGCTAATTTTTATATTTTTTGTAGAGATGGGGTCTAGCTGTGTTGCCCAGGCTGGTCTTGAACTCCTGGCCTCAAGCAATCCCCGTTCCTCAGACTGGCATCTTTAAAAATGCAGGCTCTGATTCAGCAGGTTTGGGCCGGGCCGAGAGCCTGCAAAGCTGACAAGCCCCGCGTGCTGCCACCCTGGTCCACGGTTGATCTGGGTGTGACCATCTGACCTGCTTTCACCTGACACCTCTTCATCCATCGGCCTGCGCAGCCACAGAAGCCCCTTCCCGCCTGTCTACCGCCCTCACCTCCCGCCCTCACCTCTGCTCTCTCCACCCCACGTATTCTGTTCCAGTCACACTGACCCCTCTGCTGTTCCTCAAGCACAGCGGGCGCCCCATACCTCAGGGCCTCTGCACGTGCAGTTACTGCTGTCTGGAAAACCCTGCGCTGGCTCTGCACCTAGCTCCGCCCTCATCCTCAGCCCTCACCAACACGCCTCCAAGCAAAGGACTTTCGGAATACTTCTCCACCACGTGCAGCTGCAGATTTGAGAGTGGCTGTGGACCGAACGCCTTCCCACCCCAGGGTGCTGGCTCCAGGAGGGACCTGCTGCATGTCCTGGGCCCTATCCCCGAGCCTTGCCCCCACACTGGCACGTCGTCAGTGCTCAAAAATCACCCGTGGAGTGAGCGAGCACATTCGGCCAACGGCAACCAGAGGCGAACCGGACAGCTCTGTCCTGTGCTGGATTTAAGGGCTGATAATCATCCGGTCTGGCAACTAATTTTCAGGCCTTAACTAGTAGGAGTCAACCCTGACTAGTCAGCAGTGCTCCCCTAGGGTACCACAGGGTCCCAGGTTGGCCAAGATCGATGCCTCACACCTCTTCATCCACCTGCCTATCTGGCCACTTAAGCCCCTTCCCGCCTGTCCACCGCTGTCCACGCTGGCAAGGAGTGGGATTAAGGGGCCTTCTAGGGAGGCTCCCGCAGCACGGGGGACGGGTTTCGCATTACCTTCAGGAAGGGAATGACAAACGGCCGCAGAGGGAAGTTGGTGGCCTCCTGAAGCTTGGAATGAAACTCCTCGATCGTCAATGTCGAGTTCTGCAGGGGAGAAAACCCACCTCACATCAGCACCGCTCGGCATGTGAGCCAGCGCCGACCCACCCATGCCTGAGGAGGAGGCTTCCGTGTTGGAGGCAGGCAGGCAGCCCAGGAGCTGGGCACGGCCTGAGAGGGTGCAGGTGGCATCGTGGGAGCGGGTCCACGCCCGGTTGTCAGCGTGGAGCCCATGTAAGGAGTGGCCGTGGCTGCAACCTCATTAAACGGAGGGAATATGCATGTCCCAAGGCCCCGGCTGTCCCTGCCCAACTCACCACCAGGCCCAGCACCAGTGTGCGCACGCGCTCCCCAATCTCTGGGGAGATGTCGCTGCCAAACTGCTGCAGTGTGGTGAGGAAGCGCTTGAGCTTGCTGAGCTGCCGGGCCCCGCAGGCTGGGGGCAGGTGCTGTGTGGACAAGGAGGCTGTGGACGAGGTGGCCGGGCCATTGCTGAAGCCGTTGGGTGTGCACGGTGCACCATTGATGGCTGTTGGTGAGTGGCTGCTGCCGTTCATCACTGCAGGAGGGAAGCGGACATGAGGACACAAAGGTGATGGTGACAACACAACCCAGACGGCGGCGACAGTGAGGGAAGCAGCGACTAAGGTGACAATGTCAAAAGTGACGGCAACAATGATGAGACACAAGGACAGTAGCGCTGAGGATGACAGCAGGAGCCCTGGGCCCGCCCAGGGCAGCTGAGCTGGCCCTTAGCATGCTGACCATCTGTCCTTCCGGCCCTGCTCTGAGAGGTCACACACACCCCCTTACAGACCTGGAAATGGATTCCCAGGGAGGTGAAGCCTCTTTGCCCCAGGTCCCCAATGGGTAAGGGCTGGGATGGCACCCACAATGGTGGTGGCCGTGGAATGACTGCGTTCTGAGTGTGGCTTCTCCTGCCTGGCACCACTCTTGGGACTTGCTCTGGGGCTGAAGTCAGGCCCTTCACACCCAGCAGGGGTGCGGCCCCTACGCCTGGCCTGGGAGACACCAACCCTACCAGGCTGGCTCAGGTTTTCACTGTGAACAGGGAGCAAGGGGCTTCTCCACACGTCGGGGGCTTGATGGCTCACTTCCCACTTTCTGGAGGCACAGGAGACTTGGAAAATGAGAAGTCGCTCATCCCCCGAAAGGCCAGCTACCATCACCTCTGGCATGATGTTCCCAAGCAATACCCCCACCCCCAATCAGGCATCTCCCAGCCCTGAGCAATGTCCCCACAACAGGTGCCTCCCAGCCCTGAGCAATGTGCCTCCCCACACACAGGCGCCTCCCAGCCCTGAGCAATGTGCCTCCCCACACACAGGCGCCTCCCAGCCCTGAGCAATGTGCCCCCCCCGACACACAGGTGCCTCCCAGCCCTGAGCAATATGCGCTGCAGGTGCTTTCCAGCAGAGCAATGTCCCTCCTACAAGTGTCTCCCAGCCCTGAGCAATGTCCCAGACAGGTGACTCCCAGCCATGAGCAATGTCCCAGACAGGTGACTCCCAGCCATGAGCAATGCCTTCATTTGCACACAGCCCCAACGCCTGCTAATGGGGTTCCAGGGGGCAGAGGAGCTGGGACACCCAAGGACACACTGGGTGGGTTCCTGCCCCTGGCGGCTGGACACGCAGATGCCCGTGCACACAGGCCAGTGCATGTTGAGGACAAGCAGGTGACATAAGGAACAGCTGATGAGCGCGCTGCAGGGCCGCCTGTTGGCCACTGAGACGTGACTGCCTGGCTGGCCCTGCTATTGGGGTCAGTGTTCCAGGGGCCTGGCAGACATGGGGCTGCTATGGAAAGTCCCAGGGCCGGGCCTCACCCCTTTTCTCAGGTGACAGAGCTAAGGCCAAGCCTCTTGCAAGGCGGCCAGCGCACCCCTCCTGCGCCTGGGACACCCGCACCCCGTGCCCTTGGCCTCAGGAGCCTGAGGGGCGGCCTCCAGGCTCTGAAGGCAGGTCAGAGGTCACAGGGCTCCCAAGTCCCTTGCTGACAGGGGAGGGGGACTGGATGCCTCTGGGAGGCCTGAAGTCCTGGCCAGCTCCTTCTGTCAGGAGGACTGAAGCCCCGCACACACTCACGGCTGGCTCCCGCCTCCTGCAGAAGGACACGCTCCCTACAAAGGGTACCAACTCCCCTGCCCTCAGAGCGAGCCCTCCATTTCCCTGCCTCCACTCACCCCCCACCACCCTTACACACATGCACGCACACATGCACACACACATGCATACATATACACATGCACACAATGTACACACATGCACGCACACATGCACACACACATGCATACATATACACATGCACACAATGTACACACATGCACGCACACATGCACACACACATGCATACATATACACATGCACACAATGTACACACATGCACGCACACATGCACACACACATGCATACATATACACATGCACACAATGTACACACATGCACACACACATGCACACACACATGCATACATATACACATGCACACAATGTACACACATGCACGCACACATGCATACATATACACATGCACACAATGTACACACATGCACACACACATGCACACACACATGCATACATATACACATGCACACAATGTACACACATGCACACACACATGCACACACACATGCATACATATACACATGCACACAATGTACACACATGCACACACACATGCACGGCTATGATGTACACGCTCGTCTCTCTTGCTCCACTGTGGCCCCAAGTGCCCCTCTCCAGGGGATCCACCCCTCACCCGTGCTGAGAGTGTGGGTCTACGGGTGGGGGGCAGCTCAGAGCCACCTGCTCCCTCAGGGCCGAATTCCTCCGAGGCCCCAGCCGTGTGTTCGCACCTGTGGCTGAGACCTGGCGGGGCCTGTGTGCGCCGAGGAGGAGGGGAAAACCCTTTCTACAGGATGGAGACGCCCCTGGGCTGGGCTGGTGCAGCGGCTCCCCCTGGGCAGCCGGCAGGCACCAGCTGTTTCCTTCCTGTGCCCTGGATGGTGGGGGGTCTTGGTGTACCCTTCAGATCAGGCCAGCCCTGCCCATCCTGACCTGGCCCCTGGGAGGTGACCCCTGCTGAGTGTTGTGGCCTCTGTCTGGACGGGAGGGAACATGGGACGTGGGGACCTACATGCCGGCCCCCCTTTCTGGGCTGCGTCCCCACAGCTGGGGCTCCGGCTAGGCCAGGCCTCCCTTTCTACCCGCTCCTGCAGGCCTGGACTGGAAGGGGCCGCACCCTCCAGAGGGCACTGACCAGCCCGTACCTCCAACAAGGCCCTTCTGAGGGGTCAGGCCCTCTCTAAGTGTCCCTCCAGTAACCTTTAGGTGGCCGCCATCAGCTTCCTCCACTCCGCCTTCCCAGAAGCCGCCTGAGGCTCCCACCTTCCCGACCCGTGGTCTAGTGGCACCTGCGAAGTGCGCCCGGGTCAGGAAGCTGTGCTGTGGCCCGGGCTGGGCTCTACACCTGCACACAGGCTGCGCGGTTATCACACACATCCCATGCGGCAAATGGGCTCCGAGGAACCGAAGACACACAGCAGGGCAGCCCGGCTCCCCCAGATTGCCTCCCGTCCCCGGCAGGCCCCACACACCGAGCAAACAGCGCTGGGCACAGTGGCACAGGGGGGAGGCCGGCCCTGTGCTCTGGATGTTCTTGGTGGAGCGGGGGGAACAGGTGTGCCCACGACTGCCTCCCCCGGGGCCCAGCGCTCACTCTGCTCTCACTCCAGCCTGGGCCTCACAGATACCCACTGCAGGGGCTGTGGGAGGCCAGGAGGGCGGGGGATGCTACAGAGGCCCTCAGACACACCAGCGTGGTGAGGAAGTCCAGACAGACACGGCCCTGCCCTCGAGGGCTGGGGGAAGCTGCCCTGGTTAGGAGTGAGGACCGGCCGCCAGGCCCAGACGTGCCCTGTGAGTCAGACTCGGCGCCTAGCCTCAGTTTCTTCATTTGCAAATGGCTCCCAACCCATCCTGGAGTTCCAAGTGGGGCTCCAGGGACCAGAGGACAGCATGGCAGTGACCTCCTTTGTACTGTGTGTCCCCAGCCAGAGTCGCTCAGGCCTGACCTGGGCTTCCCCAGCCTCTCCTGCGCTGCCCAAGTCAGCCCCCCAGGGTTGCTCCATCCTGACTGGTTTTATGGGTCGGGTGTTGTGTGAGGCTGTTGGCAATAAACAGCCCCCACACCTAGTGGAATTCTGGAAACCACTAATCGCAGGTCAGATATGGCACAAAACCTTGAGTGCACGCGTGGCCTCAGACTTTCCCTACGGGGGGGCTGCAGGATTGAGACATCTCTGTTGCTGGGGCCGCGAACCTCCACACGCTGTTCTGAGCGGCTGCTCCCCTCAACCGGGCAACCTGCACAGGGGGTAGCCTGTCTGCGCCCCTGGCTTGAACGATCTTAGCAGCGCCTTCCTGGGCTCAGGATGGACGCACCGGCCCTCTGGAGCGCGCGGCACCGATAACGGCGTCGTATTCTGGGGCTTTCCCTCTTCTGGGGGGACAGTGGACGCTGACACAGGATGCACCGAGCCCCTGGTCTCTCGCCTTCTGAGCCTCTGTCCGGAGGACCCCACCGCGCTGCCGAGTTTCCCTCTCAATGGTGAGCTCCATGTGGCCACACGGTGGACTGTGACACACACACCCCGTCAAGACTGAGGATAGCCACTTGCGGTCACCCAGCCAGGCCAGGAGATGGCCCGTCACCATGGGAGACCTCACTGCAGCGGGAGGCTGGTTTCTCCAGAACACGAGGGACTGTCGTCAGGACTGTGGACCTTCCAGCAGCTTCTCAGACGCGCCACAGTGCACGCCGGGGCCCCTGCCCACCGCCCCGGCCAGCCTGGGCCTGGCCCTCCCTTAGGTGCGCTTACCAGCCTTGCCCCGGGTGCCTGGTCCTTCCGGCGGCCTGCTCGCCCTCGCCTGCCCGCGCACTCCCTCCCGCGCTGCTGGGCAGTCTCAGCAGCTAAAGAGACGCCAAAAATAACCCCGGCACAAGCGCTTTCATTCCCACGACAGGTGTGTTCCTAAGTTAGACCGCACACGTGTCCCCAGCTGAGGATTGGGGGCACACGCGAGCACCCCCGCGGCTCCCCCAGCCTCAGAGCCTTGGTGGGGGGGTCAGATGCGACAGAGGCACCCTAACGCAGCCCCTCCTGTCACCCCTGCTCCTTGCTGTGGGGGCTCCGGGATCTGGGATTCACCAACTTTGCCATCCATAAGATCACAGAGTGGATGACAAGAGCCACTGTCCAGGAGCTGCACGCCAGGCGCGAGTGCGTGGCCAGGCCCATCACAGAATAATGGCTGTGAAAAGGACAGCCCTGTGCAACAGAAACAACGCACAGTTGTTCTGCTGCCCTCGTTCTTAGAGCCGGGAGTGCCACGACAGCCACACCTGGGCCATGCTGCCAGGCTGGCTGGTAGTGATGGACCGGAGTCTGTCTGATGGGCTCAAGCATGGCTGCACTCAGTGGTTGACAAAAACTATAACCACCACCTGGTAAGAGCCCATGCTCCCTGAACGCCCGCCATGGGCCACGCACGTTGACAGAAACGTCTGCTGGTGACTCAAGTCTGCTGAGCTCTCAGCATGTGCCCGGCCCCACCATCTGACGGCTCCTGGAGATCACCATTGGCACTAGGGGCCATGATGACTTCCATTTTACAGGTGGGGAAACTGAGGCACGGGGGGTGGTACCTGGCCAAGGTCACCCTGGCAGGAACAGTTGCAGCTGGGACTCCAGGTAGGTGGGGTCTGCCCTAGCAATAGCTGAGCTACAGGCTGGCCAGGGACAGTGTCTCGCCCCTCCCCTCGGCACTCGCAGTCAGCCCCATTGGCCATGTTTTGCTGCTGGGGAAGGAGAGCTCAGAGAGGCTCTGCTCCTGCCTAAGGCCCCGCAGCTTGGAGCGGAGGGTCTGTGGGATGCAGCGACCCGGCGGCTCTGCCCTCCTGCGCCCTCTTCTCCCTAAGGAGGCAAGACCAACACAACAGAGGCAATGCTGAGGGTGCGGAGGCCGGGGAGGAGAGCTGAGCGCCCCCAGGGCAGCAGTGTTGGGCCAGCTGAGGATGCTGCGGTGAAGACCTCTGGGGAGGCCTGCGGTTTTTGTTATTTTACTTACAGAGACAGACCATAGACCATTTTAAGCAGCCATGAAAACGGCCGTGGGGCAGCGTCGCAGGCCCGTCCTCTCGATCTGTAAGCAAAATAAGAAGAACACGCTGTCAGGAGGGGCGTGGGCAGGAGACTCTGCCCTCAGGGGCGCCCGCGGCCACCTTTTCCTACTTCTCAGAGTGATTTTTGGTGGGGGCGTGGGCAGGAGACTGCCCTCAGGGGCACCCGGGCCGCCTTTTCTTGCTTCTCAGAGTGATTTTTGATTTTCGGAGGGGCCTGGGCAGGAGACTCTGCCCTCAGGGACGCCCGGGCCGCCGTTTCCTGCTTCTCAGAGTGATTTTCTGACGGGGCTCTGTCACCACCTGGGGCCAGGCCACTCCCCTCTCCGAGCCTCAGTTTCCTTCTCTGAGAGTGGGTGATCCCTAAGGGCCGTTCTGGCAGCACTGTTCCGGAGTTTACAAGAACCGCGGCTTCTCTATGAGCAGGGGCGGGGCCCCTTGTTTTCATCGTCCTCTTCCCAGAAGGCCCCTGTGACCCCATGAGCACCATCCTCAGGGACCTGGGCCGAAGCCGCGTGTCCTAAAAGCGACCTGAGACTCGGCTTGGAGTCTCTGAAACAAAGCCCTGGGTCGGCACTGGAGGAGGAAGCACCAAACAGGAAGAAAGATTCGGCTGGGCTCAGTGGCTCACGCCTGTAATCCCAGCACTTTGGGAGGCTGAGGCGGGAGGATTGCTTGAGCCCAGGAGTTCAAGACCAGCCTGGGCGACGTAGGGAGACCCAAACTCTACTATATAAAAAAAGAAAGAAAGATTGAATTTGTTCGAGCTGAAGTCAGTGGCGCAGGCCACAGGAAGACAGGCTCTAGTAAAGACGGGTAGTGAGTTCTCTGTCATGGGGGTAATCAAGGGCAGGATAAAGCCTTAGCCCTTTAAGCGTCCTCCCAGCTTTAGAGGAGCTTGGTCTGGGTCCCTGCTCCTTATATGCCTTCCCCCTCCCCACCCCCCACCCCACAGCAGCACCGCAGCTTCAACTCCAAGATGAATTTGCGCCCAGGGCTGTCACTGGGCAAGAGAAACTTCGGCCCTCAAGTCTCCGTTCAGACTCAGTCTCCCATCAGCTTGGCTCAGAGGCCAGTCCCCGGGGAGGAGCCTCCCGGCAGGGCTCTGCAACTGAGCTGTGGCCCCTGAAGGGCACCCACCACCCACCAGCCAGGGGCAGGGGTGCGGCCAACCACCTGGCTTTCACGGAATTGTGTGGATTAGGGGATAAATCTGAGGCTACCTCAGGGGTGGCCAGAGCCTCAGACTGATGCTGCTGACAGCCCAGTGGGACTGAAGCATCGGCTTAGAAAAGAAAAAGCACCTGCTTATCTCTTTCATAACCTTCACGCTCCTTAAACCAGCTGGGACCTCACCCCAAAAACATGACCCCAAGGCGGGCTGGGAGTGGAGGGAGCAGGAAGGACCCCAGCCCCAGGCATGCCGGCTGCCCTCACATCCGTTCACAGGTCTCCAGAAGCAGAGCCCGACGCTCTGCTGATCCCAACCCACCTCCAGCCAGGAGCATCAGACCGGCACCTTCCAAGCAGAGGCTGCTGGTCCCCAGGGAAGAGCAGGTGGGGGAGACGCACCCTTGAGGGTCTGGGGAACCAGGCTCAGCCCACGGTGTTTGTCCCTGACAGTGGGGCCTGAGGTTGTCTGTGGAGCGGGTGTTTTAGGCACTGCGCCCATGGCCGGGTCTCCCGTGGTCCGTCCTGAGCGTTTCCTCCCCCGGGGCTGGGGTATACTGCAAATTTAACACAGCAGCGGTCTCCCTCTACCTATGTGGGCTCGGTGTGGTCGCAAGCTGCCTGGTAGAGAGACGGCCCGTGGTTTGTACCAGACCGGAGGGCTCTTCCGAAGAGAGGGAAGGGTGATCCCAGCCCGGCCACATCGCCGTGTGACAAGGACATGTGAGAAAAAGCCCAGCCAGCCTCTCACTAGAAACCGTGGCCAGCTCCGCAGAGCCAGGACCTGCACGCTGGGCCCGCCGTCCCCCAGGACCTGCAAAATCGTGAGTGCGGCGTCCCGACTCTCTGAGGCAGGGCCGGCCCCGCGGGTGCAGGGAGTAGCCGTTAGGCTGTTTGGCTCCTACTGAGTGCCGGGCACATTTCCAGCTGTACCTGCCTCTGGGCGGCACACCTGGGGGCACCCCATTGCTGGGCCACCCCATTCCCCAACCAAGTCGGGAGGCTGACTCGGAGCCAACATCCTACAAACAGGGCCGCAAATCTGCTGCCTGACCGCACAGCCAGTGCTCTCTCCAGATGGAGGGGAGATGATGGCCAAAGCCCTCGGCGGAGCAGGCCCCCAGCCTCAGCGGCAGAGCCAGGGAGGGAGCCAGGCCTGGCCTATAGCCACCCGGTGCTCTGAGGACAGTCGTGACGTAAAGGGACTGAGGAAGCAGCTCTTTCTGGCCCGTCAGGGACCCGGGGCAAGCAGGACGGAAGTCTCAGGCTCCCCGCCCAGAGAGGGGCTTCGTTTGAGTTTCAGAGCCTGGGGAGGGTCCCCCAGGTACGGGGCTTTCTGGCCGCTGCATGTGGAGGTGGTACATGGAGTCTCCCCCCTGCAGACACTGAGATGCACTCCTGAGCCCCCAGCCTTGAGGGACAGGGACGCTGCCACCCCGCCGGCCCAGCAACTGGGCCAAAGAGCACCAATGTCTGTCCTCAAAGCCAAGGCTCTGCGGGTGACTGTGATGAGAACTGGCTGTTCCCTGCCCCACAGCCTCCCAGGGCCCACCATCGGCGGCTCTGTGCGCCAAGCACGGCCAACCCCTTGCCAGGGCCAGCAAGACAAGGCCTGACAGCTTCTTGAGGTCCCACCCTTCCGGCCTCCTGTGCCAAGGCCCCCACCCTGGCCCCCGTGCTCAGCCGGGCTGTGGAGCTCCTGAGATCTGAGCCCCTCCAAGGCCAGAGCTGCCTCTGTGGTCCCTCCACGGGGCCTGTACGCAGGTGACCTGCTGTATGACCCTGCGGAAGCCCCTGACCCCATCCGAGTTCCACGTTCTCTCTGGATGAGCCTGGCATTCCTAGGCCTGCCGGACGAGGCAGGAAGCCTGAGGCACAGCGGCCGGCTTTGACCCATGGCCGGCCCTGGTGAAAGGCCTGTGTGGACTCACCTGGCCCCACCACAGCCCTGGGAGGACCTGCATTGCAGAAGAGGAAGCCCAGGCCCCCCGGAGGGCAAGGACATGACCCGGAGCTACCCAGTGGGAAGCAGGGAAGCTGGGATTTGAACCGGCCAAGCCTGGGCTCTGGGCCACACGAGCTCCTCACACTCAGGGCTCACAGAAGGTGCCCGCTGGCTCCGGGCAGGAAGCTCAGAATTTCAAACAACACAAGGGCCTCCCCTGAAACACCTGGCCCTCGGCTGCCAGGTGGGGGCTACTTACGTGTGTGTGGCGTGAAGGAGGGGGGGCGTGTGGCCCCCTGGGATGCGGCAGGCGGTGGGGGCGGCATGCTGGGGGGTGTGGACCGGGGCTGCGTCTTCACCTCCGCTGGGGAGTCCGGCATCGCTGAGGCCTTAGCTTTCCTGTCCACTGGGGCTGCGACCAACGGAGAAAGAAAGAGTCGGTGAAGCAGGCTAAGTGCAAAGGCCAGGGCCCGCAGCCCCACGGTTCCCAGCGAAGGCCCCACTGAGTGTCCGCCCAGCGCTGGGGCAGTCTGCCCCAGGTGTCCTGACAGGTGGCTGACGTCCCACGTGCAGGATCACGGGGGCAGAACCAGGCCGGAGGACGGGCTTGGGCCAGCTCATCTGAGGTGGCCGGCCAGGCTGGAGCTGGGGCCCTCGGTGTGTGGCCGCCCTGCGAGAGCCGTGCCCCACTCCAGGCTTGAGGCTTCTACAGACCAGGGAGTGGGCAGTGCCCCGAGGCAGCGGTGCCTTGCTCCCACCTCCATGAGCATCCCCCGGGGGGTGTTCAGACAGACCTCAGCCTCTTCCCCCAGTCCTGATTCAGCAGGTCAGGCTGAGACCCAGAATTTGCATTTCCGGCATGTTCCCAGGTGGCGCTGCTGCTGGTCTGGCCCTGGAAGCCATGGTTCTAAGAGTCCCTTCCACTTTCAGATGCTAGAAGGCTCCCCTGGGCTGGGGGGCGGGGGACGGTGTCTGCCCAGGGAGAGGCCGGCAGGCAGGCCATTTAGGGCGGCAAAACCTCTATTTTAACCGTCTTCTGCCCCGGTGATTCACAGGACAGCCAAGACAGAGGCGGCATTGACTTCAGGATGGCCGAGGCCTGGCTGCGCTGGGCGCAGCCCCCGGCAGGTGGTAACGCCAGGACACGTGATTAATGAGAACCTGCAGCTGAACAAGATTCCCTCGTGGTCTGAGGCTCCCTGAAGTCTGAGAAGCTCCACCCAGGGCCAGCTGTGTCCGGAGACGGCAGGAAAACGCTCAAGGCGCTGGTGGGCCGGGACTGGGGGGCACGGAGCCCCCTTGTGCCACCCAGAGAGCAGGACCTGCAGACAAGGTTAACCGAAGGGCCTGCAGCACAGACGTGCCCGAGACACCAGGAGGCCAAGCCAGCACCCTGTCTGCGGCATTTTCTGCAGGGGGTGCGGGTGTAAGCCCCAGGGCCTCCCCATTTATCTTAAGGCAAGGTCAGCCAGTGCCAAAGCAAGGCAGAAAGACCTGCTATCCGTGGCTGAGACTTCGGGGGCCTCAGCGGCTTAGAGCAGCAAGGTAGGCATCCTCAATCTGCTGAATACCGGACTGCCCCGCACCCTGCTCCTGCTGACACCTGTGGGTCTCACCCACGACTGCCCCGCACCCTGCTCCTGCTGACACCTGTGGGTCTCACCCACGACTGCCCCGCACCCTCCTCCTGTTAACACCTGTGGGTCTCACCCACGACTGCCCTGCACCCTCCTCCTGTTAACACCTATGGGTCTCACCCACAGCCTGGGGCATGAAACAGGTGAGGCCACAGTTGGGGGCTGGTATCTGTCGTGTTATTAGTCAACTGTGGGCGCTGCCCCTGCTTCTGCCCGTTCCCCATTCCCGGGGCCCCAGCACCATCGTCAGACGGAGAGATCCACCCAGGGCCACGGCCACGCGGACTCTGTGGAAGGTGACGGATAAATGACTTCTACAGCGATCACATGCCAAATACGGCACAAACCTCTGCTGATCCTCTTGCCGCCGGCTCCTTTTACAGAGAGGCAGAGAGGTTCAGAGGTGCTGAGGTCCTGCCCAACATCTCAGGGCAGTGGCGCCTGGGCTCTAACCGGCCCCTGGTGCTCCAGGCAGGAGTGGAGCAGTCCCCCTCTGCTGGGCCTGTGGGGAGTGGTGGGGGGAGGAAGCAGCCAGTAAACAGCCACAGGCCTCGCGGCACCTGCTGTCCCCTCCGCACAGCCGCTGACCTCCCTCGCACAGGGCGCCCTGCTCCTCCTGGCCACCCGCCTGTCCGGAGGCTGATGGCTGGGCACACGTGTGGCCACAGCTGTGGGGGCCATCAACACCGCCTGGCTGCAGGGCCGGTGGCCAGTCCCTGGTGACAACCAAAGAAGGTGAATGTGGCAGGGTGTTCCTGTGGTGGGGGTGTTCCCGGCTGGGGGGGGGGGCGTTCCTGGGGGGGCATTCCTGGGGGGGGCGTTCCTGGTGGGGGCAGCCCTTCCAGACCAGGCTGCCCTTGGGCCAGCGTGGGTTGGGCATGCCCAGAAGGGAGCAGGCAGGGATGTGGCCGAGAGCTTCAAACGCCAGGCTGGCTCGGGGGACACAGGTCCAGGACACTGGGGATGCCCCCTGTTTGGACTTTCCAAAGCCCTCCCATGGAGGCGGCTACATTTGAGCCACGAGACTTGAATAAAACAGAAGTGGATGCAGAGAGCCCCACTGGGGAGCTGGTGCCGGGCGCTGGACGGGCGCTCGTAGGATGGACGGACATGCCACATTTCCTAAGGTGGAGAGGGTGGCCAGGAGACCGCTGGGCCGTCATGCCACGGCGCAAGGAGTCACCACAGCCGTCACCCAACAAGGGCTCATGGCCACCACCTGCGTGCTCACGGCCACCACCTGCGTGCTCGTGACACTCTGGATCCCGAAGCTAGAGCAGACAGTGCCCTGCCGGCGCCCTGAGCAGTCGGGGACTTCATGTGGTTCCCTTTGGGCAGAACAGGAGGCTGTCCCTTTACTTCAGAGGCCTGGACAGAGGCTCACTGCAGGAAGATCCTTCTCGGTGCTCTGCAGATATCGACGACTCATTGCATCCTCACCGAGACCCTCTGCGGCTGATGCTGCCATCAGCCCATTTTACTAGGACGGACCAGGCTCGGAGAGATGAAGTCATCTACCCAAGGTCACACCGCGAGTGTGCTGCGGGCCGGGATCGGAACCACGACCTGGTGTTGCCCCCACAGGGCCAGGACTCGGCAGGACTCCAAAGTCTCCGCTTGTCATCAACACGCTTGCCTCCTTTTAGGCCTCAAGGTACTTGCAAAGAGGCAGCAGGTCTGGGATTCAAACCTGAGGCCGAACGGAGGCTGCAGGGGCAGGAGGCCCCGTGCCTGAGGAACACCCTGGGAGCTGGTGGTGTCCTCCCCTCCGTTCTCCAGGCCCCACCCCGGGTTGTGCGGGGGCAGCTGTGCAGGAGATGGGACCTTTCCGGGCCCCACCCCGGATTGTGCGGGGGCAGCTGTGCAGGTGATGGGACCTCACGGGTGTCTGTTGAATCCTGTGTGAGTGCTCCTGGCTGTGTGGCCTAGGGAGAGCCTCTTCCCCTCTCTGAGCCTCACTTTCCTTCCTCTGTACATGTGGAGGAAGCCAGGTGACAGGAAGATGACGCGGAGTTCCCCACGCCCTGCCTTGGCAAGCAAGGAAACCAGGCCAAGGCTCATGGAGCAACGTGTGGCCGGGACCTGCTCCTGGCGCTGCCCCTGGCACAGACTCTACCCGAGAAAGCAGAAAGTGACAAGGACCCTCAGAGAAGATGAGGGGTGAGTGTGGAAAGGTAGAGGAACAGCATTTGTGGCCAAGAGAACAGCCTAGGAGTTGGCCAGGACCTGTGGAGGGACCTGGGAAGGAGGGGGGTGGGGGAGTGGGCAGCGGGGAGTCTGGAGCTCTGCACAGCAGCAGCTGGCGCCGTCTCTGGGGCGGGCACATCGTCTCTCTCCTGCTTAATACCCTTCAGCAGCTTCCACTGTACATGGGGCTTCACCAGCCCACACCCACTCCATGACACCCATCTCCCTGCTCTCCCCCAGTGCGGGGCTCAGGGCCATGCACGACCCCCCACCGCCCCTCGTTCCCTCTGGGATTCAGCTTCAACCTCACTTCCCCAGGAGAGGCTGCCCCGCCCCCGTGAAGCTCTTCCATCCTTCCCTGTTCAGTCCTCAGGATGTCACCCCACACTGGGCGGTCCTGCCTCTTGTTTGACCTGTTTGCAGGGTCTCTGTGCTTGACTGGGCCCCCCAGGATGCAGCTCGCCCAGGGTAGCCTTCAAAGGAAGGCCCCCAGAGGAAATGCCTCTTTGGGTTCCCCCAGCCCCCGCTTAGGGGCTGGAGGAGAGCAAAGATGGAAGTGGGGTGAGTGGAGCGCCATGATCAGGGCGGGCCTGAGGGGAGGTGGGGCTGAAGGAGGGGCGGGGCTGAAGGAGGGGCGGGGCTGGAGGGGCGGGGCTGAAGGAGGGGCGGGACTGGAGGGGCGGGGCTGAAGGACGGTGGGGATGAGGGGGCGGGGCTGAGAGCTAGTCTGCGGCAGGTGGGAGGGGCTGGGCTGCCCAGCTGCAGGACAGGTGCTTTCTGCAGACATGGGGGGCTGGTTGCTCAGGGCAGGAGACCCATGGCTGCCCTGGACACCCATTTCCTTGGCGCTGGCTGGGCAGGGAGGCACCGTGGGTCCACCCCACAGCCACAGCAGGAGGCTGAGTCCTGCCGGCCTGGCTTCCTCGGGCAAGCCACAGCCTCTCTGTCCATTTCCTTGCCTCTTCAAAGGGGATGGAGATGAGGCCGTGCGCAGCAGGGGGGTCCAGCACTCTCCGCCATCACTCGAAATGGTGGCTATTATTATCCTCCTCTATCCCTGCACCCCCAAGCAGTGTGGGGAGTCTCTGGAGCTCCCACCGGCCCACAGCTCCACCAAGGCCAACTGCAGGCTCCTCTCCAGGCTAAGACACCGCTAGACAGGGGCAGCCTCGTCCTTCCTAGGTGCCTGGCTTCCCACCCCATTCCCCTTTGAGGCCCTGCACCTCGGCCACAGGCCATTTCTACTCCGCAGACCCACTTCGAGGCTCGGAGGCCCCGTGGGCTACCAGCCCACGGCTGCGAACCACACAGGAAGAGGCCTGGCCGCATCCCCTCGTCCCCAAGACCACTTGCTGACCCTGCTCCCCGCTCCAGCCGCAAGACGGCCCCGTCCAGACACACGGAGGTGAATAAGTCATCAAACCACTTGGAAAAATAAAATCGCACAGAGCTTCACAGTAGACACCAGTGTCCTGGTGCAATGGCCCTGAGGCAACCCCGGGGGCTCAGCAGCGCCAGAAAGGGGACCGTCTCTGTCTCAAGGCAGAATAGAGAAGTGGCAGGAAGGGCTAATGTCACGGAGGAACCTGGTGCCCCAGGCCTATTCTCAGCACCGTCTACCCGCTGCCCCATGAGGCGGGCCCTGTCACTACGCCCACTTTCTAGACGGGGAAACTGAGGCCCAGAGAGGGTGAGTGACTTGTTCTGGGTCTCAGAGCCCAGAAGCACCAGGGCATGTGCCTGCAGCCCCCAGGAGATTAAACGGTCCCGATGCCAGCCAGCCTGGACCCTGACTCAGCCTTGCTGGGACAGCCCAGGCATCCAGCCCCACGCTGGGACACGCGGCCCTGTGGGTGTCACATAGGCCGAAGGGACGCTGGCTCGTACTGGAGGCTGGGGTGGGTGGCCCGTCACCATACAGGGTCTGGGGTAGCACCTGGGGTGGCCGGCTCTGAGGCATGAGCGGAAGGACCATCTTTCAAACCCCAAGGGGTTTTCTTTCCAGAGCTCGAAGTGCCCATGAAAGAGAAACGAGGCCTCCAGCATCCCTGAACTCTACATCAGCTGCAAGGGGACCCCGGTCCCCGAGGACACCCACATGTATTTTCAAACAGCTCCCGAGGCCCAGCGCTGCCCGTGCAGAAGAAAGCATGGAATTTGGGGAGGGCTCCCGAGGCCTGGCCGCCCAGCACAAGGGGGTCCCTGGGGCACCTGCTGTCCCCACCCTGGCTATCCTCCTGTGGCCTACACAAGTATCCTAACCCCTCCCTGGCTCAGAACAGCACTGAGGTCCTCCTGCTGGGGTGGGTGGGGTCAGTCTGGGTCCCAGTCCCTTCCCTATGGCCCTGGCTCAGAGGCAGGTGGGCAGCGGGTGCGGAATCTGACGAGAAGGGCTCTGACGCCCGGAGGGGAGGAATCTCATACAGAGGACCAACTCTGTCCTCACGGATTCTTCCGCGGCCCTGAGATCCTGCGCTTCTCTATCTTACGAGTGGGGAAACAGAGGCACAGAGAGGCTGAGGAGGGGGAGAGCCAGGTGTGGATCCAGGTGACCTGGCCCAGCTACCCCTTCCCCACTGGCCACAGAGGGCACCTGCAGCCTGGGAACCCCGAGGGGAGGCACCTGCCCTCCTGGCCTCCCTCTGTGGCTTGGGCCTCTGCCAAGTGTCCTTCTCACTCCCCCTGCCCATGACTGACGGTGGCATCTTCTAATTGTCCCCTCACCCCAGAGCAGGGGCTTTGCCTGTCCTTCCCACCCTCGATGGCTCAGGCACTGGCTCTGGACACAGTGCGCCCCTCTCTGGGCATGCCTGAGTCTGCCCTGATGTTGGGTTTCCCTCTATGCGGTTTTCCCCAAAGGGTCTGGGCATGCAGGAACTGGTCAGATGTCTAAAGGAAGAGGACAGGGAGAGAGTGCCAGTTCCTCCCCCAGCCCTGGCTGCAGCCTCATCTGCCTCCCAAGCTCCCACTCATCAAGAAAGTTCCCAGACCTGCCAGACGTGGTGACTCACACCTGTCATCCCAGCACTTTGGGAGGCCAAGGTAGGCAAACCACTTGAGGTCAGGAGTTCAGGATCAGCCTGGCCAACATGGTGAAACCCCGTCTCTACTAAAAATGCAAAAATTAGCCGAGCGTAGTGGTGCGTGCCTATAATCCCAGCTACTTAGGAGGCTGAGGCCGGAGAATTACTTCAGCCTGGAAGGCAGAGGTTGCCATGAGCCGAATTCGTGCCACCGCACTCCAGCCTGGACAACGGAGCGAGACTCTGTTTCAAAAAAAAAAAAAAGGAAAAGAAAAAGAAAATTCCCAGACCCTGGAGGCCGCTCCCCGGGGCCCATGGGAGAGGCCGTTTCTTTCCCAGACGGCACATCCAGTTCCCAGCAAAATGTCACTAACGGGCCGGGAGAGGAAGCCGCTTTGCAGGTTGGGCAGAGCCAGTGGGAAAGAGCCTGCAATGTGCCGGGGCCGCTCATCCATCACTTCCCCGTCCGTGGGGGCACCCAGCCCGCCCTGCCCAGCTGGGAAACAGCCACAGCCCAGGGCTCCCAGCCTGGGAGTTCCAGAACTCTCCATGGAAGGAGGACCCATGGACACCAGTGCAAGAGCTCATCTTTCCGGCCTTCCCCGCCTCGTACCCTCGCCAGCTCTGGAGTAACAAGCCCTGCTTCCGCTGTAACCTTCTTTGACCCCTCACAAAAGCCTTGGGGCATAGGACGCTGGGCAGGTAACGCAGGTGACCTGTCTTGAGGCCTTTGCACAGGCAACATAGCCACGGTGATGACGTCCTACTGCGTGCCAGGCCTGACCTGAGCATTTTGTGCAGAACACCTCATTTCGTGCCCCCGAAAGTCTAGAGGCTGTCAGGTGGGGAAACTGAGGCACGGGCCCTGGGCACCTGGCTCTGGATCCGATCCTCTCCGTGGGTTTGGAATATGCTCCCGGGGAGCGGGGGGCACCGGCTCTGCCCTTCCTGGAGCTGACCACAGGCCCCAGGCAGGGGAGGAGGAGGGCATGGCCTGCAACCAACCCGAGGGCTCCAGGCCTCTCCTGTTACTCCAGCCGAACCCTCATCCCAGGATGCCCCAAAGTCCAGCCTCAGAGGCCCAGCAAGGCCTCTTGCAAAGCCTTTTCTGGGGCTGTGGTGCAGGCAGGGCTCGGAGATGCTCAGGACAGGTCCAGGACGGGCTCTGGACCCAGAACAGTGCTGTGCCTCAGTTGGCCCCTCCATAAAAGTGCAGAATTAAGGGGATGAGCTCAGGCTCCGGGCCCTGCAACCTGGGTGGGCAGCCTCAGTGTCCACATCTGTGCAATGGGGGTGAGGGTTGACATGAATGCACGCGTGGCAGTCACTGGCAAATCCCAGGCAACCCCAGCGGCGGCTGGGACGGAGGACACCACTACATCCCGGGTGACCCCGACGGCAGCTGGGACGGAGGACGCCACTGCAACCCGGGTGACCATGACGGCAGCTGGGACAGAAGACGCCACTGCAACCCGGGTGACCATCACGGCGGCTGGGACGGAGGACGCCACTGCTTTAAACAGCTGTTTATTTTCCTTCAGAATCACACGGTCCCACAGCTTCCTCTGGGAAAGGCACAGATGTGCAAAGAGGAGACCCCGAGAGTCATCCGTCCACGGCCGCCCTCCCGCCTCCTCACAGCCCCGGAGATGGACGACCCCGCACCCACGCTGCCCCTGAGAGGTGAGGTCATCTGAGGTCACTGGCCACGGCCGTGCAGTGAGTGAGGGGCTGAGCCAGGAATGGAGCCCCAGCCTCTGAACTCCAGCCTCTACTTGGCCGGGCAGCCGTCCAGTGCAGTAAACCCAGGCCAAGGTAAACCCGTACACTTGGATTTCTGGGGAACCAGAGGGACGAGCCACCCTCCAACACATTTCCCAAGAGCTGTCCACGGCGGCTCCCACGGCGGCTCCCCAGCTGCTTGGCCAGTGCCACAGTGGCCCGGCTGTTCCTCGCTTGGTGCCTGGCTGTCCCCTCTGGCCTCACCAGCTGTCCCCTCTGGCCTAACCACACGCACTACCCCACACCCGCCTGTGCTGTGCCTCGGTCACTCGCCGCACTTGCCCCAGGGCCTTTGCATGGCGGTGTTTCTGCAGGGAATGCACTTCCACCAGGTCCCCGCAAGTCTGCCTCTCATCCTCACACCTTTGCTGCAGGCTGCCTCCTTCCCGGTGATGCTGCAGCCCGCGCGGCCCTTCACCCTGGCTCCCCTCCTGTCACCGGCTCTCCCTGTAGCTCTGCTGGTGAGCCCACCCGCCTGTCCTGCTCCTTCTCTTCTCTTGTGGATGCTCCCCGTGAGCTCCAGGAGGGCTGGGCTTCCTCTACAGCCTACAACAGTGCCGGCCACACTGCAGGCATTCAGCAAACACTTGCTGCGTGGTGACTGAGAAAACCTGGAAAGGCACAGCCCACTGAGGACCGGACACTCCCAGCCTCAGTGTCCTCCGGAGCCACCGTCATCTGAAGGCGTGGGGACAGGCAGTGCCCTCCCACCTCAGGAAGAGCTGTGGGGTGAGCTGCGGATGGCGTGAGCAGTGCAGGGCGGCCCTCGCAGCGGGGTCTCTGTGCCACTCTCTGGTGCCCCTGAGGGGCATGTGAAACAGAGGAGAACCTGGTGCTGACTCCGGGAAGGGCCCTGAGAAGGTCTTTGACCAGCATCAGACCTGGGGCTCCCAGGCCAAGATAGAGGCAAAGTGAAGGGACGTGGGGCCCCTTCTTGGCAGGCTCTAGGACAGTGGGTGTCCCCCCAAATCCCCTCGTATCCAGATGACCAGGAGGCGGCTCCCTCCCCTGCCCCCAGCCCCCAGCCTCCAGGGCTGTGCCAAGTGTGGGGATCTGGGGTGGGCAGAGGCGGCCTGAGAGCCTCAGGCGCTGCCCTGCGGCCGCCTCCACATCTGGCTTGTATCCAGCCTTCCTGCCTGGCGAATAAGCAGCCATATAAACACGGGGAGCAGTGCCTTCTCTGCCATCGGTCTAGGCAGACCCTCCCGCCCCCACAGGGACAAGGAGCCAAGTCCTATTTCTCTCCCAGGCCCTTCCAGGTCCTCATGGGCCTGACCCAGGGCGGACCCTTCCTCTGGCCCCACTCACTCACTCCTGCTGCCCTTCCCGCCGTGGACAGGAACAAGGGACCCTGACCCCAAGGCCTGTGGGTGATGACGATGGACGGCACGGGGTTGCCATGGCAACAGAGCGGGGCCAGGTGGCAGGAAACCCAGTTCGCCTCCCGCGCCGCTGTGTGAACTGACTGTGAACTCGGGGTGGGGGCCGTCCCCAAATGTGTATGAGTCTCTGGCTCCCCTTGGGTAAGATGCAGTGCCTCTTTGGGTGGGGTCACAGCAAACAAAAAGGCTTTCGTAAACTCAAAAGCCCTCTGTGGCCCTGCCACGGGGACGTCATCTCTGGCGATCTGAAGGACAGGGGCAGGGAGGGAACGGGAACCTCAGGCGCCCTCTCCCTGCAGGAACGGAGTTGGCTTTTCCGTCTCCTAATCTGGCCTCAGTTTTCTCATCTGTAAAATGGGAATGGGGATGGAATTCCCGCAGAATCACGGAGGGACGAAGTACATGAGCTCACGAAAAGCGTCTAGAACAGAGCGCCTGGCCGCTCGCCCTGGCCACCCAGCTGTCATGCTTCGGGCTATCTGTCCGGCCACAACGGCCGCGTGGAGCTGGTGCAGGTGGGGCTTGTCTTTGGCACTGTGCCCAGAGCTGGCCCATAGGTGACACTGAGCATCAGTGTTGGGGAAGGGGACCCATCGGAGAGCCTCTGGGGCACAGTGAAGACCCCCCCTCCTGCCTCGCAGCTGTGTGGGGGAAGCTCTGTTGCCCAGAGTTGGCTGGCAGGGCCCAGACTGCCCACCGGCTGCCATCACCAACACGAACAGGTACCCAGGGCATGCCTTCAGCCGGCCTGGGTGCAGAGGTCCCGTCTGTCACAGAAGTGCTGCTGAACCGTAGCAGACGAAAATCTCACAAACTCCCTCCGGGCCCCGGCCCAGGGCTTCCCGTTGGAAGGTGCACAGGCCGGCCTCTGCCTGCAGGCTGGGCCCACCCGCGCCTCCCCAACCCACTACGTGGCTCCAGGCGGACCTGGCCTTGCCTCTTCCTTTCCCAAGGAGAGAAGAAAGCCTCCCTCATGGGTTTTTGAGGACCAAGAAGGCTCTCTGGATAGCTGCACCCTGCAAGTGAACCCAGGGCTCGCCAAAGAAATGCGGAAGATGGGACAAAGTGTGCTGTGCGTCCTGGGGCCAGATGGGGACAGATGGGCTGGGGGTCTCTCCGTCAGTCTTGGCCAGCCACGCCAGCTGTGCTTCTGTCCCTCCCGTTGGCCTCAGGGCCTTGGCTCCTACTGGAATACTTCCCTCGATCTCTGCATAGCCGTCTCCTCATCATTCAGGTCTTGGCGCAAATGTCCCTCCTCAGAGAAGCCTTCCCTGACCGCCCATGTCCCTGCCCCCACGCTCTCTGCCCCATCACCCATTTTTCTTCTCCAGCCACTCGTCAATGTCTGAAGCCTCCGTCTGTGTTGGTCCTCGTGTTTACGCCCGTCTCCCCCAGGGCAGGGCCCTGAACAGCACCTGGCACACGGCAGGGCCCCGTAAAGGTTTGCTGACTGGCGCATAAGGACAAAGCCCCCTATCTGCCTCCCCTGGCAGCCCTGTCCTCTGCAGGTTCAACGGGGCGGCTCGCTGCTGCAGGACAGAGCCTGGGCTGGGCTTGAATCGAGGCCTGTCCCCTCTGCCGTGTGAGCCCAGCAGGCAGCTCCCCTCATCCATTAAGTGGGAGGAACACACCTCCCGGGGGTGCGTCTGAGGAATAAGGAGCTAATTGAGTCTGTCCTGCAGCAGGAGGCCAGGGAATGCCGGTCATGGCTATTCAGGGCCCTCTCCCCCAAGGCGCGTTTCCTGCTAATGGCCTCGATTTCCCACCCTGCCAAAGCCCCTGCCCTTTCGATGGGATTGCAGCTCTTCCAGTGCAGAGGCGGGGTCCACTTCCCTGCCCCCTGGATCTGGGCTGGCCGGGGGACTTGCTTTGGCTGGGGGCAGGATGTGGCACAAGGGATGTCAGATGACCCTGAGCCTGGACGTCAGCGGCGGGCAGCCCCACTAGCCCTCTGTGGAGCCCCCACGTGAACACGCCCAAGATGAGACACACGCAGGACAGGGTTGGCCCGGCCACTTGGTGGAGCTGGACTGACCGTGGCTGACCACGGACCAGCCAGCAAACCCAGCCACGCCCAGAAGAACCACCCCCCTGAGCTTGCCAAAACTGCCAACCTAAAGAACTGTGAGCCAAAGAAGGGTGGTTGCTTTGAGCCACTGTTTGAGGGTAGCTTGTTACATGGCGATAGCTGACTGATACACTTTGGTACTTAGAATCTCAACATATCAGAGCTGCAAGGGACCTGAGAGACAATCAAATTTCACAGCTGGTGAGAGGGAGGCTGGGAAGCTGGAGAAGAGAAGTGACCCATCTTGTCTCTAGCCGAACCAGGCCTCAGATGCCAATGCTGCACTTGCCCTCCGCTACTCCACACCTCATTCCTCCGTGGGGGGGTCTCAGCCGGGACCAGCAATTCCACCTTCAGGAATGCATTCTCAGGACATGTGCACAAACAGTGATCTACAAGGATGTTTGTCACAGCATCGTTTATGAGAATGACAAACGGAATAAATACGATGACTCCTCAGAGAGGGCTGGGTAGATAAATTATCTACTCGACACAAAACTAAGGAACCTGAAAATCACACCGTGGCCACCTTCATTTTGGAAAGCTGTTTGTTGGTATCTGCTGACTGGAACAGTCACAGCTGCTGGAATAGCCGGCTCACTCCTGGGCACAGAACCTGCAGAAGAGCCAACCCACAGACACAGGTGCCTCCAGAGCAACAAGCCACAGCTGCACCGGCCACTTCCTCAGCAAGCGTGCACCGAGGTAGAGGGACACGAGGCTGCAGCACGGCCATACAATGGAATACAATACAGCAAGGAAAAAGGACAGGCCCACCAAGTACAACACTGCACACGGTCTCACAAATGTACAGCACTGCAAGCGGTCTCTCACAAACGCGGTGGCCAGGCCCCGCAGAGCATGGGATGCGAGAGTCCGTTTCTAGAAAATTCAGAATCAGGCAGCAACACTCTGTGATGCTAGAGGTCAGGAATGGTGGCCACCCTGACAGCGCAGTGACCAGAGGGGGATCGGAGGCCTTGGGGACAGGTCGGAAAACGTTTGTCAGGCCCATAGCCGTGTGCACGTGATGCTTTGTGGTGCACACTTCTGTGTGCAGTGCTGCGAGCATACATTTAATTGCAAAAATGATGTCACGGGACGCTCTCTATTGACATCCCCTATGAGTGAACATCAACAAGGCGACAAAGCATGAGGTTCTATTTTGGAAATAAAAACACGCACAGAAAGACGACTAGACCAAAAATGTGATCGTGGTTGCCGGGCAGGACGCTGTCGCAGCCATCACAGTCTTGCCATGTTTTTAAAGCGACCAGGGTGAGTCTGGGCCTGTCCTCTGGCTTAAGCCCAGAGCCCCTAGCCATCAAAGGTGCCATCAAAGGTGCCCTGACCCTCTGCCCTGCACCCTGTGGACAGTGCCCAGGGCCTGGTCTTCTACAGCACCCTGCCGGTTGAGCAAAGCCTGGAAAGGCTGGGGGAGAGTGGTGAGCTCAGAGGCTGGAGTGAAAAATCTTCCCTGCTCCCCAAAGGGCCGCAAATGGGACCCAGATGTCTGGGGCCTGCTTGCCCCGTGGCCGCACACAAAGGAAGCACATTCCTTGCCCAGCTGCTAGAGCTGCGCTGCCAACAGCAACTCCCTGAGCGCCCTGGGGGAGGTGGCCCCACAATCTGGGCCGCCCGCTGCCGGGGCGGGGTGGGGGTGGGGGTGTGGCTGCCAGCCGGGGGCAGGGGTGGAGGGAGGAAGGGGCGCTGTCCTTACCCAGCACTGGCCCTGGCACCCTGGGAGTCCTGGGGGTAGCGGGTCCCTTCTCTTGTCTCCATGCCCCCAAGCCACCAAGGGAGGCAGCCGAATTGCAGACAAGCAAGCTTCCGTTGAGGATCCGTGTGCTGGGGGTGCCGCCAGGTGGTGGCGTGGGTGTGGGGTGGGGAGGAGGCGTGGGTGTGGGGTGGGGAGGAGATGGGGCTGGGGGGCCTATGGGTGGGTCGCGGGGTGGGGAAACTGGTGGGTGGTGGCCTCCTGCTCTGGGTCTGCCTATCTGAGTGAATTCTCCAGTCTGATCTCAACTCAGAGGAGGGACAGCTCCTTCAGGAGCTCCACAAGCAGCATGGAGGGGGGAGCGTGGAGGGGGGAGCGTGGACGGGGGCAGCGTGGAGGAGTGGAACGTGGAGGAGGGGAGAGTGGAGGGGGCAGCATGGACGGGGGCAGCATGGACGGGGAGAGCGTGGACGGGGGGAGTGTGGAGGGGGAGCGTGGAGGGGGAGCGTGGACAGGGGGAGAGTGGACGGGGGAGCGTGGACGGGGGGAGCGTGGAGGGGGGAGCGTAGAGGGGAGCGTGGAGGGGGGAGTGTGGAGGAGGAGCGTGGAGGGGGAGCGTGGACGGGGGAGTGTGGAGGGGGAGCGTCGACGGGGGAGCGTGGACGGGGGGAGCGTGGAGGGGGAGCGTGGAAGGGGGAGCGTGGGGGGGGAGTGTTAAGGGGGAAGTGCAGAGAACGAGCAGACACGTGGGCTAGACACAGGGTGGGCGGGCGCCCTGGTGGGCTGTGTGGCTGGTCACCTCAGTCAGAATCTCGCCCTCTCTGGGCCACTCCCTGCCACCTTCCCCTCTCAGGAGCGTCACGGTGCCCTCTATCCATTAGGCATGTGTGCGTGTGAGTGTGCATGCATGAGTGTACGTGGGTGCATGGGTCTGTATTCATGTGTGTCCATGGGTGCCTGTGTGCATGGGTGTGTGTCCGTGTGTATATGTGTGCACTCGTGTACACATGGGTGTATGTGTGCATGTGTATTCATGCATGTGTGTATTCATGTGTGTGCATGGGTGTGTGTCCGTGTATGTGTGCACTCACGTGTACATGTGGGTGTGTGTGCATGTGTATTCATGCGTGTATTCATGTGTGCGCATGGGTGTGTGTCCGTGTACATGCACTTACATATACATGTGGGTGTGTGTATTCATGTGTGTATTCATGCGTGTGCATGGCTGTGTCTGTGTATATGCACTTACATATACATGTGGGTGTATGCGTGTGTATTCATGCGTGTATTCATGTGTGTGCATGGGTGTGTGTCCGTGTATATGCACTTACACATACATGGGGGTGTATGTATTCATATGCGTATTCATGCGTGTGCATGGCTGTGTCCGTGTGTGTGTGCACTCACGTGCACATGTGGGTGTATGTGTGCGTGTGTATTCCTGTGTGTATTCGTGGGGTGGGTGTTGCGTGTGCATGTTGTCTGGTAAGGGCTGTGTGACCTCAGGGATGGCTGCAGAACACTCCGGCCTGAGTGAAAGGTGGTCTGATCTGCAGACAGAGCTTCTCTGGAAGGAAGAAGGGCGGCCCCTGGGGAGAGGTGGGTGGGCTGGGTGGGGAAGGGGGATGGGGGGCTCCTTTGCCTTCCCTCCTTGCCTCCCAGCCCTTTATTGTATGCCACATCCTTGTTTTATTTTTAAAAATGCCTCTTGGCCACTGGCACAGGCCCCTCCTTGCTACAGCCCCTGGGGGTGAAGGCGAGACTGCTAGGTGGAGTGGCCAACAGAGAGGAGGTCAGGCTGGCTGTCATATTGGTTACTAGACAGGCGTGGAGGGGCCAACAGAGGGGAGGGCAGGGTCTCGAACGTTGTATCAGTTACTAGACGGGCGCAGAAGCACGGATTCTTTTAGAAAAAGAGGGCTGCTTAGGAGGCTGAGGCAGGAGATTCGCTTGAACCAGGGAGGTGGGGGTTGTAGTGGGCTGAGATCCCACCACTGCACTCCAGCCTAGGTGACACCGTGACTCTGTCTCAAAAAAAAAAAAAAGGAAAAAAAGAAAAAAGAAAAAGGAAAAAAGAGAAGAACTGGTGGAATCTGAGATCATCGGCTGTCGGCTGACCCCAGGCCCGGGCTGCAGGAGTTAGCTGGCCCTGCCCTCTGCACAGCCACATGCCTGGACTTAGGTGTGGAGCAGAAAGTCCCACAGACAACCCCAGACACAAGCGGAGCGGAGAACCTTCCAGGAAGAGGCTGCACCTGGTTCTGAAGGCTGCGGAACTGGCACCGTGGGAGAAAGGTGCCACCGTGGGAGGGGAGGGCCTGCCCCGGGGAGGGCACAGAGGCTGGGATGCTGGGGACAGGCAGGTCACACAGCCCTGGGAACGGGACCCTCCCACGTGCAGGGCCTGCAGGGAAGGCTCAGCTGTCTGCGGAGGGTCTGGAAACCCCTGGAAACCTGAGGCCTCTGTTAGGATTTTCCACCAATGAGGCGCCAGGGGAGGCTACACCGGTTCCCAAAGTGTCGTCGCTGTTTAAAAAAATGTGTGAATTGGCTGCAAATCACCTTGAACTCTGCAGAGGGCGGCTGCCAAGTTTAAAGTCAGCCACTGCCGGTGTGGACGCTAAGGAATAATTAGGGTCTGGCGGCTCATGGTGCCCCTGCGTCAAGTCAAGAATGTTTTCCCTGAAGTGCCAGAATGTTCCCCCAGCAACCCCCAGCAGTGTCATAAGTGTGACATGTGATGTGCGCACGTATGACACACACATGCAGACGAGAGTGTGCGTGAAGACGAGAGTGTGGGTGTGGACGACAGAGTGGGTGCGGAGGAGAGCGTGGGTGCGGACGAGAGTGTGGGGTCACAATCCCCTCTGTCCCTCCGGGGTGCGTGGAGGGACCCCAGGAGACGGTGCAGGCGAAACCCACAAATCCTAGCAGCCCAGACAGGACTTTAGAGGTGGCCTCCCTGGAGTGGAGGAGTGGACAGCCTGGGCTGGCTTTGCCCTGGGGCTTCCCGCCACGTCCTGTGAGCTGGCATGGCCAGGCTGTGCAGGAAGTGGCCCCCATGGAGAGACAGCGTGGCCTCCCTGGTGCTGACTGCAGGAAGCCCCTGGGACCCCAGGACCCTGGGCCGGGGATGCCTGTGGCTTTTCTTTCTCACCCCCACCCAAATGCAAACACGCGCACAAATGGCCTTTTGCTTCTCAGTTTTTTGACACTGAGGCACCAAGCTGGGCCCTCCCTGATCCCTGCAGGCCGGGGGTGAAGGGAGGCCTGGGAGAAGACCCCACCATGGCCTGGGCCCTGTCCTCTTGCCCTGGCATCAGAAGGGGCCCTGATCCCCCTGCCTTCGCAGTGTGGGCTGTGGCTGCCCCTGGGACCAGCTGCATCACAACGAGGTCCCAGCCCACAGCCGTGGGGAGGCCTTCGCCACTCTCACCTCCTGGACAGGGTGGGGCTCCCGCCCCTCCAGAGCCCACACGGTTACTGGCACAGGCCCTGAGCTCCAAGCGTGCGGCCCACCAACCTCCTCAAAATTTGTGGCTGTTGCTGGTTTTATGTTGTGAGCCCCACACAGGAGGCTGGGTGGCCTCCAATGCCTCCAGGAGGGAGGGCTGAGCAGAGCTATGCCCAGGCCAGAGCCCCCAGCCCAGAACATTCTGTCTTCTTGCCCTAAGAACTTTTGAAATGTCCCAGAAGTTCCATGGCAGGTCACCCACATGGCCCAGCCCGGCCTCCCACGGCAGGGGGTGCCGAGAACCTTGGAGCCACACGGCCTCCAGGGTTGGTGCTGAGAGAGGTCGGAGCTGCAGGCTCGCCGGGTTATCAGTGTAAAAAAGTAGAGGTTCCCCTTCAAAGATACTTTCCTCCCCGTCTAATTAGGAATAAACAGTAACTTCTCTTAGAAGCAAAATTTATTCAAAGACCTGTGCTGACATTCTTAAATATCTGCTAGCCTTAATAAAGAAATCAATGTACTTTATGTTCTTAGCTCCCACAATTTAGCCTAAGTATCTGCCCTGGCATGTTTATACTGGTCGAAGCAAGCATTAGGTCACGGCCTGTTCCTCTTCCTTATTTGAAGGTGTTTTTACCTTTCTCAGCATTCCACAAATTACTTCCTCCTTCCTTTGTTCTCCTCTGCCTTTGCCTCTTTTAAAAAGTTCTAAGTTGCGAGCCAATCGGGACAAATACAGAATGTGAGGTCCCGTTCCAGCCAATGGAAACCGGACACAGCAGTAGGTATAAAAAAACCGGACACAGCGTCAGGTTATAAATGACCCTGGTCTCCTTCATTCGGTGTACTCTCGTGGCAAAACTGCTGGCGAGTGTACCCTTTCTGCAGAAAGTAAATATGGCCTTGCTGAGAGAATTAAATTTACGTTCAAGTGCTATTTCTTTGCAGCACCAGGGAACAAGCACTCTATTTCTAAATAAACATTCCTAACATCAGCGTGGCCTCAGGCGCTGTCCCTACCGCCCGGTATTCACTCAGCCTTACGGGTAAGAAGCTCAGTGCCCATGGCCATGATCACAAGGGCAAAACCCACTCCTCGAATTCTCCAAACTGCACGCATGGTGCAGGGCAAGCGCGGGTGTTCCCTCCCACCCAGAGCAGCCTCTCCGCGGAGTCCCCGGGCGGGACCCCAGTTACTTCTGAGCACGTGCAGTCTGGTGCATGTTTACTCTAAAAAGAAAGACAAGGATGGTGCCTACAAGAGGAACTGTTGGAAAGTCAGTGTCGCTCCACGTAATCCGTGGACACTGTTTCAATGCAGGTCTGGAGGCCGCATCAGACCCCGCCCCACACTGCAACTCCTGGGCCTCGGTTCCTTCATCTGCACAAAGGGGCCAATGATAGCGTCTCCCTGGAGAGTTACCTTGGGAAGCAGCATGAGAATTGATGAGAATTAAAGCGATTTACAAGTGCAGGCATACAGCAAGTGCTCAATTAGTGCCAGTCTGTAAACCAGCAGCTTCCCGAGCACTCTGCTCAAGGATTCAACCCGCTCCCTGGGGTGGGCGTTCCTGCCTCCCTCCTTCCCCAGATAGTGAAAGGGTCAGGCGGTGTGCGCCCGAGGCCTGCCGTCCTCCCACACCAGGGACTCGCAAGTCAGCTGACCAGTGAAGCTTGTGCAACGGTGGAATGTTCTAGGCCCATGCACTGACAGTCGCTGGAGCCCCAACTGGCTGCCAAGTACTTGAAAGGAAGCCCTATGAGGGGAGAACTGAATTTTACATTTTATCTTCTTTTTTTGAGATGGAGTCTCGCTCTGTCACCCAGGCTGAAGTGCAGAGGCATGATCTCGCCTCACTGCAACCTCTGCCTCTCAGGTTCAAGTGATTCTTGTGCCTCAGCCTCCCGAGTAGCTGAGGTTACAGGTGCCCACCACCATACCCGGCCAATTTTTTTTTTTTTTTTTTTTAAATAGAGACTGGGTTTCACCATGTTGGCCAGGCTGGTCTCGAACTCCTGACCTCAAGTGATCCGCCCACCTCGGCTTCTCAAAGTGCTGGGATTACAGGCGGAAGCCACCACCCCTGGCCAGGAATATTTCATCTTAATTAATTCAAACTCCAACGGCCACAGGTGGTGCATGGTGACGGAGTGGCAGGAGGCCCCACCACGCAATGCCAAAGGCACCAAAAGTGCAGGTGGACAAGGGCGGCCTCTGCCTCCCCGTGGGGCAGCCACACCTGCCTGCTCCTGGATTCTGCCAGGAGGACTGGGTCCCCAGCCCCTCCCTGCCCTGCCTGCTTGCCAGCCCCAGCTGGGTGGTCTTCCTCCAGCCAGGCCCACCTGAGGCTGCCTCCCGCCCTCCTGGAGGCCAAGCCCCTCGCCAGGGGGCTACATTAAACAGCAGGGCCAAACTCACTGGGGAGGCATCTTGGAGAGCAGCGGGACGGGTGTCTCCACAACCTGGAACAACACATCCTTTCTCTGAGTTTAAAGAAAACAGGCTGCTCTGGAGGCAAACCTTTTAAACAGATGTTTCCTCTTGGCGGAACCTCCCTGCTCCGCCCCCACCCTGGGCCTTCCCCCAGGCAAGGCCTGCCCGGCTCTCACAGGGCGGAGGCCTGGGGCAAGGGAGACCAAGTGATTTCAATTCTTTCTAGGAAAGGGGAGGAAAATATTTTTAAAAATGTGTTTTACAAGCCTGCCTCTGCCATTGTTGATGTAAACAGGTAAATTGTTTCCTGCCTCAATTAAAAACATCTGCCACATAAATGAATACCAATTAACTCATCCTGTTTTTAATTACTCTGTTAATTACACGCAGGCAGCAGAAAGGATGGGCGGGGGGAGCAGGGAAGCCGAGCCGATCCTCCGTGCCACGCCGCCCCACCCCAGCTTGGCAGGATCGGAAATGTGTCTGGCTGGTGACGGATGGGGTGGCAGGGAGGTGGTGGCACGTGGCCAGCCGGGATTTCCCGATCCAGGGCGGCGAGTGGGCCCCTCTTCCCGGGATCTCCCTGGGTGGGGTCCAGCCCCTGCCCCTCTCCTGCCCTCCCTCTCTGTCTGCAGCCCCCTGCTCACTTCTTGGGCCACATTTTGCTGGGGGAGGGAGGGGGGGCGGTTGGGGGGAGGCCTGGATTTTGTCCAGGAAGTTCTGCCTTAAGGCTGGGGTGGTAGGAGGATAAGAGTCACCCTAAACAGGACCCCTGGGAATTAGGATCCTGTCAGCTGCCATTTCCTGAGCCGTACATCCGCGGTGCCGGGGGACTTGCGGCTGCAGCTCCCTCATTTGAAGTTGCTTCCTCGGCGGCACCTGGGACGCCCCCCATATGCGCCATAGCCTTCGTGGTAATGACACAGTTTCTCGTTCGCTTGCTTCATTAAATGTCTACCTGGGGAATGGGGACGCCTCACCCCGTCTCACCCAGACCTCTCTGCGCGGCGCATTTTGACTCCCAGTTCACACGTGTCAAAGCTGAGGCCCACACAAGCAACTGCCTGTCCAGGGTTAAATCACTGGGACAGGCCAGGGTGAGCCGTGAGCCCAGGGCTCTGATTTCAGGGCTGGTGTCGATGCCACCAAACGTGTCGTGGCCAGGACATCCCGGGAGCTGGGTTCAATGGCTGAGGCTGGCCTGCGCCACACTTTGGGTGGGGGTACTTCCGGTCTAAGGGCATCTGAGGGTCTTCACCCAAGAGGGTACCCCATGCCTCCCTGGAAAACAGCCCCCACAGAAACTGTTCTCACCCTAGGTTTCTGCAGTCTAAGGATGCGGAGATGGCCAGACCTGGCTGGGCTCTCAGAGCCGGTCTAGCCAGAGTAAAAGTCCTGTCCAGCAGCAGGGCCTAGGATCCTCCCCGGGAAGACTGCTGCTGCCTTAGCAGGATTGAGGGGGCCGAGGGCTTCGGTGCACTCACCATGTCTGCCCCGGGCACCAGCGTGGGCGCAGTGGGAAGGGGCTGTATGGGCCTGGAGCATTAGATCCTGTCTGCCCTTTGCAGCACAGAGGAGGCAGGACCTGAGTCCCAGGGCCTGGCCATGCTGATGCCCGGGGCAGACATTCTGCAAGCAGTCTGCCTCTCCTATCCCACGCCAGGGCTATGCTTGAGGCCTTCCCGAGGGCGGGGTCAAGAATGCACCAATGCCCGGGACAGCAGCCAACCCACGCCTGTTCCTGGGCAAATCCCGCCTACAGGCCGGGTCCCAGCTTGCAGCCGTCGGAGGGTGGTGGACGGCCCCTTCCTGGAATCCCATCCCGACCTCGGAGACGGTGACACCACTGTTCCCGTGGCACAGGCTTTGCCCCTGCGTGGTTTCACATGGCCAACAAAATACTAACTCATTTAACCTCGGCAGCACCCCCACCCAGGAGGCTGTTCTGTTATATAATCACGATGAAAACATAAACCTCTCACTCTTCCCACCGTACAGATGGGGCAGCAAAGGCCCAGAGAGGAAGGAACTGCTCAAGGTGCACAGCGGACGGACAGAGCTGGGACCCGACCAGCTCTACACGGCTCTTTACAGGCCCCCAGCGCCCTCACCTAGCGCACCCCAGCTGCCTGCTCCCACCAGGTCCCTCCAAATACCCCACGTCTCCCCAATTCGCCAAATGTGGAGGGAGAGACGCGGGGGAGTTTGTGATGTGCTGAGATGGCACAGCAGGTTGGCGAGCTGGGAGCACAGCTTTGGGGTTTGAAGTCAGCGTCCACTGGTGTGGGCGAGTCCCCTGGCCTTGCTGGGCCTCAGCGTTCTCCCTGTGAAACGGGGGGGACCCGCACCCCCTCCTCATCGCACAGAGGAGGTGAGGATTCGGCGCTTCTGCCCACTGCCCCCTGCCTGCCTCCTTTTCCAGGCAGGCCACCAGGCTGAGCTGCTAGTTGCCTTGAGGTTTCCTGAGCTGCCAGGGACTTGCACAGAGACCTCAAGCTGAGTGGGGGCCTCTCAGACCTTTGGCCACCCATGTTACCCGCCACATCCACTGCCACCAGAAGGGCTGTTTGTTTGGGGCCTTTGAGACAATTTCAGCAACAAATGCACTTCCTGCTGTGTGAGCTGGGGAGCAACTGAGCCGTGAGGGGGCAGCTGGGGAGCAGCTGGGTTGTGAAGGGGCTGCAGGCTCTGCACAGCCCAGTCCTGGCGCGCAGCACAGCTCGGGGAGGGAGGCCAAGCTGCGCATCCTCCGCAACCCGGCTCACACATGTCGCTCCTGCTGTCAGGGTGGGAAGGCTCCGACATGGAGGTCGGCTTTGGAACTCGGGCTCTGGGCTCCTGGGCTGGACACCGGCACCGTCTAGGTTGGGGAGGCTCTGGGAAAGACCAGAATGCCGAACCCACCCCCGAGGACCGTCCTCTCTCAAAGGTGGGGCCGGGGGAGGAGCCCAGTCAAAGGTGAGAGGCCAGGCTCACTGGCCAGGACTTTGGAGCATAGATCACCACAGTGCAAGGACCACGAAGACCCTGGGATCTCATGCTGAGGGTGCACAGCCCGGCAAGGGTGCACAGCGACCCAGCCATGGTTACAGCAAAGACCGCGGGTGGAGGTGGGGGCGTGGTCAGGCAAGGTCACAGCAACCCAGCCAGGGCTAAAGCAAGGAGCCAGGGTGGGAGGGCCGCGCCTGCTGGGCTAAAGCAAGGACCCCTGCGGTGGGGCGGGGCAGGTGGTGGTCATGTCTACCCTGGAGGGGCTACACCTGCTGGGCTGAGTCCCAGTGAGCCTGAGTGAAGATCTGCCCTCTCTGGGCCCCGCCTTCCTTGCTATTCCCTGGGAGCTGCAACGGCTGTGCTGACGTGGGGCACACTGCGTGCCTTCAGGACCGCTCCAGTCGCCCTGCACAAGCTCCGCCCTGGCCCTGCCTCCCTGGGGCCGCCGACCACAAGGAGGCTAGACTCTGCTGAGACAAAAGGAGAGGGACCCGGGGTCCAGGAAGGTGGGGAACGAGGCTCTCGGGGGCGATGGCTGGGATGGCCTTGGAGACGGGTCCAGCAATGGGCAGACACAGGCCAGGGGGAGAAGAGCGGGCGGAGGGCCCAGTGGTGGCTGCGGGGGCCACCAGGGCAGCTCTCGGTGCTGTGTCGTGGGGCCTCGAAGCAGCTGGAAGCAGGGAGTGGCCCCTGCAAGGCAGCACAGGACAAGCCTTGTGGCTCCCAGAGGCAGAGCCCCATGGCCGGGAGCATGAGGTCACTCTCGTCAGACAGCCTCTGCTGCCCAGATGCAGATGGTCTCACCCATTGCCCCAGCTGGCCGGACGCGGCGGGGACAGCCAGGCACTGGGGGCCAAGCAGGTGCAGGAAACCACCTGTTGAATTTAGACCCAATCAGGGGCTGTGAAGGCGAGTCCTGCCCACAGCTTCGGGCTGATGGAGGCCGCTGCCACCGCCTCCCACCTCACTGAGTGCTCTCTCCACCAAGGCCACAGAGCCACACTCCCCGCCACCACGTGTGGGTGCAGACAGTGAAAACTGAGGGACGGCCCTGAAGAAATTACAAGCCACCGGTCACCGTGGCCAAGCCCAGGGCTTGCTGTGTCTGCGAGGGGTCTCAGCTCTGCACCAGCCCAAGGGGGAAGCAGTGGAGAGAGAGGGACCCGCCCGGAATCACACAGCAACGGCCTCGTCCTGGACACCGAGCTCGCTGACCCTGGGGCAGCAGGCCATGTCCGCAGTGGGCAGAGGGCCGGGTTCCAGCCCTGCCCGGATTGGTCCTCTCCCAGCCCCCGGCCTTGGGAAGGTGCCAGGCAGGCAGATGGGCCGGGCTTGGGCACGGTGCAGCCGCAGCCGTGGTGGCAGCTGCTCGGGGGAGACCCACAAGGGGCCTGCTCTGCTGCTCCCTCCTGAGCGGTGCCTTCCGGGTACCCTGACTCATCCACCAGGCGCTCTCATGCAGCCTCCAGGAGATCTGCAGGGGGCCAGGGGGTGGTGCTGCTGAGTCAAAACAGCCCCCAGGGAATATTCTGCAGGGGAGGGAGGCCCTTCCTGTGCCAGGCAGCCAGAGACCTGCTCCGAGTGCCCTGCGCTGCTCTCATCCCAGCAGAAGGACGACTCTGAGGGTGGCAGGCGGGACAGGCAGTCACTTTGCAGTGGCAGACACAGGCTCAGAGAGGCTCCAGGCCTGCCTGAGGCCACCTGGATGACTCTGAATGCTGCTTCTCCCTCCAGGGCACCAGGGTAACCGGAGGCTTCTAGTTTCTTCAGGGGCCGTCCCTCAGCCTTCACTGTCTGCCCGACTGCCCGCCGGGAGCCCCTGCGTGTGTGGAGATGGCAATGTGCTTTCCCGGGGGCTCAGAGCTGCTCCTGCTCCCCGGCGACGGGCTTTTCCAGGCTGCGGCATAGGGAGCCCCGGTACCAAGGACATGGGTGGCACTGCGGAGTCGGTGCCATCCTCTCTACGCCAGACGCCATGTGAACGTTTTTACGATGATTTTTAAAAGAGAGGCTGAGAAGGACCAGGACCAGAAAGACACGGCTGTCCTGTCTCCCACAGGCTGCAGCCTCGAACTGGCACCATCTCTTCTGCCCCCTGGAAGGTCAGCTCCGTGAGACGGGGGAGGCCCCCGTGAATTGTGCAGGGAGCACTTGGTGGGCGCTGGGCGGTCTCACGTTCCCCACCTGTGAAAGGGGGTTAATCCCACTGTGATGGGGCCAGTGAGCGAATTCCCAGGAGGGCAGAGCAGAGCCGCAGCCGGGGGTACAACTGGCTTCTGGGGCCGGGCTGCCGCCTCCAAGAGCCTAACCTTGTTCCCAGAGGCGAGGAGTGAATCTGGGTTCCGTGCAGGGAGTTCCAGCACCTAAAAGGTGTGACAAATTCCTCCTCCAATGTCCAGCTGGACAAACCTCCTCAATCCACCACTGAAGGCCCCCCAAGCGCTCCGAGGGACCTGGCGTGCTATGGGCTGGGGGGCGTCTGTCCCAGCCTCGTCTCCAAAATGTCGGTGTCTGCTCAGCCCTGTGCTGTGGTTTTCAGGGGTCGAGGCTGAGCGACCTCTCTTTCTATCTCTCCTGCTCGGGGCCAGTCACCAGGCCGGAGTCTCAGGGCTGTGACACAGAGGTTTGTCATGCGTCACACCAGGTGGCCCTGGGTCAGCCAACGAGCTTTGTGTCAGGACAGCGTGGGTGAGCGCTGCCCCCACTGCATGGCTGCAGGGAGGCCCGAGGGCAGGATCTTCCCAAGGGACAAGCTGGCCATGGTCCCGTGCGTGCCAGGGTGGGGCCTGCTGAGCCTCAGTTTCCTCGGCTGTAAGACGGGACGGAGGTGTTCACAGTGGGGGTTGCTGGGAATTCCTCCTCTGGATTGGGCTGGTGCCTCGGTGCACCGTGGGCTCCCAGGAGCTCACAAGGCCTTCCGTGCCTGTCCCTTGTGCCCCACCTCACAGCGAGGTCCTTGCAGCAGCAGGGCAGCCCCGTCCGGCCCCCGCTGCCTCCCTGCCCTCATCTCCTTTCTCTGAGACAAGGCTCCTCACTGGTCCTGGAGGTGGCGGCACACTCCTGCCTCGGGCCTGGCACGCGTGGTCCTTCCCTCCTCCCGCAGCTAAGTTCCACGTCCCTTTACCAGAGAAGCCAGTGTCAACCCCCACGGCCCTTGGTGGGGCAACATCATCGCTGCTCCCTTCCTTCACTCTGTCTCTGCCAGACGGAGCAGCAGCCCCGGGCGTACAGCAGGCACCAATCACTATTTGTCGAGGGAATGAACGGGCACCGCCTAACGAGTTGGGTCAGATGGAGGCGTGGCTCAGAGATGTCAGCGTCAAGGCCAGGTCGACGTGACAAGCCGGGTCCCGCCCTGCCCTCGGGTGCATGGACTTCCCCAGGCAGCACTGATGCCCCCGCTGAGGTGAGGCCGCTGGGCCCCATCTGTGGGGAGAGGCAGCTGGAAACTGGGGGCCCCAGATCCTCCTCGAGCCAGATCCTGACCCCAGACCCAGCCTGTTTTCTGGGTGTCTGAATCCTGCCGGGGTGGAGGAGGGGCTGGGGAAGAGGTGGGTCCACCTGTTCTCCTCCAGGGACCTCCCTGCAACCCTTCATGAGGTCAGAGCTGGGCATCCAGGGAGACAGCGACCCTGGCCATGGGGGCCACGCCACCCAGGTACCAGCCTGGCATGCAGCCTGCAGGTGATAATCTCCGGGCTGCTCTGGGGCTAGGCTGCAGCTGTAGGGGGGTTCAGCTGTCACAGAGGGAGCCGGGGAAGCCAGCACTGCCTGGGATGATCCCCCTTCCGCCTCCTCCTCCCCAGGCCCCGGAGGCCCAGCTGGCCGTCCGCCCGTGCGGACACCCGGGAGCCAACACTGACCCGAAGACAGGTCAGCCAGACTTCCCACCTGCTCCCTCAGGAGGTGGGATCCGGTCCCCTCCTGCTGGGCTGCACGGGCCACGATGGAAAGGCGCCTCGTGACACGCTGCGGTCAGCTCAGAAAAGCCGCAGATGCTGACACGGGCAACCCTGCCCAGTGTGGGGCGTCCTCTGAAGTGGGAGCCGCAGGGAGGGCCTCACGGAGGCCTCTGTCCACAGGCAGCGGCTCCCGGCACCCACCGCTGCTGACCGAGCCCCTGGCACCCCCAAGCCGAGCCTTTGAACCCCAGCAGGGAAGGCCACCTGGCCGAGACCCTGGCCACCACGGGGCCATCACTGTCCCACGGGGCTCTGTTCCGACTCCTTGGCCCGAGGGTCTCTGAGCACCACCAGGGTTGCCTCACGCCTCTGAGTTTGGGGTGGTTTGTTCGGCAGCACTGGGGCCCGGGGCAGCTTCTTGCCCGGCGTGTGGCACAGCTGTCCTTGTTGGGGGCGTTTCTGGGATCCTGTGGTTTCGGGGACGCTCCCCTACTCCCTGGCCTTGGGGGCCGATGACCAGGTGGAGCGGGCCCGGTCTGTGAGGGAGTCACAACGCCAGGTCACTCCAAGCTGCCTCTGTGGCCACACGTCCAGCTGCCCCCACACAGGCGAGACCCATGATCAAGCCCCAGGGCTGGAAAGCAGACACAGGGGATGTATTTGTTTGTGGAATCAAATACGACGGCAGCTTGCAGGCAGCCCAGCCGCTGTGCAAACAACCCTCTTCCAGCACCCAGTGAGGGCGTCCCTGAAGCAGCCGGCGACCCCGGGCGCTGTCACCCGCCAGGTGGGGTATGGGGACCGTCCCTCAGGCAAGACAGGGTGCCTGTGTACTGAGCGCCTCGTGTGTCAGGTGCAGGTGCAGACAGGCAAAAGTCCTGCCCCACGGAGCTGACCTCGGACGGGAGCCCAGGAACACTGTGCAAACGTACGAGACCGAGGCTGGGAGGTGTGGTGGTTGGGAGAGGCACGGGTGGGTGACTGGATGGCCACTGAAAAGGTGCCATCTGAGCAAGGCCTGAAGGAGGGCAGCTGGGAGCCACGCAGGCGTCGGGGGGAGCATTCCAGGCACTGGGGCCAGCAGCGCAAAGGCCCTGAACTGCAGCCAGGCACGGTGGGCCAGCAGCAAGGC
This sequence comes from Homo sapiens, assembly GCF_000001405.40. NCBI lineage: Eukaryota > Metazoa > Chordata > Mammalia > Primates > Hominidae > Homo > Homo sapiens. The sequence continues at coordinate 88,928,954 of NC_000016.10, forward strand.
GGAGCAGAGTGGGTGGTGGAAGGGAGGGGAGTTTGTGTGGTCTTGGAGGCCCCACGAGGACCTCGGCTCCGTTCCTGGAGAGCTGTGACTGGCCTTTAATGGGTTCCATCTGGCTGCCGAGTGCAAAATAGACCTGGGATGGGGGTCAGGGGTAGAAGCAAAGAAACCAGGTACAGAATCTGGCACAAGTCACGCGGTCAGAGAGCAGGTGCTGGAGAGATCCCATAACTGTTTGTGGAATCAAACAGGACAGCAGCTTGCAGGCAGTCTGGCTGCCGCTGTGCAAACAACCCAGGGCGCCCCTGAACCAGCCCGTGACCTCAGGCAAACGGCATCCATCACCGGGGCCGGCACACCATCGCCTGTGAGAGGCGTGGTGAGGGCTGCTCCCACGGGCCTGCGGGAGGACCCGGTGACAGCAAGGCCAAGCCCCCTGCCCACCAGGACAGTGGCTTTTCTTGATAATTTATCCCTTGAAACCCCGTGGACAATTAAACCCAGAGTTACCAGGTGAGCCAGGGATTCTACTCCTAGGAATCCAACCAAGAGAAATGAAGACATTCATCCACACAAAAGCTACCGATACCCACAGCTGCATGGTCCACGCAAAAGCTACCAATACCCACATCTGCATCACCCACGCAAAAGTCACCAATACCCACATCTGCATCATCCACGCAAAAACTACCAATACCCACAGCTGCGTGGTCCACGCAAAAACTACCAATACCCACAGCTGCGTGGTCCACGCAAAAACTACCAATACCCACAGCTGCGTGGTCCACGCAAAAGCTACCAATACCCACAGCTGCATGGTCCACGCAAAAGCTACCAATACCCACAGCTGCATGGTCCACACAAAAGCTACCAATACCCACAGCTGCATCATCCACGCAAAAGCTACCCATGCCCACAGCTGCATCATCCACGCAAAAGTCACCAATACCCACAGCTGCATCGTCCACGCAAAAGCTACCAATACCCACAGCTGCATGGTCCACGTAAAAGCTACCAATACCCAGAGCCGCATGGTCCACGCAAAAGCTACCAATACCCACAGCTGCATCATCCACGCAAAAGTCACCAATACCCACAGCTGCATCGTCCACGCAAAAGCTACCAATACCCACAGCTGCATGGTCCACGTAAAAGCTACCAATACCCAGAGCTGCATGGTCCACGTAAAAGCTACCAATACCCACAGCTGCATGGTCCACGCAAAAGCTACCAATACCCACAGCTGCATCATCCACGCAAAAGTCACCAATACCCACAGCTGCATCGTCCACGCAAAAGCTACCCATGCCCACAGCTGCGTGGTCCACGCAAAAGCTACCAATACCCACAGCTGCATGGTCCACGCAAAAGCTACCAATACCCACAGCTGCATCGTCCACGCAAAAGCTACCCATGCCCACAGCTGCATCGTCCACGCAAAAGCTACCCATGCCCACAGCTGCATGGTCCACCATAACAACAATGGGGGCAACAACCCACGCGTCCATCAACGGACACACAAAACGTGGTCTTTCTGCACAGTGCAGTGCAGCTCAGCCACAGGGAAGGAGGCTCCCCACTAGGCTCCAGTGCGGGGAGCCACGAAGGCCCCGAGCTGACAAAGCCAGACACAAGGGCCACACGTGGCCCCGTCACCTTCATCCGCGGTGTCCAGAACAGGCAAGTTCACAGAGATGCAGGAGCGGGGGCAGACTGAGGGCTGGGGGTGGAGGAGCGAGGAGATGGGGAGGGGGCAGACTGGGGGCTGGGGGTGGAGGAGCGAGGAGATGGGGGAGGGGGCAGACTGGGGGCTGGGGGTGGAGGAGCGAGGAGATGGGGGAGGGGGCAGACTGGGGGCTGGGGTGGAGGAGTGAGGAGATGGGGAGGGGCAGACTGTGGGCTGGGGGTGGAGGAGTGAGTGGCAGTGGGAGTGGGGTTTCCTTTCCGGGTGATGAGCACGTGTGGGAGCGAGCTGGCGGGGGGCGTGGCGTTGCATTGTGAGTGCACTAAGTGCTACTGAAGTGACACTATAACTCCACGATGCTTAAAATGATAAACGTTATGTGTATTTTCCCACAATTAAAAAAACAGCGGGGAGACTGAGACAGGCAGCTCATGACCTATTAACCTGCCCCTGCCAGGGACCCATCCACGTTGCTAACAGCCCAGGAGTGATGAGTGGAGCCAGGCTGCCTCTTCCCTGAGTTTGGGCACCTTAAATGTGAGAGGGGCTCAGCCTCCCTCCCAGGGGCCCTGCTCCTGTCAACTGGGGCCAACTTGCAGGCAGGTAGCGGAGGCACTGCTGTGACTCCAGCCCTGGCTCTGTGAGCCTGGCTGTGCTGGAAACCAGGAGGGTGGAGGCCAGGCCCAGAAGGCTGCTGGCTGGAGTGAGTGGGAGCTGAGCGACCTTCTTGCTGCAAACAACCCCCTTCCAGAGACACAAGCACACCCTTAAGGGTGGGAAGCGCTCACAAGGACCGGTCTGTGGCAAGTGACAAGTGACCTTTCCAACCCGAAGGTCTCCTCGGCAGAAGCCCCTTCATGTGCCAAGGACGAGCCAGAGGTGGAGAAGGGCCGTGGGCCGGCCCCGTGGACGAGCCAGAGGTGGAGAAGGGCCGTGGGCCGGCCCCGTGGATGAGCCAGAGGTGGAGAAGGGCCGTGGGCCGGCCCCGTGGACGAGCCAGAGGTGGAGAAGGGCCGTGGGCTGGCCCCATGGTGCAGAGTGAGCAGGTGCTGGGGGCACTGGCCTGCAGCTCAGGCCTCTGCTTGTCCCTCTGGTCACCCCAGTCCTGGGGCAGCATGGTCCCTGGGTCTGGGCAGGTTTGGTTGGATGCAGGTGCTGTGGTCCCCAGTGAGCCCTGGTGTCACGGCTCACGCTTTATAAAAGCTCTCAAGGGGTCACAGTGCAGAGGGGATGGGGAGGAGGGTTTGGGGAGGGTAAGCACTTCGCCGGGGCACTTATCATTTGTGGAACATTCTCTGAGGCTGGCTGTGGGGATCCCCTGTGAGTCTGGACAGCCAGGTCATAGGTCATGCTTCCTCCTGGCCCGGTTTTCACACCGTGGTACCCCACACGCATGCACACGTGTGCACACCATCACACACTCAGACTTTACACACATGCACCTGCACGTGCGCCCCTGGCAACGGCACCCGACGCAGTGACCTTGGGGCTGCTGTCGTCGGGAAGACAGCCTGCCAGGTGGCCCCTCACACGGCCCCTGCTTCCCCCTCACACGGCCCCCGCTTCCCCCTCACACGGCCCCCGCTTCCCCCTCACATGGCCCCCGCTTCCCCCTCACACGGCCCCCACTTCCCCATCCCGGAAAACAGGCAGAGCACACACTTCCAGGAAAGAGGCCGCCCTGGCGCTGGACTCAATGACCATAAAACAGCCTCTTAAGCTGGGTGCAGCGGCTCACGCCTACAATCCCAGCACTTTGGGAGGCTGAGGTGGGAGGATCGTTTGAGCCCAGGAGCTTGAGACAGCCTGGGCGATGTAGCAAGACCCCATCTCTACCAAAAAAATTAAAAATTAAAAAAACAATTAGCTGGGCATAGTGGTGAACACCCATAGTCCCAGCTACTCTGTAGGCTGAAGGGGGAGGATCGCTTGAGCCTAGGAGGTTAAGGCAGCAGTGAGCCATGATCGCACCACTGCATTCCAGCCTGAGCGATAGAGGGAGACCCCGACTATAAGTAAAGGGAAAAAAGAGGCAGGGCGCGGTGGTTCACGCCTGTCATCCCAGCACTTTGGGAGGCTGAGGCAGGTGGATCACCTGAGGTCAGGAGTTCGAGACCAGCCTGGCCAACATGGCAAACCCGTCTCTACTAAAAATACAAAAAAAAAAAAAAAAAAAAAAAAAAAAAAAGCCGGGTGCAGTGGTGTGTGGCTGTAATCCCAGCTACTCAGGAGGCTGACGCAGGAGAATCACTTGAACCCGGGAAGCAGAGGTTGCTGTGAGCTGAGATTGCGCCACTGCACTCCAGCCTGGGCGACAGAGTGAGATTGTGTCTGGGGGAAAAAAAGAAAGAAAGAAAAGAAAAATGGCCTCTTGGGCCAGGTCCTGGGAGCTCGAGGGAGGTGACGGCATGGAGCCAGGACCCGGAGACGTCACTTCTGATGGAAGTCCGCACGCCCAGAGACAGGCCAGGCCCTCAGTGTGCAAGTCACCAGCCTTCTCTCCTTTCCAGACAGGCTTTGCCCTGTGGCCCCGGCCCTGCCTGGTGCACCTCCCGTTTGCCTCACTGGTCAACTCCTGGGGGCTGTTTTGCGCTCCCCCAGTGCAGGGTCCCAGACTGCACGCCTCACAGTGCCACACGTCTGCACGCCTCTGCACACGTCACGTGCCTCTATACGCCTCACACGCCTCACAGTGCCACACGTCTGCACGCCTCTGCACACGTCACGTGCCTCTATACGCCTCACACGCCTCACAGTGCCACACGTCTGCACGCCTCTGCACACGTCACGTGCCTCTATACGCCTCACACGCCTCACAGTGCCACACGTCTGCACGCCTCTGCACACGTCACGTGCCTCTATACGCCTCACACGCCTCACAGTGCCACACGTCTGCACGCCTCTGCACACGTCACGTGCCTCTATACGCCTCACACGCCTCACAGTGCCACACGTCTGCACGCCTCTGCACACGTCACGTGCCTCTATACGCCTCACACGCCTCACAGTGCCACACGTCTGCACGCCTCTGCACACGTCACGTGCCTCTATACGCCTCACACGCCTCACAGTGCCACACGTCTGCACGCCTCTGCACACGTCACGTGCCTCTATACGCCTCACACGCCTCACAGTGCCACACGTCTGCGTCCCCACAGCCATAGTGGCCACTTCATGCCACGCGTATGTGACTTGGTGAAATCCCCGTCCCTCTGCTCTGTGCAGTACAGCAGCCGCAAGCACAAGACCGGCACGAGGAGGACAGAGGCGAGACCCCAGTGAGCCAAGCTGCACGCTGCCCCCGGGAGAGCTGAAAAAAAAATACCTCAGTCGCTTAAAAATCAGTGCATGTCGAAAATAATGAGTTTTGGACACACTGGGTTAAGTAAGATTATATATTATAAACATTAATTTTGCCCGGTCTCTTCTTCCCTTTTTCAACGTGGCCACGAGACAGTCTGAAATGATCCACGCCCCTTCCCTGGCATGCCGAAGCTCCCTTGGGAGAGGCCGCCCCTCGGCACACGGAGGCACCGGCGAGAAGGGCTGCCCCACGCCCCTCGGCACACGGAGGCACCGGCGAGAAGGGCTGCCCCATGCCCCTCGGCACATGGAGGCACGGGCGAGAAGGGCTGCCCCACAGTGGCTGCTCAGGTCACAGGAGGGGCCGACTTGGGCCCATAGGGGAGGCTCCATGCACGTTCCCGAACACTCTGCTCCCAGGTCCCCTGTTGGATGCTTTGGGCTTCTGGGCATGAAAAGTGCTGGACCCTGAAGGAGCAGCTCGGCCGCAGAGGCACGGTGGGGACACAGCAGCCAGCAGGGCCACACAGAGAGGGTCTCAGCCACACACCTGGCCGGCACGGCCGGCACCATCGGGGGGCGACAGGCGAGGCTCCATCTTCCCTGTGCACAGTGTGTGGTGCTGACCAACCCCCGCAAGGGACAGATGGGGACACGGAGGCCCAGAGGAGCGGAGAGGAGTCTGGCCTCGCTGCCTGCCTATTCTTGCTGTTGGCAGGGCCTGGTAAAGGAGGCAGAGATGCCACGAAAGAGGCACGAAGGGCCGTGCCCTGCCCTCTTCCACCCCCGAAGTTCAGAAGGACGCATTCTTTTTTTCTCGGAGACGGAGTCTCGCTCTGTCGCCCAGGCTGGAGTGCAGTGGCGCGATCTCGGCTCACTGCAAGCTCTGCCTCCCGGGTTCACGCTATTCTCCTGCCTCAGCCTCCCCAGTAGCTGGGACTACAGGCGCCCGCCACCACGCCCGGCTAATTTTTTGTATTTTTTAGTAGAGACGGGGTTTCACCGTGTTAGCCAGGATGGTCTCGATCTCCTGACCTCGTGATCCACCCGCCTTGGCCTCCCAAAGTGCTGGGATTACAGGCGTAAGCCACCGTGCCTGGCCAGAAGGACGCATTCTTTAAGGGAGCTGAAGGCCACGTGGTGGAGCTGCAAGCCTCCATCAGGCACAGGGATACGTGGAGTCCAGCACCCAAGGCCCCTGTTCTGTCCACTTGGGCACAGCCACGGCCCAGAGACCCAACGCTGCCCCCGGTCAGGGGCAGTCCTGGGTTCTGATGTCTCTGGCGCAGGAGAGGCTGCATGGAAGGGCCCCATGTCCACTGCGCTCTGAGTACAGGCTGGGCTGGACTAGGCTGTGGAGCCCTGGTGTGGTGGCCAAGGCAAGGGGAGGGGCCCGGCAATCCCCAGGCCTGGTGAGAGCCCCCCACCACCTGCGTGGGGACCCTGGTGGTGCAGAAATACCTAGGCTCTGGAGGGCCCAAGTCAGGTGGCCTCGGCTCCCAAGTGGGAATTCTGCCTCTGACAGGGAGTAACTAGAGTACAACTGATCTTACCCTCAGTTTCCCCTCTGTAAATGGGTCTGCAGGTGGCGTGGTGCACCCGGGGGCCCAGGGCTTGGCCCCAAGCTTGCAGGCTGTCCTCGCGTGGGTGGAGCAGGCACAGGGCCTGGGGTCTGGGCTGTGCCAGAGTCTGACCATCGAGGTGGTCTCTCTGGACCACCCCATTTTGCAAAGGTGCAGACAATGAACTTCTGTTCGGGGGCCTGCAGAGAAGGGGGCCTGGGTGCAGAGCTGCATCATGCCGCATCCACCACTGAGCCTCAGGACACCACCGGGTGTCCCCCCAGAAAAGGGACGAGGCTGATGGTCCCAGTCCAGACACACACATCCCAGCTCATCACAGCCCGAAGGGGTAAATGCCTTTGTGACTGCATTTTGCGTTTGAGACCCGAGGGACAGATGGGAATATGTGGTGTAGGTCACGCAGCTGCTGGGAGGGGAGTCGAATCCAGGTGGGGGCTCCAAGAAACCGAGGGGCTGCCCATCCCCCTCCCCGCTGCCTCCGGGAACAGGGCAGGGGGCTGCAGTCACCCCTGGCCCTCGTGGGGAGCCCCTCCCCACCTGTAAGAGGGTCTCACTGCAGCTGGAGCTGCTTCCCCTGCTGGCTTGATGGCACCCTGGCTTTCCCGGGTACTCAGGGAGGTCGGGTACACTGGGCGGGGACTTCCTCATGAGTTCCATGTGTGACCTGGGGCCACCAGGGTGCGCAGGAGCCCTCCTGACTGCCCCGGGCATTTCCTGGGCGTCTCCCAGGTATCTCCCATCCTGGTCTCCGGCAGGTCCCACCTGCTGCCTCCCCGGTGTGGACTTTCCTCTGCTGAGTAAACAGAAGACTGCCCCGGTGCCTGGACTTCCTCCCCAAACCTCCTCCTGCCACGTCCACCATGACCCCAGCCTCAGGGGCAGCCAAGCATCCACCACGACCCCAGCCTCAGGGGCAGCCGAGTATCCACCACGACCCCAGCCTCAGGGGCAGCCGAGTATCCACCACGACCCCAGCCTCAGGGGCAGCCGAGTATCCACCACGACCTCAGCCTCAGGGGCAGCCGAGGAGGCTCTGAGCTGCCCAGACCCGACGGGGCAGAACCGGCCCTGGGTGGCTAAGCGGGCGGGAAACGCAGAGGCAGGCGGCCGACAGCAGTGCGGGGTGAGCTGCCGGCTGGGCTGCTGGTGCCTTGGCTCCGGGAGACATCTTCCTTATTACGGCCAAATTCATCTTTGTTTTCCTTCCCAGTGACATCTGGCTCTCAGTGAGGTCCCACGAATTACAAAAAGCAGAAGTCTGAACTTCTGTTTTATTGCCACAGGAAACTCATTGCCACAGCACAGGCGGAAAGCCGGATCCCGGCGGGTCCTGAGTCCCCAGCTCCCACCCTCGGGGCAAGCTGCGAGCTCAGAAGTGGGGACTGGGGAGCAGTTATCTCTCACTCTCCTCATCGTCAGTTTCCAGCCCAACTGCCAGGTCTCCGCCTGAGTCTTTTCCACTGATGCTACAAGGGCGGTTTCCACTCCAGGAATTTTTTTTCCAGACAAGCAAAGCCCTTGCCTGCATTTGCTCTCGGCTAAGGCGGCCCTCCCAGGCCTGCCCGGTGGGCTGTTTCCCGCAGCACGGCCTGGGCTCCGCTGAAAGGAAGGTCCCGGCCTACGGAAGCGCAGAAGCAGAACCAGGCCTTCTCACTCTGCCCAGGAAAGTCAGGAGGTGGAGAATAAAACCCCCAGGAAAGGATCTGGGGTGTCGTTCACTGACGCAGGCTTTCCCAGAGAGACTGAGCCACGAGGTGGACGAACAGCGTGGTGTCCACCCAACCTGGCCCTGACACCAGGGATGGTGACGCTGTCGTGAGCCTCCCTCTGAGCTGCCCTCAAGCGGCCTGCACCTCCCTAGCCAGTACCCCAGCAGTTGTGTTTCCACCCCTCTCCTGCCCCTGCGAGGCAGCGGGTCCCAGCCCACAGTGTGCACTGGACTCTGCACACTCCCGGCCCACTCCCTGCCGTCCCCACGCTGGCCCTCCCGTGTCAGAACTCAGTGGGAAGTTCCAGGGGCCTGACCACCCTGGATGTGTCACAGACAGAGCCCCGTGGTACCCACCCGCGTCGGGCTCCTGCGCTGTGAGCTAGGAACTTCTGTGGGCCTCGGCTTCCCGGTCTGGAAAGTGGGGCAGCAGCGGTGCCCTCAGGGCTGGCTGCCGTGAGGATCCAATGCAGGGCCTGGGTGCCTCTCACTGCATGTGACTCTGCCCCCGCCTGGTATGGAGTAGGTGTTCGATCAATACTTGCCCAGGGAATGAGCACTGGAGGACAGGCACTTTTTGTCCTGTAAGTGAAGTGGTGGCAAAGCCACCCTCCGGCATTGACAAATTGTAGAGTTTAGGTCCTTTCCGTCCCCAGGGGCCTGGGGCCAGCCTGGGAGGTGACATCGGTTGCCTGGACGTGGATTTCTATGAACACTGGATGCCATGTCTGTGATAATAGCCGGGCAATGTTCCAGTGGCTTCTGGAGGGTCTTTAGCAACAACGACCTCCCTCCCCTGCACAGCAGGGCAGGAAGCAGAGGTGGGGCTGGCCAGAGGTGCAGACCTAGAGCAGCCGGGATGAGGCTGGCCTTGGGGCTCCATGACCCAGGCAGGGCAGAGGTCAAGTTCTCCCACCCGTGCCCTGACCCCAGATGGGCCCCAGGGCCTGTATCCAGGTGAGGGCTTTTGCACCTACAGTGCTAACCCCGAGTCATGACCGAGCCCTCAGCCACCAGATCCCCCAGTCCCTTGGGGGTGCTCAGGTGCTCTAAGAATGTGGCCCGGCAGGCTGGGGATGGGGACCGACAGCACAGGCAAAGGAACGCCCGGGCAGGGCTGGACAGGGACTGGGCGGGGCTGGACAGGGGCCTGGAGACACTCGCTGCGGCCCGCCGTCAGACTGGCTCCCTGCATGACCTGTGGAGTGACTGTACCTCTCCCGGCGTCGGAGACGGGGAACGCTCCACGGCCCTCGTGGGTGTTACAGGGACGCGACAGTGCGTGTAAGCCCCAGCGCTGTTGTAGGCTCTAAGACCCACCCAGGAAGGCTCCACGACCCTGTGAGCAGGAGACACAGGCCACAGGCAGGCAGTGCAGCAAGTGCGGGCCGGGAGAGCAGCCCCATGGAGACGCCAGCGCCTTCACCTGTGGCACCAATAACAAGGCCCTGCTAGTCCCTCCATGCTGGGTCTGAACACCCGCGTGGCACACACGGCACTGGGGCACGCTGAAGTTGCTTCTGGTTCCTCCCTGCCAGGGAAGGAAATTCAGAGCCACTTAATTCAAGCACCATCCTTCCACCCTGGCACTGTGGGAGGCTGAGGATGAATCAGAAAACCCCAAAGTCAACCTGCTAACGGTGCAGCAGGGAAGGGGGGAGGCCAGCGGAGAGCCCCAAGATGGTTCCAGAAGCTGGCAGGGAAATGCCTCACCCACCTCACACCCTCCCTGCCACCCCAGAGGCGGCAGCGGCGAGGCCCGGCCCTCCCCACTGCAGCCCTGAGGGCTGGGATCTTGGGGATTAGTGACCCAGCCTGCTGGCAGCATCTCCAGATCCTCGCGTAGGGAGAAAAATTAATTTCTTCCAGTCATGCAGAAATGAAAATACGTGGAGCCAAACCAGAGAGATTTCCTGGAGGTGGTAACTGAATTACGCAGATAGCGGGCGGCAGGGGAAGAGCTCAGGGGGGCTCGGGCGGCTGGTGTGTGGCTTCGTAGCCCCAGAGGGTTCTGGAAGGCGATGTCTGGGGAAAGCCCTCCCACTCACCAGCCCTGGCTTCACAGGTGGTGACAGCACGGCCCCAGCACCACGAACCACTCATGTGAACTTCCCTTCTCCCCTGTCACTAGAGGATCCCAGCACATCCCAGGAGAGATGGAGCCTGCCGGAAGACTGATCCTGATGCGACACTCTCTTCCCTCCCTGAGCCCCAATCTCGGGTGGAGGCCACATCTGTTCCTCCTGCTCTGGGCGCTTCTTCCTTTCTGTTTCCCTTTCAGTGTGGAAGAGTGGCCGCTTGCCCAGCAGGACGGTCCCAAATAGCATGGCTTTTCCAGGCACGGTGCTGTCGGCCGCACAGAACAGGACCCTCCCGGCAGCTCCGGCTTGCACAGCATCCGCCTGTCTGGCCCCTGTGGAAGTATCTGACTCCCAACGCCCAGACTGGAGCGGGGGCAAAGGACACAGCCCGACCCCAGAGGCACACAGAGCCAGCCCTCCACGGAAGAACGTGCCCAGGAACTGTGGGCTGGGCCTTCCTGCCTCCTCCCCTGCCGCGAAAGCGATGCCAGGGGCAGGTGAGGGTCGGACGCGCTCAGGCCCAGCCCTCGCCCCTTCAGGTCTGGGGGACACAGTGGAGTCCCAGCCTCAAGAAGTTTCCCCAACCTCTCAGAAACTTGAAGGGCAATGCCAGGTACCGAAAAACCGGCCCCCGCCCCTTATCCCCGGCCGACCCGTCCGCCGAGGTGGCTGCCCTGGGAACCTCCTGTTCCTCGTCCAGGAGAGGAAACGCACACCCGGGCCGGACGCACAGAAGCCGCACCCTGGCTGGGGCCACAAGCCTGACAGCTACCGACAAGCCCCCACCCACAGGAGCACGCGACGTGCTCTCTTTTCAAGGGAAAGGTTTTTCTTCCTGGGCCCTGGAATGGGCCTGAAGTCAGCCGGCCTCAGCCCACAGGGTGAATGAGGGGTGGGCACAGCCCGGCCGCGGCCCCAGCACACACGGGCGGACGCAGGGGCGGGGGAGCGCCAGCCCCGCAGTGTGTTCGGAGCCCAGCGGCTCTGAGTCGCCGCCACCAGCCTGGCCGCCTTCTGCTCCACGTAAGTGAAGTCAGCCGTCTAGGGCTGCGTTTCCAGCCATCTGTCCCTCCACAGAGGCTCACACCTCCCTCCCCGCTGTTCCCACAGCCTGGCTCGGGGCCTGCCCAACACAGATGGACGCTTCCCAAAGGCTGTGCGCGCCATCGCTGCCACCCGGCTGTGCCGAGGCCCGCGGCCGTCAGGACCCCAGGGACCGCATGCCAGGCAGGGTCCAGGACCCCCAGCGCGGACCACCTTTAGCCTGCGGGGCAGCGCCGGGGACCCGGGCAGGAGGGAGAGGAGCAGGAGGGAGCTCTGGACCCCCCTCCCCAGACCGGCCGCCGCCACCTCTGCCTCTCCCAGGGCCGCCCTCGGCCTCCCCACTCCCGGGTCTCCGTCACGCGGGCCGCGGGGCCTTTGTTAGGAAAACCGGGCGGCCCCAGGGGAGCCCGCGAGACTCCCAGCGCCCGGGCGCGTCGTTCCCCTCGAAGTTTCGCCGCAGCCCCCGCAGGTCAGGCTCTGCTCACGGGGGGCTGCGCTCAGCCCGGATGGGTGGGCGCTGGGCGGGTTGGCTCCACCCTGCCGTGGGCACCAACTTTGAAAACGGCCCGTGCGCTCGGCGCGGCTGCGGCGCAGATCCGGGAACGGCAGCCGCGGGCGGAGTCGGGGTAGAGCGGCGGCGGCGCGCGGGGCGGACACGGCACTTACGGTCGGGGGGTCCGGGGGATCCGGCGGGCGGCGGACGGCGCACACTCGCGACTCGGTCCGGGAGTCGCTGCTCCTTCCAGCTTGGTCCCCGCCTCCACGACTCAGGGGCGGCTGCGCGCTGTCTTCTGGCGCCGCACCGGGCTCAGGCGCGCGGCGGGGCTGGGGCGCGCGGGGCGGCCGCCTGGGCCATGCCGGGGACTCGGCTCCGGCCACCCCGCGCGGGAACAAAGCGCGCACCCCGCCCGGGGCGGTCTCCGGCCTCCGCGGCCCGCGCCGGGTCCAGCCGCCGCGCCTGTGGCTCCAACGCCGCGCGCTCGCCCGAGAGTCTCACGGGGCCCCGCGGCCCCCGCCCCGCGCGCTCCGCCTCCGCCTCCTGCCCCCCGCCGCCGCCGCTGCGCCACCTGCCTCCCGCCCGGCGCCCATGGCGCTCAGCTCCGCCCCGGGGCGCCGGCCTGGAGAGGGGCTCCCCGCCGCCGAGAGCCGCCCCCAACGCCTCCGCCACCGGGGCGGCGCCCTAAGAACTGGCCGTGGGGGCCGGGGCTGTGCGGAGCGCCGGGAGCAGGGAGAGGGGAGAGGGGCGCGGGGAGGGGGCGACGGGCGCGCCGCCTCCTGCGGGGGGCGGCGCGGGGAGGCGCAGGCGGGGGCGAGCGAAGAGGTTGAGGGGTGCGGGCGCCGTGGAGGGGGCGCGGCTCTGGGGGGCGGCCCCCGCCTGCGCCCACCCTCTCCCCCTCCGCAGGCCGCGCACACCCACCTCGCAGCAGTCGGCGGCCGCGGGCCTCGCAGCTTTAGAACCGCGGCTTCTGGCGGCCGCGCGGGAGGCTGAACGGGAGTTGGGGGGTGTGGGGGGGGTGGGGAGGTGGGGAGTTGGGGGGGAGGTCGCTCCTTCGGCCGCCGCCCCCGCCCCCTGCCCCGCGCTCGCCCCCAGCGCGGCGCCTGGCCCGGCCCGGGGCCACCTCCGTGCGTGGCCGGCAGGGGTCGCGCTCCCCCCGCTCAGCCTCCCGGGCGGGTCCGATGCGAAGCCCTCGCTTCCCGCGGGTCCCGGGGCCAGGTCATTTGCATACACTTTGCATTCATTTGCATATCGTGCGTTTCATGTCCACCTGCAGAAACGCCCCGAGCCGCTGCTCTGCCCTCTCCGCACTTTCTCTGCCGGCAGGCCCCCTCCCCCGCCCGCTTTGCCTTTCCCTAAAGTACTTTGTGGCGTGTCTGGCGCATTTGCCTGCTTAGTACATTTTAGTAAAATTGGCGCCTTTTCCCTGTTTCCTGCCCCAACGCACACGTGCTCTTACTTTAGACACAAGCGGCTGGGGGGCCCAGGGGTCACCATTAGGAGACACAAGAGGCCAGACCTTCAGAGCAGCAGGGCCTTGGTTTGCCTCTCATTTCGCATAAATTTTGCATGTGAAGGTCCGAGGTCCCCAATCCCCAATATAAAAATATGGCAACGTGCGAAACATGGCCCATTCCAGCTTTGTGCCGCGGGCCTTTTCCCCCCACCCCTCGTCCCTCTCATGGACTTGGCTCTACCCACCTGAGCTGGCAGAGGAAGGGGACGGAAACCCAGAACGGGGGCTCCGTGAGGGGGAGGACAGCACCATGTCCTCCTGCAGCCCCTGGGCAGCGGTCTGGTCAGCTGGGTCACTAACCGCAGTGTGGCCCAGCCAGTTCCTCCAGCTCCTGGCTGTGGGAAGTGCTGTCTGAAGCCAGCCAGACTCCGTGAAAATTGTGACACAAACGCCAAGCACCTTCATTCTCCTGGTTTTCAGACTGTGCGTAACATGGTGCTTGCCCATGTGGCTCAGCCCAGTCCTTGTGGAATGGAGGTTTTCAGACTGTGCGTAACATGGTGCTTGCCCATGTGGCTCAGCCCAGTCCTTGTGGAATGGAGGGGGAGTTCTGAGCCCACCCCACAGTACAGTGCGAGTCCCCATGCGGTGGGTGTGTTGCCTAAGGTTACCGATTTTATGCTCGAAATTTATCCATCCTGGCTCCCTGGCTTCATGGACTCTGAGGCACAGTGGATTTTAAGATGCACCATTATTTTGTGTGCCACTAAGAAAGGAAAACATTCTGCCGGTGATAATCCTAAAACGCCCCCAGGTTTCAGAGATTTTACAAAGCAACATAAACGTGGGAGTGGGGGCAGGTGGGAGAATTCAGCAGCGAACCACCCTGAAGTCAGTCGGGTTGTGAGCTAAACAATGCCTGCGGCAGCTGTGGCTGCCCACAGGGCCTGGGAGCAGAAGCTGGCCTGGACCTGGGCCGGAAGCCCTCACCCAGCACCAGCGGCACGTCCGTGGTCTCGGTTCTCTGGACCGCAGGCTTCGGGTGTTAAGTGACCAGTTGCAACATCTCTGACTTACACAGGGTGCTCACAACCATTTGAGGAGTGACAGACCTGAAGGCACTGAAGATACCACTGCAGCCATCAGACACCACAACCCAGGCGCTGCACCTGCCCCACCGCAGCCCCTCCTCCCTACTCAGGAGAGCTGTGGTGGCGTGGTAGAGAAGAAAGGGATATCGCAGGCAGGAGGGCTTCCTTTAGTGCTGTGAGTGGGTCAGCCTGACGCCTAGCCCAGCGGTCACAGGGTGGTCAGATGGTCCTGGCAGTAGCTGGCACAGAGCTGGGCACCGTCTCTGCATTTCCCCCCGTGCTGTGCGGATGCTCCCGGAACGCCCATTTTACAGGTGGAGAGGCTGAGCCTCTCAGCCACACCGACTTCCTGCTGCCTTATCCAAGAACTGGTTTCTTGCCCTGGATGCGGCCAAGTCACAGCTCCTGGGCATTTCGAGGGGACATTTAAGGAGGAGACTACCAGCCCTATGTGAAAGATGTCTGCAGTCTGTCCGACAAGGCCAGCGTCACCTGTGCGGGAGACAGACCACGGGCGAGCAGGACCTCGGAGGGCCACACTCAGGGCTCGGGAGGGGGCAGAGCCGTGGAGGAGGGAGCTCGAGGGTGTGCCCATGGAGCTCCCAGTGTGTCGCTGTCTGTAGAGGCAGGAGCTCAATTCACTTAAAAGAAACCACCACGGCCGGGTGCGGTGGGTCACGCCTGTAGTCCCAGCACTTTGGGAGGCCGAGGCCGGCGGATCATGAGGTCAGGAGATCAAGACCGTCCTGGCTAACACAGTGAAACCCTGTCTCTACTAAAAATACAAAAAATTAGCCGGGCGTGGTTGCAGGTGCCTGTAGTCCCAGCTACTCGGGAGGCTGAGGCAGGAGAATGGCCTGAACCCGGGAGGCAGAGCTTGCAGTGAGCCGAGATCACGCCACTGCACTCCAGCCTGGGTGACAGAGCGAGACTCCATCTCAAAAAAAAAAAAAAAAAAAAAAAGGAAACCACCTCCCCTCCTCATGGCATGGCAGCGTTTCCAAGTAAAGTTGACTCCCCATCAGCATCTGGTGCCCCGATCACACACCCATGGAAGCCCTGGGAGACCGTGCCTGGCTCTAGGGCCCGCGGCGCACAGCGGGGCAGCCCCAGCTTTGCTGACCTGTGCTGGGTGTGCCTCTGAGGCCCCACCCTGCTGCCCTCAGGAAAACAACTGCAGCCTTCTGTCCTGCCAACTGCACTTCTGGCCATCCTGATCCCCCTCCCCAAAGGGCAGCACCCACATCTGATTTCCCTCTCAACCACCCAACAGTGCCCAGCTCAAGGTTTGGATAAAGACGCAGTTTATAAACACTTGCCACAGGCGTCCCTGCACTGTCACCTCCCCGCAGTCATGGCCCCTTCTTCTGATACCAGGTAAGACTCGCTGTCTGTGGGGCCCTGGCCAAAGGGCAGGCGCTAGGCCCTCTCATGTGCCCTCCGTGACCCTAGGAGGTAGGTCTTGCCACCAGCCTTGTTTGCCAGAGGAGAACACCGGGACCCAGAAAGCTTGAGTAATCTCAGAACACAGGCTGGTCTTTGGCAGAGCTGGAGTCCTGCCAGGCCAGCGTGGTCCAGCGGGAGGCCAGGCCATCACTGTTGCTGACCTTCAGAAAATAGTTCTGAGCACTATAGACTCTCAAACATTTTCTGTTATAACTAAAACTCTGCAACAAAAGTTTAGATAGCTGCCAAGAATAGAAAGTCTGATACACTATAGGTATAGATATTTAAAAATAAGCGGGTGGCTAATGGATTCTAGATACCATAGCAATTTGATAGCCACTGTCGTTCATTAAAAATATCTGAATAAACTCGTCTTAAACACCTGCATTTTCACTCAGCTCCCTACCTAGAACAGTGAGTTTTTAAATATAACACCAAAAGCATGATGCATACAATAAAAATTTGGCAGGTTGGATTTCATTAAAATTTCATACTTCGGCTCTGCAAAAGACACTATGAAGAGAATGAAAAGACAGGCCATAGACTGGGAGAAAATATTTGGGAAACACATATCTGATGAACAACTGTTATCTAAAATATACAAAGAACTCTTAAAACCAAACCATAAGAAAACAAACAGCCCCATTAAAAATGAGCAAAAGATCTGAATAGACACCTCATCAGAGAAGAGATCTAGAAGATGATCTGGCAAATAAGCACAGGAAACGATGCCCAGCAGCCTTGCCACTAGAGAGTGGGTCAGCACAGCCACGAGAGGCCACGACACGCCTGTTAGAATAACTAAAACTCAACACACGGACAACCCCAGATGCCGGTGAGGATGTGAGGCAACAGGAGCTGTCATTCATTGCCGACGGGAATGCAAAATGGTACAGCCCTTTGGAAGACAGTTTGACTGTTTCTTATGAAACTACACACTTTTACCAC